>NC_000009.12:136260126-136951656 GCF_000001405.40 Homo sapiens | reverse complement strand
TTTTAAACGCAGTCTCTGCCCAGAGGGAGGGGCAGGGCTGGGAAGCCCCACTAATGGGAGTGGGCACCCCATGCTGGTCCTGCCTAAAAGAAAGGATTAGTAGGCCAGGCACAGAGGCTCATGCCTATAATCCCAGCACTTTGGGGGGCCAAGGTGGGAGGATCTCTCAAGCCCAGGAGTTTGACATCACCCTGGACAACATAGCGAGACTCCATCTCTACAAAAAAATTTAAAAGTTAGCTGGGGGTGGTGGTGCACACCTGTGGTCCCAGCTACTTGAGAGGCTGAGGTGGGAGGATTGCTTTAGCCCAGGAGTTTGAGCCTGCAGTAAGCTATGATTGTGCCACTGGACTCCAGCCTGGGCAAGACTGAGATCTCATCTCTAAAAATATAAAAATAAAATGTAAACAGAGGGCTGGCAGGGAGGGCAATGGCAGGCTTGGGGCTTCTAGCTGCCCTGGCACCCCTTGGACGATGGGGCTAGGGAGTGGAGTCCCCTTCCTGACCTCTCCTCCCATCCTCACAGGTAGCTGAAGCCTCTGGGTGCTGGACTCCATGTTAGGGGTCACCAAGGGTGAGCCAGGTGCCTCCCACTCACCGTGTGCCTGGCCTGTGAGCCTCTGTCCAGGCCCCCCAGGTCCCTGTCCTGGCTGCCCCCTCCCACCCCAGATTCCCTGTCCTGGCCACCTCCTCCCCTCATCCAGCCCTGCTTACAAGGGACTTAGGCTCATCCCAGGAGGTGCCCTGGGCCTCGGCAGCCTGCCCTGGGTGGCAGCCCCAGCCTGGCCACTCGAAGAGCCCAGCCCCCAGGACTTCAGGGCTCCAGGGCTGGGCTCTGTCCCAGGCCTCACTGCCCACGTAGAAGGGCAGCTTGCTGTGCCTTGTCTCACCAGCACAACGCTAGCGTTTCAGGAGGCTGGCCCAGGGAAGGAAAAGTTGGAAATAATCTGTTCATTCCCCTGAACTCCCCAAGGCGCCTTCGACTCTCCACCATCCCCCTGGCCCCAGCCAGCCTAGGAGCGCCTGTCCGCAGCCCCAGGGTCCCGCTCTCAGCGCAGCAGGCACCCCTCCCGGAGCCCGTCTTATCGCAGGGCACTGGGGAGATTTGGGATCACAGCACACAGCCCATGTACAGGACAGTCCCCGCTACGGACCCCGCCCATGCAGGGCCCTGCGGGAGGAAAACCGGGCCTTCCCTGGCCAGCCCGAGACCCACAGAGACTGAGCAGCAGAGGTCGGGTGGGCCGAGTCCTCGACACAGAGGAGGGTCCCTCGGCTCCAAGCAGCGCCTCAGGCCCCATGCTCCCTCCCCCAGACCCACTCCTGCCGCCCTGGGGGGTCTGTGTGTGCCTCCAGGTAGCCACTGGCTGCTGCCGTTAACCTCTGTGCCCCCCACGTCCCCTGCAGGAGCCTCCCGGACACGACAATGGGTTCGGCGCGCCTCCTCCCCCCACCGCGGGGCAGACGCAGGTGCTGCTCCTCCCGTCTAACGTGATTGGTGGAGGGTGGGCACGTGACCTCCGCCGCCCAATCAGGGCCCTGCAGGTGCCTTTGCCTGGCTGGGCCGGCGGCGCTGGAACGGGCCGTGCAGGACGCGGGCCTTGAGGCACCTGCGGGGCTCCCGGGGGAGTCCTGGCTCTGACCTCGGCCTTCCATACCGCCTGGGGTGGGCGGGCCGGGCGCGGCAGCACACGCCAGTGAGCCCAGCGCTTTGGGAGGCCGAGGCGGGAGGCGGTGCCCGGGAGCTTGCGTGCCACGGGGAGGAGCAGCCGCGCCTTCTGCAAGGCGTCCTTGAGAGGCGGGAGGGAAACCGCCGCTTCCACTCAGCACCCTGGACCCCCAGCCCACCGTGGGGACCGGTCCCTGGGGCCTCTCCCATTGACCCCTCCCATCAGGTCCTCTCTTCCCTCTGCTTCGCTCCCCGGCACCCCCACCCCCAACCCATCGCCTTCATCTCGGCCTCCCCACAGCAACAAGGACAGACTTACCCTCCACTGCTCTTCCTCCGTTCCCGGAAAACTCCCGGCCTGTCCTCTGCTCACCCTCCCCTCTCTCTTCCCACTCTCCGGGCAAAGACCTTTTCCCAGACACGGTCCTGGGCGCTGGGAGGCCCCTTGGGGGTGGGGTGGGGGGCCAGGGGTGGTTGGGGCGTGGCTGGGGAGGAGGGTGCCTCGTCCCCACATGGAGGAGTCCTGGCCCACCTGTCCCTCTGAGCACCTGCGTGGGCAGGGAGGACGGGCACGGCACCTGCCTGTCGGCCCTGCCTGTGGGACCAGGGGCTCCCGGGGCCCCACACAGCACTCTCACGTCCAGGCAAGGCGGGGGCACCCAGGACAGTCCTGGACTCCTGACCCCGCAGGTCTTGGGCAAGACTGCTAACAATTAAATGTTAGTTTCTATAGATGAAAAAACTTTTTTTTTAAATAGAGATGAGGTCTCACTATGTTGCCCACCCAGTCAGATCTTGAACTCCTGGCCTCAAGCGATCCTCCTGCCTCAGCCTCTCAAAGTGCTGAGATTAAAGGTGTGAGCCACTGTGCCCAGCCAGTTTGCATAGTTTTGTTGTTGTTTGTTGTTGTTTTTTAAATAAATTGAGACAGAGTCTCGCTCTGTCACCCGGGCTGGAGTGCAATGGCGCGATCTCGGCTCACGGCAACCTCTGTCCCCTGGATTCAAGCGATTCTCCTGCCTGAGCCTCCTGGGTAGCTAGGATTACAGGCGCCCACCACCACGCCTGGCTAATTTTTTTTGTATTTTTAGTAGAGACGGGGTTTCACCATGTTGGCCAGGCTGGTTTCAAACTCCTGACCTCAAGTGATCTGCCCGCCTCAGCCTCCCAAAGTGCTAGAATTACAGGCGTGAGCCACAGCGCCCAGCCATTTCCATAGATTTTTTTTTTTTTTTTTTTTTTGAGACAGAGTCTCACTGTCGCCCAGACTGGAGGCAGTGGCATGATCCCGGGTCACCACAACCTCTGCCTCCTGGGTTCAAGCAATTCTCCTGCCTCAGCCTCTGGAGTAGCTGGGATTACAGGCGCCTGCCACCATGACCAGCTAATTTTTGTATTTTTAGTAGAGACAAGGTTTCACCATGTTGGACAGGCTGGTCTTGAACTCCTGGCCTCAAGTGATCCACCCGCCTCAGCCTCCCAAAGTGCTGGGATTATAGGCGTAAGCCACCACGCCCAGCCAAATTATGCAAACTATTTTAAAGAACAATGATTCACACAGAGCTATCGTGATTTTATGTAGTGTTTGAAATTTAACTAGAGCTCATTCAATGCTTCTGTGAAAATGAAATGCCTTGTAATCCTTGCGCTGCACATCCTCTGGTCCCAGAGCACACAGCCAAGTGGCCACGCACTTCACTCAGTGCGGGAACCCACCCAGCCCTGCAGTCAGAGGCGTGGAGGGTCAGGCTGGGCCACTCTGCCACCAACCACAGCACCCAAGGTCATCGGGTGGGTCTCTGGCGCCACCCCTCGGACATTCAGCCCTCCCTGAAGCTTGTGACCGTGGCCAGCTACCCGACTCCTCCTGCCCCCAGATGAGACCCTCACTTTCTGTTTGGGGGATGTGGGGCCAGGCATGGAGGAGGCTTTCCTGGGGCTCAGGCCTAGAGTCTTCCCGGCGTTGCCAGCTCTGAACCCTGAGCCCTTCTGCTGCGCCCTGCTATCTCATGGGTCTCTGGGACATGGAGCTGGAGTGGGGGAAGGCGATGCAAGGGTACGACCTCCTGGGCCCTTCTCCTTCCCAGGTCCCGGCAGTCAGGGCCCCTGCCTCCCCTTCCCACCACCTGACTTGCCTGCCCTCCTGGGGTCTAGCAGCTTAGTGAACAGGTGGGCACGGCAGGGGGAGCCCCGCCCGTGGGATGGGGACCCCCCTGAAGCAGCTGCTGGCTCCTCCCTGCCCCCACCCAGGCCGTGTGCTTTGGGACCAACTCCAAGGTGCCTTCTCCTCCCATCCCTGCCCACTGTGGCCGATTGGTGGCTGATCCCTGGACTTGTAAGTTCCTAGGGGGAGGGACCAGCCCACCTGGTGGTCCCAGGGCCCAGCACACAGTGGGCCTTCAGAAATGCTTATCAAACAAATGCCAGTGGCCGCAGGCAGGGCCTGAGAGGAGCAGCTTAGCGGCCAGGTCCAGGCCCAGCATGGTCAAGCCATGCCGGGTTCCTGATTCTCCGGCCCTAGCCCAGGGGCTGCCCCGAGGGCAGAGCTGGCCCACCCCCACATTCTCTTCTGCTTCCTGGTTTCACGGGGGACGTGGGAGTGGATGAGGTGTGCAGAGAGTGCAGTGGCTGTGGGTGGACAGCACCAACTGCTGCCACCAACACGGGCCAGCTGGTGCCAGCTCGGCTCGGAAGAGGCCAAAATGGGCAGTGACGGGAGACAGCTGGCCTCCCACGGGGGCGGAAGAGCAGCCCGGGGGCTGCAGGACAATGGCCCAGGCAAGAGCAGCCTTGGAGTGAGGCTGGACGCCCCCAGGTCCCAGCAGGGCACAAGATGGGCATATGCCAGAGAGGATCTCCCCTCCCAAATCCCAAGAGCCGCTGAAATCGGCCCAGTGCCCACTGCGTGGACTCCAGCCAACAGGGAGCGCCGGGCTTTTAAAGAGGCGGGGTGGGGGCAGAGAGGGCCTTGGTGGTACTGGCGCCGGTCCAGAGTGGACAGAAGAGTCAGAGAGGGGTCTGAGACATTTAATAAGTAGGTACCACTCCACCCACTGTCCTCTGGGGCAGCCGGCAGAAGATCCCCTGCCCTGGGTGGCAGGGCCCTGATCTGAGGCTGGTTTCACGGAGGACAGGCAGCGGGCACCCCACTGGTGGGGTCGTCTCTCGGGGCACTGACTTCTCAGCACTGGAGCTGTGTGCCGGCCTCACCTCCTCACTTCTGCAGCAGAGACGAGACTCAGCCGGTGGCAGTGGCCCCCCTCACCACGCCGCCATGCTTGCCCCGCTGTGCACTCACCGTCCAGGACGTGGAACTGGTCTGCAGCCTCGCAGAAGCCTGGGGGCCCAAGGCAGGGGTCAGGCTGGACATCAGCCCAGAGAGTGGGGGTGGCTGAGCTGGGGACCTGCTGGGGACACTCACCGTACTTGGGGAAGTAGAAGATCTGGTCCTCAGTCAGGTGGGCCTCCTGGACCCGCTGCTCAAACCCACTCAGGACCGAGTCGCTCACAGGGAGCGAGCGGGCTGCAGGGCAGACAGGGTTCCTGGGGTCCTGGCACCAGGCGGCGTGGAGGGCTCTGGAAACGGGGTCTGTGTGTCCCCTGCCCCCTCGGGGCCCTCTCCCTGCTCCCACACCAGGCCTGTCTGTCACTACTCCCTGGGCCCCTGCTTAGCAGGAGGATCAGGATGGGAGAAAGGAAGTGTGTCCCCATGGGCTCACCCAGCCCCTCGGGGTGGCCCAGTGAGTGTGCAGAGCTTGAGCGCCTGCCTGGTCACAGAGGCTGGCCCCCACATACCGTAGAGCTTCACTGACAGCTGCCCCGCCCGCTCCAGGTACAGGACAGCGAAACTCTGGTAGTCGGTCTCAGCGACAACCACGTGCACAGCCCCTCGGGCGTCTCGGGCTGGGGCAGAGCCACAGTAGCCATGTCAGAGAGCCACAGTGGCTGCGTCATCCCCCACCCACATGCCCTGCAGCCCCTGCCTCACCTTGAAGCAGGAAGCGGCCGAGGACCCCTGTGTCTCCATAGAGCTGGCGCACCTGCCAGCAGATCCCATCCCTGGGGGGGCGGGGAGGAGGCACCACAGGCTGGGAGACCCCAACCAGGAATCCTAGTCCAGGCCACAGCCGGGGTGGGGTCAGGGGCCAGAGCAGGGCTGAAGTCCGGGGGCTGAGAGGAGGGTTGGGGTTAGGGTGCAGGGCTGCTCTGGGACTCACAGCTTTCGGAAGGTACTGACAGCCATGGCTGTGCCCTGGGGAGCCACATGCAGTGTGGTGGCCTCGGCCCGGTGGCCCTGCTCCTGCAGGAAACGGCAAGCGGAGCCCACAGCCACAAGGAGCCAGGTCCCTGCAAACTGGGGGCAGACCATGGGAGAACTCGAGGGCACTGTGGGAGGGCCCCTCACCTGCTTCCCTCTACACCCCCCACAACTTCACCTGCTTCCCTCTCCCCCGCAACAACTTCTACCTGTCTCCCTCTACCCCTCCCACAACTTCTACCTGCCTCCCTCTACCCCCCCCAACTTCTACCTGCTGAGCATCAAAATTGGCCTTGGGCTGGATGGTGCTGATGGGGGATGCGGGCCGGCGTGGCCTCTGAGGCTTCTGGCCCAGCGAGCCAGCTGCCAGGAGCAGAGTCAAGAGGGTCGCAGTCCCAGGGGGCAGCATGGTGGCGGCAGCAGGGTGGCAGGACTGTGGGAGGCCAAGGGTAGCACCACCAAGTCCCAGGACAGAGTCTACTCTGCTGTCACAGAGCCCAGCCCAGGAAGTCCATGTCCATCCGTTGCCTCCCCACCCCCCACCTCCAGCCTCCTCGTGAGCCTAGCTTCGATCTGCACTTCCTGGCAGGGCCCTGGCACCATGTCCTATGTACAAAGTCCGAGTTGACCTCTGGCTGTTTATCCATTTCTCCTGCACCCCTGATTTCCACCGACAGTCCTTAGCCCTTTACACGTTATCTTCCTTAAACCATCACCCAGTGGTCTTATCTCCATGGCCAACGTCACGGGGTTCATGAAGCCACTTGCTCAGGGCCCGGCAACAGGGAGCGCCGGAGGCGGGTCCCGAACCAGCGTTCGTTGAGCCTCGCCTGCAACCCCGCCCACGACCGCCGCCCGCTGGCCACAAGGGGCGCTGTTCCCAATGCGCCCGAGTGCGCGCAGGCGCACAAAGAAAAGCCGGCCAGGCCGCCGGAGCCCAAGGCGCAGGCGCACGAGGGGCGGATGCGGGCTACCCGCGCGCTCTGCCTTCCTCGGCCATCGATGCCTCGGGGCTCGTGGCGTCGGGCCTGGCGGGCTCCCCGTTGGGCGGGGGCGGCGGTCCGAGCGGCTGCGGCAGCGGAAGCGGGTCCGGGTCGCGCAGGGCGGGGGCGGCGCAGCGGGCGGAGGCGGCCGTGGTGAGTGCGCCTGCGGCCCTCGGGGGTCCCGCCTTGTCGTCCCCGCCCGCCTTGGGCGAGTGCAGGAGCCCCGAGGCCGCCCGTGCGCTCGTCCCCGCCGTCCGCCCCGAGCCCGCCGGGCAGAGCTGCTCCAGGGCCGCAGGGCGGAGGCCACTGCCTGGCCGCCCCGAGCTTCCTCTCGGCGGAAGCCCGTCCCCGGACGGCGCCTGGTGTCCCCGTGCCTCGCGTGCGGCGGTCCGGGCCCTGGCGGGCTGAGGGGCGCCCGCTGCCGGCCGCAGGAGGCCGGGGGATGACGCGGCGGAGAGGGGCCGGCCCGGCCCGCCCGGAGCTGCCGGGTCCTTGGTTGGGCGGCGGTACCCGGGCGTCCCCTGCAGACACGCAGCCCCGTGGAACTCCCGGCGGGACGGTTGGGGCTGGAGGAACAGGACGCCCGCTCTCGGCCTCCCTTCCCGGGCCTGGGCTGAGGGCAGCCGTTGGTGGGTTTCAGGGCCGCCTGGGCAGAATGTCACGATGGACGAGGGCGGCACGCCCCTGCTCCCCGACAGCCTGGTCTACCAGATCTTCCTGAGCCTGGGCCCGGCCGACGTGCTGGCCGCCGGGCTGGTGTGCCGCCAATGGCAGGCCGTGTCGCGGGACGAGTTCCTGTGGAGGGAGCAGTTCTACCGCTACTACCAGGTGGCCCGCGACGTGCCCCGACACCCAGGTCAGTGGCGTGTGGGGCCCCTACCCACGTTCTGCAGCCAGGGCCCCGGGCCCCTGCGCTTGGGGGTCAGCCTGGCTGGGGGCCCGCCCCGCGGCCCCGCGTGTCCATGCTCACCCCCCCACACCCTGATAGAGGCCTGTCAGGACACAGCGCAGGCGCCCCTCAGAGCTTGGAGGCCAGAGGGTTCATTGGGTCACTTGGGGGGTGGGGGGTACAGGGGTCTCTGTGAGCTACAGGGTTGAATCCCCCAGCCGAGGCCTATGCCATGACTAGTGGGTTCCAGGGGCACCACGGGGCCTGCCAGGACTGCTGGGGCCACACTCGGCTCATGGCCGTGACTGCGAGGAAGGCCCGGGCCCAGGACTGACAACTGCCCACCCGCAGCGGCCATGTCCTGGTACGAGGAGTTCCAGCGGCTGTATGACACGGTGCCCTGCGTGGAGGTGCAGACGCTGCGGGAACACACAGACCAGGTCCTGCACCTCAGCTTCTCCCATTCCGGGTACCAGTTCGCGTCCTGCTCCAAGGACTGCACTGTGAAGGTGAGGACGGCCAGGTGTCCTGCACACCCCACCCAGCTCTGCCGCAGCACGGAGGTCCCAGGACCCAGGCGTTCCAACCAGGTGGTGGTGGGGGGGGGGGTGGGTCAGGCCAGAGGTGACAGCAGCCTCCCTGCATCCAGCGGAGGGACCACAGAGGATCAGGAGCGGTGCAGGGTGGCCCTGAGTGCTGAGGAGAGGGTCCCACACACAGCCGCCTGCTTCAGGGGCAGGCTCCTCCGCTCTATACCAATGCCCCCCGAGTGGATGACAGTGGCTGGAAGGGGTCCCTGCTCCCTGGTGGCCTCTGAGTAGGGCTGGCAGAGCTGGGGCCTCATGGCTGTGTAGTAGCAGGCCCCCGCCCCGCGACCTGGCCAGGCGATCACTACAGCCGCCCCTGCCGAACAGATCTGGAGCAACGACCTGACCATCTCGCTGCTGCACAGCGCGGACATGCGGCCCTACAACTGGAGCTACACCCAGTTCTCCCAGTTCAACAAGGACGACTCGCTACTGCTGGCCTCGGGGGTGTTCCTGGGGCCGCACAACTCCTCATCCGGCGAGATTGCTGTCATCAGCCTAGGTGAGCACGGGCGGCGGGTTGACCCTGCCCCCGCCCCACGCCGACAGCCTGTCCAGCCCCGGCCTCCCCACAGACTCCTTCGCGCTGCTGTCCCGCGTGCGGAACAAGCCCTATGACGTGTTTGGCTGTTGGCTCACCGAGACCAGCCTCATCTCGGGGAACCTGCACCGCATCGGAGATATCACCTCCTGCTCGGTGCTGTGGCTCAACAATGCCTTCCAGGTGCGTGCGGGGCTAGGGGCGGGGCTGCCCTCCTGGGGCCTGGCGCCCGGCGCCCACCTGGCACGTGCCCCCGCCCCCAGGATGTGGAGTCAGAGAACGTCAACGTGGTGAAGCGGCTGTTCAAGATCCAGAACCTCAATGCCAGCACCGTCCGCACGGTGATGGTGGCCGACTGCAGCCGCTTCGACAGCCCTGACCTGCTGCTGGAAGCCGGTGACCCGGCCACGTCCCCCTGCCGCATCTTTGACCTGGGCAGCGACAACGAGGAGGTGGTGGCTGGCCCGGCCCCCGCCCACGCCAAGGAGGGCTTGCGGCACTTTCTGGACCGCGTGCTGGAGGGGCGGGCGCAGCCACAGCTGTCGGAGCGCATGCTAGAGACCAAGGTGGCCGAGCTGCTGGCCCAGGGCCACACCAAGCCACCCGAGCGCAGTGCCACAGGCGCCAAGAGCAAGTACCTCATCTTCACCACTGGCTGCCTCACCTACTCCCCACACCAGATCGGTACACCCCTGCCGCCATGCTGCCCGCCTCGGTCCTAGGAGCTTGGGGGAGGCCGGGCAGGGGTCCTGAGGGGCAGACAGCAAGCAAGTCCACAGGCAAAGCTGGGATCGTTCACTCGCCCCTGGGGTCACAAGCCCAGACCTGGGGCCTGTGGGATGAGCAGTGAAAACAAACGCAGGCAGGGCCGCTGGCCAGCAAGCAACCGACGGGCCTGATTCAGGTCTGGGGCCCCCGGAGCAGGCAGTGCCCACGGACCTCTGTGGTGCTCACAGCCCCAGAGACACCACTGAGGTAGGAAGCTGCCCTGGAGTGATGTCCTTGGGGCATTGGACAGGGACCCTCACCGTAGCCCTCCCTGCAGGCATCAAGCAGATCCTGCCACACCAGATGACCACGGCAGGGCCCGTGCTGGGTGAGGGCCGGGGCTCCGATGCCTTCTTCGACGCGCTGGACCACGTCATAGACATACACGGACACATCATCGGCATGGGCCTGTCGCCCGACAACAGGTGGGCCTCTTGCCAGTGTCCCAGGCGGGGTGCCCGCAGGCGGCCCACACCTAGCACAGTGCCCCTCGCCCAGGTACCTGTACGTGAACAGCCGCGCCTGGCCCAACGGTGCGGTGGTGGCCGACCCCATGCAGCCGCCACCAATCGCGGAGGAGATTGACCTGCTGGTGTTCGACCTCAAGACCATGCGGGAGGTGAGGCGGGCTCTGCGTGCGCACCGCGCCTACACGCCCAACGACGAGTGCTTCTTCATCTTCCTGGACGTCAGCAGGGACTTCGTGGCCAGGTGCAGGGCGCGGCGTGGTGCAGGGCGGGTGTGGGCAGCAGCGGGCGGGCGGCCGGCTCACCCAGGCGCTGTTCTGCAGCGGGGCGGAGGACCGGCACGGCTACATCTGGGACCGCCACTACAACATCTGTCTGGCCAGGCTGCGGCACGAGGATGTGGTCAACTCAGTGGTCTTCAGTCCCCAGGAGCAGGAGCTGCTGCTCACGGCCAGCGACGACGCCACCATCAA
Source organism: Homo sapiens (assembly GCF_000001405.40). NCBI lineage: Eukaryota > Metazoa > Chordata > Mammalia > Primates > Hominidae > Homo > Homo sapiens. Next base: position 136,941,021 of record NC_000009.12, on the reverse strand, counting down.
AGCCTGGCGCTCCCCACGCACCATGCGCGTCCTCCAGGCACCTCGCCCACGGCCTCGCACCTTCTTCTCCTGGCTTGCCAGCCAGAGGCGCTGAGGTGTGCTGGGTGCACTGGAGCCACCGGGACCCCTTGAGGACATCGCCAGGCTCTGTGGCTTTTTCCCGAGCGGGAGAGGTGGAGATGCTTATAGCAGTTACGCCTTAGGAAGGGGACAACCAGGCCCCGCCACACGCTCACACACAAACCTGCTCACGCAGCTGTGATGCTTGGCACGGGGTGGCCAGTGCAGATGGAGCCCAAGGCCCCCTCGGCCTCCTGGGCAACTTGGGGTACACAGGATACTGGGGGTGCCGCTCCTCACTCAACCCCAGGCTAGGGGTACACCTGACCCAGCTGGCCTCGGCCCGGGGCACCTTCGGCTGGTCCTGTGGGGCCCTGGACGGTGGCCCAGTGGTGGCAGGGGCTGCTCCTGGCTGTGGTTGTGCGCCCGGGGCTTGGGAGCGGCCGGTCACGCTGCTGTGGGCCCGAGTGTGTTGCATGTCCACGCACCACCCGTTCAGGGCCCTGAATAAACAGTTGGCAACAGCACATTGTTGTCCAGTCTCTGTCTGCAGGGAGGGAGACTGTGGGCACTGCTGGCACAGTGGAGTGGACCTCATGGTCACTGCTGACGGGTGACGCTGTTATTGCTGGCACAGTGGTCCTACTGGAGTGAATGTTGCAGTCACTGCTGACAGGTGACATGTGCGTCTGAGGTCATGTGCTGGTGCCAGACTTTGTCACACTGCCCTGTCCTCCATGACCTCCAGGGAGATGCCTGGCACATGTGCCGGGGCTGGCAGCATGCAGGGCCTGCCGTCTGGGTCCAGGGTCAGTAGGCCACGTCACTCCCAGTGCCAGGGCAGCCCCCCCAGTCAGTCCCGTCCTTGAGGGAGTTCCTCAGCTGCTGGGTCCAGAGTCGGCAGGCTGCGTCGCTCCCAGTGCCAGGGCAGCCCCCACAGTCAGTCCCATCCTTAAGGGAGTTCCTCGGCTGCTGGGTCCAGAGTTGGCAGGCTGCGTCACTCCCAGTGCCAGGGCGGCCCCCCACAGTCCCGTCCTTGAGGGAGTCCCTCGGCTGCTGGGTCCAGAGTCGGCAGGCCGTGTCGCTCCCAGTGCCAGGGCGGTCTCCACAGTCAGTTCAGGCCGGCGAGGATGGGACCAGGGGCCCAGAAGTGGGAGCAGAGGTGGAGCTCCAGCTGGACCCCACAGGCTTTGTTGGAACTGCACCGGGAGCTCGGGGGCCCGGGGCGATGGTGGTGACAAGGAAGATGGCAGGAGTAGAGCCTGGCACTCGGGTCAGCTGCCCATTATAGGAAGCACACAGAGCTTGTGGCTCCAAACATGGCAGCAAGCAACCCCGTACAGAGAAAGGACGCAGAGGAGACGAGTGAGTGTCGAGGTGATGGTTCCCCTGAGCCACGTGGGCCGCAGGTAGAGACCCTGGGGCTGAGCTCGAGCACCGACGGGATCAGGGACAGCACCACCGAGAGAGGCTGCGCCACCCAGAGGGACGGAGCCTCTGCCCTGCCAACTCCTGGTCTCCAGCTGGGAAGCCCTGGGGACCACTGCAGTTCATAATAAAACCCCCAACGTGGGCGAGAACAAGGAAAGGAAGGAAGACACACCAAAGACCCCCAGACAAGATAAGCTGCCCTGAGACTAACACCCTCAGAAGGGAGCTGACAGATTCTGTAAATGCAAGCACACCACGGGCAGGCTCCAAAGAATTGAGCAATTTCCTGAAAAGGACTTACCTACGTTCACATTCAAGGAGACTAACAAAAACATTCCTATGCACCATAAAACAAAAGTGGGGACAGAAATCAAGAGGACTTGGACATTTCAAAATAAAAAGGGAGCCAATTAGACACTGGAAAATGACAGGGCGAGTGACTGCATCAAAAGCTTGATACGTAGGCCGGGCGCGGTGGCTCACGCCTGTAATCCCAGTACTTTGGGAGGCCGAGGTGGGCAGATCACGAGGTCAGATCGAGGCCATCCTGGCTAACAAGGTGAAACCCTGTCTCTACTAAAAATACAAAAAATTAGCCGGGCGCGGTGGCGGACGCCTGTAGTCTCAGCTACTCGAGAGACTGAGGTAGGAGAATGGCGTGAACCTGGGAGGCGGAGCTTGCAGTGAGCCGAGATTGCACCACTGCACTCCAGCCTGGGCGACAGAACAAGACTCTGTCTCAAAAAAGGAAAAGAAAAAAAAAAAAATCTTGATATGTGGAAAGTGCTGGACCAGACAGACTCGACGAGAGGACCAGGCAGCAGAAGATGGCACAGAGGAGACGAAAGAAACACAGCCCTGGGAGGGGAATGGAGCGGCATGCATGCCCCCACCCCATCTACGGGGCAGGGGTGGAGACCCAGTGTTTAAAGAGAAAGTGACTGAATTAGCAAAAGAACAGAAGTCCTCAGAAAACATATGCTGAGGTCAGGCCGGGCGTGGTGGTTCATGCCTGTAATCCTAGCACTTTGGGAGGCCGAGGCGGATCACTTGAGGTCAGGAGATCAAGACCAGCCTGGCCAACACGGTGAAACCCCTTTTGTACTTAAAAAAAAAAAAAAAAAAAATTAGCCGAGCGTGGTGGCACACACCTCTAATCCCAGCTACTCAGGGGACTGAGGCAGGAGAATTCATTGAACCCGGGAATGAGCTGAGATTGCGCCACTGCACTCCAGCCTGGGCGACAGAGTGAACTCTGTGAAACTGCAGCTATGAAACTTGTGCACGGGGCCTGGAGCAGCTGCCAGAGAGCTGGGTCAGGGAGCAGCAGCAAGATCCCAAGTTTCGCAGAACTGGTGCTTGACCTAACATCCATGACCTGAACTCCACGCAGCCGCAACACCGGACGTGAGTGCTGGGGCCAGGCAGAAAGCCCAGAGCAGCCCTAAGGGCCAGGGAAAGGAACCCACGCCGATGCGCAGGGTCAGTGAGGCAATGCCCTGGGTTTACCCTCTTCTCCATTCTTTTGTGACCCTGATGGCAGTGGGAGTGGTGGCTACAGGAACCCATCAGAGCCAAACTTGGGGCCAGAAAGTCCCTCACAGCTCAGTGCGGCTGTATTGAGGGTGGGACCACCCCCATTAGCTTTCCTCCCCTGTCCTCCTGCCACATAGACTCCAACGCGGCCCAGTCAAGGGCATGTCACTGTCTGAACTGACAGTGAGTGAGCCCAGCAACCAAACCCAGCGTGGGGAGCTTGGGAAGCACCCACATGGGGTGGCTGTGGATGCCGGGCTCAGCTCACATGCAGACACATGGGTCTAATGATCACACCATGGACGTGGGGAACTGCAGACCAGCCTTGGGTCCCAGACCAAAGACCAGCAGCTCTGAAGACAGGAGTCCACGCAGGTGGGAGCAGTGTGGGCCCAACCCTCACAGGACCAAGTGCCTGCTAACCAAAGACACCCACGCAGGTGGGAGCAGTGTGGGCCTGACCATCCCAGGACCAAGTGCCTGCTAACCAAAGATACTCATGCGGGCAGGAACAATGTGGGCCCAACCTTCACAGGACCAAGTGCCTGCTAACCAGACTTCAACATTTCCCACAGGATTCAAACATGACCCAGATCTCATAAAGTCATATTCAAAATGTCTAGAATATAGCCCAAAATTGCTTGACACACGAAGAACCACAACATTTCAACTTGCAGCTGGGCACCGCGGCTCACACCTGAAACCCTAGTTCCCTGGGAGGCCACGGCTGCAGGGAGCAATCACCGGGCCGCTGCACTCCAGCCTGGGTGACAGAGACCCTGTTTCTAAAAAATAAAAATAAAAAATAAAAGATTCAATGTGCAAAGGTAAAGACCCATAAATTCTATTTCCCAAAAACAATTAGTAGCTTTTTTAAAAAACCACACAACAAATTTTTATTATTTTTTAATTTTTGTAGAAATGAGGTCTATGTTGCCCAGGCTGGTCTCAAACTCCTGGGCTCAAGTAATCTTCCAGCCTCGGCCTCCAGAAGTGCTGGGATTACAGGCGTGAGCCACCGCACCGGCCAACACAATTCTTAAAAGGCACTGGGATTCCTCTGCTTCAAGATCATTACTAGGCTAGAAAAATAAAGCTTGTTCTACCAGAAATCACAAGTAAGAACTGAGTGTTCTCCAAGGCAGAAATTGTAGAGTCTAGTGCCATTTCAGGCAACGATGACTAAGCTCTGAACCCCAACATCCACAGCTGCCCATCAGAACACTTAAACCAGCTCGGAACAGACCAGCACAATTCGGCTTCATCAGACAAGGCCACCGTGCTCTTCTAAGATGCTAATAACCCCAAACAGGAGGTGCTGAAACCAAATGAAAGACAGTCTTTGAGGCTAGCTGCCACACCAACTGTGAGTTCCTTGTTATGTCCCCCTTCTATAACATTAATCAAGGAAATATTTTACTGCAAAGAGTATTTTATATGCCACTAGCCATGAATTTTTGTCATTAGTTACTACATAAATGTCACCTAGTGCCTGCCATTATCCACATGGCACAACCATTTTATGTCTACAATTCACTTCTGTATTTACAAACAGAATCTTTGTGATTCCCATAAGTACATTAGCAAAGGTTTAACATCGAGATGCAATCTAACATCCATAACCTCCATTGTTTTGCAGACAGCAATGTAGGAGAGAGAGATTTTTTTTTTTTTTTTTTTTTTTTGAGACAGAGTCTTGCTCTGTCGCCCAGGCTGGAGTGCAGTGGCGCGATCTCAGCTCACTGCAGGCTCTGCCTACCAGGTTCATGCCATTCTCCTGCCCCAGCCTCCCGAGTAGCTGGGACTACAGGCGCCCGCCACCATGCCCGGCTAATTTTTTTGTATTATTTTAGTGGAGACGGGGTTTCACTGTGTTGGCCAGGATGGTCTCGATCTCCTGACCTCGTGATCCGCCCGCCTCGGCCTCCCAAAGTGCTGGGATTCCAGGCATGAGCCACCATGCCCGGCTGAGGATTGTGTTCTTTAAAACAGTTTTATTTGGATTTACAAAATCTGAACACCTTACAATCATTGCAGATGAACATTATGCCATGGCCCCAGGTAGATGCACCCTGAACAAAAACTCACACTTCCCGATATGCAGGGGGAACCTGCAAGTCCTCACCAACCAAACGCCAGGCTTGGGAGGAAGTGACACAGACACAGATGCTGAAATTATCTGACAAGGGCTTTAAAGTAGCTACTATAAATATGCCAGAGCAAGCAATCACAAACATTTTGCAATGGATGTAAAAATATGAAAGTCTCAGCAAAAAAATAGAAGATGTAAAAAGGACCATTCATACCAAGATTAGGTATCTATAAAAAGAGAAGGAAAAAGGCTGGGCACGGTGGCTTACGCCTGTAACCCTAACATTTTGGGAGGCCAAGGCGGGCAGATCACCTGAGGTCAGGAGTTCAAGACCAGCCTGGCCAACATGGTAAAATCCCGTCTCTACTAAAAATACAAAAAAAAAAAGGCCGTGTGCGGTGGCTCACGCTTGTTAATCCCAGCACTTTGGGAGGCCGAGGTGGGCAGATCACAAGGTCAGGAGGATCGAGACCAAGTTCCAGCTACTCGGGAGGCTGAGGCAGAATGGCGTGAACCCAGGAGGCGGAGCTTGCAGTGAGCCGAGATCGCGCCACTGCACTCCAGCCTGGGCGACAGAGCAAGACTCCATCTCAAAAAAAAAAAAAAAAAAAAAGACAGGTTCTCACTCTGTTGCCCAGCCTTGAGTCACCAGTACAGTCATGACTTACTGCAGCTTCGACCTTCAGGCTCAAGTGATCCTCCCACCTCAGCCTCTCAAGTAGCTGGGACCACAGGCATGCACCACCACACCCAGCTAATTTTTATATTTTTTGTAGAGATGGGGTTTTGCCATGTTGTCCAGGCTGGTTTTGAACTCCTAGGCTGAAGTGATCCGCCTGCCTCGGCTTCCGTAAGTGCTGGGATTACGGCGTGAGCCACCATACTGGGCTGCAGCCTCTTTTTAAGGGCACGAATCCCATCCACAAGTGTTGCACCCTCATGATCTAAAAAGTCCTGCCTCCAAGTACCATCACATTGGAGATTATGTTTCAACACAGGAAATTGGGTGGGGGGGGCACAAACATTGTCTTCTCTTAGTCTGTTTTTGCTGCTATAACCGAATACCTGAGACCAGATAATTTATAAGGAATAGAAATTTATTGGCTCACAGTTCTGGGGGCTGGGAAGTCCCAGAGTAAGGTGCCAGCGTCTGGTGCAATCCTTCTTGTTGTGTCACTGTGGAAGGTGGAAGGGCAAGAGAGGGCCAAGCTCATCTTATTATACCAGCACCAATTCCAGCCTATCTTCCCTCTGACCTAATCACCCTTTAAGGATCCCACCTCTTAACACTGTTACAATGACAATTAAATATTAACATGAGTTTGGGAGATAAAAACATTCAAACCGTAGCATTCCATCCCTGCCCCTACACCAATTCATGTTCTTTTCACATACAAAATATACTCATTCCATCCCAATGGCCCCATTCAAAAGTCCAAAGCCCAGAGTCTCGTCTAAATCAAACATGGGTGAGACTCAAGGCATGATTCATCCTGAGGCAACTTTCCCTCCACTATGAGCCTGTGAAATTAAACAAGTTACGTGCTTCCAAAATACAATGGTAGGGCAGGCATAGAACAGACATTTCCATTCCAAAGGGATAAATTATAAAGAGGAAAGGAATAACAGGCCTCAAAAGCATGTCCAAAGTCCAACAGGGAGAATACTACTAAATCCTAAGGCTTGAGAATCATCATCTTTGACTCCAAATCCTGCCTTCTGCACGCCGTGGGGTGCGGCTGGGTCCTCAGGCTCTTGGGAACCTCACCCCTAGAGCTTTGCTGGGCTCAGACCTCACACAACTCTCTTAGGTTGGAGTCTCGTGCCTTCAGCTCTCCCAGGCTGGCAATGAACACTAGAGGCTCTCCAGTTCTGGGGTCTCAGGGGTGGCCTTATCCCCAAGGCTCTACCACATATTGCCCTAGTGTGGGCTCTCTGCCATGGCTCTGGCCTGGAGACTTGTGACATCCTGTGTGACACCCAGTGGATGAAGCCATGTCCCCACAGCTCCTGCAAGGCTGCAGAATCGACACCACCAAGGCTTATGACTTGTACCTTCCCTGGGTCCACATGAGACAGGCTGGAGTGGCTTAGGGGGTCTGCACTGGAATGCAGACAGCCAAGACTTGGGGTGGCCCTGGCCAGCAGGCTCTAAGGTCCACACCCTACACCTCTCTTTTGACATATTTCCTTCCCAAAGGCCTTGGCACTCTGGGCCTGTGGTGGGAGGGGCAGCACCAGGAATCTGAAATGCCTCTGGGGCCATTTTCCCACTGTCCTGATGAGCAGCCTCTGGCTTCGTTCTGTCCATACTAAGTTGCTTGGCCACACACTTGGTCTGTTCTCCTAAAGACATCTTATTTACTCCCTAAATGGGCAGGCTGAAAATCCTTACGATCCCTATTCTTTCCTTGTTAATTATAAATTCCATCTTTAATTCATTTCTCTTCTCACATCTTACTCTCTGCAGTTAGAAGAAAACATGCCACACCCTGAGTATTTCTTCAGCCAGATATCCCAGTTCCTTCCACAAAGGAAGGACTGGGCATGGACACCGTTCAGCCACGTTCTCTGCCACTTTATAACTAGGATGGTCATTCCTCCAGTTTCTGACACCTTGTTCTTCATTTCTGTCTGAGATCTTACCAGAATGGCCTTCACTGTCCAGATTTCTACCAACATTCTGACCATGACCACTTTAAGTATTCTCAAAGAAGCTTCAGACTTTCCCTACAGTTCTCTTCTGAGCCCTCAACAAAATCACCCTTTACACTCCATGAATGGCATCTAAGCTTCTTCTCGCTCCTCCAAACTCTTCTGGCCTCTGCCTACTACCCAGTTCCAAAGCTGCTTCCACATTTTTCGAGCATTTGTGATGACAACAAACCCACTCCTGGTCTCGATTTTCTGCCCACAGCACCCTGATACCAAAAACCAGACAAAGACAATACAAAAGACAATTATAGACAAATGTCCTTCATGAACAGAGATGCAAAATCCTCAAAAAAAATTTAAATCAAATCCAGCAATATATAAAAGTGATAGTGCACCATAACCAGGTAGGGTTTATTCCAGGAATGCAAGGTTGGTCCAATATTTGAAGATCAACATAAGTCACCATATTAACTGTACAGGAGAAAAACCACATGAACATATCACTTGGTATAGAAAAAGCATCTTTTTTTTTTTTTTTTTGGAAGACAGTTTCCTTGTTGCCCAGGTTAGAGTGCAATGGCACGATCTCAGCTCACTGTCACCTCCGTCTCCCAGTTCAAGCAATTCTCCTGCCTCAGCCTCCCAAGTAGCTGGGATTACAGGAGTGCACCACCATGCCCAGCTAATTTTTGTTTTTAATAGAGATGGGTTTTCACCATGTTGGCCAAGCTGGTCTCAAACTCCTGACCTAAGGTGATCCGCCTGCCTCGGCCTCCCAAAGTGCTGGGATTATAGGCATGAGCCACCAAACCCAGCCATTGAAAAACATCTTGATAAAATGTCTAGTCATGATAAAAAAAAAAAAAAAAAACCCTAGAAGCAAACTAGAAGTAGAAGGGAACTTGCTCAACCTGATAAAACAGCATCACCAAAAATCCCCGTGGGTAACATGATACATAATTGTGAAAGCAAGAAAGCTTTCCCCAAGAGTGGGAATGAGGAAAGGCTATAGACTCTTACCATTACTATTCAACCTTATAAACGGGAAGTCAGCCAATGGAACAAGGCAAGCAAAAGAAATAAAAGGCATAGAGATTGAATAAAAAGAAATAAAACTGTCCTTATTAATGGATGACATATTGTTCACACATAAAATCCCCCCAAATCTATAAAAACAAACAAAATCCTAATCTCCTACAACCAGTAAGTGAATTCATCAAGGTTATGAGGTATAAGAACAACACATAAAAATCAGTTTTGTTTTTAAACACTGGAAATATACAGTCAGAAACCAAAATTCAAAAAACAACCTCTTACAACAGCTCAAGAAACAAAGTAAGCTGTGGGATAGGAAGCAATAAATAAGTAAAAGAAACACTGAAGCATAAACCTACTAAAACATGTACAAGATATGTATACTGGCTGGGTGTGGTGACTTTTATGCCCATAATCCCAGCACTTTGGAAGGCAGAGGTGGGTGAATCACTTGAGTCCAGGACACCAGCCCAGGCAACATGGCAAAACCCTATCTCTACAAAAAATACAAAAATTAGCCGGGCGTGGTGGCACACACTTGTAGTCCCAGCTACTTAGGAGGCTGAGGTGGGAAGATCCATTGAGCCCAGGAGGTCAAAGCCACAGTGAGCTGCGATCATGCCACTGCATTCCAGCCAGTTCAACATACATATGAAATACTACAAAACGCTGATAAAGAATAGAGATAGACTATGTTCATGGATTGTCTGACTCAACACAGATGTCAATTCTCCCCAAACTGATGTGTAGACTTAACGCAATTCCAATCAAAATCCCAGAATTTTTTTGTAGTTGACTGTGAAATATATATGTACTGTCAAACAAACAAAAATAGGGAAAACAATTCTGAAAAACAACAACTGGCTGGGCGTGGTGGCTAATGCCTGTAATCCCATCACTTTGGGAAGCTGAGGCAGGCGGATCACTTGAGCCCAGGAGTTTCAGGCCAGCCTGGACAACAGAGAGACCCTGTCTCCGGCTGGGTGCAGTGGCTCATGCCTGTAATCCCAGCACTCTGGGAGGTCGAGGTAGGCAGATCTGAGGTCAGAAGATCGAGACCATACTGGCCAACATGGTGAAACCCCGACTCTACTAAAAATACAAAAAAATTACCTGGGTGTGGTGGCATGCACCTGTAATCCCAAATACTTGGAAGGCTGGGGCAGGAGAATCGCTTGAACCAAGGAGTCAGAGGTTGCAGTGAGCCAAGATGGGTCACTGTACTCCAGTCTGGTGACAGAGCGAGAGTCTGTCTCAAAAAAAAAAAAAAAAAAAAAAAAAAAAAAAAAACTCTATCTCTACTAAAAATTTAAAAAATTAACCGAGTGTGGTGGTGTGCCTGTGGTCCCAGCTACTTGGGATGCTTGAGGTGGGAAGACCTGCTTGAGCCTGAGGTCTCGAGGGTGCAGTGAGGTAGGATTTGTACCACTGCACTCCAGCCTAGGCAACAGAACGAGACTGTGACTGTCTTTAAAAAAAAAAAAAAAAAAAAAAAAAAAAAAAGGGCAGGGCAGGGCAAACGAAAAAAAAGAGAAAAGAAAACGAAAAGAAAAAAGGAAGGAGGGAGGGAGGAAAAAGGAAAAAAAGAAAAAGAGAAACAAGAATAAAGTTTGGCCAGGTACAGTGACACATGCCTATAATCCCAGCACTTTGGGAGTCCAAGACAGGACAGTGTGAGACCAGGAGTCTGAGACCACCCTGGGCAACATAGTGATATTCTGTCTCTACAAAAATTAAAGAAAATAAGCTGAGCACGATGGTGTGAACCTGTAGTCGCAGCTACTTGGGAGGCCTAGGTGGGAGGATCACTGGAGCTCAGGGGTTTGAGGCTGCAGTGAGGTAGGACTGCGCCATTGCGCTCCAGCCTGGGTGACAGAGCAAGACCCTATATCTTAAAAAGAAATTAAAAAAGAATGCTGACAACACAAAGTGCCCACAAGGATGTGGAGCAGCGGGAACTGTGGCTCATGCTGGCATTCCACAACAGGCTACAGCTATTCTGGAAAGTGCTTGGCAGTTTCTTTTGAATTTAAAAATACACTTACTGTGTGATCCAGCAGCCCCACTGCTAACTACCTTAATGAAATAAAAACTTGCTCAACAACCTGTACACAAATGTTTATAGCAGCTCTATTCAGACCTGCAAAACATTAGAAACAACCCAAACACCCTTCAACAGGTGACGAGACAAACTGATCCATCCATAGAGCACTACTCCAAAAAAAACAAAAAAAAAAGAGAGAAAACAAATGCTGATGCACGCATCCTGATCAGTCTCAGCGGCGTTCTGCAGATCTCGCTGCTCCCAGCCACGCATTGTAGGACTCCATTATGGGACCTTCTTGGAAAGACATAACTACAGTGGTGGAGGACAGGTGTGTGGCTGCCACGGGTCGGGGTGGTGACTATGGGGAAAGTGGAACAGTCTTCTGAGATGGCAGGGCTCGCCTGTCTCCCAGGTATGGTGCTTACCCACATCTGCACAGGTGTGAACATCCATGGAATTGAATGTTCCATGAACAAAACAAAAGAACAAATCAATTTTACTACGTGAAATTTAAAAATGTTATTAGGGGCCAGGTGCAACACCTGCAATCCCAGCACTTTGGGAGGCTGAGGTGGGCAGATCACCTGAGGTCAGCAGTTCGAGACCAGCCTGGCCAACATGGTAAAGCCCTGTCTCTACTAAAAATACAAAAATTAGCCAGGCGTGGTGGCTCACAGCTGTAATCCCAGCTACTCAGGAAGCTGAGGCAGGAGAATTGCTTGAACCTGGGAGGCGGAGGCTGCAGTGAGCCGAGATTGTGCCATTGTATTCCAGCCAGGAAGACAGAACGAGATTCCGTCTCAAAAAAAAAAAAAAAAAAAAAAAACACTTCCTGAGGGAGATGTAAGGTGACACAAAAGTTCGGCAATTCCTCCAAGAGCTGAACAAGCGGCCCAGCAGCTCTACTCCTCGGTATAAATATTCAAGAGAAATGAAAACAAATACACGTCCCCATAAAAACTTGTTCACAAATGTTCACAGCAGCATTTTCAGAGTAGCCAAAAAGTAGAAACCACCCAAATGTCCAGCAACGGATGAATGGATAAATAAGGTGTGGTGCATCCATACAAGAGATTATTCAGCCATTAGAAGGAATGAAACTCCAATGCATGCTGCAACACACAGGAACCATGAAAATATCTTGCTGAGTAAAAGCAAAGGCCACATTCACATGAATGTCCTGAGTAGGCAAATCTATAGAGACAGAAGGTAGGTTTATGGCTGGCTGTCAGGGGCTGAGCGGGAGGGAACAGTGACTGCTAAGGGAAGGTTTCTCTGCAGGGTGATGAAATGTCCCAAAATTAGGTAGTGACGATGGTACCTCTGTGGGTTTGCACAGAGCCTGTCACTTCCCCAGAAGGCCATGAGGCGGCTGGGCCAGGCCTGCCCACGGGGCTGCTCCAGAGCATTTTGTCCCTCAAGGGCCTTGGTCTGCTTCGTGGGAGCCTCTTGGTGTGGCAGCCAGTGCCTAGGGAATTGTTCCGAGTGCAGACCTCTGCCCCTTCTGCAGCCTGGAGCCCGATGCTGCTCTCACTGCGTGGGGGGTGCGGTCCTCAGCTCTTCCCCAGGTTCTCCAGACCTCCATCTCCACTGCAGGGAGGTGAGGGCCAGGAGGACCATCCGGCTGCTCTGGCAAAGGACCTCCAAGGTAGCTGCTCTGCCCCGTCTTTCAGTTGATCCACTTTTAGACTCTGCTCCATGCCAGGGCCTCCCGGTGTGGCCAGCTTCCCCCTCAGCCCTCTTCTGCTCAGCAGCCACCCACCAACCCACTTCCCACCTTCCAAAATGGGTTCAAATCCTTTGTGGGATGTTGGCTTCTTCCCCATCTTTGTCCCTGGGGGAGGATTTTTTTTTGGTCCATTCCTCTCATTTCACAGTTCCATTTCGTTTTAAGTGAGAAGAGATGACCTCAATCAATCTGTTTTAACAAACTGCAGTGACCCAGCAAAACCTGTCACATACAAACAAATCCCCAAATATAGAAGCCCAGTATGTTAAAGACAAAACTTCACAATCATTAGACGAAAACATGACAGTGGTTTCCAGCCTCAGGGAAGGTCAGGATGTTCTGAGTCGGTCGGAAATAGCACCATTCATAAAGGATAAGATCAGCTGATCATGTGTAAGGCTTAAGCTTCTGCACATCAGGAGCAACAGAAACGCAGTTCAAAGACACAACCGAGAATCCGTAATCAGGAATATCAGGAACTCCTACCAACCAGCAGAATAAGACCCAGACCAACAACCAGAAGAAAAATGAGAAAAAGACATCAACAGGCAATTCGCACGGGAGAGAATCCAAGGGAGAGGTAAGCGTGGTAAAGACGCCTGACTCCGCCGAGTCATCAGAGAAACGCACGTGACAGCGATGCCACTTCACTTCACACACAGCACGCTGCAGCATCTCAATTCCAACAACACGAAGCACGGGCAGGGATGGGAGGGATGGGAGTGATGGGAACCCTCCCCCTGGTGCTGGTGGAAGGACCGGATGCAGCCCCTCTGCAAAGCAAGCTGGCAACTGCTAAAAAGGGGAGGCCTAGAAACCACCAACCCTCCTTCCAGGTTGACAGGAGACCCACGAGAGCAGGTCTGGCTATCTCCAGTCACCAAACCCTGAAGACACGGGAAGAGACTGGAAGGTGCTCTCTAGGGAACTCACACACGGCAGTCAGAATCCACCATGTAGAGTGCCCAGCACAAGATGCATTAAAAGTAGCCAGGCTGAGTCAAAAGCCCAGCTACCTGCAGCTGACCCAGTGGATGGTTTCTGCATTTTTAATGCAATATTCTTATTTGTGAATACAGAAACGTACAGATGCAAAATTCTAAAGCCCAAAGAGAACCGGAACGCCTCAATTCCCGCCACGTGGCCTGGGGAGCTGAGGTGAGGCCGGGAAAGGGAACAGCAGGGCTCTGCAATGCTTGCTCTTTAGGCCCAGTACACACTCACGGAACACAGACAATGCCCGTCGGTCAGCTCCGTGCCTGAGTTATTTTCTGTACTTTTCTGTGGTCAACTTCTCAAACTACAGCAGTGCGTGAAGACGTCGAGAGGGGACAGCACTTTATCCTGGACCCCGATACAGATGCCCAGTAGGTCCCAGCACGGCTGCCCTGACACCGAGTGTGAAGCCGTGCCTACGCCTGCCTGCACTGTCCCAAAAACACACCACAGGGGCGGTGCAGCCAGGACCCTCGGTGTGGCCAGGACCCCCCGGGTGCAGCCAGGATGCTCGGTGGAGCCTGTGCACAGAAAGGCAGGACCAGGGCTGGCTCATCCTCATTCTGCTCTCACAGGAGTCCCTGGGGAGGCCCAGGAGAGGAGATGGACAGGGAAGAACATTCCAGAAGAGGGAACAAGGCTCGAGAAGAGGGAGCTTACATCAGGTGAGGAACAGAGAACACAGCCTGGCTAGCTAGAGAAGCAGGCAGGGGCTAGGCACCCCGTGGGGAGGGGTCTGTGAGAGGAGAGGCCAGGAGGACCCGCAGAGGGTCACCACTGCCAAGGCTGGAAGCCGCAGGCAACCTGGAATCAAATGGATGCCACTGACCACAGAGATTTGAATGGTTTAATAACTCTGTCTTCGTGAGCTGGATGGCAAGCTCTCACACTTTACCCGCAGGCTGTGCTGTGCACCTCCCACACAGTGGTCTGAGCAGAGGCGGCGTGGGACCAGACCCTCTCCCACAGCCAGCCTGGCCAAGGTGGCACAGACCAGAGCTCTGTGCAGACAAGCACCCAGGGGTCTAGGAATGCTCCCTTCTCTCCAGGGGCCAGAGGGGAGAACCAAGCTGCTCAGCCTTCCTTGCTCTGGCCAGCAGGAGGCCCTTCTCCTGGAGCAGCCCTCGTTTCTGCCTGTCATGCCCGAGGGACACAAGGCCATCCACTGTGCTCCTGCTACATGGGCACTGCTGGGATGTGCTCCCACTCTGAGTGTCCCCCACCCAGGGCCTCTCCCTTCACTGCACAGGACAGCAAGGGCAGCTTGTGCTGGGAAGCACCCGAAGACCCTCGGCCAATGCCACCACAGCCCTTGGCTAAGACCGTCTGCCAAGCCCCTCCGCAGTCTCTGAAATCTGAGGACTGGCTGGTGGCTCCTTCCCCCGTGACAGTGAACTTGGCTGCAGGCCGACACCCTCCCAAGCGCCCAAGCGCGGCCCCTGCCCACTTGTACAGTGAGACCCTGGCCCAGCGTGGTGGCCCCTCCGTGAGCCGGCTGTGCCTGGCTGCCCCCAACCCCCAGACACCAGTAGGGGGCAGTTAGAGCCCTGTCAGGTCCACAATGGCCTTGATGAAGATGGCATCGTCCCGCACGTAGGAATTCTTTGCCTCCATCTTGGAGACGGGGCAGAAGAGGGGGCAGCCGCTTGCGATGTTCATGTCGTTGACTGGCCTCTGAAAAGAGGATGAAGTCACGTCGGGCCTGAAGGCGTCAATCACGTGCTCCCGGTTATTCTGGTCGAGCAGCATTAAGGTCACCTGGAGGAGAGAGCCCCAGGGAGGGGACACAGGTCTGTGGGCCGTCTCTCTCTGGCTCCCGAGGGTCTGGACACTGGCAGGGCCACCAGCAGGAGGCCATCCCAGGACCCAGGCCAGAGGCTGAGGCCCAGCCGAGACCACGTGGTGGGCGGCCTTGCTCCTGCCACAGCGCCCGGGCTCCCCAGCCCTCCCCAGCCACCGGCATTCCGCTTCTCTCTGGGGAATCTGTGTCCATTCTGGCCTTTCCTGTCCACTGACATCTGGAGTCCTAGACTAAAGCTTACCACTCCTGAACTTGAATTATTATTAGGAAAATGCAAAAAATAACACATCTGGCAAAGACATTTTCTTGCCAAAGAGATCATGAAGCACCCACTGCCCACTCGTGAAGAGCACTTTTCAGGGAGAACCTGAGTCTGCCTCTGTCAGGACTGTGAACCTGGATGCCCCAGGACAGACAAGGGCCTGTGGGCCCTCCACACCCCCTCCCCCACCCAACTCTGCTCTGCCTACTCCACTAGCTATAGGGGGTGGGGGAAGTAGCAAGTCTGGGCCAACTGTGGCAAAAGGAAGGGACCTTCTCTCATTCCAGTCTAGTCTCTGCATCTTCAATTCCACAAAATAATAGATTCTGATTTTCAAAATAGGCCAGGCACAGTGGCTCACGCCTACAATCCCAGCACTTTGGGAGGCCAAGGTGGGCGGATCACAAGGTCAGGAGATCAAGACCAGCCTGGCCAACATGGAGAAACCCCATCTCTACTAAAAATACAAAAATTAGCTGGGCGTGGTGGTGCATGCCTGTAGTCCCAGCTACTCAGGAGGCTGAGGCAGGAGAATCGCTTGAACCCAGGAGGGGAGGTTGCAGTGAGCCGAGATCATGCCACTGCACTCCAGCCTGGGCGACAGAGCAAGACTCCGTCTTAACAATAAGTAAATAAATAAATGACACCTCCGACGAAGAGGGCTCCGAAGCTGTGTTCCTTCCTCTGCACTCTCTCTCCAGGGCAGGGTTTTCAAACTACTGGTCCAGATGCCCATCAACATCTGGAGTCCTGGGCTAAAGCTGGGCACCCCCAAACTTGCATTATTTTGTGCTTTGTCCTTTTGTTCATTTATTTAGAGCCCCCTCTTGCTCTGTTGCCCAGGCTGCAGTGCAGTAGCGTGATCTCGGCTCACTGCAGCCTCAACCTACTGGGCTCAAGCAATGCTCCTGCCTTAGCCTCCCGAATAGCTGGGAATACAGGTGCACACCACCATGCCCGGCTAATTTTTCTATTTTTTTTGTAGACATGGGTTCTCACTATGTTGCCCAGGCTGATCTCAAACTCCTGGGTTCAAGCAATCCTCCCACCTCAGCCTCCCAAAGTGCTGGGATCACAGGGATACATACTCCCCGCCCACTCGGCCTTGTGCTTTTTCTTAGTCATATTTATATTTATCTGACAGGTCAGGAAGCCAGGTGCTTGTGTCACGGACCAGTGCTCAGAAATCATGGAAACAACAAACTGCCAGAGCTCTCCACCGCGTGACACAGCATCACAGGGTGACGTGCCTGCTGCAGACACCTGGTCCAGCGAGCCCAAGCCACCTTGTCCCGCACAACCCTGCACCACAGAAGCTGCACTGCCCAGAGGGACTCCCAGGTGCGGCCCTAGCGAAGCCTGCAGGGACGGCCTCACCTTCTGGTTGAAGGGCCACCGCAGCAGGGCGTCATTCGGGCCCTTCATCACCACAAAGAAGAGGGACAGGTGTGTTCCTCGCCCGGTGCCGTCGCCGTTCAGGTAGATACGCAGACACATCTTGTAGCCGTACCTGCTGGTGTAGAAGGCTGGGGAGGCAGGAGGGGTGCCTGGTGAGCTGACACTCAGCAAGGGCGGGGCAGGGCTCTTCCTGCCTGGCTGCCCTCCCCCAGGGACAAAAACACCTACAAAGAAACATTCAGGTTCTGGGGTGCAAAGAAAAGTTTTTTTTCCCTCAAACTATGCAGTTAGTTTCCAATGAAAACAAATTTCATTACAAAAAAAAAGGTAGTACTTAGAAAAAGTTTTTTTTTTTTTTTTTTTTTTTTTGAGATGGAGTCTCACTCTTGTTGCCCAGGCTGAGTGCAGTGGCGCAATCTCAGCTCACTGCAACCTCCACCTCCTGGGATCAAGCGATTCTCCTGCCTCAGCCTCCTGAGTAGCTGAGATTACAGACGCTCGACACCACACCTGGCTAATTTTTGTATTTTTAGTAGAGATGGGGTTTTACCATGTTGGCCAGGATGGTCTCAAACTCCTGCCCTCAGGCGATCCACACGTGTTGGCCTCACAAAGTGCTGGGATTACAGGTGTGAGCCACTGTGCCCAGCCAGAAAAAGCATTTCTAAGAATCCCAAATGTAACCCCCAAAACTTAAGAAGATGAGCAGAGCCACATGGCGAGATCCACTAAATGCAGTGGTTGGGACCTCGGCAGAGCCACAGAGGGAGCCCTGACCGGCCCAGGGCTTAGGTTGGGCCCCAAGCCTGCCTCAGAAGAGGCACTGGCTAGAGTGAACCCCAAAACAAGAAGAGTCGACTTCCTTCCCACCCAACAAGACACAGACGTGAGTGACAGCCAGAACCCGGCAGAGGCTGCTTTCCAAGTCACATGACAGAACACTGTGTGCAAAGGTCTGCACGCAGGGACCCCACTGTGGCAGCACCAGGACCACCCTTCCGTCCTCGTCCTCCACCGCGTGCCCCCAGGCCCATCCTCCCCATCCTCGTCCTCCACCGCGTGCCCCCAAGCCCATCCTCCCTGTCCTAGTCCTCTCCACCTCGTGCCCCCAGGCCCATCCTCCCCATCCTCGTCCTCCACCACGTGCCCCCAGACCCATCCTCCCCATCCTCGTCCTCCACATGCCCCCAGGCCCATCCTCCCCCCGTCCTAGTCCTCCACCACATGCCCAGGCCCATCCTCCCCGTCCCCGTCCTCCACCACGTGCCCAGGCCCATCCTCCCCATCCCTGTCCTCCACACGCCCCCAGGCCCATCCTCCCCATCCTCGTCCTCCACCGTGCCCCCAGGCCCATCCTCCCCATCCTCGTCCTCCACCGTGCCCCCAGGCCCATTCTGCCTGTCCTCAGCCTGCACGCGTGCCGCACACAAGCTGTGTTCACCAGCATTGCTTAAAGCAGATGTTCCACACAAACAGGTCCTCTTGCCTGAGTGCAGCTCCCAAGAAGACCACCTCCGTGGCAGGGCCTCCACAATGCTGACCCTTCACCCAACGCTTAGTGCAGAGCTCCCAGCATATACAATCGGCTGAGCCAGCAGCTGCAGAGGGAAGGTCGCCACCAGAAAGCAGTGCTGACTTTCCCAGCCCTGGAGGAACAGGGCCATGCCCTGCAGGCTGCCCAGACTGTTCCCTCAAGTTTCCCCTAAAACAATCTTTCATTTTTCCAGTCTCAACTCAGAGAAGAAAGAGTGTGAGTTTTGTTTCTGGTCCCTGCTGAAGGCCTTGGCAGCAGGCACCACACAATGTGGCGGCCCCTCCAGATGACGCTTGGGTCTCTTTCCGCCTCGAGGGCGCCAGAGCACAGGACTGCCATGGCCCCCAGTGCTGAGTTTCACGAGCAGTGCCAGGCTAAATTCAAACAGGAAAGGTGCCTACAGCATCTCGGCCTTGATCCTAGAACCTAAGATTCTATCAGCAGGTTCACCAACTCAGCCTAAAAATAAAGTCTGCACGAGGGCGTGTTCTGAGCCATGGCAACAAAGCCCAAGAAGGGAGTGACTGAGTTGGGGCCGAGATGATGGCTGGGGCCGCCACAAGGTCAGCCAGGGCCTCGAGGGACAGCAGGGGGGCCGCCTCTGGACTGCAGCGCCCAGAAGCACAGTCCTGGCAGGAGCCTGCAGCTGGGCAGCCACCACCCCACCCCCTCTCCAGCAGTGCCCTCCAGGGGAGACCCCACGAGCACCCTCTCAAGAGACCCCATAGTTGGGGTTTAAAAAAAAAAAAGGTGGGGGAGTGTGAGAAACACCCTCCCTGAGCTCCGTGTGGAAAATGAACCTGGGAGGGATCAGACTAGCTCAGCTCCAAGGCCCTGAGAGCCATGTCCCACCCCCACAGCCACCCCCACCCGCCCTGTCTTCCTGGGAGCTGTGATCAGGCAGGAGAGCCTGTTGATGTAATGTCTGCTTTAGGGCTGTGTGCCAGAGGACCAGGCTGTGGGTGACGAGGGGCACACCTCGAGGGCTGGCACGGCAGGAGGGCAGCCGGCCCAACCCCCCTACCCCGACCCCTGCCCGAGGGCACCCACCGGCCAGCCCATATTCAGCTACCCCACTTGCCACTCAGGGAGGTGTAGCTGCTCCCGGTATCACTGGGGGTCGTATCCCAGCCCCACCCTTGGGAGCCATCCTATGTGGTCACAGGGGTGAGGGGACCCAGGTGCCAAGTAAACAGCAGCTGCAGTGAGGTGGGGGTCCTAGAACCACACCTGGGGAGAAGATGGCGGGTATGCGGCCAGCCACAGCTTCCTGGCGCTTCCTGGCGAAGTCTGAGATCTTCCAGATGAAGACCCCATCGTAGGTGGATGCCTCCATCTCCAAGACCTTCTGCTCCAAGTCAGCCATCGCCAGGTCCTTGAGGCCAATGCTCCTCTCCAGCTGCTGCACCTGCCGGGTGCCAAGACCACCTTCCCTCTTACAGGAGGGGTGCGGGCACGAGCCCCTGCCTCCCACACCCACCGATCTCCAGCAGGACAGTGCTCTTGGGCACCCCTGGGCTCCATGTTTCTCATGTCCACTCCCTGCACACAAGAACCCAACCCCACCCTCGCCAAGAGGTGGTGGCTCCAAGTCCACACAGAAGCTCCGGGCCAGCAAGCGTGCTCAGAAGCCACACCAGGCCATGCACATCCCCATCCATGGCTGACTCTGCCCTCCCATCAGAGAGAAGAGGCTCCTGCCCACGGCCTGGCCTCTAGGACCTTCCAGGGTTTGGGCCCCTTAGATGACAGGACTCAGAAATGAAGGGGGCCAGAGCCTCCCCTAAACCACACTGGACTGGGGTTTGCAGATGGAGTTCTACATTGTCCGGGCTCTAAAGCTCCAGGACCTGCTAGAACCTGCTGGGGCACGAACACTATCCCCCTTTACACTGTCCTCCTCATGGCTGGCCACCCGGCAGGCACAAACCTTGCTACTCAGGGCTTCAATCTTGTCTTGGTCCAGCCGGTGCTGCCGGCTGCAGGCCTCGGCAGTCATGGCCACCCTCTCCACCTCCCGGTTCAGGACGCAGACAATGTTCTCAAAAGTGGCCGTCTTCTTCTCCAGGCTCTCGCACCTCTGCAGGAGCTCTGACCCCGCGTGGCTCTGGTCTCCCAAGAGGGGCTTTGCCTCCAGCACCGAGCTCAGTAGCATGGCCAGGTGCTCCCGCAGCCACTGCACCTCGTGCTCCTGCTGTTTCTCACCCTCTACCTGCGGACACAGGGCAGGGAGGCTGCTGGCTCCATCCACCATTCGGCTCCCACCCGGGGACGGCCACCAAGACGTGGGCCTCAGCTGAGCTGAGGAGACAGGCCAGGGTCATAGATAGGGATGCCTGGGTGGCCTGGTCATGGCTGATCCTTCTTGTGTATGACAGACTGAAAGTCAGGTGTGTTTAAAGAACGTGAAGCTATAGAACTTAGTTGCAGCCAGGCACAGTAGCTAGCAACTGTGATTCCAGCACTTCAGAAGGCCAAAGCGGGAGGATCATTTGGGCCCAGGAGTTGGAGACTAGCTGGGGCAACATGGCAAAACCCCACGTCTACAAAAAATTTTTAAAAATTAGCTGGGCATGGTGGTGTGTGCCAGTGGTTCCAGCTACTCAGGAGGCTGAGGTGGGAGGATCACTTGAGCCCAGGAGGTTGACGCTGCAGTGAGCCGAGATCATACCACTGCATCCCTGCCTGGCTGACACAGCAAAACCCTGTTTGGAAGAAAAGAAAAAAGGGACGGGACAGGACGAGATGAAGGGATGAAGGGAAGAAGGGGAGGGAAAGAAGGAGGGGGAGGGACAGAAAGGAAGAGAAAAGAAAAATAAAAGCAACACACCATTTTAAAAAAGCTACTCATGACTGGGCATGGTGGCTCCCGCCTGTAATCCCAGCACTTTGGGAGGCCAAGGTGGGAGGATCACCTGAGGTCGGGAGTTCGAGACTAGCCTGACCAACATGGAGAAACCCTGTCTCTACTAAAAATACAAAATTAGCAGGGCGTGGTGGTGCACGCCTGTAATCCCAGCTACTTGGGAGGCTGAGGCAGAACTGTTTGAACCCGGGAGGTGGAGGTTGTGGTGAGCCGAGATCGCGCCACTGTACTCTAGTCTGGGCAACAAGAGCGAAACTCTGTCTCAAAAAAAAAAAAAAAAAAAAGCCACCCACAAGTTCCAGAGAAGCCTGGGCAACATGGTGAAACCCTGTCTCTAGTAAAGCTACAAAAATTAGCTGGGCATGGTGGCACATGTCTGTAATTCCAGCTACTCGGGAGACTGAGGCATGAGAATAGTTTGAACCCAGGAGAGGGAGGCTGTAGTGAGCTGAGATGGTGCCACTGCACTTCCAGCCTGGCCAACAGAGCGAGACTCTGTTTCGAAAATAAATAAATAAATAAATAAATAAATAAATATTAAAATAGGCCAGGTGCAGTGGCTCACACCTGTAATCCCAGTACTTTGGGAGGCTGAAGTGGGCGGATCACCTGAGGTCAGGAGTTTGAGACTAGCCTGGTCAACATGGCAAAACCCTATCTCTACTAAAAATACAAAAATTAGCTGGGCCTGGTGGTGTGTGCTTGTAATCCCAGCTTCCCGGAAGGCTGAGGCAGGAGAGTACTTGAACCCAGGAGGTGGAGGCTGCAGTGAGCCGAGATGGCGCCACTGCACTCCAGCCTGGGTGACAGAGCAAGACTCTGTCTCAAAAATAAAATGAAATAAAACAAAATAAAATAAGAAATAAAAAGCCACCCACAGGGGAAGGTGAAAACACAGGGCTGGAAGCTAGGCCTCCTTAAACATACCTCATTTTATAGACTTGACTTTGCAATTAAATTATTTTCAAATTTCCACAACAAAATTTGAAAATGAGGCCAGGCGCGGTCATGCCTGTAATCCCAGCACTTTAGGAGGCTGAGGCAGGAGGATCACTTGAGGTCAGAAGTTCGAGACCAGCCTGGGCAACATGGTGAAACCTCATCTCTACTAAAAATACAAAAATTAGCCGGGTGTGGTGGCACACAGCTGTGATCACAGCTACTTGGGCCTTTTATCACCTACTTGGGAGGCTGAGGCACAAGAATTGTTTGAACCCGGGAGGCAGAGGTTGCAGTGAGCTGAGATCATGCCACTGCACTCCAGCCTGGGCGACAAAGCAAGACTCAACCTCAAAAATAAATAAATTAATTAATTAAATAAATATATATATATATATATATATATATATATAAACAAAACACTCTAAAAAAATTACAGTAAAAGAAACAAATGGACCTACATGTGTACCCAGCTAGAGGCATGACCACCCAGAGAGCAGAAGGGCACTCAAGACACAAACAGCTGGACGAGAGCTCGCCCTGCATTTTCTCAGAGAGTGCTGCTGTTGGGACCATGCTGTGCGCGGCGTGGAAAAAGCAGGCCCTGGCTGAGCCTGGGGTGGGTGTGCCAGCACGGGGAGATCCTTTGTGCAAACGGGAAGCGAGCATCGCCACAGACTCACGCTGTGTTCTCTCTCATTTCTCAACACCAAGAGGCCCAGAAACAAGGAGCACGGTGGCGGCAGCAAGCACCACTGAGGCCCGGGTGGTCACTACGCAACCTCCCGCACGGGAAGCCTGGGCTTCCTAGAGATGGCAGATGCCACGTCAGAGCAGGAAACAGACAAGAACACGGACAGCAGAAGACTATCCAACGCAGACAAAGAAAATGGAAGCAGCCACGCTCCTTTTCACCATTAGGAAAAAAACACAATACCTAAGGCCACATAGAATCAAGTCAGCAACTGACTCTACCACAAATGCCGTCAAGACATCCCTGTCTTCAAGCAAGGAAGGTGCCCGCCCAGTGAGCTGGCCAGGGGAGGGTCTGCACCCACGGCCTGCCCCTCTCCATCCATCAGGCACACACCTCAGCTGGGGACCACCTCTGGGCCCAGTACTCCTCGAGGGTCCTGACCTCAAGGGGCTCCTGTTGTACAGGGCAAGACGGACAAGAGACAAAGACACGAGGTGCTGGCGACAGAGGGGCAGAGTCTGCAGGGGTGGAGCAGGGGGGTCCACCTGGAGAGACCCAGGCGCCTGGCCATTGTGCCAGTGCCCAAGTGCCTGGGGTGGGCACAAGTGGGCATGCCCAAGGAAGCTCAGGCCAGCGAGCAGGGCAGAGGAGATAGCTGAGGGGAGGGAAAGATCACAGGAGCAGGCCACTCTGAATGAGAAGCCATGAGGAAGAGCTGTGATCGATTTCCATCTGTGAACAGGCCAGAACGGAAAAGAACGGGGGTCCCATAAGCGCCTGAGCCTGGGTCCCAGTGAGAGATGAGGATGATGTGGACAGGGCAGTGACGGCTGGGGGGACCATTTGAGGGTAGACGAGACCTCTGTCAGCCCGAACGTGAAGCATGAGGCGAGAGGAGGGGCCCGAGTGCCTGCTGGTGGCGGAGGGCTCAGCGACAGCCGCTGGGTTAGAGTGCTGCCCTTTTCTGTGTGAGATGGGGGCAGGGAGACAGCGGCCAAGGAGTGGTCGTGGCGAGCCGGCCGGGTACATCTGAGACGTGCACTCAACACCCAGGGAGGCTCAAGGCGACAGGTGGGCACACACACTGGGCATCCTCAGAGACAGGTGGCAGTCAAAGCCAGGCACTACAATGCCACCAGGAGGGAGTGGACAGGGCTGCCAGCCCAGAGACCAAGCTGGGAACACTCGGACAGCCGGGGCAGGAGGAGGCAGTGCTGCAGAGGTGGCTGAGGAGCAGCTGGAAGGAAACCAGGAAGCACTGGGCTGGAGGCAGTGAAGACCACACCCAGGATGAGGGGTGGCCCCCAACCTCAGACCCCCCGACTCACCGTCTCGAGGCAGCCGATGGCGTGGAATCTGCAAGGGACTCGACACTTGCCACAAGTCTTGACGTGGTCCTGAAACTACAAGGGAGTGACGTCACAGAGCCATCTTTCTCTGTTCTGATGCATTTCAGCACTTCCACATGGACCACACTGACTGACACAGAGGTTACATGACCTGCCCCGTTGGCCTCTTCACTCTCACACTGAATGAAACCCAACAGCCCATTTCCAAAGCGACACGCTCACACACCTGTGCACACACACGTGCAAACATGCACACTGTGCCAGTAACTGAGATGGGCAAGCATTTCGGGACACCTGTGGAGACCCCAGCTTGTGTGTCACATGGCACGCCTGTCCCTCTATCACAGTCCACAGGACATGCGGTGCTGAGGCCTCAGGGCCTGGGTTCAAAACCCAGAATCAAACGCCCACTGCTCACCCGGTGCGTGGTGGTACAGGATGACACAGACACGACATGAAGCAAAACGTAAAATCCAGAAAGGGGCCAAGTGCACACAGACACTCACATACAACAGGAACATCGAACCAGGGAAGAAACAGAGACTAACACTGTGGTATCTGACATGGGTCTATGGATGCAGGAACAGCCCGAGGAAAAACATGAACCCCAAGTTCCTCCTCCATTTCCCAGGTGACATGGCAGGTGTGTCGCGGCTCTGAGTGTGAGAAAACCAAACCCACACATGCCAGACGCAGCACAAGATTTCATACCCGGAAGGAGGGAAACGGCCGTAACTGTGAATCAGTTTCCAGAAACAGTCACATAAGAACCTTGAACAATTTCCCCCAAAACAAACAAAAACCAAAAACACTATTCAGTGGGCAGGAGTCATGAACAGCAAGAGAAGCACAGATGGGCTCGGTCACACCACAGCTTGGGAAACGCCCGTCAGAACCGCCTCGAGGCTCTGCTGTCCCTTGCCACCCATAGGAGGTTGGTCTCAGGGTCCCTGAAACCCAAGGATGCTCGAGTCCCTGATGGAAGATGGCAGAGTGTTTGCACAGAGCCTAAGCACACCCTCCCTCATACCTGAAATCAGCTCTCGGTGACTCATGACCAATACAACGTGAACGCTGTGTCAATAAAAAATGTCCGCGCGTGTTCAGTGCATTTTTACCTGAACATTTCCAACCTACGGTTGGCTGGATCCACGGCGTGGACCCCCGATACAGAGGACTGATGTGTTTCTCACACATCACAGTGGCACGTCCAACCTTCACACCACACTGTGCTGGCAAGTCTCGGGAGACGGTGCTCCCACAATGCTTATGGGAATGCAAATTTCTGAACGACCGCACGGCGCTGCGGACGGGGAGCCTGACACATTTCCCTCTGACGTCTCAGAATGCACCTTTTTTGTAGTTTTCGCTTTGGTGCCATGTAACCATTTTACAAAATTACAAAACTTTTTTTTGAGACGGAGTTTCTCTCTTGTTGCCCAGGCTGGAGTACAATGGCATGATTTCAGCTCACCGCAACCTCTGCCTCCCAGGTTCAAGTGATTCTCCTGCCTCAGCCTCCCGAGTAGCTGGGATTACAGGCATGCGCTACCACACCCGGCTAATTTTGTATTTTTAGTAGAGACGGGGTTTCTGCATTTTGGTCAGGCAGGTCTCAAACTCCTGAGCTCAGGTGATCCGCTCGCCTCCGCCTTTCAAAGTGCTGGGATAACAGGCATGAGCCACCGCACCCGGCCTTTTTTTTTTTAAAGGGCAATCTTTAAAACTCAAAAGCAAAATGAAACAAATGGGCCTCCGTGGAATACTGAGACAGCCGCCTGCCCAGAGACGCTGCTTCGAATGACTTATGACACAGCAACTCAATACAGACTCTAAAAGCAAAGAGAACTAGAAAGAGAACTTCGTCATCACATAATTTGCCATGGATCAGACTCAGTGCTACTGACACCGTTCTTATGTATAGCAATGTCAACAGGAACCACGACTTTCTGTAGAAAGGAGACAGCAACATGGAAGTTGGGTAAGAATCTGAAATGCAAACATCCGTGTGAACCCACAATGTATTTTCTCTTAAAATAAAGCAAGGATCCCTCTGCTGTCACTGAAGTATTTTCGGATGAAACACTGGGCTGCGGGAAGAAGTGGAGGCAGGAATGAAACAGAACTGTCACTGGGCACCCCCCATCTTGAGCCACAGCAGGGCCCCAAGTTCTAATGTGCTCTCTCTCATCTGTCCAGGCTCAGAAATTTCCACCACAGGAAGCTGAAGGAGAAGAGGCCAGGAACCTGGCATGTGCGCAGCATGCTGGGAATGGGGGGTGCGATCGCCCAGGTAGGGTAGGTGTGGGAGAAGGCACTGCTGGAAGCGAGGAGACAAGTCCCCCAGGCTGCCCACGGCAGGGCCGTCCATGGAACTGGAAGCCAGCTGGGCGCCTGGCCTCTGTAAACCTCAATTTCCTCATCTGATAAAGGGTGCCCTAGGGTTCCTGTGAGGGCAGGAGGGCAACCCCCAGGCCCCCAGGAAACACTAAACACTGCCCGTCTGTGGTTCCTGCCAGCATCACCATGAAGGGGCAAACACCTTATCAAACACGAGGTGTCCGTCACTGCCAAGGCTTCTGGGCTGTTTGGCCATGAGGCCCAGGCCCACTTCTCCTATCCAGCGAGCCCCACAGGTCAGCCTCCAAAGGACCAGGTCCCAACATACGCCGCCCCATGCTCGGCTCAGCCCTGCACATGTCCCAGGCAGTGGTGAGGAACCCGACCAAGCCCTGGGAGCATGGTCACCGAGAAAGGCTCCAGCAAAACCAGCAAAGATGGAGAGGAGGGGCTGGGAGGATGAGATGGGGCCTGTGCCTCTGCACAGCTCTGACTGATAAGACAGCAGGCCAATAGTTTACATCGTCAAAGAACAAAAGCAAATCTTTAAAAAAAACCCTCACATTTTAAAAGAACCTGAAGCAAATGAACTATATACCACAGCTGACATAAACTCAAAGAAAAAATGTATTCCAGTTCACCTCAGAACATAGTATGTAGCCGGGCACGGTGGCTCACACTTGTAATCCCAGCACTTTGGGAGGCCGAGGCAGGTGGATCACGAGGTCAGGAGTTTGAGACCAGCCTGGCCAACATAGTGAAACCCCGTCTCTACTAAAAATACAAAAAATTAGCCGGGCATGGTGGTGGGCACCTGTAATCCCAGCTACTAGGGACGCTGAGGCAGGAGAATCACTTGAATCCAGGAGGCAGAGGTTGCAGTGAACCGAGATTGCGCCACTGCACTCCAGCCTGGGCGGCAGAGAGACTCCATCTCAAAAAAAAAAAAAAAAAAAAAATTCCTTTATAATAAGAACATGGTATGTGGACCCCACATCTTCATAAGATGTACTTCCAAGAACAAAAAGAGCTTCGAAGAAACAGGTGGCCTCATCATCAGTGGCCTCATCATCAGAAGCCATGTTGCTGGTTTTTGTTTATTGTTTTTTTTTGAGATGGAGTTTCACTCTGTGGCCCAGGCTGGAGCGCACTGGCGCGATCTTGGCTCACTGCGACTGCAACCTGTGCCTCCCGGGTTCAGGCGATTCTCCTGTCTCAGCTTCCCAAGTAGCTGGGATTACAGGAGTGCCTGTGCCACCACACCTGGCTAATTTTTGTATTTTTAGTAGAGAAGGGGTTTTGCCATGTTGGACAGGCTGGTTTTGATCTCCTGACCTCAGGTGATCCACCTGCCTTGGCTTCCCAAAGTGCTGGGATTGCAGATGTGAGCCACCACAACTGGCCTTGACTTGTTTTTTTAGACAGGCTCTCACTCTGTCACCCAGGCTGGAGTGCAGTGGTGCGATCTCAGCTCACTGCAACCTCCACCTCCTGGGTTCAAGCAATTTTCGCACCTCAGCCTCTCAAGGAGCTGGGACTACAGGTGTGCACCACCATGCCCAGCTAATTTTTGTATTTTCAGTAGAGACGGAGTTTCACCACGTTGGCCAGGCTGGTCTCGAACTGGCCTCAAGTGATCCTCCCGCCTCAGCCTCCTAAAATGCTGGTATTACAGGAGTGAGCCACCATGCTCAGTAGGTATTTTTAATTTTAAACCTACTCTATATATAACATAAAACAAATACGTTACCAGTGTTAGGAACCAAGATTTGCAACACTAAAAAAAGATAAGAGAGGCCAGGCACAGTGGCTCACGCCTGTAATCCCAGTACTTTGGGAGGCCGAGATGGGTGGACCACCAGGTCAGGAGTTCAAGACCAGCCTGGCCAAGATGGTGAAACCCTGTCTCTACTAAAAATACAAAAATTAGCTAGGTGGAGTGGCAGGTGCCAGTAATCCCAGATACTCAGGAGGCTGAGGCAGAGAACTGCTTGAACCCAGGAGGCAGAAGTTGCAATGAGCCGAGATTGCGCCACTGCACTTCCAGCCTGACGACAGAGTGAGACTCTGTCTCCAAAAAAAAAAAAAAAAAAAAAAAAAAAGGGCCAGACGCAGTGGCTCACGCCTGTAATCCCAGCACTTTGGGAGCCGAGGTGGGCAGATCACGAGGTCAGGAGATCGACACCATCCTGGTCAACACGGTGAAACCCCATCTGTACTAAAAATACAAAAACAAAATTAGCCGGGCATGGTGGCAGGCGCCTGTAGTCCCAGCTACTCGGGAGGCTGAGGCAGGAGAATGGCGTGAACCCAGGAGGCGGAGCTTGCAGTGAACCGAGATCTCGCCACTGCCCTCCAGCCTGGGTGACAGAGCGAGACTCCATCTCAAAAAAAAAAAAAAAAAAAAAGAGATAAGAGAAAATCCCAAGCACGCCACACACATTAGAAACACCTGAGAGCACTCTCAGCATTCTCCTCTGGAACGGGCCAGGGGGCACAGACAGCCCCAGGACACCCTGCACATACATGCAGCCCCTATATGTCGGCCTGCATTGAAGGGCCAGAGTTCCATGCCTAGACAGGACTGCCCTGAGGAAGCAGGCGGGGCCCAAGAGATTCATTCTCAGAGAGCCTGAAAGGCCCCTCAGTCTGAAGATGAGGCCCTGTGAACATCAAAATAAAGATGCAATGGGCTGGGGCAGTGGCTCACGCCTGTAATCCCAGCACTTTGGGAGGCTGAGGCAGGTGGATCACCTAAAGTTGGGAGTTCAAGAACCAGACTGACCAACATGGAGAAACCCCATCTCTACTGAAAATACAAAATTAGCTGGGTGTGGTGGTGCATACCTGCAATCCCAGCTACTCGGGAAGCTGAGGCAGGAGAATCACCTGAACCCAGGAGGCAGAGGTTGCAGTGAGCCGAGATCACACCATTGCACTCCTGGGCAACAAGAGCGAAACTCTGTCTCCAAAAAAAAAAAAAAAAAAAAGACGGGAAGGATGAAAATGCACCATGCACAGAGAAAGCCCCGTGTTCACAGTGATGGGTGGGGACAAAACCCACCAGACACCACCGCGCTGCGTGGGCGCCCGTCTTCGTCTTTCACTCTGGAAACAGTCTCAAGGAAAGAATCACCTCCTAACTCCTCTGTACAACCCCCTCAGGACAGACAAGGGCTGACACAGACTGGGGCACACGCAGAGGGCACCTCTCGGGGGCACCTCCAGGCCCCACCAGCAGGGGACACAGCCTCACAGACACGGGCCCCAGGCAGGCGTCCTGGCCTCTGAAGGGGGCATGGCAGCAGCCATAGCCTCTATGGCGCTCCAGTCTCCAGGTGAAGGGAAAGGATGCTTTCAGACAGCACTCGGCCAAGCTCACAGTGCGGGACATTTAACAGACAAGTGGAAAGAGGTGAGGAGACAGCCCTGTCCCGTCCCCCAGCCCTACCCATTTCAGGACTTGGGCTGTGACCTATATTTAAACAGAAGCAAATCAGAAAGACAGGCACACACCTGTCAGGCTGAGCCCGCGGGCAGGCCTGGCCAGCCTGACCCCTCCTGTAGCTGCCCAGATGGGGGCTGCCACCTGTGAGGCCTCCACATTGGACCTCTGACACACAGAGCAGGTGCCCCTTCCAGAGCTTCAGCCTCTCTGGATGAGCTACCCTCACACCTCCAACAAGGGAGGCAGTTTGGGAAAATGTTTCCATGCGTATTATTTCCCAGCTTCCTTTCCTAAAGGTGTCATCTGCAGCAGTTAACTCTCAACTGGGAGAGAAACCATTTTCCTGAAAGAAGTAAGGACACCAGGGACAAAGTTCTGCCAGGCGAGCCACCCACATTTCACGGCTGTGGCAGCAGACCAGACTAGGGCGCCCAGTCTCCACCCCAACCGCTTGCTGCAAACATTCAGCTTCAAAGTCAGTAACAACATTTCTCATAAGCAGCACATGGAGGGCGATGAGAACTTTAATGTTTCATTTTCAGGATAACTAGGAAGTGACCTGCTGAAAAGTAAGCAGCTATGTACACTGGAGGATGAGGAAGAGGGCTCGGGACTCAGCCACCTGGCCCCCGGCCCACTCAGGAGAGCGGCCGCCACCCTGAACGCATCCATGACCCAACGTTACAGGGGCTTTGCACTGCTGTTCCTTTGGGCACAAGGGTCATAACCTGCCCCACCCCCACCCACGGGACCCTCACGTCCAACACATGGGCCCCGCCCTGCGGTCCTCCAAGGAGGTGAAGGACACTCACCTTCTCCCGGGGGATCTTCTTCTTGCCGCAGCCGTCACAAGTTAAGGGGAACTTGGGGCAGACCTCGTGGTGCGCCTTCAAAAGAAGGGATCAGGAGTGTGAGGGTGGACGCCAATGCCAGGCGCGGGTGGAGGGCGGCACACAGTGCTCAGGCTGGGCAGCGCCGAGGGGCCGCAGGAGCACGTGGTCACCCTCCAGCCTCGAAGGACAGTGCTCCTCCCGGGCAGGATCCTGCCAGCACCACCCAGGAGCCTCGGAGATCTTAACGCTTTGTTTGTTCTGCCAGCTCAGGGCAATGCGAGGGAGACCCAAGCCACCAGAGGAGATTTGGAAGCCACGTGAAACAACGGCCCCGGTGAAGATGGGGAAACGCTGCTCCCGCTGGGAGGCGAGGCCGGTGGGAGGGCCTGGCGGATGGGCAGGGCTGGCGGCATGCGGGACGTCTCCAAGACAGACCCTGACATGCTGCTGCGGAGGGCTTGGCACCCCAGATGTGCTATGGTCAGGCCCGTCCATCTGACAGTTTACAGGGAAGTGCAGATGGGTCTCAGGGAAGTGGGGCTCCTGAAGGACAAGAGCCCAGGAAAAAAGATGCCATGGGCCCCAGAGGCAGAGAGAGACCCAGAGACATTTCCACCAAAGGCAGGAACCCTGTATGGATCGTGATTCAGATACACCAAGGCAAAGACAGACAACAGGGACGCAGACACAGGCTGCAGGCCATGTGAGCAGTCACAGCTGCATCTCAGACATGGCGCTATTCTCACCAACGCTTTGGGGAAGGCGAAGTCAGACTTGAGCAACTGTCTTGAGAGCAAAGCCCAGGCCTGGCGAGGACGGACGCACACCCACCACCGCACTCTCTACCTGATGCATTTAGACTTTTCTAAGACAAAAATGCTTTTTTGTCCTAAAAACAAACTTTTTTTAAAAATTTTTTTTCTTTTTTTTTTTTTTGAGACAGAGTCTTCCTCTGTTGCCCAGGCTAGTGTGCAGTGGTGCAGTCTTGGCTCGCTGCAACCTCTGCCTCCTGGGTTCAAGCAATTCTCCTGCCTCAGCCTCCCGAGTAGCTGGAATTACAGGCACTCGCCACCGTGCCTGGCTTTTTTTTTTTTTTTTTTTTCCGAGACGGAATCTCGCTCTGTCGCCTGGGCTGGAGTGCAGTGGCGCAATCTCGGCTCACTGCAAGCTCCGCCTCCTGGGTTCACGCCATTCTCCCGCCTTAGCCTCCTGAGTAGCTGGGACTGCAGGCGCCCGCCACCATGCCCAGCTAATTTTGTTTTTGTATTTTTAGTAGAGACAGGGTTTCACCATGTTAGCCAGGATGGTCTCGAGCTCCTGACCTCGTGATCTGCCCGCCTCGGCCTCCCAAAGTGCTGGGATTACAGGCATGAACCGCCGCACCTGGCCACTCCTGGCTAACTTTTTGCATTTTTAGTAGAGACGGGGTTTCACCATGTTGGCCAGGCTGGTCTTCAACTCCGGACCTCGTGATCCGCCCGCCTCAGCCTCCCAAAGCGCTGGGATTACAGGCGTGAGCCGCCGTGCCCGGCTTACAAAAATGCTTTTGAAAGGCCTCGGCATTAACTTCACACCCATTCCCAGTTCTGCCAAGAAACATCCGCCCGCGTGTCTCCAGGGAAAGGGCCGAGGGGGTGGAACGAGTGCAAAGGGGCCGACGCAGCCGCAGTGGCCAGCACGCAGCTCCCCAGCTCAGCCCCGCATGGCTGCAGCCACACAGGCTGCTGCTCCACCCCACGCACCTTCACGTCTGCTCCGCAGCAGGGTGCCCGGCAATGCCGGCAGCTCAGGCTTCTCTCCGGGCACTCGTGCTCCAGGTGGCGCTCCTTTTCACCAAGGCGGACCAGGCCTTTGCACGCGGGACATTCGGTCAGCATGAGCGGGCAGCGGCCTTCGTGGCAGCTCTAGCAACGAAAGGAGGAAGCGTCAGTAGAACTCGCGTGGGACATTTGGGCAGCCACAGCTTCACCCGGGGACACAAGGCGATGTAGCGCTGGCTTGGTGTCCGCATGCTGGTCCTGGGGGCCGCCCTCTGCAGATAGCTCTCAGGGCTCCCACAGGTGGGAGGGCAGGAGGAGATCAGATCAGTGTGTCCTCGTCTCCACTCTCTTCACCGCACACTGAGCTGAGGGGATGCTCTGCCATGGGGGTCTCTGTGTGGATGCCTTGCCACCACCAGGCTCCCCGATCTGCCCCCTGAAACAGCCAAGTGCACAGTCCCTGCTCTGCGCCAGCGGGTCCCTGCCACACACACCAGCTCCTAACCGAGAAAGCAGGCCACGCTCGATCTGATGACCAAGCCCAACGCGGTCCAGGCTGAGTCTTGCCAGTCCCAGCCCCATCCTCATTGCAGGTGGGAGGTGTGAAGAGGTAGGGAACACGCACGGGAGATAGCATGCGGGCAGCTGGCCTCTGCCTCCAGCACCAGGAAGCCAGCAAAGGCCTGAGGCACAAGCCCACCAGGCCAAGGTGCCAGGAGCTGGGTCTAGCTGCACAGCACACGCATCTGAAAGGGCCGAAGCTGCGAGGAAGACAGGCGAGGGCCAGTGACACACAGGAAGGTCACTCAGGCACCTACACGTTCCCACACACTGAGCCACCCAGGAGCTGGGCAGAGGCCCTGCCCTCCTGGAGCTGACAACCTGGTAGTGACCACCAGTGCCAGAACACCAGGGAAGGCAGGCAGTGGAGGCAGGGCCGGGGAAGGTGCCACAAGATGCAGACTGCAGACTAGGGAAGCGGGAGCCGGTGCCGCAGGCTAAGCGTCAGGCGAGGCAGAGGACTGTGGACGTCCACAGATGGCCAGGGTGGCAAGGGAAAAGGACACAGAGGGAAGGGAGGCGGTGCCAGCTCCTCGCCACACCCAGGCCAGGAAGAATCAAGAATGTAGGATGCAGAACCCAGCCACCTCTCCAGCCCACTGCTGCCCCAGGCAGGGCTTCCCCGACCGTCTTGAGGGCTCTGCCCGAATGTGAGGGGTCAGGACAGCAAGGTGACGGGATGTGGCTGAACCCTTCCAGGACTGCCTGGCAGCTGCACCTCTCACAGACTCTAAGGTTGGGAAGCCGCAGCAGTCACAGGAGGAAGAACGGGGTGGCAGGCACTACAAAGGTGCTAGTGTAACGGGAGAGAGGGCCGGATTCAGGATGTGTCTGGGGAGCCACGTGGACCTGCCGGCAGACTGAACGTGCCGCTTACAGGAACACAGAGAAGTCAAGAAGGACTCTCAGGCCTCTGGCCCAAGCCACAGGAGGTCCCACCTGCCTCCATAAGGGGCTGGTGAGGTACAGAAATAAAACTAAACAGGGCTTTTTGTTTTGTTTTGTTTTTTGAGACAGGGTCTCACTTTGTCACTGATATGGTTTGGCTGTGTCCCCACCCAAATCTCATCTTGAATTGCAACTCCCATAATCCCCATGTGTTGTGGGAGGGGCCTGGTGGGAGGTCATTGAATCATGGGGTGGGTTTTTCCCGTGCTGCTCTCGTGATAGTAAGTCTCATGGGATCTGATGGTTTGATAAAGGGCAGTTCCCCTGCACATGCTCTCTTGCCTGCTGCCATGTGAGACGTGCCTTTCTCCTCCTTTGCCTTCCTCCATGATTGTGAGGCCTCCCCAGGCACATGGAACTATGAGTCCATTCAACCTCTTTTTCTTTATAAACTACCCAAGTCTCGGGTATTTCTTTATAGTAGTATGAAAATGGACTGATACAGTTACCTAGGCTGGAGTGCAGGGGTAAGAATACAGGTCACTGCAGCCTCGACATCAGCACCCACATAGCTGGGACTATAGGAATACAGGCACGCACCACCACACCCAGCTAAATTTCTTTGTATTTTTGGCAGAGCCATCTTGGTTTTTTGTTTTTGTTTTGAGATGGAATCTTGCTCTGTCGTGCAGTGGCGCGATCTCGGCTCACTGCAACCAGCAACCTCCACCTCCTGGGTTCACGCCATTCTTCTGCCTCAGCCTCCTGAGTAGCTGGGACTACGGGCGCCCGCCACCACACCCGGCTAATTTTTTTGTATTTTTAGTACAGACAGGGTTTCACCGTGTTAGCCAGGATGGTCTCAATCTCCTGACCTCGTGATTCACCTGCCTTGGCCTCCCAAAGTGCTGGGATTACAGGTGTGAGCCACCGCGCCCGGCGGTAGAGCCATCTTACCCAGGCTGGTCTTGAACTCCTGAGCTCAAGCAATCTGCCCACCTAAGCCTCCCAAAGTACTGGGATTACAGGCATGAGCCCCTGTGCCTGGCCAGAGTTAAACACGTCTTTTGGGAGAAGTCTGCTATGACTGGGAACAGAGAAAGGGAATGGAAGTCAAAGGAACAGGAAGTTGAAAATCTGCTGTTTCTTCAATCATGATAAACATAAAATGTATCATCTTAACCATTTTCAAGTGCACAGTTCTGTGGTATTAAGTACATTTCACTGATGTTATGTAACCATCACCACCATCTACCTCCATCACGCTTTCCCATTGTAGAAACCTGAAACCCTGTCCCTGTTAAACCCTAACTCCCCATTCCCCTGCTCCAGCCCCCAGCACCATCTATTGGCTCTCAATTTGACCACTCCGGGGACTCTGTCAGTGAATTCACGCAGTCTTTATCTTCTTGTGCCTAGCTTAGCTCACTGAGCACAACACTAAGTTTTGAGACAGGAGAGACTAGAGCATATTCTGTACCGATGGGCACAACCCGGAGAGAGGAGGACAATGTGCTGAGAGGAAGGTTCCTGAGAGGCCAGGGCAGCAGAGGACCTGGCTGCGGGGCCCTTCATGGGGTGGGGAGTGGGGGTCAGCAGCTCCATAGAGAGCTGGCTACAGCTCAGGAGCCCCAAGTGACTCAGGAAAGGTTAATGCTACTTCCCCCAAGAGGGGAGACCCTGCTCTGGACAGCACAGGCACTTGGGCTGGCTTCCATTCAACCTCCCCAGGGAGTGTTCCTCCCAAACCTTCACACAGGCACAGCAACTACTCCTTAGAGGCGCCCCAGGGAACATGGGCCCAGCCCTCCAAGACCTCCAGCGGCACTGGCCCAAGCTAAGCCTGCTAAAGGAACCAACTCCCTGAACCCAACAGCGCCTTGCACTCTGCTACCCACTGACGGGACAGGACCCAGCCCTCGGCCACACTAGTGTGTAACAAGCCACCATCAAGCTGAATCAAAGAGGAGCCTCAGCAACTATTCTGGCTTATGAAACCTAAAAACGAAAGCACAAATAGTCAATGTTCTTAGATTTAATTAAAAGACTGTTCTTTAGGCCAGGCGCGGTGGCTAACGCCTTGTAATCCCAGCACTTTGGGAGGCCGAGGCGGGTGGATCACGAGCTCAGGAGATTGAGACCATCCTGGCTAACACAGTGAAACCCCGTCTCTACTAAAAATACAAAAAAAATTAGCCGAGAGTGGTGGTGAGCGCCTGTAGTCCTAGCTACTCGGGAGGCTGAGGCAGAAGAATGGCGTGAACGTGGGAGGTGGAGCTTGCAGTGAGCCGGGATCGTGCCACTGCACTCCAGCCTGGGCGACAGAGTGAGACTCCATCTCAAATAAATAAAAAAATAAAAATAAAAAAGACTGTTCTTTAAAACATAGTAAAATGGCCGGGCACAGTGGGTTCCCACCTGTAATCCCAGCACTTTAGGAGACCAAGGTGGGAGGATCACTTGAGCCCAGGAGTTTGAGGCTGCAGTGAGCTATGATCCCACCACTACACGCTAGCCTAGGCAACAGAGCGAGACTCTATTTCTAAAAATAATAGTAATAAAATGCTCATAGGTGAAATGATATGACATCTTCATTTGCTTTAAAATAAGCCAGAAAAGAAAAAAATGTGTGTGGGGGGTTGAAGGGCTGAAAGTAGGCTGGCGAAGGCTGGCAGGTGCTGCGGGGCAGCATGTAGGCCTGTGGGGCAGCGGCACACCTCTACTCTCAGCCTCACTGCTCAGATGCGCTGCATGCTCGAAATGTCAAAAATAAAATCTTTCTTGGCTGGGCGCGGTGGCTCACGCCTGTAATCCCAGCACTTTGGGAGGCCGAGGCAGGCGGATCACGAGGTCAGGAGATCGAGACCATCCTGGCTAACATGGTGAAACCCCATCTCTACTAAAAATACAAAAAAATTAGCCGGGAGTGGTGGGGGCGCCTGTAGTCCCAGCTACTCAGGAGGCTGAGGCAGGAAGAATGGTGTGAACCCGGGAGGCGGAGCTTGCAGTGAGCCGAGATCGCACCACTGCACTCCAGTCTGGGTGACAGAGTGAGACTCCATCGCAAAAAACAACAAACAAACAAACAAAAAAAACCTTTCTCTTGGCACTCGGTACTTGAAATCTCCAGTGGGACCAGGGTTGTCCTGCAGCAGATACATCTACACCAGCACCATCTGTCTCAGTCTTCTCCCCACCCACAGCAGACACAGTTTAAAAAAAAAAAAATCAATATTTATTCAGCCAGAATTCAAACTACACATTTGACGCAAATACAGTCGTCATCCCTCTGAATGTCACTAGAATGTCCATGAGGCCGAGCATACTTGGCTTTTCCTGGCCTTTCCGCTGCTCGTGCAGCCAGCCTATGTCCTCTCTGGAAAGTCTCCCCGCACCCCCGCATCCAGCTGCCAGAACGAGTAGCTCAGGGGCCCACTGGGGAATTCAGTTCTGCTATTGGCACTCAGCAAGCACTCCATCAACATTTACCTAAAGTTTTAAAATTATTCGATTTGGCCAGGTGCAGTGGCTTATGCCAGGAATCTCAGCACTTTGGGAGGCCAAGGTGGATGGATCACTTGAGGTAAGGAGTTCAAGACCAGCCTGGCCAACGTGGTAAAACCCCATCTCTACTAGAAATATAAAAAATTAGCCGGATGTGGTGGCAGGCGCCTGTAGGCTGAGGCAGAAGAATCACTTGAACCTGGGAGGTGGAGGCTGCAGTGAGCCGAGGTCACGCCACTGCACTCTAGCCTGGACAACAGAGCAAGACCGTCTCAAAAAAATAAAAATAAATAAATAAAATCATTCAGTTCCTAGAAAGGCATCATTGCAAAGGACAAACATTCAAAAGCTAAGCAGGATTTTCCCCTTTTCCAATAAAGTTCCGACCATCAAGGAGGAAAGGCAGCCTTAGCCTCCGTACTGTGTTTACAATAAGGCCCCAACTAGCAGCACACTCCGAGCACCCGGAGAGCAAAGAGAGGCGGCTCCGAGGGGCAGAGCGGCTCCCAACTGTATAGACGGGTTGATTTCCGTCCCCATGTGTGACATTTACAGCCAGTGAGAGGTTTTATCAACAAAATCAAAGGCCACAGCCAAGTTATTCCAGAGCAGTGCCCGCCCCTCCCACATGACCAAACCCGGCTCCTCTCAGGGACTTTCCAGAGCTCTCAAAGGTGCAGCCAGGGACTTTCCACCCTGCGTGCCTGCAGGACCGCGTGGCGCCCCAGGCCAGGGGCTGGCTATAGTCCTTGGCCCTCAGCCGGAGGCCCTCATAATTGTCAATGTGGCATCCCATGAGCCTGGAGGTGGCAGAGACCCCAGAGGACTCAGGGTCCAGTGCAGAGCTGGAAACTATTATCCCACCTGTCCCCCAGACACTCCTCAGTCCTCTCAAAGGGTGGCATGGCGCATAGCACCCCTACTCCCTGCAGCCAGCTGGTACCCCAACCCTCCCAGGGAGACCCTGACCCTGGGCCACCTCCCCAGGGAGCCATCTCCCTTGCAGACAGCACTGGGCAATGACCAAGCTGCATCTCTTTCAAGGAGCAGGGAGTGGGGGGTACAATGCCATGCGCCACAGCCGTTTGTGCGGCAGAGCCACACAGGAGCCTAGAAAGCTTTGCATCGCACGTCGTGGCTGAGGGCGGTCTGGCATCTCTGCCCACAGAGGTAGGAGTCTCACTCTAGGGCAGTGCCCTGGAGCTACCGCTCCGTGTCCAGGACGCAATCCCCGTGCTAGGGAGGAAAGCACATCTTGTTCACCCCAGACACAGCTGGGGCAGTTCTTCTGAAAAAACGAAACTTGGAGCCCAAAGACCACAAAGCAGAGTCTGTCAAAAGATCGTGGGAGGTGTGGCCAGGCTCACAGGGTGGGGAGTGGGCGAGGAGAAGAGGGAGGCGTGGCCAGGCTCACAGGGCGGGGAGCAGGAGAGGAGAAACACACAGTAATGCAGGTCCAATTCCAACCCAGCCGGTAACACCCCAGGGTCCGGCTGAGCAGGAGATCCCAGCTCTGGCCCGGGCAGGAAGCTCCCCTAAGTGCAGAAAGCCAGGATTCTGAGCAAACAGCCCTCACAGCCTCACCAACCTGGGGCTGGATTGGATGGCATCAAGGTACTGCCTCATTCCAATGTATGACTCGGTACTCACTGAACAATGACCCCTGTCTCCTCCATTCTACTTCCTGTACCCATGGATCTGATGACTCTAAGGGTGGCCCCTAAGTGGAATCACAGAGGATCTGTCCTTTGGTAACTGGCTCATGTCACTCAGCACACTGTCCTCAGAGTTCATCCCTGGGGTGTGTGTGTCCGAATCGCCTTCCTTTTTAAGGCTGAATCATATCCCACTGTGTGCACAGATCACACTTCCCGTGTTTATCCATTCATCCGCAGACACTGGGCTGCCTCTACCTTTGGGCTCTGTGGACAGTGTTACTCCAGGAATCCTGTACAAGGATCCCAGAGAGAAACCTCTTAAAGGGCATTCATTACAAGAAGGAAGACTGCATAACTTGGCGAGCTGTAGTGGCCTCGACGAGCTCTCTCGGCACCTCCTGGCCTCTACACTACAGGTGAAGTTTCCAAATGCCTAAAAGGTGACGTGAGAATCACACTGAAATCCCCAGTGCAGGAAGGCGTGCACGGCTCGCCCAGCACACAGGGACAAACCACAGCCAAGTGAAGTGCGGGCCACTGCCTATGTTGCTGTGACCACAGGACAAGTGTGTCCATTATTTCTGCAATTTCCAGTGTCAACACAATTCAAAATAAGCAATCCTTTGTGGATACAAGAGACACAACAAAAACCCCCACCAAACTTGAAAGCTGCAGGTCCTGGTGCACAGCGATCTCCCCTTCATTCCCAGGAAATGCTACTGCTCAGATAACCATGGCATTCCCAGGGCTCACACAGGCACCTCCAACCCTCACAGCCACCCCACGATGGTGGGATCCTGCACCCCCATCGACAGACAAGAAACCTGAGGCACAGAGAGGGTAAATACCTCGCCCGAGGTCACACAGCCCAAGCTCCATGGTGCAGGTCTGTGCTCTGCACTACTTGAGTTTCTAAATGGACATACTCTAAGGAGCAGCTCCGTCTCTTCCTCCACAGACATCAGACAGGCTTCAGCCCCAGTGAGAGGAACGTGCAGGACAAGGTCATAACTGCTTGGGGAGCGTGGACGACTCCCGACTGCTGGAGCTTCTGTCACCATGCCACACGCAGGCATCTTTACCTCGTATTCTTTCAGGGTCCCCTTCCAGGTGCATCCATCACTGGGACAGACGGCCGGCAGGCTCTCCACCTCCCTGCGGGCAGCATTATCTGGGAAGGCCTGGGGAGAGGAATATCCCTCGGGTTAAACCTCCTCCCAGACTCCCTGCAGCAACCAAGGAACACAGACCACACGTCCAAACCAACCAATACTGCGTCACATCGCCTTTCCAGGCCACTCCAGGAGCAGAGGATGACTCTCTGATTCCTTTTTATTTTTGGACTCACCTTGATGCCAAAGTTTCCAAACCCTAAACTTCAGGAGTCTGCTAAGGGACAACTTCTGGCGGCCCTTTATTCTTTTTTTTTTTTTAAAGGAGGGGTCTCACTTTGTAACCCAGGTTGGAGTGCAGTGGCATGCGATCTTGGCTCACTGCAACCTCCGCCTCCCAGCCTCAAGCAATCCTCCCACTTCAGCCTCCCAAGTGGCTGGGACTATAGGCGTGCGCCACCACACCCGGCTAATTTTTTGTATTTCTGGTAGAGATGGGGTTTCACCATGTGCGCCAGGCTGGTCTCGAACTCCTTACCTCAGGTGATCCACCCACTTTGGCCCTGCAAAGTGCTGGGATTACAGGTGTGAGACACTGAGCCCGGCCCCTGGTAAGTTTTTTGCTTTTTGTAGAGACAGGGTCTCACTATGTTGCCCAGGCTGGTCTCAAACTCCTGGACTCAAGCAATCCCCCTACCTGGGCCTCCCAAAGTGCTGGGATTACAGGTGTGAGCCACTGTGCCCAGCCCCACCCATGTTGTAAAGGAAATTAAGACATTTTCTGTTCAACATTTTTAGCTTCAAGACATTTTACTTACCGAACTGCTTTCTAAAATAGAAATGCCTTCTTCATATATGCCCTCGTGAACACAGGCAGCACAGTTCTGAGGCCCAGAGCTAGTGGGGAAAAAAGGCAAAAAACAACCCACTGTGAAACCTAATGCAAAAAACAAACACCATTTGCTTCAGTTCAAAAACCTACCTCCACACCACAGTTTAAACTTTCTCATCCTTAGTGAAACCAACAGCAGGCAAATGTTAACAGGACATGTTTTAAACCCCAGTATTCACAGCACACTGTTTTTATCACTCCGTTTGTGAGGAAGGCACGCCTGAACCGCCAAGGACATCTGCTGCAGTAACTCAGGTATTGCCGGCTCTCCCGACAGGCCGAGCTGCTGCCGATGTGCACAGGCCACACCTCTCAGACCACTCGCTGCAAGGAAGGCGGCTGTCTTAGCTGCCTAGAGCAGCCAAAAAGTGAGCAGTAGGTGGCACTTTAAACTTTCCAGTACTCACATTAAAAATAATAAAAAGATAAAATTAACTGTAATGACGTACTATATTTAACCCCATGTATCCAAAATCGTATTTCAAATTGCTATTTTAAAATTATTAATTTTACATTCTTTGTGGTAAACCTCCGAAATCCAGGGAGTATCGATAACTGGAGCACATCTAAGCTGGACCCGGCTCTGCTGGGAGCTACCAGGCTGGGCAGCGTGGCTCTAAAACCAGCCTAGCCTGCCTGCCCCTCCTCCCAGCCTGCAGGCCCCATGCACCTGAGGATGCTGGCCAGGCAGAAGGAGCAGTACCGGTGGCCACACTGCGCCTGGAAGGGCCTGCGGAGGACGTTTCTGCAGGCGGAGCACAGGTACTTGGCTTCCAGCTTGGTCCCCAGGAGGGTCTTGGAGAAGCCGGGCTGTAGCAACTCCAGGGAGCCAGGGGGGGTCACGCTAGCTGCAGCCATGAGAGCTGTGACCCCCGCGAACAAAGCCCTAAGGAAGAACACACAGCACGTTACACCTCAATTCCAGAACAGTCCTCGAGACAAAACCAAACCAATGGTGATCAGTAGCAGGCGATGGTGAGGGGCCGGGTCCCCACTGACCTGCGGTCAAGACTCAGAGAAGCAGAATCGCAGAGCTTCAGGGAGCCTTGGAGACCCTCTAGTCCCATCTCCCGCCGCTAGTATGGAAACTCAGGCTCAGTGAGGCTGGGGACCACACAGCTGGCATCCACACAACCAACCCACAGCTCCAAAGAGACACAGACGCACGGGCTTCCTGCCACGCACAACCCCCTCCCCAGCTAGGGGAACAGGCTGCCTTCCTGTTAACACTAATGGTCAGAGGTTCTCAAGGCTCTAGGCCCTTTGGTCTCCCCCATGGTTCCTGCAATAAGCATGTTTTAGAGTGGTGGATGCCTTCTGAAATATATCTTACCAAACCCACTGGGCAGGAGACGCCTGCCTGCTGGCACTCAGGCTCTGAAGGCACTCAGGAGAGAGCCATGCCGCCAGACCAGCCCCTAGAGCGGGAATGTAGCACACCTGGGGCTGGCTAGTGCACTCCCTTTAGCTACCACGGGTTCCCCTCCAGCCCCGAGAGCGGGAATGTAGCACACCTGGAGCTGGCTAGTGCACTCCCTTTAGCTACCACGGGTTCCCCTCCAGCCCTGAGAGCGGGAACGTAGCACATCTGAGGCTGGCTAGTGCACTCCCTATAGCTACCACGGATTCCCCTCCAGCCCCGAGAGCGGGAACGTAGCACACCTGAGGCTGGCTAGTGCACTCCCTTTAGCTACCACGGGTTCCCCTCCAGCCCCGAGAGCGGGAACGTAGCACACCTGAGGCTGGCTAGTGCACTCCCTATAGCTACCACGGGTTCCCCTCCAGCCCCGAGAGCGGAACGTAGCACACCTGGAGCTGGCTAGTGCACTCCCTTTAGCTACCACGGGTTCCCCTCCAGCCCTGAGAGCGGGAACGTAGCACACCTGGGGCTGCCTAGTGCATTCCCTTTAGCTACCACGGGTTTCCCTCCAGCCCCGAGAGCGGGAACGTAGCACACCTGGGGCTGCCTAGTGCACTCCCTTTAGCTACCACGGGTTCCCCTCCAGCCCCGAGAGCGGAACGTAGCACACCTGGGGCTGGCTAGTGCATTCCCTTTAGCTACCACGGGTTTCCCTCCAGCCCCTAGAGCAGGAATGTGGCGCACCTGGGGCTGGCTAGTGCATTCCCTTTAGCTACCACGGGTTTCCCTCACTTCAGACGATACACATGGCCTTCAGAGCCCTCCATGTGCCAGCCCTGCCCTGGCACCTTGCTGTCCACTAGAACTCAGTAAGCCCCACCAAGGCAGCCACAGACGGCCTCAGCGCCCTGCACCATGCCCTCTCCTTCTGCCTAAGCACCAAGGCCACCAGTGATGGCCTCAGCCACTCAGTGCCATGCCCACTCTTCCTGCTTCTCTGAGCATCATCCAGCCAATACCTGCACCTCACCCTTCCTTTTGAATTAACCGCAGCTCTTCCTCCCTCAGCGTCCCGGGCAGAGACTCCACTGGGCTCTGCTCTCCTTACAGAGCATCCCCAGGTGGGTTTCTCTCTCCCCTTCTGAACATGGAGCCCCTGTTGTGTGGGAACCTCAGGAAGGGGCCTGGTCAGGGTTGGGCTGATGTTGAGGACAGAGGAAGGGAACAATGAGGATGCCTAGACCCATTCACTGGGCAGAGTGAGCAGACAAGGAGAGCGAGCAGTCACCCGGCAGGCACACCAAGCATTTCCTCGAGGTCTGTCTCCCTCTCAACGAACTACAACTCTCACGCCTGTAATCTCAGCACTTTGGGAGGCCGAGGTGGGCAGATCATGAGATCAGGAGTTCGGGACCATCCTGGCTAACACGGTGAAACCCCGTCTC
This sequence comes from Homo sapiens, assembly GCF_000001405.40. NCBI lineage: Eukaryota > Metazoa > Chordata > Mammalia > Primates > Hominidae > Homo > Homo sapiens. Next base: position 136,896,793 of record NC_000009.12, on the reverse strand, counting down.
TATTAAAAATACAAAAAATTAGCCGGGCGTGGCGGCGGGCGCCTGTAGTCCCAGCTACTCAGGAGGCTGAGGTTGCAGTGAGCCAAGATCGCGCCACTGTGCTCCAGCCTGGGTGACAGAGCGAGACTCCACTCAAAAAAAAAAGCGGGGAGAGACAGGCACTCGGTTCCCCCCAACCTTATAAGCGGTTTGGGTAAAGCTTGAGTCCAAAGACTTCAAAGCTTCTAGCTGAAGTGAAGATTGTTCACACGTGCTGGCCCTATCAAGCACAAGGAACTTCCACGGCACAGACGCCCAAGAGAACAGACTCGAAACACAACCGGACAGCAAACATGGAGCTTCCCAAGTAGCAACAGGAAGCTGCGGATGAGAAAGGCAGACCCATGCGTCTCCACAGCCTCACACCCGGAACCAGGGCCGGTCATGAGGACCCGAAACCCACTGCTCCTTCGCAACAGCCTCCAGTGCCTTCTTGCGCTCCCCGTGGGGGCACGTGTCACCTGATGCTCGCCTGCCATGCTCCTCCTTCCAAAAGCAGCCCGAGGGCCAGGGCTAGCTCTAAGTATGCTCTGTCCCCAGTCCCGGCCCCTGAGAGCCTAGTGAGAGGAGGCAGGAATTGGGGTCATCTCTCTGGCAGGGAAGCAGTCTTGATTCAGGGAACTGGGGACAGCTAGAGAGGGACTTCCAGTGGGGGTGGGGGGGCTCACTCCTAGAAGGTGGACTGCAGGCAGAGCAACCTGGGAAAGAGGTGGAGGAAGGACAGGGGCATGGTGTCGGCTGAGATCCCCAGGAGGCAGCCCAGGGAGGCAGGGACTGACAGGCCCTGGCCTAAGGGTGGAGGGCGGCCTCCAGAGTCCCCTCCCAAGAGGGCAACCTGGGGTGGCAATTTATTTACTTAAGGAATGACTTCTCAGAACCATTCCTTTTTTTTTTTTTTTTTTTTCCTTAAACAGAGTCTTACGCTCTGTCACCTAGGCTGGAGTGCAGTGGAGCAATCTGTCACTGCAACCTCCACCTCCTGGGTTCAAGCAATTCTCATGCTTCAGCCTCCCAAGTAACTGGGACCACAGGTACCCGCCACCACAGGTGGCTAATTTTTTGTATTTTTCAGATGGGGTTTCACCATGTTGGCCAGGATGGTCTTAAACTCCTGGCCTCATGTGATCCAACCTTGCCCTCCCAATGTGCTGGGATTCCAGGTAGGAGCCACCGTGCCTGGCCCATTCCAACATTTAAATGACAAATGCATTTTCCCTTTTTTCTCCAGGAAGGACAGTAGATGCTGACCGCTCTGTGCCTGGACGACAGCCCCAAGATGGGGGCCTTGCTGTTCTACTTGAGCCTGACTGATGCCTCCAGGCAGGCTGTTAGGTCAGCTCAGCCACAGGTCCTAACACTGCACACCTGCTCTGCTGTCCTTCCAAGGCCCAAGTTGCCAAAAGAGTGTCCCGGAAGCCTTAGGTCACTTGCCTCCTCAAAGCAGCATGGACCCACCCACCAGGCAGAACCGCAGCAGGAAGGCTGTGGCCCCAGGAGTGAGGAAAACGAAGCACCACTGTGTGCCCGACACGGTGGCGTGGGTCACCCGGCCCCAGAGCTGCTCACCTGAAAGGGGCTGACCTCTCCCAGCAGGCCCAGGACCGGCAAGTTTTGGATGAACCCAAAAGGCCAGAACACTGCTGAGGCCCTTCTCCTCTCACCTCTGCCCCGGTTGCTGTGCCAGAAAGAGGTCTTCCCAGCTCTCAGGACCGCTCCACCATTCACCAGGGACTCAGCCAAACCCAGGAGGCTTTCATTTTTCTTTAGAAACAGGGGTCTCACTATGTTTCCCTAGCTGGAGTACGCTGTCTATTCACAAGTGTGATCATGCACACTACAGGTTGGAAGTCCTGGGCTCAAGCGATCCTCCCGCCAGTTTCTCCAGTGGCTGGGACTACAGGTGAGTGCACCTCCATGCCCAGCTATCCAGGATGCTTTCTGAGCCCATTCCTTGTCCAATCACAGGCCAATTCCACTGGCTCTGCCTCCATGCTGCCAGCACTAGCCCCTTCTCTGGCCCCGACCCTGCTCTCTGCTCCTCCTTCATACCCACAATAGGGCACCCCTCACTGAGGGCTCCCTAGGAACATCCTGGGCACTCAGAAGGAAACCCGGCCACTGGGTTTAGCCCCATCTGGCCTTGTCCCCCTCCATCCTCATGATGCCCCCAATCCCCCTGCTCTCCTCTGTTCCCTTAACACCTTTGCCCTGCTTGGAAGAGCCCCGGTGCTGGTCCCTATGGATCTGCACACCTGCCCCTTGGCAACCCTGAGGTGGGCCTAAGAAGCCTGCGCCCAGGACAAGGCCCAGCAGCCTTCCGAGACTTGCCTCCAACTCCCATGTAATGTCCCCAGATCTCAAAAAGTGGAAGGAAAGTTTACCTGTAAACCCCTGAAAAAGGGCCACTACCAGCCAGGTGCGGTGGCTCACGCCTGTAATCCCAGCACTTTGGGAGGCCGAAGCAGGCAGATCACGAGGTCAAGAGATCGAGACCATCCTGGCCAACATGGTGAAACCCTGTCTCTACTAAAAATACAAAAATTAGCCGGACATTGTGGTGTGTGCCTGTAATCCCAGCTACTGTGGAGGCTGAAGCAGGAGAATTGCTTGAACCCAGCAAGCAGAGGTTGCAGTGAGCTGAGATCATACCACTTCACTCCAGCCTGGGCGATGAGGCAAGACTCCATTTCAAAAAAAAAAAAAAAAAGGCCAGGCGCAGTGGCTCACACCTGTAATCCCAGCACTTTCGGAGGCCAAGGCAGGAGAATCACGAGGTCAGGAGTTTGAGACCAGCCCGACCAACATGGTGAAACCCCATCTCTAGTAAAAATACAAAAATTAGCCGGGCGTGGTGGTGCACGCCTGTAATCCCAGCTACTCAGGAGGCTGAGGCAGGAGAATCGCTTGAACCCGGGAAGGAGAGGTTGCAGTGAGCCGATATTGCACCACTGCACTCCAGCCTGCGCATTGCAGTGAGACTCCGTCTCGAAAAAAAAAGTAAAAAAGAAAAAGGGTCACTACCACACAGACCCCAAATAGGAGGTGCTTTTTAAGTCAGAAAAACTTAGGCCCCAAGACAACCATCCTCAGCTCTCTGCAAACATTCCCCAAAGTTTCCTTGACCTGGCTCACCAACGAAAGCACATTCCAAGTGTCTTCCCCAGACGGTGCGCCAACCCTGCAGACCCATGGGGCTGGCCCCTCTAATCCTCTACAGGAGAGACACGTGGACTGCCAAAACTGACGCCGCATACAGGACTGGGGAACGCAGAGTGCAGCGACCTCATCCCTGACCTGCGCTCACTGACCTGAATAGGGCTGACTCTTGAGAAACTGTGACGAGACTGTCAGTCACCTGTCTGCCCCCCAAAGCCAGCAGTGGTGTGCTTTCAATCCCAGCTTCTGAATCTGTAATTTAGTGAGACCTTACATTCGTGTGGCACTTCAGAGTTCAGAAAACATGCTTATAACCTAAACTTACTCCTCCAACCACCCAACAGAAGGGACGCTGGGGCTCTGCCTGCCCAGTGCTCAAGGTCCCTCGGTGGGGACGCCACACCTGTTTCTCCCACTTTCTCGAAGGTGGGTGCACCTGCTCCTGTGGGCGGCAGAGCTATGTGGATGTTCCGGAGCTCACAGATGCATACCAGCCGTGGCAAACTGAGGTGGTAGCCTGCTCACCAGGACTGCACCCTCAGCGCACATTCATCATGACATGTGGAGACGTGCTACATACATGTACGTCACTAAAAGGTTCACAGAACTACACTTAGTCTTCATAAGAGGCATTCTGAGTGTTCTATTTTCTTTCTTTTGTTCTGGTCAGAAGCTATTACATTGATTTCATGAGCCACTAATGGTTTATTTATTTATTCATGTGAGACAGAGTCTTGCTCTGTCGCTCAGGCGGGAGTGCAACGGTGTGATCTAAGGTGCAACCTCCGCCTCCCAGGTTCAAGCGATTCTCCTGCCTCAGCCTCCCGAGTAGCTGGGATTACAGACGCCTGTCACCACGCCTGGCTAATTTTTGTATTTTTAGTAGAGACAGGGTTTCACCATGTTGGCCAGGCTGGTCTCGAACTCCTGACCTCAGATAATCTGCCCACCTCAATCTCCCAAAGTGCTGAGATTATAGGCATGAGCCACTGTGCCTGGCTGAGCCACTAACAGTTTAAAAAGGTTTAATGGTTTTAGAACAAAGTGGCTTCTAATCCACTTTGGACAAAGAAATTTTCTATTTTTAAGTATCATTGGTTTTTAAGCCACATTCTTTTTATTTATTTATTTTTTTGAGACGGAGTCTCGCTCTGTCGCCCAGGCGGGAGTGCAGTGGCGCGATCTTGGCTCACTGCAACCTCCACCGCCCAGGTTCACGCCATTCTCCTGCCTCAGCCTCCCAAGTAGCTGGGACTACAGGCACCAGTCACCATGCCCAGCTAATTTTTTGTATTTTTTAGTAGAGACGGGGTTTCACCGTGTTAGCCAGGATGGTCTCGATCTCCTGACCTCGTGATCTGCCCGCCTCGGTCTCCCAAAGTGCTGGGATTACAGGCGTGAGCCACCGCGCCTGGCCTTAAACCACATTCTTTAGGACAAAATCCTATTTTATACTTATTATAAGATGTTAAATAGGATATAAAATGTGAAGAACCCTATGAGTGCAGTCATGCCAGTGTACGAATGGGGCAAGAAAGTAAAATAAAGGATCGTTTTGCTAGGGTAGACAGATTCAGAATGGGCCGGGCACGGTGGCTCATGCCTGTAATCCCAGCACTTTGGGAGGCTGAGGCGGGTGGATCACCTGAGGTGGTGATCGAGACCAGCTTGACCAACATGGAGAAACCCATTTCTACTAAAAACACAAAATTAGCCGAGTGCAGTGGCTCACGCCTGTAATTCCAGCTACTTGGGAGGCTGAGGCAGGAGAATCGCTTGAACCTGGGAGGCAGAGGTTGCAGAGAGTCAAGATCGCACCACTGCTCTCCAGCTTGGGCACAAAGAGCGAAACTTCGTCTCAAAAAAAAAAAAAAGATTCAGGGTGAGCGTTCTTTTTTCCCAATGTCACTGAAGAGTGTCCTGGTGCATCTTTCAGACAAAGCTTGATTCTTTTCATATCGACATTCCTCCTAAATGCGCTCTTGAAGGTGGAGACAGAGGTGTGCCCTCCCTGCCCTAGGCATGCCTGTCAGACATAAAAGAACCACAAAAATGGGCCAGGCATGGTGGCTCACACCTATAATCCCAGCACTTTGGGAGGCCGAGGTAGGCAGATTGCTTGAGCTCAGGAGTTCAAGACCAGCCTGGGGAACATGATGAAACCCTGTCTCTACCAAAAACACAAAAAAATGGCTGGGCGCGGTGGCTCACACTTGTAATCCCAGCACTTTGGGAGGCCGAGGCGGGCGGATCATGAGGTCAGGAGTTCAAGACCAGGCTGGCCAACATGGTGAGACCCCGTCTCCACTAAAAATACAAAAAATTAGCCAGGCATGGTGGTGCAAGCCTGTAAGCCCAGCTACTCCAGAGGCTGAGGCAGAAGAATCGCTCAAACCTGAGAGGCGGAGGTTGCAGTGAGCTGAGATCATGCCACTGCACTCCAGCCTGAGCAAGAGCAACCATCTGTCTCAAAAACAAAACACACATAAAAAAACAAATCTAAAAATACAAAAAATGGCCAAGTGTGATGGCATGCATCTGTGGTCCCAGCTACTCAGGAGGCCGAGGTGGGAGGATCTCGCATCTGTGGTCCCAGCCACTCAGGAGGCTGAGGTGGGAGGATCACCTGAGCCTGGGGAGGAGGAGGCTGCAGTGAGCCGAGGTTCACAACAAAGTGCACGTCCTCCACCACCGGCAGACGCTTCTCACAGACACGGCCTCACGTGGCCATCGTGACATCCTGACACGGCTGGAAGGTCGGGGATCATTATTCCTGTTTCCAAATGAAAACACAACCCCAGACAGCCAGGACACGGCAGGCAGCCCGGTCAGGGGACCCTGAGGTCCCACTGATGCCCACACTACACTCTGGGGTTCTTTGTGCTTAGAGATTCCTTAAACATTTTATTTGAATCTCATTCATAAATACATTTTAAGAACTAATGAAAACCACCACGAAGGCTCAAAAGTGCTACACCAAGATTTTAGCACACTTCTGACAGTGCCCCAATTTGCGCACATGTTGGAATCCGACTTCCACTGTGCCTAGCACTTACCAGAACCTCCTCCGGCTTAGACTAGGGAGCTCTCAGTGGCCTACACACGAGGCAGGAGGAACTGAACTGAACACCATGGTCACCTGAACCAGACACACAGACTGAGACCTGGTGCGCGGCCGGACGGCATGGGCTGCTCTTGCTTTCTGTACGTATCATAAGAGACGTGAGGGGTCAGCTAGGAGCGATTCAACCTGGAAACGAACAATGTGCTGCTGGTTTTTTCAGGCTTCCAGATCAGTTTTACTCTAAAACTCCCAATTCTATCAGCTAAGTCAGCTAAAAACAAAAGTGCCACCCCCGTGGTGACCAGCTGAACGAGCGTGTGGTGGGGACTCTCACACATGCGGTGACCGACTGAACGAGCGTGCGGTGGGGACTCTCACACACACGGTGACCGGCTGAACGAGCGTGCAGTGGGGACTCACACGCGGTGACCGGCTGAACAAGCGTGCGGTGGGGACTCACACACGCGGTGACCGGCTGAACGAGCGTGCGGGGGGGACTCACACACGCGGTGACCGGCTGAACGAGCGTGCGGTGGGGACTCTCACACACGCGGTGACCGGCTGAACGAGCGTGCGGTGGGGACTCTCACACACGCGGTGACGAGCTGAACAAGCATGCGGGGGTGATTATCACACATGCGGTGACCGACTGAATGAGCATGCGGGGATGACTGTCACAAATGTAGTGACCGACTGAATGAGCATGCAGGGGCGACTCTCACACAAGTGGTGACCGACTGAATAAGTGTGGGGGGAACTCTCACACATGCGGTGACCAACTGACACAGTGGCTTGCACCTGTAATCCCAGCTACTTGGGAGGCTGAGGTTGGAGGATCACTTCAGGCCAGGAGTTCGAGACCAGCCTGGGAAACATAACAAGACCTCAGGTATAAAAATAAAATAACAAAAAAGTTAAAATGGCAAAGAAATGTCAAAAACAGGTTTTAAGGCCGGGCAAGGTGGCTCATACCTGTAATCCCAGCACTTTGGGAGTGCCAAGGCAGGTGGATCACCTGAGGTCAGGAGTTCGAGACCAGCCTCACCAAAGTGGAGAAACCCTGTCTCTATTAAAAACACAAAAATTAGCCGGGCATTATGGTGGGTGCCTGTAATCCCACCTACTCTGGAGGATGAGGCAGGAGAATCACTTGAACCTGGGAGGCAGAGGTTGCAGCGAGCCGAGATCGCACCATTGCACTCCAGCCTGGGCAACAAGAGCGAAACTCTGTCTCAAAAAAAGAAAAAAAAAGGCCAGGCGTGGTGGCTCACACCGGGGGACAGAGCGAGACTCCGTCTCAAAAAAAAAAAAAAAACAGAAAAAACCACACAAACAAAAAAAGAAAAACAAACAAACAAGTTTTAACGTAAAAAAGCCCCTCAGTGGTGGCTCACACCTGTAATCCCAGCACTCTGGGAGGCCGAGGTGGGCGGATCACGAGATCAGATCGAGACCACCCTGGCTAACATGGTGAAACCCCGTCTCCATTAAAAATACAAAAAATTAGCTGGGCGTGGTGGCGGGTGCCTGTAGTCCAGCTACTCGGGAGGCTGAGGCAGAAGAATAGCGTGAACCCAGGAGGCAGAGGTTGCAGTGAGCCGAGATCGTGCCACTGCACTCCAGCCGGGTGACAGAGCGAGACTCCCCTCCACAGGAGAGTGGGGGCATCTGGCACCCTTGTTGCTGGTAGGGCCGAGCTGTGTGTTCCCTTCACAATGGGACACCCCCACAAGAAATCAGAGGCCTTCACTAAGCTGGAGTCATCAGGCAGCTGAGACCTGGCATCCTGACTCTGGTGTGTGAACATGGTTTGGTGGCATCGGTGACTCTCAAAAGGACAAGCTGTATTGTTACACAAGTCAAACACTGCCCAAACCATGACATCAAATCAGATATGGGTGCAACCTGGCCGCTGCAGGGGTCACCTAGTCGCCGCAAACGCTTGGGTTCAACCCAGGCCTCGCCCTTCTCACAAGCAGACTCCAAGATGCCCCAAATGCTGGAGATTCAAACCTCAATTCATGTCTCCACCAACAGCACACAACTGCTTCATACAATACTGGACTCCACGTAAGAGTTCACTGGGTGGCACCCGATTCTTTTTGAGATGGAGTCTCGCTCTGTCACCCAGGCTGGAGTGCAGTGGCGCGATCTCGGCTCACTGCAAGCTCCGCCTCCCGGGTTCACGCCATTCTCCTGCCTCAGCCTCCGGAGTAGCTGGGACTACAGGCGTCAATGGCACCTGATTCTAACCCACTTCTATAAAAGCTCATCTGAGTAATATTCAGGAACACTGATCTGCATGCAGCCATGAATATGAGGCCCTCCAAATACTAGAAGTTAACTTTAAAACTGTAATTTCATGGCCGGGCGCGGTGGCTCATGCCTGTAATCCTAGCACTTTGGGAGGCCGAGGCGGGTGGATCACCTAAGGTCAAGAGTTTGAAACCAGCCTGGCCAACATGATGAAACCCTATCTCTACTAAAAATACAAAAAATTAGCCGGGCGTGGTGGTGCACGCCTGTAATCCCAGCTGCTCGGGAGGCTGAGGCAGAAAAATCGCTTGAACCCAGGAGGCGGAGGCTGCAGTGAGCCGAGATCGAGCCACTGCACTCCAGCCTGGGCAACAAGACCAAAACTATCTCAAAAAATAAATAAATAAAATTACAATTTTATATGTAACCCCATCTTTTTCAGGCTCAAAATAATACCAAATAGAAGCTTGATAACAACCTAAACTCTTAACAACTGTTTATACAAAAGTATCAGAAGCAAGCGTGGTAGAAGAGGAGATCTTGAACCTTACAAGTGTCCACCCATTAATACATTCAGTTCCTCTTATTAAAAACTAGGGCTATTAACAGGGAGAGAGACTGAGTTACAGGGCAGTAATTCCGTCCCTTCAAAATCATGTGGCCACAGAGCAGGGTCCGTTCTCAGTCCTAGTTTCCCTTGACTTGACCCAGACCAGACTCCCTCCTCCTCCGAGCCCCGTCTTCACCGGCTGCCAGACACCCCACCCCCTGTCGGCCCTACACCGAGTGGAGGCTTGGTGCTCTTCTGCACTGACCCTCAGCCCTCGGGGCCTCAAAATGACAACTCCAAAATACCCAGCTCTGGCCCTGACCGTTCCCCTGACCCCAGGCTGCCCATCTGGCCGCCTCCCGAGAGGCCATGGGCGCTGTGACTCCTTCATCTTGGCCTAGGAAGCACCAGCCTTCAGCTGCTCACGCCAGATTCTTGCAGACATTGCAACTCCTCTTTTTCTCGGCTCTACCTTCCACAAACATCCCCTGCTACTGCCAGGACCAGGCCCCGGCCCCGATCCCGGCCCGGTCCACCGCAGCCCATCCCCGCACTGGCTCCTTGCTGCCCCCGACCCTCCCAGCAGCCAGAGGGACTTTTCACCCAGGCTCAGCCTGGGTCTCCCCAGCCACTGGGCAGGAAGGCAGCAGAGTCGGCTCCGCCCCCAGCCTCACTGGTCTTCCCCGACCCCTGGCTGGGGGGCGCTGGCAAACTCAGGGGTCGGAGGCGCCCCTGACCCTCCCGAGCACGCAGCCGGCTGAGGGTGCGGGGCTTCGGGGACACGAGGGGCCCACAGCTGAGCGTGGAGGGGCGACAGGGTGCGGGGGAGCGACGGACCCGGGACGGGGCAGGGCCGGGTGGGCCGCCCACGGGCCTCAGGCGGTACTGGGAGCCGCGACCCCGCGCAAAACCCCGGACCGTGCCCTGGCGCTGCTCCGAGCACGGCCGCGCGCGTTCCCGAACTTTCCCGCGCCAGCCACGCTCGGACTTGGTTTCCGGCCCAGCGGCTCAGAGAAATCCCCTCGGGCTGGCCCCGCCCCCGCCCCGCGGCCTCTCCCGCCCCCGCTCCCGCTCCGGCCCGGAGTCTCCCTGAGAGGTGCCCGCGCCTGCGCCCGACCCCGCGCCCGACCCCGCACCCGACCCCGCGCCCGCGCCCGACCCCGCACCCGACCCCGCGCTCGCCTCACCCAACGGTCGCAGCGCGCCCGGAACTAAGGGCCCGCCCAGCTACCGCCCCCAACGCCGCCGCCGCCGCCGCCGCTCCGCCGCGTGCGCCTGACGGACGGACATGGGAGCCAACCAGCCAGCCCTCAGGAAGCTGTAGCGAGAGCCATTGGCCAGATACGCCCCGCTCCGAGCGCGCCTGACGGACTGACGCCGGAGCCAACCAGCGAGCCCGCAGGAGCCGCAGCGTGCGCCGATTGGTCGGCGCTGAGACGGCGTGGGTACCTAAGTCGCCCTCTGCTTTTTCCTCAAAGAGCGCGCCGGGGCGTTGGTGCGGGGAGCTGGTGAGGTGCTGCGCTGTGGGGTCCGCGCTAATTGGGTCCCTTCCCCAGGTGCGGCGAGACAGCGAGGCCCTTGCTTCCCCTCCCGTGGCCCCGGGGCGGAGACCCCTGCCGCACACCCGAGAGGTGAGCCGGGAGCCCAAGCCGGGCGACACCGGTTCCCACGAGGCGCGCGTCGCGCGCGGGACGCGGGGCCCTGGCGGGGCGGCCGCACCTACCCGACACCTGCGGGTCCCTCCGCCTCCCCCGGTGCCGGGCGCAGAGCGGCGCCTCAATTTGGGTAACATTTATGAGAAACAGGACTAAAAGAATACTGCACACTTAAGTAAGGTATTAAGGCTATGGGGTCTCCTTTTGGGGTGAGGTAATGCTCTGCAACCGGACAGTGGTGACGGCCGCCCGACATGGCCGGTGTGCTAATCTACTGGGTTGTGCACTTTATTTATTTTTTTTTTTGAGACGGAGGCTCACTCTGTCGCCCAGGCTGGAGTTCAGTGGCGCGATCTCGACTCACTGCAACCTCCGCCTCCCGGGTTCAAGCGATTCTCCTGCCTCAGCCTCCCGAGTAGCTGGGACTACAGGCGCCCGCCATCACGCCCGGCTAATGTTTGTATTTTTGATAGAGACGAGGTTTCACCATGTTGGCCAGGCTGGTCTTGAACTCCCGACCTCAAGTGAAAACACAACCTATGGCCTCCAGACACTCAAATGAAAACAGTGGCCTTGGCGGCCAAAACAGGGGCTGCCCTAGGAGTCCTGTGGGCTGCATGGGGGAGGCGGCACTGTCATCTGCCCAGGAGAACGGGAGCTGCAGCAGGTTCTCTCTGGCGGTGCACGGGCTAGCACTGGACACACCACCCCCTCTCCATCCAGCCTTTGGTGAAATGGAGACCTTTCACCCCGCTTTGCAGAGAAGGAAACGTTCACGGAGGTAAGTCTCCTCCAAGCATTCAGACCCTGAGACCACGGGACTCCTCAAGGATGGAATACACTGCAAAACAGGGCAGGCTTTGAAGTTGCATAATTTACACAGGCCACGCTGTCCCCAGGCGCCAATGCCACATTTCATATATGTTACTTGGTTTGCAGTTGGAATTCCCCTCCGCCCCAAACCCACATTCCTGGGACAGCAAGGCCTTGAGATGGAACTCAGGAAGCCATCGGATTCCATCAACGTCATCACCCCTGAGTTTGCTGCAAGCAGCCATGGAAACGTCCCAAGTCCGCACCTGCAGGCTCAGTGAGGTTGCTCAAGCCCAGGAACTAACTGAGCTCTCAAACGTAAGAAGGCGTCTCCTCCTGGCTGCACCTGGGAGGCTCAAAGCTGTCCTGAGTCTGCAGCAGCCAGCTCGGGATGAGAAAGGGTTCACGTGGCAGTTCATGCCTATAATCCCAGCACTTTGGGAGGCTGAGGCAGGAGGACCGCTTGAGCCCATGAGTTCGAAACCAGCATGGGCAGCATGGGGGAACCCCATCTCTACCAAAAAAAGGAAAAAAAATTTAGCTGGGTGTGGTGCTGCACACCTGTAGTCCCAACTGCTTGGAAGGCTGAGGCAGGAAGATGACTGAAGCTCAGGAGGTGGAGGTTGCAGTGAGCTGTGGTTGCACCACTGCACTCCAGGCTGCGCTATAGAGTGAGACCCTGTCTCTTTTTTTTCTTTTTTGAGACGGTGTCTTGCTCTGTCACCCAGGCTGGAGTGCAGTGGTGCGATCTCGGCTCACTGCAACCTCTGCCTCCCGGGTTCAAGAAATTCTCCTGCCTAAGCCTCCGGAGTAGCTGGGACTACCGGCGCACACCGCTACGCCCGGCTAATTTTTTTTGTATTTTAGTAGAGACGGGGTTTCACCGTGTTGCTCAGGCTGGTCTCGAACTCCTGAGCTCAGGCAATTGCCTGCCTCGGCCTCCCAAAGTGCTAGGATTACAGGCATGAGCCACTGCGCCTGGCTGACCCTGTCTCTTTTAAAAAAGAAAAAACAGCCAGGCACGGCGGCTCATGCCTGTAATCCCAGCACTTTGGGAGGCCTAGGCGAGCAGATCACCTGAGGTCAGGAGTTTGAGACCAGACTGGCCAACATGGTGAAACCTCGTCTCTACTAAAAAAATACAAAAGGCCGGGCGCGGTGGCTCACCCCAGCACTTTGGGAGGCCGAGGTGGGCAGATCATGAGGTCAAGAGATCGAGACCATTCTGGCCAACATGTTGAAACCCTGTCTCTACTAAAAGTACAAAAATTAGCTGGGCATGGTGGTACGCGCCTGTACTCACAGCTACTCAGGAGACTGAGTAGGCAGGAGATTCACTTGAACCCGGGAGGCGTAGGTTGCAGTGAGCCGAGATTGCGCCACTACACTCCAGCCTGGCGACAGAGCAAGAATCCATCTCAAAAAAAAAAAAAAATACACAAAAGGCCCGGCACAGTGGCTCATGTTTGTAATCCCAGCACTTTGGGAGGCTGAGGTGGGTGGATCACCTGAGGTCAGGGGTTCAAGACCAGCCTGGCCAACGTGGTGAAACCCTGTCTCTACTAAAAATACAAAAATCAGCTGGGCATGGTGGCAGATGCCTGTAATCCCAATTACTCAGGAGGCTGAGGCAGGAAAATCACTTGAACCTGGGAGGCAGAGGTTGCAGTGAGCCGAGATTACGCCACTGCATTCCACCCTGGGTGACAGAGCAAGACTCCATCTCAAAGAAAAAAGAAGGGGTTCACCTGTTTTAGGACACTCTACTTCCTTCAGGGTAACGGGAAAGTCATTCTAACAGCTTTCAGACAGTGGCCTCCAACATGGGGTGACACACCTCACTGGTCCTGGATGATGACAGTGTTGAAGGGCTGAGTCTGAGACCACCTCAGCCCCACCCCAAGTCCAGAAAAGGTTTCCCAAGCTTGGCAAATGCCCACAGCCCTCGAGAGCAGGTAGTGACCAGGATGACTGCCCCGTGCCGCCCAGTCTCAGAGTACTTGCCCCAGTGCTGCTCTCATGAAAATGCCTTTGTTTAATTTATACTGCTCTGTTTCCAGAAGATTGGCACAGACACGTAAAAAAAAAACTGGCTGGGCATGGTGGCTCACGCCTGTAATCCCGGCACTTTGGGAGGCTGAGGTGGGCAGATCACCTGAGATCAGGAGTTCAAGACCAGCCTGGCCAAGGTGGTGAAACCCCGTCTCTACTAAAATACAAAAATTAACTGAACATGATGGCAGGTGCCTGTAATCCCAACTACTCAGGAGGCTGAGGCAGGAAAATCGCTTGAACCTGCGAGGCGGAGGTTGCAGTGAGCCAGGATTGCGCCACTGCACTCCATCCTGGACGACAGAGCAAGACTCTGTCTAATAATATTGATTGTGATGACAGGCCTGTAAGGCATAGCAAGTTGATACCAGCCTGACTGAGAGGCAGAGGCACACACTGATTGGGAAGCGGCCTCCCCACCCCGCCCACCAGCTTGGAAGCTGTGACACCTTGGCCTGGGGACTCGCCTTGTTTGCTGGCTGGAAAGGGGTGACTCACTCTGGCCATGGCGCAGCTCAGGGGATTCCCACGTGGGCTCCTTCCTGCCGAAAAGAAAGCAAAAGTCAGCCACCCAGGCCTCCAGCAGGGGCAGGGGGAGGGTATGTCCCCGGGCAGTCTCAGGAGAAGCCCCAGCACCCTCTCACTGCCTGAGGATGGGGGTTGCAGGAGCAGGAAGGAGGGCAGCAGTTGGAACCTGGAGATGGACACATGCAGCTGCTGTCCTGGGCTCCGTGTCCTGACGAGGGTGCCAGTGTCCCTGGAGGGGCGGCATGACCATGGACCACAGCAGATGCTGCCGTGGATGCCAGCCACTCACTGGCCTGGCCAGGGAGGACCCCACAGCTACCTACTGGGCCTGCAGAGCACGGGAGGTGAGGGGCCGCCATGCCACTGGCATCTGCCCTGTGCCCAGCAGGGCTCTGTGGATGCATCTGAAATCCAGCGGCTGCGTCTGCCCTCTGTGCCCAGCAGGGCTCTGTGGATGCTTGGCTTCCCTTGGGCGTGGTTGGCACCCTTGAAGGCTCACACCTCATGTCCTTTTACTCAGGTCTTGGGACGACAGAGCCCAGCTTGCACATGGAGCCAGGAGGCAGAATGTCCAAGCTGGGCCCCCCACGGGACCATGAACAAGGGACCCTTGTGTGCCTGGTGCTGTCCCCAGGGGAAGTGCCCACCTCAAATAGCCGCAGTCCACTTGCTCACACCGAGAGCTTGCCTCTTTTTCAGACGTTTGCATGTCAGCCCTGTGCTGCAGCCTCCGAGGGAAGCTGGTTTCACTCTCACTCTGCAGTCATCTGACAGGAGTGTTTCCAGGAAGGCAGCCGCAGCTCCGGGCCAGAGTCCCCTGCAGCAGCCCCAGCCCTGGCCTCACCCCCTCAGGCCAGTGCACGGGGCACAGAGGCTCCCTCCTCATCAGCTCCCCAGGGGGGCTCCCCCAGGGCAATCCCTGATAAAAGGACAAAGGCCTGGGGAGGGGTGGGACCTGGAGGGAGGTTTGCTTCAACGCTGGACAGTGGGGAAGCTCTTGTCCTCCAACTCAATGGCATAGAACCTTGGGGGGAATCTGAAGCCCGCCTGTCCAGGGCAAGCCTGGGGCTGGCTGTGGCCAGGAGACCCTCAAGCACATGAACTTGTGCTGTCACACAGCAGCATCCGTGCCAGCAACCGTGGGAAAGAATGGATTTCTGTCAGCTTGTGTTTTCTGTGAACTTGGGAAGGACACACAGGAAAGTAATAGAAGATTCACACCTGTAATCCCAGCACTTTGGGAGGCCAAGGCTGGATCACTTGAGCTCGGGAGTTCAAGACCAGCCTGGGCAATATAGTGAAACCTCCGTCTCTCCAAAAAATGCAAAAATTAGGCCGGGTGTGGTGGCTCACGCCTGTAATCCCAGCACTTTGGGAGGCTGAGGCAGGCAGATCACCTGAGGTTGGGAGTTCGAGACCAACCTGACCAACATGGAGAAACCCCGTTTCTACTAAAAATACAAAAATTAGCCCGGCGTGGTGGTGCACACCTGTAATCCTAGCTACTTGGGAGGCTGAGGCAGGAGAATCACTTGACCCTGGGAGGCAGAGGTTGTGGCTGAGATTGCACCATTGCACTCCAGCCTGGGCAATAAGAGCCAAATTCTGTCTCAAAAAAAAAAAAAAAATAGCCGGGCGTGATGGTGCACGCCTGTAGCCCCAGCTACCTGAGTGGCTGAGGTGGGAGAATTGCTTGAGCCCAGGAGGTTGAGGCTGGAGTGAGCCATGTCTCTGCCCCCGCCTCCTAAGCACCCGCCAGGACCAGTCACCACGGTTGCACTTCACACCCACAAACTCTAGAGGTCTGTGCTCACACTTGGTCCCAGCAACTGTGACCATCTGGCCAAGGCCACCCAACCCTCCACCCAGGATGCTCCAGGTGGCTGGAAGGTCCCCGCCCACCCTGCCACAGCCACATTCTCCCAGCCCTACCGCCACCCTCCCCAGTGGGGCCTCCCACTTTTTTAGCTCTCGCCCCTTGGTCCCGGGACCAGGGCAACTGCGACCATCTGCAACCTCTGCCCCTGGGCCGCCATGTTTCCACCATCCTTCCCTGCTTCCCTGCACACTTCTCCACCTGGCACCTCCCTATGCTGTGCTCACCTGCCAGGGCCCTGCGCTTAGGTCCTTCTAGGTTCCCTCCAACTACCCCCATTCTGCAGCTAGCTGGGCCTAAGGGAAGTTGCTCCCCAGGGTGGGGCGTCACTGCTGGCGGAGAAACCTGGGGATGACCTGGGCCACTGGCTCACTCTCCTGAACCACATCTGCACAACATGCCCGTTAAAAAAAAAAAAGCTGCTGCCATCCCAGCAATTTGGGAGGCCAAGGCGGGCGGATCATGAGGTCAGGAGTTCAAGACCAGCCTGACCAACATGGTGAAATCCTGTCTCTACTAAAAATACAACATTTAGCCGGGCATGGTGGCACGCAACTGTCATCCCAGCTACTCAGCTGAGGCAGGAGGATCACTTGAGCCCGGGAATCTGAGACCAGCCTGGGCAACATGGCAAAACCCCATCTCTACAAACAATACAAAAATTAGCCCAGAATGGTGGTATGCACCTGTAGCCTAAGCTACTAGGGAGGCTGAGGTGAGAGGATCACCTAAGCCTGGGGAGGTCAAGGCTGCAGTGAGCTCTGGTTGCAGTGTGTGCACCACTGCACTCCAGCCTGGGCAACAGAGCAAGACCCTGTCTCAAAAATAAAAAAATACGCTAAATAAACTTTACAATACAAAAGCGGTGGATTAAAATTTCCATTACCGGCTGGACACGGCTCACGCCTGTAATCCCAGCACTTTGGGAGGCTGAGGCAGGTGGATCACTTGAGGCCAGGAGTTTGAGACCAGCCTGGCCAACATGGTGAAAACCCATCTCTACTAAAAATACAAAAAATTAGCCAGGTGTGGTGGCTCACGCTTATAGTCCCAGCTACTCTGGAGGCTGAGGCACAGGAGTCACTTGAACCTAGGAGGCGGAGGTTGCAGTGAACCACGATCGCACCACAGCACCCCAGCCTGGGTGGCGAGCAAAACTCTGTTTCAAAAATAAATAAATAAATAAATAAATAAATACTAATATGATGGTATAAGTACCCTTTACCCCTTGCTTTTGGAAAAATATGTTAATGTAATGGACATTTTTTGTTGTTGTTGTTTTTGAGATGGAGTCTCGCTTCTTCGCCCAGGCTGGAGTGCAATGGCACAATCTCAGCTCACTGCAATCTCCGTCTCCCGGGTTTAAGTGATTCTCCTGCCTCAGCCTCCCAGGATTACAGGCACATGCCAGCATGCCCGGCTAATTTTTGTATTTTTAGTAGAGACAGGGTTTCACCATGTTGGCCAGGCTGGTCTCGAACGCCTGACCTCAACTGATCCTCCCACCTCGGCCTCCCAAAGTGCTGAGATTACAGGCATGAGCCACGGCACCCGGCTGTAATGGACGTTTTCTAACCAGATGTAGTGGTATGCACCTGTAGTCCCAGGTGCTTGGAAGGCTGAGGCAGGAGGATGGCTTGAGCCCAGGAGTTCAAGGCTGCTGTGAGCTATTACTGTGCCACTGTACTCCAGTCTGGGTGACAGAGCGATATTCTGTCCCTGCAAAAAAAAAAAAAAAAAAGTAATGGAAATTTTTTTTTTTTTTCCTCTGAGACAGAGTCTCGCTCTGTGGCCCAGGCTGGAGTGCAGTGGCATGATCTTGGCTCACTGCAACCTCTGCTTCCCAGGTTCAAGCAATTCTCCAGCCTCAGCCTCCTGAGTAGCTGGGACTACAGGTGTGAGCCATCACGCCTGGCTAATTTTTTGTATTTTTAGTAGAGACGGGTTTTCACCATGTTGGCCAGGCTGGTCTCAAACTCCTGGCCTCAAGTGATCTGCCCGCCTCAGCCTCCCTAAGTGCTGGGATGACAGACGTGAGCCACCAAACCCCACCTCATTCAGCTAAGTTTTTTTTTTTTTTTTTAAGTTTGCAGTAGAGATGGAGTCTTACTGTGTTGCCCAGGCTGGTCTTGAACTCCTGAGCTCAAGCAGTCCTCCTGCCTTGGCCTCCCAAAGTCCTGGGTTACAGGTGTGAGCCACTGCCTGGCCAACATATTGGGTTTTTTTTGTTGGTTTTTTGTTTGTTTGTTTGAGACGGAGTTCTGTTCTTTTTGCCTAGGCTGGAGTGCAATGGTGAGATCTCGGCTCACTGCAACCTCCGCCTCCTGGGTTCAAGCGATTCTCCTGTCTCAACCTCCCAAGTAGCTGGGATTACAGGGCCTGCCACCACACCCAGCGATTTTGTATTTTTAGTAGAGATGGGGTTTCACCGTGTTGGTCAGGCTGGTCTTGAACTCCTGACCTCAGGTGATCCACCTGCCTCAGCCTCCCAAAGTGCCGGGATTATAGGTGTAAGCCAAACCTATTGGTTTTTTGTATTAATTAATGATAACATTATAGTCCAGTTTCTGGCTTTGAGGTTTTTTTTGCTTTTTTTTTTTTGAGATGGAGTCTCGCTCTGTCGCCCAGGCTGGAGTGCGGTGGCACGATCTCAGCTCACTGCAAGCTCCGCCTCCCAGGTTCACACCATTCTCCTGCCTCAGCCTCCCGAGTAGCTGGGACTACAGGCGCCCGCTACCACGCCCGGCTAATTTTTTTTTTTTTTGGTATATTTTAGTAGAGACAGGGTTTTACTGTGTTGGCCAGGATGGTCTCGATCTCCTGACCTCGTGATCCGCCCGCCTCGGCCTCCCAAAGTGCTGGGATTACAGGTGTGAGCCACCGCGCCCGGCATGGCTTTGAGTTTTAACATCTGCAAGTTTGACAACTTTGTCAAAATTGATCTTTTTCTTGTTGTCATGATACTCCAGCTATGTTTATCCACCTATTTTTCCTCATGGTCAACCAGAAAACACTTTTTATTCACTTGAATTTAGAAAATTGTCTTTCACTTAAAGCCACAGATACACAAAGGTAGGAAGAACCTTGACCACAGGACATAGTGTTTGGTTTATAAAACTCCCACTTCACAGGACATTCTAGACATTGTGATTCTGTCTGTGTCTTTGTTTTTTTAAGGTGATCCTAGTGACATTCAGATCTCTCTGCAGTCAAAATAATTGTAAATTCAAATGAAAACTCCCAAGTGGCCCCACACGGTGATGATTATACAACTAATGTCCTGTTTTGCTGTCGAAGACAGGAGCCAGGCCGGTCACGGTGGCTCACGCCTATTATCCCAGCACTTTGGGAGGCCAAGGCATGTGGGTCACCTGCAGTCAGGAGTTCAAGACCAGCCTGGCCAACGTGGTGAAACCCCGTCTCTGCTAAAAATACAAAAATTACCCAGGTGTGTTGGCGGGCACCTGTAATCCCAGCTATGTGGGAGGCTGAGGCAGGAGAATTGCTTGAACCCAGGAGGCGGGCGTTGCAGTGAGCCGAGATTGCACCATTGCACTCCAGCCTGGGTGACAGAGGGAGCTACTGGGAAGGCAGAGGCATGAGAATCACTTGAACCCAGGAGGCGGAGGAGGTTGCAGTGAGCTGAGATGGCACCACTGCACTCTAGCCTAGGAGACAGAGCAAAACTCTGCCTCAAAAAAAAAAAAAAAAAAAAAAAAAAAAAAAAAGGGGAGCAAGTTGTGCCGACAGTGGACAGAGAGGCCTTGGGAGCTGCTGCACAGCAGGGCTGCCTACTGGGGCTTAAGCCTCCAGAACTGTCTGGGACCCCCAGAACTTCCCCTCATCAGCCAGCACAGCCAGGCGACTTTCCCCTCCTCACTCCCACAGCAGGCAGGAGACAGTGGATCTGGGGGCCCTCCAGCCTCAGGGGCACCAGGCTCAGCTCTTCTCCCTTGGCTCGCTGGAGGCTGGCAGTGGGGAGGCCACTTCCCCATGGGTGGGACCATGTTGCTCTCTAGGACCCCAGTAGAAATGGCCGTGTCCCACCCCATCATCCTGCAGTGGAATTAATAATGGAAAGTCCCGCCGGGCACAGAAGGCTGCTCTGCATGTGGGCTGACCTTAGCAAGGATTGCCAGACACAGGGAAAAAACAGAGCCCTGAACCAAACAAAAGAGCGGAGAGGGAGGGTACAGGCACCAGAGGAGAATGTGAGAAGAACCAAATTAGTAATCTTAGAAGAAAAAAGAGAAGAATTTGTGAAATAGAATGCTATAAAATTCAATGCTATAAAAAGAACTTAAGAGAATGTAAGAGGAGTCAGATGTCGTGGTTCATGCCTATAATCCCAGCTACCTGGGAGGCTGAGGCAGGAGGATCACTGGAGCCCAGGAGGTGGAGGCTGCAGTGAGCCAAGATTGCACCACTGCACACCAATTGGGCAACAGAGCCAGATACCGTATTAGAAAAAGACAAAGGAAAGAGAGAAAGAAAGGAAAGAAAGAAAAAGAAAGAAGGAATATAAGAGGGAGCCCTTCTAAATAAAAAATGTGATATCGAAGTTAAGAAAAATGTTAAGTAGAAAGGTTATACATTGAGGAAATCTCCCAAAATTAGAACAGAAAGAACATGAGTTGAAAAACAGGAAAGACTGGCCAGGCGCGGTGGCTCACGCCTGTAATCCCAGCACTTTGGGAGGCTGAGGTGGGCGGATCACCTGAGGTCAGGAGTTTGAGATGAGCCTGACCAACATGGTGAAACCTCGTCTCTACTAAAAATACAAAAAAATTAGCCAGGCATGGTGGCAGGTGCCTATAATCCCAGCTACTTGGGAGGCTGAGGCAGGAGAATCGCAGAAACCCGGGAAGTGGAGCTTGCAGTGAGCCAAGATTGCGCACTGCACTCCAGCCTGGGCGATAAAGCGGGACTCCGTCTCAAAAAAAAAAAAAAAAAGTTGGTTGGGCATGGTGGCATATGATTGTAGTCCCAGCTACTTGGGAGGCTGAGGCAGGAGGATCACTTGAGCCCAGGAGGTCAAGGATGCAGTGAGCCACAATTGAGCTGCTGCACTCCAACCTGGGAAACAGAGCAAGGCCTTGTCTCAAAAACAGTAATTAAAAAATAAAAATAACAGAAACTGCTACCATCAGACTGGGTGCCAATATGTAATAAGAGAGGAGGGAACGTTTTCTGCCAAAAAGTAGGAAGGACAGATGTCCAGAGAGAGGGCCGCACTGTCTCTGGGTGTGATGTCCATGTGTCTTCATTGTGGTGGAGCCGGGGAGGGTCCCGGGGCCTGCCGGGTGCTTCTCACTGTAGGTGGTGCAGCAGCTGACACAGATGGTGGGGAAGAATGTGAATTGAGTAAGTCAAATGGCCCTAGGAAATTAGGCGAAACCTGGTGCAGTTGTGTGGCCTGCTCTTCTTTTGTGTATCAGGGTCTCAACTTTTCTTAGAGGAGCTTATCTAGGTACAGCATGTAGTATCGGCGGTGACACAGACATTTTCTTATTTAACCAATGACCACTCAAGGATTGCTTAGTTTAGGTTCCATTAAGCTACCAGCAGAAGGCACTGATTGTGAAATTTCACAGCATTACCCTGCAAAGTGGAAAGGTACCATTAAGAGGGATAAAGGTTTTGTTATGATGTGGAGTCTCATTCCTTTGTCTTGGGAAGGCTGTCTGCAGCATTTAAACATCAGCTTCTCCTCCTGGTTTGTAGTTTGAATGTCTCTGGTCATAACATCAGACAGTTTGGATTACAGGCTTGAGCCACTGCACCCAGCCCCATCAGTTTCTTTATTACAGTTCTGAAAGTTTTAATTTAGTTCATTGACCTTAAAGTTATCAGAAATCTGCCGGGTGCGGTGGCTCACGCCTGT
The DNA here is from genome assembly GCF_000001405.40 of Homo sapiens. Taxonomy (NCBI): domain Eukaryota; kingdom Metazoa; phylum Chordata; class Mammalia; order Primates; family Hominidae; genus Homo; species Homo sapiens. The sequence continues at coordinate 136,874,920 of NC_000009.12, read as the reverse complement.
AATCCCAGCACTTTGGGAGGCCGAGGCGGGCAGATCACGAGGTCAGGAGATCGAGACCACGGTGAAACCCCATCTCTACTAAAAATACAAAAAAAAATTAGCCGGGCGCAGTGGCAGGCACCTGTAGTCCTGGCTACTCAGGAGGCTGAGGCAGGAGAATGGCGTGAACTCGGGAGGCAGAGCTTGCAGTGAGCCGAGATCACGCTACTGCACTCCAGCCTGGGCTACAGAGCAAGACTCCGTCTCAAAAAAAAAAAAAAACAGTTATCAGAAATCTGTGTTCAAGAGTACTTGTTAGAGTCTTTTCCATGAAAACCAATTTTGGACTGTACCTTATTCCAAATGCTTTCAGAAAACCATTGTGAATGATAAAAACTTAAAATAGCCACAGTTAAAAATCTGATGACAGTTCCCAAGTGACAAGGAAACTTAGTTACTTCCATTACATGCAGCATGTTAAGATAGCAACCAGAATGGTGACTACCAGTGTCACATCAGGGCCATCAGACTTTTATAAATTTCATATAATTTTTAGAATACATTAATAACATATCCAGAGCCAGGTGTGGTGGATCATGTCTGTAATCCCAGTAACTTGGGAGGCTGAGGTGACAGGATCACTTTTGGCCAAGAGTTTGAGATCAGGCTGGGCAACATAGCAAGACCCCACCTATAATAAAAATAAAATAAATTACCTGGGTGGTGGCACATGCCTATAGTCCTACCTGCTTGGGAGGCTGAGGTGGGAGGATTTTTTTTTTTTTTTTTGAGACGGAGTCTCGCTGTCACCCAGGCTGGAGTGCAGTGGCACGATCTCGACTCACTGCAGGCTCCGCCCCCCAGGGTTCACACCATTCTCCTGCCTCAGCCTCCCGAGTAGCTGGGACTACAGGCGCCTGCCACCACGCCTGGCTAATTTTTTGTATTTTTAGTGGAGACGGGGTTTCACCGTGTTAGCCAGGATGGTCTCGATCTCCTGACCTCGTGATCCGCCCGCCTCGGCCTCCCAAAGTGCTGGGATTACAGATGTGAGCCACCACGCCTGGCTGGGAGGATTTCTTGAGTCTAAGATTTTGAGGCGGCAGTGAGCCATAATCATGCCAGTACACTCCATCCAGCCTGGGCAACAGAGACCCTGTCTATAATAAACAAACAAAAACGTATCTATACAAATATAACTTTAGGAAAAGTTCAACATAACCAAAATTATGACTAACATTAAATTTTCATGAATTTTTATAATTTGTGGAACATTTATACCAATAAATACTAATAAATATAACTGAAAGATTTAGTGTTATCATTTGACAACTTATCAAATAAGTCTTATCATTTAATATCTCTACAAAGTGAGGTGTATATTCTTTGAGGCTCTTCATGAACCGAAGTGGAAAATCGCAAAGTTAAATTTAGGTCAAAAAGACTTAACTTAGGATATTGATCCTGGGGAAGCCAGTCAAAGATGTCAAAAGATTCAAAACACTTAATAAAAATAGAATCATAGTAACCAGAGTGATAATCAAAAAACTTTGGGCTGGGCTTGGAGGCTCACACCTGTAATCCCAATACTTTGAGAAGCTGAGGTGGGTGGATCACAAGGTCAGGAGTTCGAGACTGGCCTGACCAATATGGTGAAACCCTGTCTCTACTAAAAATACAAAAATTAGCTGGGCATGGTGGTGCGCACCTGTAGTCCCAGCTACTCGGGAGCCTGAGGCAGGAGAATCACTTGAACCCAGGAGGCAGAGGTTGCAGTAAACCAAGGTCATGCCACTGCACTCCAGCCTGGGCAACAGAGAGATACTCTGTCCCTGGAAAAAAAAAAAAAAAAGCAATGTATGACATAGGTGACCAGTTTTTTTAGTTTTGTATTAGTGTATTTTTAATAGAAAAGATCAATATTTAGAAAGACTTACAAATAATTCCTTCTAATTATAGCTAACTTAATTACACACAAAATACCTTTCATAAATTCCCTTTTCACAAGTCTTATCAAAACTTACTCATACCAGACCAGGCGTGGTGGCTCATGCCTGTAATCCCAGCACTTTGGGAGGCTGAGGCTCACCTGAGGTCAGGAGCTCAAGACCAGCCTGGCCAACATGGCGAAACCCCTCTCTACTAAAAATACAAAAACTAGCCAGGAATAGTGGCATGTGCCTGTAATCCCAGCCACTCAGGAGGCTGAGGCAGGAGAATCACTTGAACCCGGGAGGTGGAGGTTGCAGTGAGCTGAGACTGTGCCACTACACTCCAGCGTGGGCAACAGAGCAAGACTGTCTCAAAAAACAAAAACTTACTCAGACTATTGGTGACATGCTTGGACTTTCTGTTTTGTCCTATGGTTCTGCTTTCTTTCCTTATCTTTTTCTTTCTTTCTTTCTTTTTTTTTTTTTTTTTGAGACAGGGCCTGACTCTGTTGCCCAGGCTGGAGTGCAGTGGCTCTATCTTGGCTCACTGCAGTCTTCACCTCCCAGGCTCAGGTGATCTTCCAAATTCAGCCTCCCAATTAGCTGGAACTACAAGTGTGTGCCACCATGGGCAGCTAATTTTTATATTTTTTGTAGAGATGGGGTATCACCATGTTGCCCAGGCTGGTCTTGAACTCTTGAGCTCAAGTGATCCACCTTGCCTCAGCCTTCCAAAGCACTGGGATTACAGGCATGAGCCACCACACCTGGCCAGTTTCTTTTTCTTAAATAACCGGTCACTTTAGGACAAACATTTACCATATGTGATTCCTTCTTATTTAAAATTATTATCTCTCTCTTTTCTTTTCTTTCTTTCTTTCTTTCTTTCTTTTTTTTTTTTTTTTTTTTGACAGAGAGTTTTGTTCTGTTGCCCAGGCTGGAGTGCAGTGGTGTGATCTTGGCTTGCTGCAACCTCTGCCTCCCAGGTTCAAGTGATTCTCCTGCCTCAGCTTCCTGAGTAGCTGGGACTACAGGCACCCACCACCACGCCTGGCTGTTTTGTATTTTTAGTAGAGATGGGGTTTCACCATATTGGCCAGGCTGGCCTCAAACTCCTGACCTTGTGATCCGCCTGCCCCGGCCTCCCAAAGTGTTGGGATTACATGCATGAGCCACCATGCCTGGCTATTTCTTTTTTATAAACTTACTTACCAAAATATATCTTCATATCCATAACTTCACATTTCTCTTTCCTGCTTACTGATTCCTATCTTATTTCATATTTGGAAATAACCTTGAAATAACCTCCAAATTAGACAAAATTATTCTTTAAAAAAATAAAGATCACATTTTATGCCTTTTTTATATTTTTCCTCATCAGAAGCACATGTTATATGGAAATGATCCACACACTTAAAGAACATCTGTTATTTAACATAACACAACTTTAAAATTTAAAGTACATGAAAAGTTCATTTATAAGAATTAATTGGCTGGGCTTGGTGGCTCACACCTGTAATCACAGCACTTTGGGAGGCTGAGGTGGTGGATTACCTGAGGTCAGGAGTTCGAGACCAGCCTGGCCGACATGGTGAAACACCATCTCTACTAAAAATACAAAATTTAGCCAGGTGTGGTGGCGTGCACCTGTAGTCCCAGCTACTCGGGAGGCTGAGGCAGGAGAATCGCTTGAACCCAGGAGGTGGAGGTTGTAGTGAGCTGACATTGTGCCAATGCACTCAAGCTTGGGCAACAGATGGAGTGAGACTCTGTCGCAAAAAAATAACGAATTTATCAGATTTACATTTACGTAATGTATTTATTTATTTATTTACGTATTTAGGGCACATTGGCATTGTGTGTACTAATATACTTATTTTTAACAGATTACCTAGATTACTTATGAAAACTGAGATATTGGCTGGGCACACCTGTAATCCCAGAACTTTGGGAGGCCTAATCAGGCAGATCATGAGGTCAAGAGTTCAAGACCATCCTGGGCAATATGGTGAAACCCCGTCTCTACTAACAATACAAAAATTAGCTGGGCTTGGTGGCATGTGCCTGTAGTCCTGGCTACTTGGGAGGCTGAGGCAGGAGAATTGCTTGAACCTGGGAGGCGGAGGTTGCAGTGAGACAAGATCGCGCCACCGCATTCCATCCCAGGCGACAGTGTGAGACCCCGTCTCAAAAACAGAAAAAAGAAGACATAGTGAGAGCGGAGTAAGCATGTCACTTAAACATGTGGAAGTGAACACCCAAAAGTACAAAGCAGCTGTGAAACTTGGAAGCAGTAACCTCTGGGGATTGGGAACATGGTGGGCAGAGGGACAGGGGGTGACCACTGATTTTTTAAAAATCCAAGCTGTCCTGTGAGACTTTTATTATTTATTTATTTACTGAGACAGGGTCTTACTGTTGTCCAGGCTGGAGTGCGATGGCATGATCATGGTTCACCATAGGCTTGACCTTCCAGGTTCAAGTGATCCTCCTACTGCAGCTTCCTGAGTAGCTGGGACCACAGGCACACATCACCACACCCAGCTAATTGTTTGTATGTTTTTGTAGAGACAGGGTTTTACCATGTTGCCCAGGCTGGTCTCGAACTCCTGGCCTTAAGCGATTTCCCACCTCGGCCTCCCAAAGTGCTGCATTGTGGGAGGCTGAGGTGGGAGGATCGCTTAAGCCTGGGAGGTTGGGCCTGCTGTGAGCTGTGATCACGCCACTGCATTCCAGCCTGGATGCCACAGTGAGACCTTGTCTCTAAATAAATAAATAGTAGGAAAATGTTTCCGACATGGTGAATGTGTGGTACTATATAGTCCTAAGAAGCTCAGTGGGCCAGATGTGGTGGCTCACGCCTGTAGTCCCAACACTTTGGGAGGCCGAGGCGGGCGGATCACCTGAGGTCAAAAGTTTGAGACCAGCCTGGCCAACATGATGAAACCCGTCTCTACTAAAAACACAAAAAATTAGTCAGGCGTGGTGGCAGGTGCCTGTAATCCCAGCTATTCAGGAGGCTGAGGCAGGAAAATCACTTGAACCTGGGAGGCAGAGGTTGCAGTGAGCCTAGATCATGTCACTGCACTCCAGTCTGGATGACAAGAGCGAAACTCCATCTCAAAAAAAAAAAAGAAAAGAAAATTAGCTGGGCATGAACCCAGGAGGTGGAGGTTGTAGCAAGCCAAGATCGTGCCACTGCACTCCAGCCTGGGTGACACAGCAAGATTCCATCTCAAAAAAAAATAAAATAAAAAAGCAGCTCAGTGAACCCAAGCAAGGTAAATACAAAGGAAAATATGCTTAGGCACATGCTAAGAAAACTGAAGATCAGGCTGGGGGTGTTGGAACATGCCTGTAATTCCAGTATTTTGGGAGGCTGAGGTGGGAGGATCACTTGAGCCCAGGAGGTTGAGGCTGCAGTGAGCCATGATTGTGCCACTGCACTCCAGCCTGGGCAACAGAGTGAGGCCCTGTCTCAAAAAAAAAAAAAAAAGAAAAAAAAAAGAAAAAGAAAAGAAAAAGAAAACTGAAGACAGGGATAGTCTTGAAAGAGCCAGAGGACATGCCACATTGTCACATAACCTGCTGGGGAACCAGGACACAAATGACTGATCACTGATTCTCACTGGCAAGGATGGAAGTTGGAAGACAATGGGATGACGTTTATACAATAGTGTATCCTTCAAACACAAGGGCAAAATAGAGACATTTTCAGTTAAATGAAAGATGAAACTACAGCAGATGGTACTAAAAGGACCGAAGAAAGGCTGGAGGGAAATTATGCCAGAGAGACACTAAGATCTGCAGATGGAAATGAAGAGACTTTTTTTCTCCAGAAGTCTTTGGAATTGTCTTTTCTCCATGCATGAAGCTAAATGGATAACTGGTAGACAGACTGGTGCAACATCTCCAGTGAGATACGAGAGGCTCACCAGACCCCCCAAAGCTGCTTCTTTGTATCAGCTGCTTTCCTCTGGGCCCGAAGTCGGAAGAATCCAGGAATAGGAGGGAGTGCAAACAAACGACCCCGGAGTGGGACGGACGGAGTGGGATGGAGTGGGACGGAGTGGGCAGTGAGGACAGCCTCACACAGACACCTGTATCCATCATGCCTTGGTGCAGGGAGTGCCAAGGACAGGGCACAAGTGACTTGTGGCATCAGGCCTGGACTCCCGATGGAGGGCCAGATGGGACAACGGCTGTCTTGGTGGACACCTGCAGAGGACAGCTAGATGTAGCTGTCCCCTCTCTCTCAGCCCAGGCTCACTACGGAGCTAGCTGAGCCCCACTTGCATGGGTCTCCCAGGCTCTGAAAAGGGCCTCCCAATGCGTTCATGAGATCAGGTGTTGGTTAAGTTTGTCATGTTAGGAGGCCTGAACTGCAGTGTTAACAAGGCTGCCTCTTTCCAGGCCAACTCCACCTTCATCACAATCTTCCTGGGGGCTGGTGGCACTGGAGTGACGATAAGCATTTTTGGCACACAACAAAGGGGGACTTGAGTGGAGATACATCCAGTCAGAGTTTATGGGATATTTTCTTTTTCTTTCTTTCTTTTTTTTGTTTTTCTGAGACAGCAGAGTCTTGCTCTGTCCCTAGGCTGGAGTGCAATGGTGCGGTGTCGTCGACTCACTGCAACCTCCGCCTCCCGGTTCAAGCAATTCTCCTGCCTCAGCCTCCTGAGTAGCTGGGACTACAGGCACGCACCACCATGCCCAGCTGATTTTTGTATTTTTAATAGAGACAGGGTTTCACCGTGTTGGCCAGGATGATCTCGATCTCTCAACCTCGTGATCCATCCGCCTCGGCCTTCCAAAGTGCTGGGATTACAGAAGTGAGCCACTGCGCCCGGCCACAAGAGATTATTTTCATTCAGTGGAAGCACATCCTTGCTGGCCGGCTGAGGCTGTTGAGTCCTTAGCCGAACGGAGCTTGGTGCTGGAAGTCGGCGGGAAACAGAGAAGCAAGGTTTGTATGGACGGAGCCATCAGTGTGTCCCCAAGGTTCTTCCAATCATCCGGTGTGAAAAACGGTAAGCAGAAGACTCAACTTCCCACTGCCTGGTTAGAATTACAGTTGTCTCCTCCGCGGAGTGCATTTGCTAATGCAGCATTTCCAATTTAATACAGCATTTATGTATGTTTTCTTTTTGGATGGAGACTGCATTTATCAGGTTCCTTGTTTGTGGAGCATCTATTCAAAGCCCGGAAGTCAATACTATGATTAGGGCCTGCGGTGGCTCAAGCCTGTAATCCCAGGCTTTGGGAGGCCGAGGCGGGAGGATCACGCGAGCTCAGGAGTTCCAGACCGACGAGCCAGGGCGGCACGGAGACCCCATCTCTACCCCACAAAATACAAAAATTAGCCAGGCGTGGGGGCCGCGCCTATAGTCCCATCGCTTGAGCGCAGGACGTCGAGGCTGCAGTGAGCTGAGATCTCAATGTTGTGCTCCAGCGTGGGCCACAGAGTGAGACCCTGTCTATAAAAATAAAAATCCTAAAAAAGTTGTTCAATGATAATGTATAATGACCTTTCTCATTATACAAAACGGCTGGAAAATAGGGTATTACAGAATTATTGTCATATAACATATACACTTTATACATTACAGAAAATAAACATCATGCAAAACCATTCATTTTTGCAACCGATGTTTTCACAGTTTTCCATTCTTTTTCTTTTTTTTTGAAACGCAGTTTCATTCTTGTTGCCCAGGCTGGAGTGCAATAGCGCGATCTCGGCTCACCGCAACCTCCGCCTCCCGGGTTCAACTGATTCTTCTGCCTCAGCCTCCCCGAGTAGCTGAGATTACAGGTGCCCGCCACCACGTCCGGCTAATTTTGTATTTTTAGTAGAGACGGGGTTTCTCCATGTTGGTCAGGCTGGTCTCGAACTCCCGACCTCAGGTGATACGCCCGCCTCGGCCTCCCAAAGTTCTGGGACTACAGGCGTGAACCACCGTGCCCGGCTTGCGTTCTTTTTCTTAAAGAGTCCCACCTGCGGATCACGAGATCAGGAGATCGAGACCATCCTGGCCCGTCTCTACTAAAAATAAAATAAAATAAAATAAATAAATTAGCCGGGCGTGGTGGCTGGCGCCTGTAGTCCCAGGTACTCGGGAGGCTGAGGCAGGAGAATGGCATGAACCCGGGAGACGGAGTGAGCCGAGATCGCGCCACGGCACCCAGCCTGGGCGATAGAGCAAGACTCCATCTCAAAAAATAAAAGTTAAAAAAAAAAAAGTGTCCCACCCCACGCTGCGTTTCGGGCCCCACGGCCCTGGTCCTCGAGCGCAGGTCCCAGCCGCGCAGGCGGCAAAACAAAGGGGGGCGGCCGCACGGCTAGAGCGGAGACCCCGCGCCCCCTCCGCCCGCGTGGCCCGGCCGGGGTGCGGGGCCCGGGGAGGCACGGGGGCTGCGCGTCGGGGCGCAGCCGCCGCCCGCGTGTGCTCGGAGGCCGCGGGGCCCGGGCTCCGGGGTCCTCCCGACCTGCAGCCCCAGCGGCTACCGCGCCTCGCCAGGCCAGGCCAGGCCCCGACGTCGCCTTCCCTACGTCGCCGGCGCCCGGCCACGACGTCCCTCAGACGAGCCGAACGCCGAATGGCCCCGAGCACGGGAAGTGCCCGCCCCCCGCGTGCAGCCAGCCAATGGGACGCCGAAAGCGGGGAGGTGCCGAGGGGACGTAGCGTCGCCGCGCCAGGTCTCTAGCAGCTGCCGCTGAGCCGCCGGACGGACGCTCGTCTTCGCCCGCCATGGCCGAGAGCGACTGGGACACGGTGACGGTGCTGCGCAAGAAGGGCCCTACGGCCGCCCAGGCCAAATCCAAGCAGGTGCTTTGCTGACTGAGGAGCGGCCGGGCCGGGCGGGGCGGACGCTGGGCCGGGGCCACGGACCGTGGGGCAGGGGGCTCGGGGAAGGGCAGGCGGGGCCTGGGACAGGGCGCAGGGGACGGGGACAAGGCTGGGGTGCCGGGGGCAGGACGGGGTTCGAAGGGCGGGGCGAATCGCAGGGGTAGGAGGACCGGGCCAGGACAGGGGTGGGAAGGTGGGGGGCGGACCCAGGAGGGGATGGACGGACCCAGGAGGCAGGGGGCGGGCGACTGGAGGAGGAGAGGAGCAGGGAACCGGACGGGGCAAGGGGCAGGCGATAGGGCCGGGACCAGTGCCAGGGTGGGGCGGGGAGGGGATAGGGGCAGGGACTGTTGGTGGGGACAGGTGTGAGGACAGAGGCAGGAGGTGGGGACGGGGACGGGGACAAGGCTGGGGGCCTTGTGTGAGGATAGGGGACAGAGAACCAGGGTGGGCACTGGGAACGGGGGCAGGGATGGAGATGGGGACAGGGCTTGGAAGAACAGGGTAGAGTGGGGTACAGGGCTTAGGACAGGGGTGGGGACTGGGGCAAGCAGCAGGAACCAGCGATGAAGGTGGGGAATTGGGGTTGGGATAGGGCTGGGGGCCATTGGACAGCAGTTGAGGGCCTGGGGCGGGAGACTGGGTGACGGGGCAGAGGTTAGTGACCTGAGTGGGAGCTGGGGACAGGGGGTAGGCTCCTCCCTGAGAGTTTTCTCTCTGCCTGGGACCTGCTTGGTTCTACTGGTCTCCGCTGGTCAGATACTGCCCAGGGAGCCTGCCTGGGTGCATCACAGGCTGTAGAGAGTGCCTGCTTCAGGGGACCCCATGAGCAGGTGGACCCTGTTGCACAGGTGGAAGATGGGCGTGCCCTGAACAGTACTTGTGGAAGGAGATTACCAATGTGGCTGATGGATCCGAGGGTCAGTTGTGAGTCTGATGTAATAGGGAGGACAGTTTAGTCACCGCCTCTGCCTCATTCGTACCCTCAGGTGGCCTAGGGCTGAAGCCTTTGAGGCCAGTTGGGCCAGGATGCGCTGGGGCTCTGGTGACAGGGATTCATTGGTCTGCCCTACCCTTACTGGTTGCACAGTCAAAACCAAATTCACTCTCCTTTTCTTTTAAAGGAAACTTAATGGCCACAAGCTAGGAGTCATGGGAATAATTGCGTGGCAGCATCTGTGAGCAGATCACACTTAGGATGCTCCACAAGTCACTCCTCTGAAGTGGTAGAAATGTTGGCCGGGCGCGGTGGCTCACGCCTGTAATCCCAGCACTCTGGGAGGCCAAGGCAGGTGGATCATGAGGTCAGGAGTTCAAGACCAGCCTGGCCAAGATGGTGAAACCCCGTCTCTACTAAAAATACAAAAAATTAGCCAGGCACGGTGGCAGGAGCCTGTAATCCCAGCTACTCGGGAGGCTGAGGCAGGAGAATTGCTTGAACTCGGAGGGCGAAGGTTGCAGTGAGCCGAGATCGTGTCACTGCATTCCAGCCTGGGCAACAGAGTGAGACTCTGTCTCAAAAAAAAAAAGTTAATAAATACATTATATTAATATTCAGTGACTGTAGATGAGATGGCATCACTGTTATTGGTGATGTTTCTGGAGAGCCTGCAGGCTTCCATGAGATGTGTCATCTCTGTGTTACTAGGAACCAGATTCAGGGAGGAAGGCCACACCAGGCCAGTATTTGGTGTTCCTTCCTACTTTTGCAGTAGAGTCCAGCAGAAAAGTAAATCTGTGCTAAATATGATTTCTCAAAAAGAATCCACTAACGCATACCAGCTATTCAGGAGGGAGGCTGAGGCCAGAGGCTCACTTGAGCCCAGGAGTTCCAGACCAGCCTGGGCAACATAGCAAGACCTCAACTCTAAAAAAAAAAAAAAAAAATCCCTAGTGTGTCTTTCTCAACAGCAAAGGAAGTGGTGTTCTCTTAGCAGTTAACTGTGACTTTCTTAGACATCTGATTGTAGAGGCTTTTGTATAATGAGTTTGGGGTTTTGTTGTGTTTTATTGTTTGTAGAGACAGGATCTTGCTGTGTTGCCCAGGCTGGTCTCGAACTCGTGGCCTCAAGTGATCCTGCTACTTCGGTTTCCCAAAGTGCTGGGATTACAGGCATAAGCCATGGTGCCTAGTTGAGCTTAGGTAACTGAACCCAGGACTGCATATCAGTCCTTGGGCACCACTAGTCCTTAGCAGTGTGCTAACTGGCTAACAGCAGGCCTGAATTGGTGTGTGCTGGATACTGTCAAAGCTAATTTTGATCCACTGATGTTTTCTAATTTTCTAGGCTATCTTAGCGGCACAGAGACGAGGAGAAGATGTGGAGACTTCCAAGAAATGTAGGTACTTGTGTTTCCGCTTGCAACATGAGGCTGTGCTGTGGGGTCCATGTGCTGGTGGGTGTGGTGTGTGCGGCGCCCCCGGGGACGTTGTCAGCTGAGTGCCTGCCTGCACCGGTGCTGGCCGGAGCCCTGGGAGGCAGCCATCTTCCCAGAGCAGCTCTGGTTGGCATGAGTACAGCTGCCTGTCCTCATAACTGAGAGAAAACTCTGGAAGTCCACGACCTGAGGTGTGTGAACTTGGGACAGCCTGGGTTCCCATGTCCCCTTGAGTTCAGGCAGCCTCTGGGGTCTGGTTACCGCTTTGAAATGGTTTTTCTTCAGGTTAATTCCAAATCCTCTCCTCTGCTTTTGCCTCACACCGACTCCAGGGGCTGCTGGCCAGAACAAACAACATTCTATTACCAAGAACACGGCCAAGCTGGACCGGGAGACAGAGGAGCTGCACCATGACAGGGTGACCCTGGAGGTGGGCAAGGTGATCCAGCAAGGTCGGCAGAGCAAGGGGCTTACGCAGAAGGACCTGGCCACGGTGAGGCTGCGCCGGGGCTCTCACTCCTGGGGTTGTGGGTTTGGGGAGGGGGATGGCCGGTGTTCAGATAGCACGGGGAGGGTGGGCTCCACCCCCCTGGTTCCCCTGCAGGGAATGCCTCGGGAAGCCAGGTCAGCCCGGCTCTCACTGCCTCTCGCACAAAACCCAGCTGCGTGTGGGTGCGTACCCCAGGGGCCCTAGAAGCTGCTGTTCTCAGGCGACGCTTCGCGCCTGGTTTTGCAGCAGTCCTAGTGGAGCTGATGTGTATAAAGCACATCTTCTCTTTAGAAAATCAATGAGAAGCCACAGGTGATCGCGGACTATGAGAGCGGACGGGCCATACCCAATAACCAGGTGCTTGGCAAAATCGAGCGGGCCATTGGTGAGTGTCCCTCCACCCTTCGCCGGGTCCGCTGAACAGGGAGGCTACCCGCTCCCAGCTGGGGTTGGTGAGAGTGGGACTCGGGGGAAGAAGATGGCCCTGGGGGTCCCCTGTTCTCTGAATTCTGGAGCTTTGCTTCTCCAGGTAGTACAGACTGAGGGATGGTGGGGTCTCTGCAGGCCTCAGGAAACCCCTAAGAGCAAGTGGAGTCCGAGTCCCTTCCCCTTGCCAGTTCCCGTCAGCCTGTGCTGTTGGCGATGGTTCTCTGAGCCTGAGCACAGCGGGTCCGGGCCCTGTCAGCATGGGGCCGGAAGCCAGTTCCACAGAGGACCCCGGCTCCGGTTCTTCCGGAGAGGGGTGTTCATGCTCTGCTGTCTAAGGTGATCAGACTCATCCTCTTCAAAATTAGATGTGGGAACCAGGAGTGCTCGTGTGCTGAGAGCCCAGTGAGGCACGGGAGCGGCGTGGCCCCCCTTCCCTGGGAAGATGTTGAAGAGGGGCAGCGTTGGGGGGAGGAGGGAGCTGGTGCTGCAGTGGCCAGTGGCTGTGGCTCATTTCAGGCCTCAAGCTCCGGGGAAAGGACATTGGAAAGCCCATCGAGAAGGGGCCTAGGGCGAAATGAACACAAAGCCTCGAAATCAGTGCGCTCCAGCTGATCTCGTTCCGCCGGTTCCCCTTGGCCGCCAGTTCCGTTCTCCTCACGGGCCGAACGGAACAAGGGGTCCAGCTTGCGGGGGACCCTCCCCAGCCCATTCCTGCTGTCAAACAAACAAAACCTTGCAAAGCGCTGGGTTCTGCTGGCTGTTTTTCTCCCTACATCGCGTTCCTCAGATCAGGGTGCAGAACTCCACCTTCCTGTCCTGGGGTGTCTGCCCAGTAGCGGTTGTGGCTCAGAGGCCTCGGGGAGCTCTGAGCACCACCTTATACAAGGGTGAGGGGTGGAGGCCTGAGGCGTGGAAGGAAGAGGAGCGGTGTCACTGGGCGCTGCTTTCTTTGATGCAGCTCTGAAGAGAAGCTGGGAAAAGTTCCTGCCCTTGGCGCTGGGGCCAGATTGTCCGGTCCTGCTCTCAGCTCCCAGGCCCCTAGTTGTGGGGAAAGCTGGTGAATTTTCATGACTGATGCCCGGGAGTGGGCTGCCGGGGGGAGCTCTGAAGGTCTCTGCAGGGCCATTTCCTCTTCGCCCATCTGCGTGGACAGTTGGTGGGCACTGGTCAGCCCCACGGCACCTGAAGACGAGGGACGGCGGTAGCCGTGCCCAACTGCCGCCCTCCGCTGGGACTTAGTCCCCAGGGCGGATGGGAGCCTAGCGGCTGGCAAGGGTGCTGTGCTGTGCCCTCCAACACCGCATGGCTCCTGGGGGCAGATGTGTGTTCATGAGGCAGGGTAGGGCTTTCCTGTGGGCAGGAGGGGGCCTGGCTGCACAGGTCTGGGTATCGCTACCCTCCCTGGGGACAGCCACCCACAGCCAGGCCTCAGAGCCACAAGACCAGGCCCTCACCATGGGGCAGTGGCCAAGTCACCCACATGGAGGAGCAGAGCTCTGGGAGCTGAGGTTAGTGACGTTGACCCTGCGTTAGGATGGCAGTCCTCTGCTGGTGCCCCAGGCCCAGTGACAGCTTCACAGGGTCACCCTCCTGCTCAGGCATGGGGGCCAAAGGGAAGGGCTCAGCCGCAGCCTTGAGGCACCCACTTAGCTGGCCACTGCGACCCACAGCCCTGGGGCACCTGGTGACCTGGGTACTGTGACCCACAGCCCCTGGGGCAGCTCAGGCCTATACCACAGACAGTGGGCCCAGCTGGGGCACTTCTCCCTTCCAGGCCTGCTCCATGCACCCTGTCCCCTAAGGGTCATCTCCTCTGCATGCCCCTGATGCTGTGGGTCAGTTTCACTGTTGTCCTCAATAGATGCAGAGCCCCTAGCTGGTAGGGCCTGCCCCGGCCCTTGTCCTGGGTGGGTCTGTGTCCTGATGAGAGAGGGTCCCCTTGTCTCTGGTTCCTGAGCTGCATCCAGAAGCAAGCAGGCGCCCCTAGCACGTCACTTAACACTTGCAGCCCCCACCCTCACTGGCTGGTAAAGTGTGGACACACTGACTTCACCCTGGGAGCTTGGGCTGCCCTCATGGGCCAGGGTGTTTATTCACAGAGCAACAGAGTCAGCACAGGGCAGGGAACGCCCAGGCCTCAGCATATCCTGAGACCTGCAGCCTGTCCCAGCCTGGGCGGGGCAGGTGTCCGGTCCCTGGCTAGGGTCTGACCAAGTGCTGGATGTCACGTGAGGAAGCGGGGCCTTGTCTGGGGTGGTCTACGGATCACTGGTGACAGATGCCGGGAGGGTGACACCATCCTAGGAGGAGGAAGAGGAGCTTTTTTTTTCTTTCTTTCCTGAGACGGAGTTTCGCTCTTGTCAACCAGGATGGAGTGCAATGGCACGATCTTCGCTCACTGCAACCCCTGCCTCCCTGGTTCAAGCGATTCTCCTGCCTCAGCCTCCCGAGTAGTTGGGATTACAGGTTCCTGCCACCATACCCAGCTAATTTTTTCTAGTTTTAGTTGAGACGGGGTTTCACCATGTTGGGCAGGCTGGTCTCAAACTCCTGACCTCAGGTGATCCGCCCACCTCAATCTCCCAAAGTGCTGGGATTACAGGTGTGAGCCACCGCGCCCGGCCAAGGAGGAGGAGCTTTGACAGTGGTGGCTGGGAGAGGCAGGGCAGGGAGGGCAAGGATGGGCCTTGCACAGGTGGGGGCTCCTCCCCGGGGGGTTGTGTCCCGCCACTGCCCGCCCTCCAGCGTCACAGCTGAGCACAGAGGCTCCTGCCCACCCATCCCCAGGGGCTCCTACCGCATTGAAAAGGATGTTGTCAAAGCCAGGGGCTGTGGCCTCTGTGTTGCTCTGGAAGGGGCAGCTCCCCTTCTTCTGCAGCCAGCGCCGTCCCCCAAGTCCCAGCAGCACCAGGAGCATGAGCAATAGGAGGGCACTGCCAACCACAGCTGGCACAGACCCGGGTGCGGCTGTGTTCCCTGTGGGCCATAGGGACATGTGAGCCCTCCAAAGCAGCCCCCACATCTGGGGCTAAGGAGGAAGCCTGGGGCTGCATGGTCCCTCAGCCTCTGCTGGCTCCTGGGGTTCACCCCTATTTCAAAGGCAGAGGGTATTGGTTCTGCTACCACAAGGATGGGGCCTGGCAGACAGGCAGCTGCTGTCTGCAGACTTGGTGGGGCTCATGGCCCCAGGCGAGATTCTTTCCCTCACCAAGTGAGAGCAGTCAGTGGCTGCCCTGACCCGGCTGGCGGTTCCTCCAGGATGGACCTTGCCCTGGGTGTGGGCACAGGGAGCACAGAGGCCACAGCCAGGCAGGGCAGGCCCCAGAGGCTGCACCCCAGGGACAGCCCAGCCCAGGCAGCGGCCCCAGGGGTGAGCAGGGCAGAGTGAGGAGGGCACAGGGCCTGGGCCTGGCAGCTCTCTTGTCCTGTCTGGGTGCAGCATGCTCGCAGCTCCTGGGACCACACACTGGTAAGCCTGGCAAACCCCGAGCCAGGCTGGCCCCTTGGGCCCTCCTCCGTGCCTCCACTGCAGCCCAGGGCTCACCCGGGCTGGGGGCAGGCTGCTGGCAATGCTGCCCAGCCAGATACTCCACGTCATCCAGGGCAATGGGCCCCAGGGCTGGCTGGCCGCCCAGAGTGGCTTCAAACACGATCTGATGGAGAAGGAAAGGAGTTTGTGTGGGCCCTGGGTGGAGGAGGAGGAGGCTCCTTGCCCACAGCCAGCCTCACCTGGAACTCCTTGGCACTGGCTACCTCCACCTGGGCCTCCAGCCACTGGTGCCGCCGATGCCCGCCTGCGCCCCACACAGCCAGCTGGCCCTGAGCACTGTGCAGCAGTACCTTCAGCTCCCCCTTGTCTGAGAGCAGGGCCAGGGCGTGTCAGGCCTGGGGTCCTGGGGCTCCTGCACGCCTAACCAGGGGCGGGCTGGGGAGGCCACCTCCCCACCTCTGCTCCTGGACCCCTGCTGCCCCCGTTGCCCAGGCACCCATTGGCCCAGCCGGACTCACAGAAGTGCTCAGGAAAACCCATGTGGTACCAGAAGCGGAGGCAGGAGGCTGGGGTGGCCGGCAGAGGCTCGCTGCGCAGCCAGGCGGCCCGGCCCCCGGGGCCCAGCACGCCAGTTTCAAAGAAGGCAAAGTGGCCTGGGAACAAGAGGAGGCTGATGCCCAGCTGATGGGCAGAGCCAGCCCTCAGGGCCCGAGCAGAGGCTCGGTGAGCAGGGCCTCCTCTGGATGGGGCATGTACTCTGTGGGTGGGCAGCAGGAGGCCAGGTGGCTGTGTGTGCCTCCCCACCTGGCTCCAGTGGGCACGTACCTGCCTCTGTGCCCAGGGTGTGGTCCACAGGGGGCTGGGGGTAACGAGAGGGGGTGGCTCCCCCGCCCCAGTCCCAGCTGTATCCGCCCAGGCCGGGCCAGGCCAGGTGGCTCCAGCCACACAGGCCAGACTCAAAATCACAGGAACCTGCAGGACATGGGTGGGTGAGTGGTGCTGCCCCACGGCCCAAGCCCTGGGCACCACGACTACGAAGGGAAAGGGCTAGGCAGGCACCCCAGAGCAGGGCCGAGGCCACGGCAGGGCTCCCACCTGGCTGAGGGCAGGGCCCGTCCTGGAGGAGCAGATCATCCAGAGCCACGTAGGAGTGTGCCACGCCTGCGGCCACTGCCTCAAACACCACCTGGCGGGTGCAGGGCAGGGCAGCCTCAGCGGGTCCAGGCAGCCCTCGGGGGAGGGGGAGGGGGAGGGGCACCCCACCCTGCACTCACCCTCCAGGCTCGCTCGGCCTGCACGTCCATGCTGCCCAGGCGCCAGGCAAGCCCGCCGTGGGCACTGAGGCTGAGCACCTGGTGCCTCCCGCGCTCCTCCAGGTAGACCCGCAGGGTGCCTGCCAGCAGGGGCGGCCCAGGTCAGCAGTGTGGGGAGAGCACCTGCAGGCCCTGGTCTGAGCTCCCAGGCTCCCAGCCTGGCGGGCGCAAGAGGCTCCCCAGTGGCCTCAGCACAAGGCTGGTGGGGACACCAGGCCAAGCTTCCCTGAGCCCACTGGGGCCCCCTCCCAAAGCCCCTCACCTGGGCTGCGGAGGCTCCCGTGGTACCAGAAGGTCAGACAAGCAGGCTGGGCCAGGGGCCTGTGCTCCTTGGAGGTCAGGGAGGCCGTCTGGCCCCGGGGTAGTGCGTCTGGGCTTGTGTCCACCACCATGTAGTGCCCTGGAGGTGCCAGCATCAGCCTGCCAGCCCCTGGCCAGCCCCTCAATCCCTGCCCCTGCCAGGCCCCCATACCTTGGGCTGTCTCAGTGGTATGGTCTGTTGGGGGGCCCCAGGCAGCATGGCCCGAGGCATTGGCCTGCCGCCTCCAGAGACCTTGGCCTCCAGGGGAGAAGCCGCAGTCTGAGTCCTCAAAGGAGCAGTAATTAGGGGCCCAGCAGGGGCCCGGCCGCACGGCCACATCGTCCAGCGCCATGGTGCCGTGGTATCCGTCCCGGAGGCCCTCGAACAGCAGCTGGGGGTGGAGGGTGTCAGCTGGCCAGGGGCCCTGCCCTGTCCTCCCACCCGGGTGCCAGGCCTCACCTGGTACTGGGCATGGGAGCCAGGCTGGTGGGAAAGGGTGGCCCAGGCCTCGTGCCAGCGGTTGCCCTGGGTGCCTGACCGCGACCACAGGTGTGTCTCCTCCCCTTCCCGTCTCATGGCTAGGCGCAGAGTCCCTGCAGGGAGGGGACCAGTCCATAACTGACCTCTCTCCTGTGCCTTGATGGGTGTCAGAGCGGGGGACTCTGAACCCCCGGGGGCCTCCCCACAGGCTCTGCCCTGTTTCCAGGTCCACTCACCAATCTGGGGCCCATGGAGGTGGTACCAGAAGCTGAGACACTCCGTGGGTGCTGCTGGCACCTGGGGCCTGGAGAGCAGGTGGGCACTGTGGCCCCAGGCCAGGGGGTCTGTGGGGTCCAGGAGCACAAAGTGGCCTGCAGGGGGCATGGGGCTGTGCTGCAGAGATGCCCCACTCTCGTCTGAAAGCCACCCCCGGTCTGAGCGCCCATCCTACCTTGGCCTGTGGTGTGGTCGTGGTCAGGGCCGCGGCTCTCCACCCAGCGCCAGTGTGTGTCTGAGAGGTGGCCTGGGTACCAGCTGCATGTGTCCCGCTCAAAGTTACAGGAGACCTCTGGGGGTGGGGCCAGGTGGCGTCACACACCTTCTCCCCTCCCCCTCCAGAGCCCTGAGAAGGTGGAAGCTCCGGGGTCCCTGGAGGAGTGTAAGGGGAGCACCCAGGTGGGAGTGAGGATGGGCAGCAGGAACCTCTGTCTCTCTCGGTGGTCACTGTGGGGCTACAGTCCCTCAGGGTCACGTTGTCCACCCCAGCTCCCTGCTGGTCAGGGCCATCCAAGTCCACCAAACCGACAAACTCCAGCTTCATGGGGTAGGGGGATGAGGAGGATGGTTAAGTCAGGGCCCGCTCCAGCGGAGCTCCCACTCTGGGCTGCCCTCCTCACCCGGAAGGGCCGGCGGCGGGCCCCTAGAAGGACCTTGTCCACCTTCCAGATGCCTGCACTGCTGCTCAGGGCCTGCCATGCCAGCTCCCGGGAGCCGTTGTCCACCACAACTAGTGCCAGGAAGCCTGGCCAGCGGGGCGGGGGGCACTGTGGGTCACCCGGCCCCAGACCCCTCCCACTGTGCAGGGAGCACCCAGGGGCTGGCCAGGGAACTTGCGGAGTGTGGCGGTACCTCGGGGCTGGCTCTGTAAATAATAAGCCAGGTGGAGTTCACAGCTGGGGCCAGAAGGGCCAAGGAGGGGTGTGAGGACCCGGGCCTCAGCGCCTAGCTGCCCCCAGGCCCGCTGCAGAGACAGGAAGTGCCCTAGGGGAAGAGCATGGTGCTCAGAGCCTCATCCCTTCCAGGGCCCCACTCTGTCCCTCAGGGATCCCCAGTCCAGAGACCCTCTGTAGTGCAGAGGCAGAGCAGAGACCCCTCTGAGGACGCTGCTCACACCCGGGCGGGGGCTTGAGCCTTGGGCCTTGGGCCTCACCAGCAGCAGCTGCACTGGACCCCTGGCTCTCCTGGGCTGAGACACGCCGCCACTGCAGCCGCCCCACGCTGGCGTCCTCCCAGCCCCCAGCCTCGGGGGACTCAAAGTCTGTGGTGCCTGGAACAGCAGCCGGCACTGAATGGCAGAGTCCTCAGAGTCCTCAGCCTGCCCCGGCGCCTACCCCCTTGGCTCCGCAGCAGGAGGTCTGCAGGAGGTTGAGCCCCTTTACCACAGGCCTGCTCGTCCTCGCCCCCTGCGCACTGCTCCTCGAAGTCACACAGTTGTTCCGGGGGCACACACAGGTCCCCGCAGGCAAGATGCCCCTGCTTGCAGGAATCCTGGAGCCGCGAGCTGGGCGGCAGGGGCTGGGGGGCTGGGGCCCGGGGCCCAGGAGGCAGCGGCTGCAGGGTGGACACCTCTGTGGGGGCAGAACTGGTGTCAGGAGGCAGGGATGGGGAGTGCTGTGCCTCTCCAGGGCAAGGCAGGGTAGGGCAGAGTCAGCAGGCTCACCCGAGACTGGTCTGCAGTGGTCAGACAGGATGAGGTCGTCCAGACCCACGACGCCCCCCGGGCCTGTCTGCCCGGCCAGGAGGATCTGAGGGCAGAGGGGCTCAGGGGGTGCCCAGCCTATTTCCCCCTGGGGTCTGGTCCCTGTCCACCCGCAGTGGGTACCTTGTGGGTTCCCCTCCCCTGCCCACAGTGCGGCTCCCCAGACCCCACCCTCTTGCTGTTCCCTACCTGGAAGGGGTAGGCGCTCTGGATGTCAACACGGTCTCGGACCCAGGCGGTCCCCAGCTCCCCTCGGCGCCTCCGCAGCAGGACGGGGGCCCGGGGGGCGCCGGGCCCCAGAGTCTGCAGGAACAGCTGGAGGCAGCCAGCCTCAGACCCACTCAGGTACTGATAGAAGACCAGCTGTGGAACCAAGAGCTGGCTGGGGGCCTGCACCGGGGCAGCCAGCACGGAGAGCAGGGAGGCCCTGTGAGCCCCACCCATCTCACCGAGCAGTTGGAGGTGCCTGAGGCTTGGAATTCGGGGCTGGAGAGTATAGCAGGGGTGCCAGGCTCGGCCACGGAGACCAGGAAGGAGCCTGCGGGAAAGGACGGGAGTGGGCCAGGGCCACTGGGCTGTGGCTGCGTGGGCAGGGCCTGGGCCGGGTCCTCTGTGGGCCTCACCCTGTGCACTGTTCCGGCTGTGGTCACGGCGTGGCCAGGAGGGGCGCTCAGGACCACCAGCGCGGTGGTTCCGGGACCAGCCTTCCGAGCGGTTCCATGGGCCCAGGCCTGTCTCAAAGTCGGTGGCTATGTGGCGGCCTAGGGCAGGAGGTGGGCGTGTCAGGGCCACCAGGCAGTGCTTCCTGAAGCCGTATGGCCCCAGCTCCAGGGGGGCCCTGGCAACCACACCCCAAGAAGGACCATCCAAGGATCCAAGGCACCCCCTCCTGGATGAGTGCCAGGGCCCCCACCGAGGCGTCCAGTCTCCCAGCCTCACTCTGGGCCCCCACTCCGGCCTCACCACAGGTGAGTGGGTTCTCATCAGACAGGTCCCCGCAGTTGTCTTCCCCGTCGCACAGCTGCTGGGGCTCCACGCAGACCTTGTTCTGGCAGTGGTGGTGTCCCGGGGGACAGTTGGCCTGGGGGGCTGGGTGGGGCAGGGTTAACCCTTCACCGAGGCCCCAGGAGTGGGAGAGCACTCGGGGGCAGACAGGGTCTGAGCAGGGGAGTGGGCAGGTGGGGGCCCTCCCGGGGGTGGAACAGGAAGAGGCGGTGCCTTACTGGGCAGACCACAGTCCCAGAACTCTAGGTCATCTAGAGCCACAGCGCCCCTGTGGGTGGCATTTCGGGTGGCAGAGAAGGTCACCTGAAGAGAACAGGCTCTTAGGACCTAAGTCAGGGCCCAGACCCCTCCTCAAGGCCCCCACTCGTCCAGACCCTCCCAGCTCACTCGGAAGTCACCCCGGATGCGGCCTGTGGTCACTGCCAACTCCTGCCAGCCAGGGCCCCAGGGCCCTGTGCTCTGCCACAGGGTCAGGGTCTCTGCGCCATGGGTCAGCTCCACCCGCAGTTCAGCCACATCTGCAATGTCAGGGGTCCCAGGGCAGCTGCGGCCCTGCTTGTCCCCAGCTGCCCACCCGCCCTCCCCTTGGGCACCCCCCACGAGCCTTGGGGGTCCAGGGTGCACCTCCAGAGGCCGCGTGGTACCAGAGCCTCAGCTTGCAAGAGGAGGCTGCCTCTCGCAGGGTTGGCGAGCGCAGGGCTGCGGTGGATGCCTCTTTCCCTCGGTGGGTTCCAACGGCCATGTACCAGCCTGGCGCAGGTGAGAGGTCAGGAGACGGGGCAGGGAGCAAGGAGGGTATTGGGACAGGGGCGCACAGAGACTTGCCCTGGCCTCACCCAAGTCGGTGCCCAGTGTGTGGTCTGAGTGAGGCCCAGGACCCTCCAGTGCGGCCCCTGCCCTGTCTCGGAGCCAGCTGTAGCCTGAGGTACTAATGTCCCGCCAGCCGCAGGGGTCCTGCTCGAAGTCACAGGCGAAGGGGGCGCCCAGGGTGGGCGAGGCCCCGTGGTAACCTGGGAGAGTGGGTGGTCAGGTGTGTGCCAGACCTGCTCGCACTGGCCCTGCCCGCCCATCTGGTCTTGGCTCACCACACTGGGCCTCATCTGAGCAGTCCCTGCAGTCACACACGAAGTTGCACACGGCCTGGCCAGGGCTCCTGCAGTGGTTGGGGACCCAGGCCCAGCCTGAGGACCCTGCTGCTGGGAGGTTGACAGCCAGGTGGCCTGGGGGCAGGGTGACCAGCCATCCCAGCCTGCCTAGGACTATTCAGTTTTAGCACTGGACATCTTTTGTCCGGGGATGCCCCTCAGACCAGGAGATGGAGCAGGGAGGGGCTGGGACCCACAGAGAACTCCCACCCGGCTCAGGACCAAGCACAGCACGTTCCTGTTTCCAGCCCTGAAGAGGCTGGGGAGGGGGACCCGGCCATGGGGCACCCCAAGAAAGGTAGCAGGAACCCAGAGTGCCCAGCAGGGAACTGGGCACTGGGAGGGCGACCCCCAATGGGAGGCATCGACGGGCGGCCCAGGGCCTCCACAAGCTCCACCCAGTCCAAGGGTGGCAGATGAAGGCTGGCAGAGCTGGGGGCACCTCCTGAGCCCTCTTGTCCCAGACTGGGAGGGGAGTCGTGCCTCTTCCTTTGCTTGGCAGGCCCGAGGACCCCATGGGCTGATTCCAGGTCACCCCCCTTGCAGGCCGGCCAAGGTAGTACCTTGCAACCCTCCTTCCCTTTGGGGCTCAGGCATCAGCCCTGGTGTCCGTCACTGCCACACAGATGGTAGGCTCAGAAGCCAGGGCCCCTGGTCCTGCCTCAGGAGTGGGACCAGACTACTTACCCAGGAACAGGACCAAGGCGGGCAGCAGGTGGCTGGACAGAGGCATGGTTGGGCCAGAGGGAGCAGTGCGGCCACACAGGGTGCCTGGGAAGTTCCGTGCGGTTATCAGCCTGCGCTGGCCCCGCACGCTGACTCTGCTGTTAAGTGGAGGGCCCCTCGGCCCGGCCCCACCCAGTGCTGACGGTGCCAAGCATGGGCCGTGAAAGTGGCCCCAGGAGGGGGCCTCTGACCCAGGGTCAGCTCCCACCTGCCCGGCTCCCTCAGACACAAGGTCAGGCTCTTCCACCCTGCCCTGCCCTGCCTGGTGAAGGGGAGGCTCCCACTGGAATGGGGAGGGACCCAGGCACCCCACCAGGACTCTGCTCGGCAGTGTGGGGCGGGCAGAGGCCGCCGTGGCCTCTCACTGTGCCTCTGGCAATAGCGTGGTGCTGGCCAAGGTCAGGACTCAACCAGTCCAGCAGCTGCAGGAGTCCAGCACGTGCACCAGAGCTGGTCCCTGCGTTCTCAGCCGTGGGGAACCTGCCTTTAAGTCAGGCTGTGGAGGATCACGCCGTCATTCATTCGTCCTGAGCAGCCAGGTGCTGTCCGGTGCCAGATACAGGGTCCCTAGGAGCCCAGAAACTTCGGTTTCTCATGGAGCAGACTCATGCTTGGGGCAGGGTCTTTGGGGCTGGGGAAGGAGTGTGGCATTTGGGGCCAGGCCCTGTTTGTGATTTCCCATGGTGTGACCTCGGAGCTTGTGTCACTGAGCCTCAGTGTCCCGGTCTGTAAAATGTGGTTATGACAGTGCCCGTCTGGAGAGGCTGGCCGGAGGACCAGTGAGCTGACAAAGGTGGGGGTGCCCTGTGTACAACCAGCCCTGGCCCCCAGGGTGCCCCTGCACCACCCCATGGAGTCCCACTGTGTATGGGGCTTCCCAGGGCAAGGCCTGAACCCGTGTCCTGCCCACAGCCCTGCCGGGTGCAAGAGGGACCTGGGAGGGGCCTCCAGAGTCAACGTGAGCCTGTGGGGTAGATGCAGCTGTGCGACCTGACCCTGGATACTGGTAGGCCCCATGGGGCTGGTCATGGAAGGAGCCTGCAGGTCACGGAAGGAGCCTCAGGGCAGACAGGACACTGGGGAGCCCTGGGATGGGCTCATAGGAGGGAGCACTGGTGGGCGCCCCAGGTCTTGGCCAGCCCGAGGGACCAGGCCCTGACTCCTCTCGCAAGGGCTTGCCAGACCTCCTCCAAGATGCCCTGGAGGACGATGGCCGTGGGAAGAGCAGTCAGGCCATCAGCGGGCCCCTTTATCAGACCCCAAAGGGCTGAGTGTGCACCGCCACTCCCTGGGGCCACTCCTGTGTTCCCCCACCCACCTGCTTTAGTTAGGGTCTGGGGGCCCCCGGAGGTGGTGACGCAGGGTGCAGGAAGCCAAGGACAGAGTTCAGAAGCCGGCAGGTGTGGCAACACGTTTAATTCTGTGGCCAGGCTAGCCTGTCTCCAAGGCCTGGTGGACAGCACGTCACCAGAGGCTGCCGCAGGAGCAGGCAGGGCCAGCCCTGCAAGAGGAGTGCAGGCAAAGGCGGGGGCTCTGAAGTGGCTGCTGGAGGCAGCAGGCCCCGGGCTGGGAGTGCTCAGTAGCCGTCGTTAGCCCAGGTGACCTCGTAGTCGGGGTACTTGGCTTTGATTTTCTCAGTTGAAATGGCGTGCTGGGCAGGACCATAGGCCTGGAGAAGAGAAGACGCCTGCTGGCACTACCTGGACCCTTCAACCCGATACCCGGCTCTGGGCATCCAGCCACCAGCCACACCAGAAGCGAGTGTGGGAAAGGGATAGGCAGTGCCTGGGGATGCCAAACCCACCATCCCGACCGCCCTTGGGGGCTCCCCTGGGGAGAGGCGACCTCCACAGGCAAGCAAACCTTGATGGTGGATCCTGGGGCCTGAGGCGCCCAGAGGGACGCACGTGGGTCTCATCTGCTGGTGGTTTTTGTGAAGAGCACAGGTGGGGACTCTGAGCTCCACCCAGGTACTGACTGCCTCTGGGGGCCCAGGGCCCAAAGTGCTGGAGGACAGCTAGAGCCCAGCAAGGCCTCCCAAGGCAGGGAGAGGAGACAGCCGGCCATGTCTGGGGGTGTCCGTCCCACCCCTCAGGTCTGGCGTGTGCTCCATGGGGGAATGCAGGAACACAATGGGCCCTGGAGGGAGGGCTCTGCCGCCGACCCTGGGAGAACCCCAGGAAGCCTGCGTGCTCAGCTGGGGCCACGGGTCAGGGCAGCAGGCTCAGGTGGGCCTCGAAGCTGGTACTGGGGCCTCCGGCAGGGCGGGACGGGGCTGCGGCTCACCATGGAATAGCCGTACACGTGAATCTTCTTGTCCTGACTCTGGTGGGAGATGCGCCCGCCGCCCAGACACTCACAGTCGCAGCCTTGCTTCTGCATGTCGCCCGACACTTTGTCGTAGATGTCCGCTGGGATGGGAGGGCGGCCTCAGGACGTGCCCTGGCCGCCCTTGGAGGCCGCGGGAGGAACTCCCAGCCGAAGGGGTCTGAAATCCCAGCTCTGAACAGCCCCTTCCCCAGGAGAGACGAAGCCCCTTGAGGCTGGGACAGGGATGAATGAGCGAAGGAGGGTGGAACCGGGGAGGGCGCGGGAACTGGGAGACTGCTGGGGAGGGTGTCAGGCCGTGTCACGCCCTTCCCGCCCAGGACCTCAGCCTGGGTCAAACCTAGCAGGGGCAGGACTCGGAGCAGAGCGCAGTCCGCTACGGCCCGCAGCCCCGCCCCCGCCCCGCCAGCCCCGCCCCTGCCTCGTCAGCCCCGTCTCCGTCCCGCCAGCCCCGCCCCCGCCTCGCCAGGCGTGCCCCTGGCATGCCCGCAGGTCCCGCCCTCACCATGGTACTCAGCCCACTTGTAGCCGCGCACGATCTCCTTGCTCTCTGCAGCCGGAGCCCCGGAGCGGGGAGCCGAGTGGACTCGGATCAGCACATACTTGAAGACGCCGTCGGAGTCGATGTCCACATCAGGAATGAGAGCGAGGTCCGCCACCGCCATGTTCCTCCTCCCGGAGTCCCCTCCTCCCACCCGACCCGGGGGCCGCTTGTACTGCGGGAGGCGGGCTCTGCGAGAGCGACGACCAATCCCGTCGGGGAATGCTTCCCAAGGCCCAGCGCCTCAGCCAATTGTACCGCCGACCGAGGCACGTGCTGACCAATCGCAATCCAGTTCCTTGCCGCCTTGCGGCTCCGCCAGCCCCGCTTAAAGGAAACGTGGAATCGGGAATGGGTGGTGATGAAATCCAGCCAACGGAGAAGTTCCTCTCCAGCGGGGTCCGGTGGCACCCTTGGAACGGGGCAGTTAGGCGGCCCGCGAGGCTGGGGCAACGAGGGAGGCCTGAGGGACTTGCCAGCCCTGACCTCCTGTCCCGCACGTAGTCCGAAGACCACCCTCCCCGTGGCCCCCACCGCCCAAAGGCCTCCCTCTCTCCCCCTCCCACCGCCCGAAGGCCTCCCCCCTCCCCGCTCTCCACCGCCCGAAGGCCTCGCTCTCCACCCCCTCCACCGCCCGAAGGACTCCCTCTCTTCCCCGTCCACCGCCCGAAGGCCTCTCCCTTTCTCCTCTCCACCGACCGAAGGCTTCCGTCCCCAACCCCGCTACCGGTACAAGGAGGCAACGGCAGCCGCTACATTCAAGTTCTATTTTACTTGGTTCGAAAGCTCTTGCCCCCTGGAAATTATTCCGGTCCAGGGGCGTTCCCGGCCGGCCCTCAGGGGTGGGGCCGAATGCAGAGGCCCTGGGGTAGGGGGCGCGGGGCGCGGCGGCGGGTGGGCAAGCGGGACGCCTGGCCGGTGCAGACGCGCGGGGACGAGATGGGCGTGCCGGGTGCGAAAGCAGGAGCGGAGGCGGGGGTGCCCAATTTCTCTCACTTGGTGCCCCCTCCCCTGGCTCCGAAGTAGGGCTGGGGACTCCAGGAGGGCCCTTGCGTTTGGCCTCCACCCCTCTCCCGCATACCCCACCCTCCAGAGAGCTCTGGGCGCGGACCAGGGTGCACTTGGGGGACAGGTGGAGGCCGGGCCGCCGGGCTTGCGCCTCCACGCCCGCAGTACGGCGTGCGGCCAGAGCGGGTGTGCGGGGACCTCTCGGGACAGGTCAAGCCCCCTCGGGTGGGCTTCCACGCTTACCAACTAGCTCTCTCCCTCACCTGCTCGCACCACGCTTTGCCCTCCAGGCTCCCACCTGGGAACGCCCCGTCCCTTGGTCCTTCCTCTCCTAGCCAGGTGTCAGCTCTGGCCAGGCCCAGGTGCTCTGCTTCCCCTGTTCAGGTCCCCTGCCCCTTCGGCTGGGAGACTTGCATATCGGCCTGAAGACCTCCCTGCGGTTTTTCCCAGCTCCTGCAGGGCCCAGACTGCAGCGGCTGGAGGCGAAGGGACGGCAGGGCGCGTGGCGTGGTTAGTGTGCTGGCTCCGACCAGCGGGAACGCACTGCGCACCGTCCGCCCTGCCCACCGCCTCGGCGGGACGCGCTCGCGCACACGGACGCACAGAGGTCGACCAGGGTGTTCTCCAGCGAGGAGGCAACACAGCCGCGGGAGGCGGGGCGGGGCGTGTTTAAAGTGACAGACTGGGCTTTGGTTACGTCGGGCTTCTGGACGAGGGGAAACCGGAGTCGGGGAGGCTCCAGCGAGAGCCCCGCGGACCGACGGGGACCGGATCTCTACGGGTGGGGTCTGTGCAGTAGTGACCCCTCCGAGTGAAGGCAGAGCTCGGCGGTCCTCAGGCCCACCCCGCCTCCCAGCGGGGAGCACCGAGGGCGAGGACCGACTTCTTCTGGGGATCCTCGAGGGCGAGCTGGGAGAGGGAGGAGGCCCGGAGGAGGGAGAGGGGTTGCTGGGGGTGGGAAGGCGAAGGGCCTGTGAGGAACACTACGGGGACGAAGGGCCGGGGGGTGGGGGCCTGGGCGGAGCTGGAGGCCGAACTGAGCGGAGCTTGGAAGGCTGGGGAATTAGAGGCGGGGCCTAGAAGAAGTCGGGGTGGGGCCCTGGCGGGGCTCGGGGGCGGCCCTGGGTGGGCCGGGCGGGGCCTGAGTGGGCAGGGCAGGGTTCGGGCCAGCGCCTGGGCTAGGCCTGGTGGGCCCGGCGCCTCACATGATGTCGTCCAGCAGGTTGGCGCTGGCCACCCAGTCGAGCGCGCGCGGCTCGGAGGCGGCCATGATCATGCACATGAAGGGGCGGCCGGTGCGCCGGTCCGTGGGGTAGATGGTGGTGGGCGTGAAGCGCCTGTTGGCCTCGACGAACTCGCAAAGCTGCTCGTAGACGCGCGGGAACTCGTGGCGCAGGAAGACGCCGCGCAGCCGCAGCTCGCGCTGGATGTGGATGAAGGCCACCTCGCGCGCGCGCCGGCCCGCCTCGCCGTCCTGATCCAGGCCCGCCGTGCCCGGCGGTGGCGTCAGGATCAGCGTCTCCATGTCGGGCTCGCGGCTCCGCGCCGGGGGCGGCCGCGCGGGGCTGCCGGCCGCCAGCGCTACCTTGGCGAACTTGCGCACTGTTGGCCCGTGGCTGCGTGGCGCGGGCGCGGGCAGGGCCGGTGTCCCCGGTGGCGCGGTGCCGGGTCCCACGGCCACGGACACGCTGAGCAGGAAGCACTCTGCCGGTTCGTAGAGGCGCCCAGCGGCCGCCAGCTCGCGCGCGTAGCTGCCCAGGGGCGCCGCGTGTGTGGCCAGCTCACGCAGCGATAGGTAGGTGGGGGATAGCAGCAGCCCCTCCAGGCCAAAGCGCAGGAAGTTGTCGGCCGAGCCTGGACTTGGGAAGCCCAGGAAGAGCACGCCGCGGCCGCGCGACAGGAAGCCGACACGCGCGATGCGCGAGAAAGCGCGGTGCACCGGGCCGCTGTCGCGGCAAAACTGCAGTACGTGGCGGCACACGCTGCCCACGCGGCCGTACACGCAGCGCGCCTTGTGGGCGTCCCAGTCCTCGCGGCGGCACAGGCGCGAGCAGTAGTAGGTGTAGCAGCTGTGGCAGGACTTGAAGTAGAGGCAGGCGTTGAACATGGTCTCGGTGCGCCGGCAGCGCGCATTGGAGCAGGTCATCAGGTCGTCCTCGTCGGCGCTGGGTTCGGGGGACGCGTCGGCCGCCTCTCCCGGGGCCGCGGGCTCCTCGGCGCTGCCGGCCGAGGCGGGGGGCGAGCGTGGCGGCGCCAGCGCGGGGGCCCCGGAGCCCGCGGGCCGCGAGTCCAGCAGTCGGCGCAGTTGGGGGCCCAGGCAGTCGGCCGCGGGCTCTGAGGCCTGGCCGGCGGTGGGTCGCGAGTCGATGACCAGGTCCGTGATGAGCTCGTCCAGCTGCTCTAGGCTCCGCTGGCGGCCAGAGGTGGGGCCGTCGGGGGCCGCGTGGGGAGGTGGCCGCGTGCGGCCCCCGGGCAACTCCCAGGCCCTGGCGCTCGGGCGCTCGGTGGCGCGCAGGTCATTGTCAGTGATGGTGATCTCGGGCGTCACGTACCAGTTGCGGCCCAGGCCCTCGCCCGCGCGGCCCTTCTCCGTCAGCGACGTCTCGGACAGGGACAGTGCGGCGTAGCGTCTGGGAGAGGTGGACAGGTTCACGACGACGGGCGGGCGCCGGCCTTCGGGGGACACGCCTCGCGGCTCCCGCACCTCGCGCCCCAGCAGGTTCTCGTAGCTGCGGCCGCGGCCCAACGGGTCTTCTCGGCGCGGCCCCGGGGCCAGAATGTTGTCCCAGGAGCGCGAGTAGTGGCGGCTGTCGGTGGCCAGCCGGGGCGGACTGGTGCCGGTGCCGCCGTGCCAGGAGGCGAGCAACGGGTCGGGGTCAGAGGGCGGCACCACTTGCAGGGTGCGGTACGGTCGCGGGCCCCAGTCCGCCCAGGCCGGGCTGCTGCGCGGGTGCGGGTACGTCCGAGCCAGGACGTCACGCTCGCGGTACCTTCCGAAGTCCTCCGTGTAAAAGGGGCGGGCGGTGGAGTGGGCCCGGGGCTCCTCGGGGACATAGCGGGGCCCGTAGGGCAGGCCGTAGGCTCGTGGAGCCTCCCCATAGTAGGAGCGGGAGGGCGGTTCCTGGATTGGGAAGGTGCGCACCTCTCCTGCGTAGTAGCCGCCCATGCGCCTTGGACTGGGCCCCGAGAGCTCCTCGGACGGATAGGGCCTGGGGTAGTAGGCGTCGAAGGTTGGGCCGGGACTGGCTGCAAAGCTGCCCCGGAAGCCTTGGGGCTCCTCTGTATAGAAGAACTGGGTGGGGCCCGGCGGGGTGGTGAAGGGCAGACTGCGGCGCTCGGCGTAGTCCCGGGGCCCAGGCAGGGGCCCGTCGCAGTAGAACGCCCGGGGATCCGCACAGTATGAGTCGCTGGGCGTCGGGGTGCGCGACAGCGCCATGTGGCGGGGCCCGGGCACCGTGAGGCCGTGGAACTGCGGGGCGGGGCGGGCCCAGTGCGCGGCCTCGGTGGGCCCGCAGGACCGCGAGCCCCGGGTGGCGTGCTGGAGCACTGCGTCGTCTGGCTTGATGTCCAGGCGGCAGCGCACGTGGGGGGCGGGACCCGCGGGTGGCTCGGGCGGTGCGCAGCGGCCCGCGGCGGCGCACAGGGGCGCGACGCGGCCGGGGCCGCCCCGCTGCGGCTGCAACTTGATGGGATGCAGCTCGTTGGCAAGGGCGCGGAGCGCCGGGTACGCGGGCTCCCGGCGCGGCGATGCCTCGGCCCGCGCCGCACGCTGGGCCTCCCGCCCTCGGCGGGGCAACACCGGCGGCGAGGCGGGCGCGGGCGTCAGGCCCGGGGGCGCGCGGGGCGCACTCTTGGAGCGGGCGCGGCGGCGTGGCTCGGCTTCGCGGGTCCGGGCGCGCGGCACAGCGGACTCCGGCGGCGGTGGCTCCGGCAGGGTCTCCATGGCCGGCCCGTCCAGCGCCTCCAGGAAGTCGAAGCTGCGGCAGTGGCGCTTGTTGAAAGGCGCGGGCTCAGCAGGCCGGGCCACGGATCGCTCACATGGCGAGCACTTGGACGCGGGTCCCGGGGTCGCCACCTTGATGTCCTGGTACACGGTCGACACCAGCAGGTCCGGAGGGTCCGTACGGGTCATCTTAAAAGAGGTCCCCAGGCTGGCGGCTCCAGCTCACACTGCCTTGCGGGGCTTTTGCCCTGGGGGGAGACGCGGGTCAGGGCGGCCCCCTCCGCAGCCCAGGCCCCGCTACTCCCCCACGCTGGCCCGGCTTACCTGGGGCGCAGCGGGCGGAGCAGCCCTGGCTGCGGGCCTGGGCCGAGAACGCGGGCGCTTCCTCCATGCCGGGGTCAGAAGCACCTGCGGGAGGAACCCAGCTGTCCAGGCGCCCGTCCTGCCCGTCCCCCCGTCCTCTCCCTGCGATGGGGCGGGCGGGCCAGAAAGGCTTAGCCGTGGTTGTGGTTCCCGCGGCGGGAGCTCCCGCGTGAAGCTCCAGGGCCTCCCCTCCCCCGACTAGTGACGGCGGGGTCGGCTCGGGTGGACCCCTTTCCGGGTGGGGTAGGGGAGTGGGGGCGTGGTCCTGGGGCTGCGCCCTCTGGTGTCCGCAGTTGGAAGGACGGGCCGCATTTGGGCCTTATTTATAGGTGTTGCCCCAGGAGACGTCAGTGACTGCGCCCCCGTCACAGCGCCCACTGCAGAGCGACCCCTCCGATCGCGCACAGTGGAAGGCGAGTCCCTGGGCCTCAGCCTTAGCCGGCTCTGCACCAAGTGGGTGACACCAACCACCCCACCTGCTGGCCGGGCCGAGCACAGAGCCCCGCCCCCAGCACTGCAAGGACCCACGCCTAGGTGCCCTCAACTTCCCGCGAGCCCCAGGCCAGAAAAATGCCCCCAGAGAGCATACCCGGGCCCTAAATCTCCCTTTCCTCTGCCGACACCTTTTCTGACCCCAAGTATCTTTGGGTGGTTGAAACAAGGCCCCAGCTTTGTGTAAACGCACAGGACACCCCCCTAGGGTTTGCAAGGCAGTCCCAAGCCATCGAGCCGCGAGCTCGTGGCAGCCCCTCCTCTGAGCTGCGCACCAGGCCTGGAAGCTGCCCGCTGGGGGTGGGCAGGGCGGAGGGTGGGGGAAGCCCCACTGCTTTGCAGGAGAGGGCCCTCCCCATTTCGCTCAGAAGGTTCCATGGAAACCTGCATTTCTTAGGCCCCCACGCGGCAGGCTGGCCTGGGTTCAGATGTGGGCTGCCAACCCCTCTGTGATCCCAGAGCCAGCTGGGGGGTGCGTCAGAGAGTGGCCACAGGCCTGGCCTCTGCACACCCAACACCTGGTCTGGGGGGTCTACCCCAGAGTGAGCTGGGGAAAGCGGGTACCTGGCCAGGCCCCTTGCAGGGCAGAACCTCAGGTGGATGGGCCTCTCGGGGTCTGGCCGGGTCCCCCCTCTGTGTCCCAGGTGTGCAGGGGCTTCCTGCTGGCAGGGCTGTTTTTCTGGGTCAGGGCCACGAGTCCCAGGCCTTGTGCCCATCCCAGCCTCCCCCGCCCACCCCCCCATCTCCCCCCTCCACCCCACCCGTGGCAGGACTGTCTACCCTCCTGCTCCCTCTTTCATGCTAAGCTCAAGGCCAGGCCGGAATCCGGCCGGATGACAGGGTGTGAGGCTCCACCCCAGGGAGGTGACAGTCGGCCTTGCTGGCTGCAGCTGTCGGTGACACCCCCTCCCGTGGGGATGGGGGTGGGGTCGGCCCTCTCCCGGGCCCAAGGCCTTCTGGAGCCCACGGAGATGGCTGGCGGCCTTCCCCACCTCCCAGCCCTGCCTTGCCTTGCCTTGCCCTGGCTGGGAGCGGCCCTTCAAGGGATACAGCCGGTGTTGCCTGGGGGCGGGGACTCCCCATCCTTTCGGCTGCCCTAAGGCAGCTTCCCCCGCCCATGACGGTGACACACTCAGCAACTCGGCCCCTAGCCCCTTACCTGGGTGCTGCTCTGGCTGTGCCCCGGTGGGCTGTGCCACCCCCAGGTCGGCTCCTCTGTGTCCCCGGCACTGCTGCGTCCCCGGCACGGGCAGAAGCTTCCAGGCAGCAGCGCGGATCCTGGCCTGGCTGCTCAGTGCTGCCCCTGATGGCAGCTGAAGGGGCTGTACTTAAAGGGGCCGCACCCAGTGGGGGCTGCACCGTGGAGCTGGGGATCATGAGCTGCACTGGCTCCAATTTGGGGCTGTGCAGAGCACAGGGTCCCTGCAGCACCCCCAAGACACAGACCTCAGTGTCTAAGCAGGAGTCTTGTGGCCCGGAGCAGCCTGCCAGTCCCGCCAGTGTCACCCCAACACACTTGCCTGAGAGGAGGGGCCCGAACCCTGGCCTGGGCTGCAGAGATTGGTCAGGGGCATCTTGGAATTCGCATCTCCTGTCGGGCGAGGCAGGAGCAGATGGGCTACTCTGTGCCCCACTGGCCTCTCCCCAGGCCCTATCTGCTTCAAGGCTGCCAATGCCAAAATCTTGGCGGGTACCTGGGGCCAGATGGCCCCTGCAGCCTCTTGTGTCCCCAGGATGCCATCCTCTCTGGGTGAGGCCACTCCTGCATCCGGTCCCTGCCAGCCTGGGAAGGCCTGCACGTGACCTGCCATACCTGCCTGGTAATGTCCTCGTCCCACTCTGCCAGCCCCTCCCCAAGGCATTGGGCCTGGGAACGTTCTAGCTTGGCAGAGGGGTGGGGAGCTGATGCCCTTGGCTCTGAAGGGCAGGACCTACCCCATTCTGCACTGTTCAAAGCAGGGCCCACTGAAACCCCAACATAGCCGTCCATGGTGTGATCCTGTCAAGTTCACGTACTGTCGACCCATCCCCACACCAGGCGAACCCCTGAACCCGGCCCTGACCTCATGGGCTGTGGGCTAAGGGGCCAGGCTAAGCTTGCTGTGGGCCACAGCACCTGCTCAGGGACTGCAGTGACTGCCCAACACCCTGGGGCCACAAGGCTCCCAGGCAGAGGAGCCTCCAGCTTGGCCACCTCCTCCCCTTCACTGGCACACTCTTCCTGCCTGCCCTGCAGGGTTCTCATGGCAACAGTAGCTGTGGGGGTGGAGGCTGGGCGCTGCTGACAGCTGGAGGGGGCAGGAGCCTGAAGGCGGGGGGCAGGGCTGCAGGCGGCTGCCTGGGAGCCTTGCAGAGTGGACTTCCACCTCCTGGGGCTGAGGTCGCCAAGCGTGCTGCGTGCAGCTGCTGAGCCCTGGCACAGGTGGGCTGGAATGTACCCAGGGTGTGGCCAGACTTGGTGGGACGTCCTCACACCACTGCTGGGCAGCCTCCTGCCAACCCACGGCAGCCTGGGCCCGGGGCAGCGGGAGCAGAGGTACAGGCAGAAGAACAGACACACGCAGAGTGAAACAGGAGTGCTTTATGGTCTGAGTGGAGTGTTTGGGAGGAGTGCCTCCCGGCTCCTGCCTTCGGGCTCACCTGAGCGGGGGCGCAGCTGAGGCCACTGTGGGAAA
This sequence comes from Homo sapiens, assembly GCF_000001405.40. Taxonomy (NCBI): domain Eukaryota; kingdom Metazoa; phylum Chordata; class Mammalia; order Primates; family Hominidae; genus Homo; species Homo sapiens. The sequence goes on along the minus strand of NC_000009.12, from coordinate 136,841,073 downwards.
CACAACCCCCACTCCCAGGAGAGGCCTCACATGCTGCCTTCGGTCTCGCCAGCCTTCTAGCGTGGGGCCTGGGCCGCCCTTTAGGGTGAGTCTGCACACCCGTGTTCAGGGCTCCCGGCCGGAAGCGGAACCATAGGCATGCTGCGGCCCCAGATGAGCGCGGAGGGCAAGCAGGTGCCGGGGCAGCGCACACCCCACAGCCAAGCGGCCCCTGCCCAGCCTCTGTAAACAGACCCTCACAGGTCCCTCCTGGGCCTCAGTCACATCCCTGAGAAACACTGGCGGCTCTGCCCCGAGAGGGCCAGGGTGTCCACCGAGCCTGGCTGAAGCCAGCTGTCCCCTCCCTTCTTGCAGAGCAGGCTCACACTGGGCCTGAAGGCCCAGCACCTGCAGGGCCCAGCCTGGGGACCACCAATGCCCGGCCTCTTCCAGCTCAGAAGCGCACACGGCAGCCACGGGGCAGCGGCAAAGGCGATGGTACAGAGGCAAATGCCTCCCCAGGCAGTGACAGGCACGCCCCCCGCCCCAGGGCGGCCACTGCCCACGCCGGCCTAGAGCTCCTCGTAGTCGCCACCCCCAGGGTGGCGGCCGCCCGGGGCCCCGCCCCCCAGGAAAGCCTCCAGCTCATCGGCAGCCGTCCTCTCCCTGCTGCGCGGGGGCCGCTGCTGCCGCCGTCGCCGCTCCTCCTTGCCCTCCTCCTTGTCCTTGCTCTTCTTGTGTTTGCTCTTCTTCTTGGCAGCTTTTTCTTCTTCCTGAGGAGCACAAGGATGGGGCGCCATGGAGTCACAGGAAGCCACAGCCCTGGTCCCAGGACCGCATGCCACCCAGTCCTGGCCTGCCAGGAAGGGGAGTAGCCAGTACCTCTTTGCCTTTTTTCTTCTTCTTCTTCTTCTCCTTAGAGGGGGTTTTGCCCTCCTTACCTGCACAGACAGGACAGACAGTGGCTCAAACTCAGGCCAACGGGGACCCCAAGCTGGGTGACAGGACTTCTCTAGAAACTCACAAAGCAGCGAGCCCCAGCCCTCCAGGAGGCCCTGCTGATGGACAGGACCACACTGCAAACATCAGCTCCTGCAGGGGGCTGCCAGGAGCATGGCACAGCATCCTGGACTCAGGAGAGGACCCCGGCCAGCGGCCAGCAGCTGGGAGGAGGCCCACGTTCTACCCAAACTCCAGCAGGCTGACCGCACTCTGGTGCCCCCACCCACCTTCCTCACTGCTCTCCTTGGGTCCGGCCTCCTCCAGCCCCAGCCCGAAGAGGTCCGAGTCATTCTTCAGTCTGAAGGCGGGGAGAGGGAGCTTGGGGGGTGGGGGCGGCTCGGCAGGGCCCTCATCCTCGTCAGTCACATCGGAGGGGTCATCTCGCACGGGAAAGTCATCCTGGAGCAGGGAGAGCAACTGGTCAGGCCATCATCCCTCCCACACCCCCAGGGGTTGTGGGATCTCAAACCAGGCCGGCAAGGCCCAAGTGTGGGGACATGAGATGCCTCTTCCAGAAGCCTCCTCCCACTGCACCCACCCAGATCAGGCCTGTGGGAGGGACCCTGGCCACCTGGCTGACCTCTGCCCCGGGAGGACTCGTCTTACCGCCCTGCGCTGTGTGTCTGATCCCTCGCTCTCAAAGTCGGGGTCATCCATGACGAAGGACAGCATTTGTGCAGCAATGGGTCCCTCGGGGTCACTCTCCGACGAGGAGGCCTGCTCACCCTTCCCCGGCTCCATCTCAGCAGGGGGCCTGGTGCTGCTGCGCTTCTCCGGACCTGTGCGAACAGAGACACCGCCTGGCCAGGGGGGTGCTGCGGTCCTCGTGGGAGCTGTCCCCCTCCGTGGCTTCGAAGCTGGTATGGAGGACCTTTGTGGACAAGCAGAGGGTCAGTCAGGGTCCTCTGGAGGCGTCCTGAACTGCCCCACCCGGGTCTCCAGGCCGCACCCGTGGGGACACCTGCCCTTACCACTTGGTCTCTGGCTCTGAGCACTGCTGGGGAGCTGGGGCAGGGCCTTTTGTGGGAGCTGCCACTTCTGCTTCCTCCTCACTCGAAAGAGTGATGTCTTGACTGGGGACGGGGCCTGCAGGCAGCGGGGGACTCCCACGTGGCTGGTCTTCGAGGTCCACATCGTCCTGGAACCCTGCCACCATCGGGTTGCCGCCCAGGGCCTCCCCATCACTGCAAAGCAGGGGGCAAAGCGGTCAAGGGCCACGGGGTAGGGATGGCTGGCCGGGCTCACGGGCCTTGGTTCTAGGCGCCCTGGTACCCAGCACACCCTGGCCGTGGGGCCACCCCACCCCAGGTGCTGTGTTGTGGAGAGGCCCCCTCATGGTCACAGGGCTTCTGAGCAGGAAGGGGTCGGGGGCACAAGGTTGGACACAGTGCTGCCCTGCGGCCGCTCAGTGGGTGAAGGATGTGGAGCCGCACAAGTGGGCGCTCGTGGAGGAGGCGGGCCCAGCTCAGGGCCACGGGGCTTTCTGTCCTTTGTGTATTTCTGGAGGAAGCCGCTGCCCCACAGCAATGGGTGAGGCTGAGGTGCTGAGGCCACTGTGGGTGGAGCTTGTCCAGGGCTGTCCTGGGACCAAATGCAGGGCTTTGCTGCAGGCAAAATTTGGGGCAGCTTGGCAGACAGAGTGGTGGGAGGGGCTGGCAGATGGCTGGGGAGGCGGCTCTAGCTCCCAGCTCTAGGACCTGCAGGAAGCCGCCCCTGTCTCTGCAGCACCTGGATCCTGGCCCTGTGGAGACCACATCTGGTGGCCTGAACCTCCCATATGACCTGCAGTGGCCTCTCCAATGGCTTCCATGTGGCATCTGCCCACAGAAGACCCCAAGGTGCCCCTGTCCTCTCCAGGGTGTGGGCAGAGCAGGTGGCCAGGCCTTTCTGATGTCTGGAAGCCCCGTCCAAGCCCTTCCCTCGTCTGCTCCAGCCACAGAGCTGCTCTGTCCTCAGCCAACAGTGACCAGCCGGCGGGGGGCCCCTTCTGCGCCCCTAGAAAGCCAGCCCCACCTGCTGCTCGGGCACCCTGGAGGCTGGGGGGCAATGGGAGAGGAGGCCCAGGCCCACCCCTCACCTGTCGCTGTCCTGCTGGGCAGCCTTGGCCCCCACCTTCTTCTCGTCCCTGGCGGGGGTTGTGTCTTCCAGGAAGCTGCGGTCCAGGCGGTCGTCAGGAACAAAGTCCTCCACACTCTGGACCGTTGCTGGGCCCTCTGCGGCCGGGACTGGCTCTGTGAACAGTGATGCCGGGTCCTCTTCACTCGGCACCAGAACCCTCACTGCACCCAACCCCAAGCCAGGCCCACCCGGGATGTGCCCACGGGACTGGGACAAGCAGGAAGAAGCGTGGAGCGCTCCGAAATCCAGGACCCCACCTGTGAGGGCCTGGGGGTCTGGGACCAGTTTGGGAGGGGCAGCTCCAGGGCCTACCTGGAGGTGGAGGGGCTGCCTCGGTGGCAGGTGACGTCCCAAACAGCCTAGAGATGATGCTGCGCCGTGGGGCGGGGGCTGAGGGGCACGCAGGTGGGGGCAGGGCCTCTGAGGGTGGTACAGGGGGCACAGAGGATGGTGGGGCGGCATTGAGGGGCAGCTGTGGGGCGGGCTGGGGTGTGCCGGGGCTGGAGCTCCCCGTGGACACAGCGCCTGCAGGCACCACTGGTGACTGGGAGCCCGGGGATGGGCTCTGCCCGTTGGCCGCCAGTGGGGACGCATGGCCACGGCTGCGAGCCTCCATCATCTCCAGGAAGCTGAAAGGCAGAAGGCGGGTGAGAAGCCTGGCTCCCCTGCCTCTCCCTGAGGCCCTCAGGTGACAGGGGGCTCTCTGCTGCTGCTGCTGGGGCTGGGAAGAGCCACTGTGTTCTGGGCCACCCGCCCCACAGAGGCCATCATCCCCATCCACTTCCAAGGGCAGCAGTGCCAGCCAGGCACGGTGGCTCATGCCTGTAATCCCAGCACTGTAGGAGGCCAAGGCAGGCAGATCACGAGGTCAGGAGGTGGAGACCGTCCTGGCTAACGCAGTGAAACCCCGTCTCTACTAAAAATACAAAAAAAATTAGCCGGGTGTGGTGGCGGGTGCCTGTAGCCCCAGCTACTTGGGAGGCTGAGGCAGGAGAATGGCGTGAACCCGGGAGGCGGAGCTTGCGGTGAGCCGAGATCACACCACTGCGCTCCAGCCTGGGCGACAGAGCGAGACTCCATCTCAGAAAAAGAAAGAGCAGCAGTGCCAAAGGGTGGGGACAGCAGGCACCAGCGTACATGTGTCCAGCTCCCCTGAAAGTCACTTCGGATCTGTTCTGAGGCACAGCTGTTGGGGGCTCCATGCAGAGGTGGCCAGATGGCAGCAACTGGACCTTCCCGTGAGCGGGGGTTTCTGGGAAGAGGAGGGGGCTGGGGCTTGGTGGAGCACGTGCGGCCATCGCAGCATCCAGCTGACCCAACTCTCAGGCCCAGGAAATGCCAGGATTGGTTCAACAGAGAAGCGCCCATGCGGGGGGCTCCATTCTGGGGCTGGCCTGGCAGCTGGAAGCCACGGGTCCCTCTCCAGGCATCAAACTGCCTTCCCTCTCGGTCTCTTGCTGTGTCTGAGCCAACAGCCAGATCCAAGGTGACCCACAGGGCTCTCCTTCTGGAAACAGAGACCTCCTGGGGGGCCTCAGGAGGGCCACTGATTCCGTGGTCCCTGCCTGGGTCCCAGGGGAGGCACCAAGCCCCTAGCTGTACAGGAGCCTGAGGCAGAGAACGGGCCAGCTGTCCCACTGGCCGCAACCCCGGGGCTATGCACTGCCCAGGCCCACTCAGGAGGATGCTCTGAGCCGCCCTCTGCTATCGAGGACCAGAGACCTCCATGTCCTGGCCTGTATGCCTCTTCAACACAGGGAGCTTCCCAAAGTCAAGCAGCTCCCCAGAAAGCACACCCCATGCTGGCATCAATCTGGGAGGCCAAGCCCCTGATGGGCAGGCAGCCCCAGCAGCACTCCATGAGCACCAGCACCTGGCCACGGTCAGCGGTACTCAGAGTGGCAGGCACAGCATGACCTGTATGAGGAGTCCACGCCAGGGGTGACTGTGGGGGGGCTGCTGGGGGCAGTGCAAACCTGAGTCCTCCTCCACCCGTGCCCAAAGGTGACTAATTTACCCCAAACAGGGGACACTCCCCTCTGCTGTCTCCTTGGTGCAGCCCATGGCCCTGCACCACGGCCACGCCCGCAGCCCCCACACCGCCCGCACGGGCGGGTCCGGCCACATACATGCCGTAGTTCTGGTCCTCCGTCTCCTGCTGCACCGACAGCTCCTCCAGCGTGGCGTCCATGTCCAGCTGGTTCGTCTCCAGCTGCCGCAACAGCGTCTCCCTCTGCAGAAAGGGAGCACGCAGGCCTGAGCAGGGCTCCTTCCTGCTGCGAGTGCCCCAGCCCCACAGCCCCTGAATGCACAGGGGACGCCTCCTGCTGCCAAAACCAGGAGATGCTGCAGGGCTGGCTGCTCAGCAACTCATGGAGCTCTGCGCTGGGCCCCACTTGAACCACAGAAGCCCAGAGGATTCCTCTGCGGTGGCCGGCACGACACCTACACACTGCCAGCATGGCTTGGGGGACAGCTGTCAGTCACAGGCATAAACCTCAACAGCAAGCACCCCCACCCACACACGCACCTCTAAGAGTGAAGAAGCCGCACCTTCACCTGGGAAACAAAGCCCCTCTGCTCCCCGCCACGCACACCTCCTCTGGTGGCAGGACACATCCCCGGTGCACGCGTCGCCACCGTCCCACACCCACAAGCAGCTGGCTCTGGAGCAAACCACTGCCCTCCTGGCCTGGAACCCCAGGCTGGTCTGATGAGCTGCGGGTCCCTGTGGCTGCTCACTTTAGATTCAAATGAAATACAAACGCCGGAGCCTCACGAACTCCTGACCTCAGGTGATCCAGCTGCCTCAGCATCCAAAGTGCGAGGATGACAGTCGGGAGCCACCGTGCCCGGCCCCTTCTCTTTTTTTAAATAGAGATGGGGTCTCGCTATGTTGCCCAGACTGGTCTCTAATTCCTGGACTCAAGTGATCCTCCCAGCTTGGCCTCTGCTGAAATTACAGGCCTGAGCTACTTGCCTGGCCTCTCCTTTTTTTTTTTTTGAATCATCTTTTTCAGAGATTTTTTTTTTTTTTTTTTTTTTAGAACAGGGTCATGCTATATTATATTGCCCAGGCAGAAGATCTGGAACTCCTGGGCTCGAGCTGTCCTCCCACCTCTGCCTCCCTAACAGCTGGGATTATAGGCGTGAGCCACTGCGCCCAGCCTGGAGAGGTTTTTAAAATAAAAATGTGAGGCTGGGCGTGGTGGCTCACACCTGTAATCCCAGCACTTTGGGGGGGCCAAGGCGGGCAGATCACGAGGTCAAGAGATCGAGACCGTCCTGGCCAATATGGCAAAACCCCGTCCCTACTAAAAATACAAAAATTAGCCAGGCGTGGTGGCAGGCGCCTGTAATCCCAGCTACTTGGGAGGCTTAGGCAGGAGAATCGCTTGAACCCAGGAGGCAGAGGTTACAGTGAGGCAAGATTGCACCACCGTACTCCAGCCTGGACAGAGTGAGACTCCGTCTCCAAAAAAAAGAGTGTATTAAAGTCATTAAGGTCCCCAGGCTATAACAACAACAAAAAAATGTGATTTACAAAGAGAAATCTACAGACTTGTCAACCAAATGTAATGTGTGAACTCTGGATCCTACTCTGAATACTGACCAAATATCTGACGACTGGAAGAACTCTTTGGGAATTTTATTTTTTCAATTTGTTATTGTGGCTTATTTCTCCAAGAAAAACCTTCTGTGAGTTTAACATGCGGTATTACATTAGGTACTACGGTCAGGTTAAAAAAACAACTGATTTTTTTAGAGATGTGTTTGAAATATTTTTAGGTGACATAAAGAAGGCCTGAAATTTGCTTCCAGGCAATCCAGGGGCAAGACAAAGAGGAAACAGGGGTCCCGCTGCTGAGACAGGCGAGGACATCAGATCTGCTTGAACACATCCATAGCAAAAGGATAGTCACACACAGCTCAGCCCTACGCTTCCAGCTCAAGACTCTGTCCAGGGTCCCGTTCTCTCCCTGGGAGGCTTTGGAAGGGTTTGGAGGGCAAACCATTAGGGAATGGAGCAGCTGAGCAGTGGGGAGCTCTCTAAGGAGTAATCAACCCAGTGATGAGGGGACGGCTCTGCAGGAAGGAGGGGCCTCCCCAGCAGTGCCGGCACAGGACAAGTCTGACTGCCGCCTTCCTTCCAACCCAAACGTCCCCAGCAGCAGTCCCAGCCTGCAGGCATCCTCACTTCTTCTGACACCAGGACGACAGCACAGCCCCTTTCCTGGGCAAGCCTGACATCCTTCTGGAGAAAGACCAAGGCTGCTGCAGCTGCAGCTGGGCCCCAGGTCCCCCAGACCCAGTCGGGGCAGCCCAGGGCGAGGAGGTTCAGGTCCCCCAGACCCAGCTGGGGCAGCCCAGGGCGAGGAGGTTCAGGTCCCCAGACCCAGCTGGGGCAGCCCAGGGTGAGGAGATTCAGGTCCCCCAGACCCAGTCGGGGCAGCCCAGGGCGAGGAGGTTCAGGTCCCCCAGACCCAGGCGGGGCAGCCCAGGGCGAGGAGGTACAGGTCCCCCAGACCCAGCTGGGGCAGCCCAGGGCGAGGAGGTTCAGGTCCCCCAGACCCAGGCGGGGCAGCCCAGGCAAGGAGGTTCAGGTCCCCCAGACCCAGGCGGGGCAGCCCAGGGCGAGGAGGTTCAGGTCCCCCAGATCCAGCTGGGGCAGCCCAGGGCGAGGAGGTTCAGGTCCCCCAGACCCAGCTGGGGCAGCCCAGGGCGAGGAGGTTCAGGTCCCCCAGACCCAGCTGGGGCAGCCCAGGGCGAGGAGGTTCAGGTCCCCAGACCCAGGTGGGGCAGCCCAGGGCGAGGAGGTTCAGGTCCCCAGACCCAGGCGGGGCAGCCCAGGGCGAGGAGGTTCAGGTCCCCAGACCCAGGCGGGGCAGCCCAGGGCGAGGAGGTTCAGGTCCCCAGACCCAGCTGGGGCAGCCCAGGGCGAGGAGGTTCAGGTCCCCCAGACCCAGTCAGGGCAGCCCAGGGCGAGGAGGTTCAGGTCCCCCAGACCCAATCAGGGCAGCCCAGGGCGAGGAGGTTCAAGCCTCATCATTTGCTGGGCTACTTTGCAGCCACAGCTGGCCTGGCCCTTGTTTCTACAAAGGAAAGTGAGTTTAGTCCGTAGGCCAAAGTTGGTTCCTTGGTTTTGACACAAGCACCAGGGAAATGTGAGATGTGAACAGCGAGTACCTCGGTGACTCACGCCTGGCATCCCAGCACTTTGGGAGACAGGTGGGAGGATTGCCTGAGCCCCGGAGTTTGAGGCCGCAGTGAGCCATGATTGCGCCACTGCACTCCAGCCTGGGCCACACAGCAAGACCTTATCTCAACAAACAAAAACAACCAAAAACACTGGGGGAAACTGAGCAAGGGGTCCCCGCAGAGGTGGAGGGGCTCCTGGGACTGGGTCTAGCCCTCAGGACCCTGTACCCTCTGCCACCCAGAGCAGGCAGGTGCAGTAGAACGCTGGGCCCTTGCCAGCAGCCAATCTCCGAGCAGGTCCACAGCTTTCTCAGGGGTTAGGAGGGAGACCCGTTGCTACACAGGAGACACCTGGAAGGAGGTGAGAGACCAGCAGCCACTCCACCCCACGTGGTGAGTGCTTACCTGAAGCTGCAAAAATGGGATATTGAAGAACTTATGAAGGTACTTTAGGCCGAAGCTGTTCTTCATGGAAGACTCAGCATAGCGGAAGTAGGAGGAACCTGGAGGTCTGCTTTCAGAAAGGAAAAAAGATGCAAGAGAAAGACCCTTGCCCTGGTGCCAAGGATCACCCCTGGGCCCACAGCTGTGGGTCCGCACTGCCCTCCCTCCTCCTGCAGGCTCCTGAGGCCACAGGACCCTGCTGAGCCCTGCTAAGCAGCTAAGCCGAGTGCCCTTCTGCAGGTGACCCCACAGTGCCAGCACTTCACCCTGGCACACAGTTCCCCAGCACACAGTTCCCGGCCCTGCCATCGGGGAGACCCAGGCTTCAGTGAGCCCCACTCAGCGGCGAGACCCACATCCGCCGGGCCCCATGCTAACGTTAACCCCTCCCTGGGCCTCTGCCTCAGCACCCTCCCCCGCACACCGGAGCACCGGGCAGGGTCCCTCGGGAGCAGGGCCACCGCACCCACCTGTCCAGGTTGTCGATGAAGTCACGCACGTCGTCCGGCAGGATGACTCGGTGCTCGCCCATGTCCCGGTAGTTTCCCAGCACGCACACTGGCACGTGGGTGGGCACTTTTGGAAGCTCCCGGAGAATGTAATTGAAGGTCCTCGGAGAACAGGTGAGGACCTGGCTTAGTTTCAGCCCTGCGACGCCCTGTCCCTCCCTGGAAAGGTGCTGTGCGCCCAGGCCCGAGGATGGTGGCTGCTTCTCATTTCCAACATCCAACCCAGCAGAAGCATGCCTCGTGCATGCAGAGCTAGAGGGAAGTGCCTCGAGGGCCTTCGCACCCCTCAGCCTGCAGCCCCCGCCCGTCCCTCTCCCTGACGGCAGGTACTTGACCGCACCCCACACTGGAACGCCCCTGCCTGTCCCTGCCTTCCCTCAGAGCACCCCATGTCCGCATCCCTACAAAACCACCTCTGGCTTCATCTGTGTCCACCCTCATTCCGCACTGTCCTCTGTGCCCCTTGGTGTCGACCCTGTGGCTGGTCCTCCAGGCTCCCTGCCCACCGGGGCAGCCGAGGACACCCTGGGGTGCCTCTGCGGCTGCCGGTGAAGCGGGCTGTTTGGAGAGCCTTGTCTTAAGCAGACATCTCCTGGCACGGACGGCAAGTCTCCAGAGTCTGCCTGGCGTGGAACTGCCAGTTTCCCAGCTGCGTGGTTTTCCAAATGGCTTGTGAAGAAATAACCAGCGCTTCAAGTGACAAAACTTCCCCACGACTGAAAGCCAACATAAGGGAGTAAAAAATGCAACATCCTGTTTCTAACTTCATTTTCTTTCATTTACACGCAGTCATTTAAACGGGCCCCTCACCAAGGCCGGCCCAGGGGCACCTCTGGCCTCCTAAGCAGGTGGCCTTCTGGTGTCTCCTGCCTCTCGTGGCTGTGAAGGGCCTGCGTGGTGCTTGAAGCCGCTGTCTGAGCCAGTGTTTTCCATCCTTCCTGCTGGGCACCAGGGGCTCCAGACAGAGCATTGCTACCATAGGCATCGCCTGCCCAGGCTGGTGCTGCCAACAGGGTCTCCGGGCCCACAGGTAAGCGCCTTTGCCGCGTCTTCTCAGGCTGGCTCAAGTCTCGCTGTCACTCCCGCCCACTCCTCGCACGGCAGCCCAGGCGGCTGCAGCTCCCTCCAGGCCGTTCCTGTGGCAGCAGTGGGAGGTGCCGTGGAGGCCACACTGTGTCCACACTCAACTTCGCTTGGGAAAAGCCACTTCCCACCCACCAGGCTGGCCTGCTGCCTAGACAGGAGAGGCCGGAGGGAGAGGAGCACCACTGCTCGCCCAGGTGAGGCCAGCGTGTGCGCCCGAGCTGAACTCGTGCCCTGGGGTGGGGCCGCCAGCCCCGTGTGTGGTTCTCCTGCCATCCGTGTGCCACACCCCCACCGAGGGCTCTCCTGAGGGTGCCTGCGGTCAGTCCTTGGTGGTGGTGCTGAAGGCTGGGAGGGCAGGCATGGTTCCCAGCATTGGCAAAGGTTGGCAGAGGCCCAGAGCATGGCTGGTCAGGTGCTTCAAGCCGCCCTCAGGCCTGGGCTGCTGATGCGTGCTGAGTGTGCGGCCCCGTGACAGGCGGTACGCTTAACCCTGGTGTGGGGGTCTTCCCAAGTAAGAGAAGCTGCTGACTAGGCCCCCAGGCCAGACCCACTGCTGGGAAGAGCAGATGCCTGGACGTGTCGGGCATGCTGCTCCTGGTGCTCCGGGCACTGGCTGTGGCTAGGAGGGGCCCTGCACCAGGACACTGGTCTTCACGCGGCCCTCGTTCTTCTAGGAGCCTTGTGCCAAGTGTGCGTCCGCAGCACCCCCCCGCTGGGGCTCCGGTGCGTCCTGGGGGACACTGCACTCCTGAGGAGCTGAGTGGATCCCATGCGACTCCACAGTGGACTCTGGGGGCTTGCGCCTGGTCCCCCAGAGATCGTCCTGTGTGCCACTGCCCTTAGCTGATTTCGCTGTCATCTTCTTGCTAGAATGAATCTTGGCTGTGGGTCCTCCTAGGTCATGAAGACGGAGGTCGCGGGGAGCCCCCAGCACAAGCAGCCACTTGCTTCCGCCAAGTCTCAGATGGGTTTTCAGGAAGAACAGTGGGGCTATGGAAGGTGCGTGCCTTGCCCCAGATGCCTTTTGCAGCCGGCCCACGCCATCCCGCCCCATAGGCACAGGCATAGTCGTTGCCCAGCCCGACATCCAGGCCAGTGCCCCTTGTGGCTGAGCTGCCACAGCTGCCCAGCAAGAGTCCCTCGGTCCTGCAGAACGATGCTGCTCTAACCATTATCTGCTGCACAAAGAGGGCGCCCAAGGGGCTAGGGGGGTGAGAGTCACAGGCAGCTGCCCCCGCCAGCTCCCTCTTACCACTGCTTGGTAATGTCGAACATCATGACCACCCCGTTGCAGTTCTTGTACACGTCCAGGAACTCAGCATCCAGGGCCATTTCAGACTCCGCCTGGGGACAGGAGGGAACAGGTGTGAGACTGGCCCAGGCTGGGCCCCACCCGTGTGGCCCACAGTTTTAGAAAAGGCTGGATAGTCTTCTAATCTGAAAAGATAACAGCCATTTCCATTTGGAAACGATATGCTGAAGAGATGGGATAGCTAAACATAGGTTTGCCCCAAAGGGTCTGACGGTCAACACCAGCCTCGCTGATGGCTCCCTGAACAAGCCTCCTACCCAGGACCTCCCACTGATCACAGCAGTGTCCGCCCCAGGCCTCACGGATAACCAAACCACCACTCGAAAATAGAAGTGGGTGCTGGACTACCAGCTGCCCTCAGCTAGATGTGCGTTCCGGAAGGTTCCAGTGCCCACAAACAGGGTTAGCTGCAGTGCTGTGGGCAGAGTCACTCCACCCCATGCTCTAAAGGGAGTGGGAGGCACCGCACGGAGAGTGCGAGGCCCTGGGTGTGTCGGGCTCAGGTTGGGTTGGCCCCAGGTGGCTCCGGTGAGCGAAACTCACGCCCATGGCGCTGCGAGATGTGTCCTGTGCTTTGAAGGGCCGAGCCCACCGAGACTGGGATAAAAGTTTGGCGAGTTCACTTAAATACCTCTCAGGTCACTCAAATGCAAATAGGGGTCAGTCCAACGTGATGTCTGTCGAGTGCAGGTGAGCCGGCCACCCCCAGATACAGCCATGGCAGTGTGGGGTTTTCAGAGCAGTTGGGAAGGCCAGCGGCCCCCGTGGCCACAGCATAACTGGGGTGGTTGGGGTCAAAAGCGTGTGAAGCGCTGGGCACCGGCTCACGCACCCCGGGGCCCTGAGCCACTGCTACCCACTGTGTACCTGGCACTCACCTCCTGGGGGTCGTTCTCCATCTTTAAGCCGTCGCCTCGCTTTTTGCATTTTCCTTATTTAAAAACAAACAAAAATTACGAGGTGGAACCCCTGGGCCTTGGGCCATAGGAGGAGCATGGTCCCCCCATGGCCACTCAGCCCCCAGCTCCAGCGGGTGCTCTACTCCACCACCCCAAACAGCCTGCAGCGTGGGCACCCACAAGCTCTGGAGCAGCAGGACCTGGGCGAGGCCCCTCTGTAGGCTCTGGAGGCAGGGCTGGGCCGGGCCTGGACAGGAGGTGCTAGTTGGGGCTGACAGGCTCAGCAGCTCCTGGACAGGCTGCGGTGGGATGGCCTACAGCCCTACACCAGGAGGGTTTGCTGCTGAAGGAAGGGCCCCCTCCCCCCAGCTCCCCCAAGTCCAGGGTGGGAGGAAGTACAAGGGATATGGTGGGAAGGTGAGGGGCCTCCCCCTGGGGTAAAAGTGGGGAGATGAGCGCACGGACTCTCAAGGCAACAACCAGCCCGGGAGGAAAGGAGAGGGGGGCAGGGATTCCAGCCCTGAAATGGCCTCGGGAGGGAGGAGGGCAGCTGTGTGGTGTCCACGGTCCAGGTCCCCCTGAGCCTCCGCCATCAAGGTCACCATGGCTCTCCTGAGAATGAGGGGCCGTGGTCCCCTCCCTTTAACTCCACAATGCTGACCTGAGGATAAAGGCTCCAGACCATCCTGGGAACTCTGGGGGTCCCAGTCTTGGAGTCACGGACTGGGACAACAAACAAAACCCCTAAGAACAGATGGGGCTCATGTGTTTAAAACGCCACGTCCACTTCATTCCACAGCTTGTTTCTGAACTGCTCACCACGATGTAACCCAGTCAGGGGGTCAGCCCCTCCCTCACAAGGTACAGGGGACAGAGCCAGCCCGGAGGAGCCTCCCCAGTCTGGCCACAAAGGGCTCAGCAGAGTCCCCAACACACACACAGCACAGCACTGCTGGCTGTCGGGGGCCTGCACCCAGGAAGGATGCTCACAGCCTAACCAGCACCCCCCGGGCGAGCCATTGAGACTGGCTGGATCTGCTTTGGGGAAAGCAGGCGGGACTGGAGGGGAGCCGGGTCCTGGCTGACCAGGCGGAGGTGAGGATTGTCGGCTCACCTGAGGCTGCTCCATTCAGCCTCCCTCTTGGCAGCCTGCCCCATGCAGCGTCAGCTAAGCCTGATGGCCTCGGCTTCCTCTCACCCTTGAGAACTCACCAGGTGCCCAAGAGACCTCAACCCCCTCCAATGCACTCCCCACCGGCCGCCCTGGCTGCTGTGGACAGTGCTCACACCTCGCACAGTGGGCACTGAGTCAGGGCGGGGATGGAAGGCACACTGGGCCCCATCATGAAGCTGGGGACCTTTTCCTCCTGAGGGGCCCTGGTTTAGGCTGAGTGAGACTCTCCCGGTGGGTGCTAACAGGTGGGTGCAAGGGTACACATGTAACCCCAGAGGAAGCCCAGGGCCAGGCGGCCTCTGCACCCACAGGCCTCCACACCAGCCCCGGGCACAGCAGGCCACCAGGAAGGGGGGGCCCATCCTAAGCCGTGGAGACCACACCCTTTACAGTGCCCAGTTATGAACCCCACTCTGGGCAACCGTGTCTACGGGAAGCCTGTGCCCGCTCCACGCCAAGGACAGACCCAGGAAGCCAGAGCTGGAGGCACAGGAAATCTCTGCAGCTCCGAAAGGGGCCAGGATGGGGGTCAGGACGGCCCTTCCTGAGCCACCTGGGGGCCACAGGCAGATCTGATAGCTTCTCCTCACAGTGGGGATGAGGACAATGATAGGGCGGTGGGTGGCCACCTCTCTAACACCAGAGACCACGCAGAGCTCTGCAGAGACAGCATCTGGAACACCAGGTCAGCACGGGCCACAAGAGTCCAGCGCAATGTGGTGGGAGCCGCAGGGGCCCAGCACCCCTGCGGGAACTGCATGAGCACCTGCCTCTAACCCCCCATGGCCAAACCCACCCCAACAAAGCACAGGTGGAGGGAGGGGAGCATGCGCCATCCGAACAGACACCATCACACAGAGGCGGCGGCCGCCTTTCCAGCAGAGCCTCGTAACGAGGCCACAGCCAGGCCTGTGAGGCCGGGGCGTGCACGTGGCCAGCCCTGCACACACCACACATGCACACGGACCATGGGCCCCGGGGAGGGCCATGAGCTCCACCCTGAGGACTTAGAGGAACTCATGACCTTGTGGCTGAGGAGGAGACCAACGATGTCGAGGACACCCCGGGGGCTGGTGCTGCCCTCCCACGGTCCCCAGAGTGCAGGTCTGTGTGGCTGGGGATCCCTGGCAGGGACAGGAGCGCAGGAGCTGGGTCCTCAGCTATGGGCAGGGGGCCGCCTGGTGCTGGGCTACTCCGCCAGGCAGTGCAGGAGGAGGGCTCCCAAAATAGCACCCTGGGCCTTGGGGCTCAAAGCACACCCCCCGGCTGCACCTGCCGCCACCGTGCACGCGGTCACTCAGAGACGGGGAGTATGCTAAAGCAGCAAAGCATGCAGTGCCACAGGAGGGGCTGCGCCACGCTGCGGGGTCGCCACTGGATGTGGAGGGGAGCAGAGCAGCAAGACCCTGGGCACCGTCCACGAGGATGGTGGGTGATGCATGGGCGCCGGGGGAAAGAAAGGAAGCCTCTCTGCGCAGAGCACACAGTCCCAGAGAGAAGCAGACACAGAACAGAGACGCCTCACCTTTGTCTACTACATCCCAGACTTCAACCTTCACGATGTCATCCGTGGCTGAAACAGGGAGAATCCTAAAATTAGTGCCCAACATGAAGTTCCCAAGGTGGCACAAAGCGGTCCAGCTGGTGTGGTTGTCTGTGCCCCGCAGCCACCGGCTCCCACCAGGACTTCCGAGTGTCCAGAAGCAGGGGATGTGTCCTCCCCAGACGACCACATGGCGGCTCCTTCAGGCCTTCGCTCAGACACAGCTTCAGTGACAAACTGAATGCACGGTATCTCCCTCCGCAGCCCCAATCCTGGGCACGGCCCCTCCCTCCCGGGCCCCGATCCTGGGCACGGCCCCTCCCTCCAGGGCCCCGATCCTGGGCACGGCCCCTCCCTCCCCGGCCCCGATCCTGGGCACGGCCCCTCCCTCCCGGGCCCCGATCCTGGGCACGGCCCCTCCTGGCCTCAGCATACTGGAAGGGGACCCTCCTGGCTGGGTCGATGTCTGTGTTTTTGCCCATGGAGTACGCTTCTGCTGACAGGTGCGAATGAATGGGCCCGCCTGTGTCACCTTCTGACCCTGTTTCTTCATCCAGTGACTGGCCTCTAGTTCACTTTGAGGGAGCAGAATCTAAGTAATCACTGAGGGCGGAGGCCGGACCCTCCCTTCGGAGCCACCTGAGAGGCCCCAGGCCTGCCTCACACCGCACCATCGCAGCTGGGCCTGCTGGTGCCAACCACTCCTCCTGAGCTCCCATGACTGTGCTCTGTTGTGGGGCGTGCTGGGGACTGGGGGAGCTGATGGATGGAGCCTCCCGCCCACCCAAGGATTCCAAGGGGAAGGGAGAACCAGAGGGGAGAGGCACGCCCGGGGCCCTCACACAGCCAGGCATCTGCCCCCACACCAATCACATCCACGTCGCCTGAGCAGAGGGGCATGAACGCTGCCATCAGCCTCACCCCAAACCAGGAAGAGGGTGCGGTGGCAGGTAGAGCTTCTGTGCGCCGGCCCTGTGGGCTCTGTGTCCTGTCAGCCCAGCACCACCCTCCCAGGCCCTAGAGAGCAGCAGATGCCCAGCAACTCCACGGCTGTTCCTGCACAGCAGTCCAAGTGTCAGCTGTCACCACGTGGCAGCTCAAACTCATCTTTGCCTCCCACTAGTAACCCACTAGTTTTTTTTTTTTTGCAGTGAAAAGGAAAGGTGTTTAAAACAGCCCTGGGTGGGAGTGGTGGCTCACGCCTATAATCCCAGCACTTTGGGAGCCCAACGTGGGTGAATCACGTGGTCAGGAGTTCAAGGCCAGCCTGGCCAAGATGGTGAAACCCCGTCTCTACTAAAAATACAAATAATTAGCTGGGTGTGGTGGCGGGCGCCTGTAATCCCAGCTACTCAGGAGGCTGAGGCAGAGAATTGCTTGAACCCGGGAGGCGGAGGTTCCAGTGAGCCGAGATCTCACCACTGCATTCCAGTCTGGGCGACAGTGAGACTCTGTCTCAAAAAAAAAAAAAAAAAAAAAAAACCCAACCAAACCAAAAAACAAACGAACAAACAAACAAAAAAACCAGCCCCAAGGCTTTTTGCTGTCACGATTCTGAACACACAGGGCAGCTGCTCTGCCTCCCACAGCAGGAGCCTCGCCACAGCTGTCACCTCCCCCACCTTCCCGCATCTACCCAGGCCCAGCCCACCCACACCCAATTGAGACCTGGGGGAGGGGTCTATCCCACCATCAAGCCCACCTCACTGAACCTTTTAGTGACACGAACTTTCCACAAGGGCAAGGCTCAAACAAAGGTCTTATTACTGTTTCTGGTGGTGGAGAAGATGTCGGGCTGGGGCCCAAGAAAAAATACCATGTGCACCAAGAGGGTGCAGGCAAGGGAATGCTCCTCGGAATGTACCTCTTTTCAGCCCCCGAGGCGCCCGCGTGCCCACTCACCTGCGGCCAACGCTGCCCCAAGCTGAGCCTCCCAGGTCAGTGGGGCTTCATGAAGCTCACTCAGGCAGCAGGGTGATCCACCCCAAAAGAGCCCCAGAGTTCACGCCAGGGCCCCCACGTCAGCAGGGTCCCTCACAGACAAGAACTCTTCGGGGAGACCCCCTCTGGGGAATGCATCTCCCAGGAACCAGGGCTGAGGGAGGAGAAGCCTGGAGCCCGAACCCACTGGGGCACCCACCACACTTACTCTTGTAGCTCCAGTGGATGCTGGTGACCTGGATCTCCTGTGTGGGGATGTACTCCTCCACGAACGGCCGGCCCTGCAGGCGGTGCCACAGCGCTGTCTTGCCCGTGTTCCTGTCTCCCCGGATCACTATCTTCACTGGGGACGGGAAGAGAAAAAGAAAAGGCAAATTAAACGAACCGAACCCAAGCTGCAGCTTTAAGAGCAACTACAAGGAGAGCCGGTTCTGCTGCCACCTGTTTCATCTTTCTTGCTAGAATCAGACCAGGTGACCGGCAGGCAGGGGAGGAAGACGATGGGTGGGTACCATGGCAACCTCTCCCATCAGGAGGACACCTGGCAGCACACAGAGCATCAACGGCGAACCGGGCCCAGGGGGCAGCTTTCTACTTGGAGCCAGGTCAGGCTTTCTACTTGGAGGACGTGGTTCTGCCCTAGAGCCCACCCCTGGGACCCCTGGTGACCCTCAGGGTCAGGGCCCACCACCTGAGGAGCTCTCCACAGCACCCCAGGCTTCTGCGGATTGCTCCTAACCAGGTTTTCTGCAGCCCTGGAGTCTTTTTTTTTTTTTTTTTGAGACGGAGTCTCGCTTTTTTGCCCAGGCCGTACTGCAGTGGTGCTATCTCGGCTCACTGCAAGCTCCACCTCCCGGGTTCACGCCATTCTCCTGTCTCAGCCTCCCGAGTAGCTGGGACTACAGGCGCCCGCCACCATGTCCAGCTAATTTTTTGTATTTTTAGTAGAGACGGGGTTTCACCGTGTTAGCCAGGGTGGTCTCGATCTCCTGACCTCGTGATCCGCCCGCCTTGGCCTCCCAAAGTGCTGGGATTACAGACGTGAGCCACTGCGAGCCCTGGCGTCTTCAGTGCACAATTCTGCAGAACGCGGGGCCTGCATCCCAGCTCACGCACAACGCGTGTGTGCCGGGTAGCCCCGGGCCTGGGCCTGCTTGCTCCGGGGCTGGGTTGGAGAGGCCACTGCCCAGCTTGTTTTGAAAATGTGATGGGGGAGGGAGGGCAGCTGGGAGGGGAGCACGGACTTAGCAAAGGCGGGAGGTGGCTCAGAACGGGTGGAGATGGGGATGGACCTGGCACCCGACTGGACTAAGAACACCCAGCCTGCGGAGGTGCTGGAAGAACAGGATCGAGAATGACCGAGAAGCTGTGCGGACGCAGCAGCCAGCACTGAGACAGCTGCCCTCGGACCTGGGCAGACCCCGAGAGCTTCTCACACAGGCCTTGGTGAACCCACCACAGGCACGGGGGAGAGAGAAGCCCTGGCCGTCCTCCACGTTTCCAGGAGGGGAGAGCCAGGGAAGCCAGGGAAGGGAGCCGGGTTGGTGGGGAGCAGAGGCAACCAAGGAGCAGGTCTGCAGGCTCCTCCCACTTCCCCAGGTCTCGGGCCTCCCGCCCGCTCCCCCATCTGTGTCAGGTCTGCAGCCTCCTCTCACTCCCGCAACGCCCCCCCCAGGTTTTCTGTCAGGGGGACCCCAAGCTCCCAACGCAGAGGGCGCCCGGCCTCGAAGCTCTGAGGGACCCTGGGCTGTCCCTGTGCCCCACCCGGCTCCTCTCTCCTGGCCCAGTCCCCTCCCTCTACCTCAAGGCACCTGTTCCCACAGTCATTTCTTCTCCCCTGAAGCTTGTTCATTTCCTCGCCCATCCTAGGTACCTCAACGCGCCAACTTTCAACGCCTCTGGTCATATCTCGGCGCCGGCCAGCGCTGCGGCAAAACCTCCAGAGGGGACCCAGGCGCCCTCACGGCCACGGTGGCGGCCGCACCGGCTGGGGGCAGCCAGGAGGCTCCGCGCTTCTCCCGGCCGAGCCCACCCCGCGGAAGGCTGGGCCCTCGTTCCCCTCCCTCTCCCGCGGAGAACTTGGAGAACAGAGGCCGCCTGCAGCGCCCTCCAGCCCGGCGGCCCGGCCTGTGGAGAGCACAGCAGCCCCAAGCGGAGCCGCAGGCGCTCAGCGCAGCCAGGAGGGAGCCAGGCCCCAGCGCGGCGGGAGGCCCGAGACGGGCCGCGGCGCCCTCCCTCCTCCGGCCCGAGGCAGGAACCCGGGCGCGGCCCACAGCTCTGGGCTCAGTCGGGCGGCCGCCGTCCCCCCCAGATGAGCAGCAGCCCGGGCTCGCAGAGACTGCCCGGGCCGCGCACGCATAGCCTCGCTGGGCCCGCGAGAGAACGGCGGCGCCATCCACGTCCGTCCCGCGGCCCCGAGGTCCACGGCCTGAGCGGCGGCCCTGCCTCCCCGCCCCGGCACCGCTCAGGCGGCCCACGCGCTGTGCTTCCCGGTGGTTTCCACATGCGGTGGTCCCGTCTCCGGGTCTTTCCCGGGAGTGGGGCGTTAGCAACGCGGAGAGCGCAGAGACGGTCACAGCGACCGCCCGTTTTCCCGCGGCCAGAACCAACGCGCTGACGTCCCTTGGTCCCCGCATCTCGGCTCCTCAACCCTACGGGACAGAACCCACTTCCTTCATTTTGTAAAAATGGCACATGCTCTTTGTAAGGAACTTAAACAAGGCAGACAAGCACAAGAACCAATGTTAACAAAGCCTCCCAATGCCACTGCCGGAAACCAGCCCTCATGAACGCGGGGAGCTCATTCCAGGCATCTGGCCAGTTTGGCTTCTGCAGAACGTCGGAGAGTTGGGGTCACACAGAATAATTTCTCTCACTCAGCGATACGCACTTAAGGCTCATGCAGGCCTCTCCACGGCTTGAGAACATCTTTTCAGGACTAAATAATGTTCCACCATCTGGATGCACGGAGTTGATCCATTCATCTACTGAAGGACGTCTTGGCCGCACTTTTCCTTGAATTTCCATTGATATTTTTCTCTTTTCGTAATATATATTATTCGGATACTGCAACACCCACACTCAGCCTCTGTTTATTTTTTTCATATCATTTACCAGCTGTCATTTTGCTGTGAGATTTTCCCTTTATTTTCTAAACCTTCCTTTGATTTTATTTTTGCTTTTTAAAAATTATTATTGGCCGGGCACGGTGGCTCACGCCTCTAATCCCAGCACTTTGGGAGGCCGAGGCGGGCGGATCACCTGAGCTCAGGAGTTCGAGACCAGCCTGGACAACATGGAGAAACCCCGTATCTACTAAAAATACAAAATTAGCCGGGTGTGGTGGTGGACACCTGTAATCCCAGCTACTCAGGAGGCTGAGGCAGGAGAATTGCTTAACCCCAGGAGGTGGAGGTTGCAGTGAGCCAAGATCACACCACTGCACTCCAGCCTGGGCAACAGAACAGAACCGTCTCAAAAAAAACAACAAAATTATTTTTACAAACAGGGTCTCACTGTCACCCAGGCTAGAGCCAGCACAGTGGCACCATCCTAGCTCACTGCAGCCTCAATCTCCTGGGCTCAAGTGATCCTCCCACCTTAGCCTCCCAAGTAGCTCAGACTACAGACATCTGCCAGCTAATTTTTTTTTTTTTTTTTTTTTTTTGGAAGATGGAGTCTCACTCTGCCGCACAGGCTGGAGTGCAGTGGTGTGATCTCAGCTAACTGCAACCTCCACCTACTGGATTCCAGTGATTCTCCCATCTCAGCCTCCCAAGTAGCTGGGACTACAGGCGCAAGCCGCCATGCCTAATTTTCTGTATTTTAGTAGAGACAGGGGTTCACCATTTTGCCCGGGCTGGTCTCAAACTCCTGAGCTCAGGCAATCCGCCCATCTTGGCCTCCTAAAGTGCTAGGATTACAGATGTGAGCCACCACCCCATGCCTAGTTTTTTTACTATTTTTTTCTTAGAGACAGGGTCTTGCTTTTTGCCCAAGCTGGTCTCGACCTCCTGGGCTCAAGCAATCCTCCTGCCTTGGCCTCCCAAAGTGCTGGGATTACAGGTATAAGCCACGGCACCAGTGAGGATGGTCCACTTTAATCAATGTTCCTTGAGCCTTCAGGTCCAGAGACTTTCTCTGAGCCTGCGGTAACCCTTCACATTTCTACCCGCTCTCTTTCATTTTGAAGTATATTCTGCATATGGCATCACTGTCGCTGTAGCACTAGGACTATAGCTAGAGCAGCTTTCTTATGGTTAATGTTTACCTAGTGTCTTGTTTCCAACTCCTAACTTTCAACCTTTCGACACCATTATGTTTTGGATGTGTCTCTTATACACCACATAGCCAAATTAAAGAAAAAAAAATTCCTCGAATCTCACATTCTTTCGAGCTGGTGAGTTCTGTTTACTGACAACTGCTGCTGCCATGTTATTTTATGATTTTTAGTTACAGCTCTGGTTCCCTTGCCCCTCCCCCAGCCTTCTATGCCTTTGATTAAAGCTGGACAAGGTGGTTTTCTTTTTTTTTTTTTTTTTTTCTTGAGACGGAGTCTCGTTCTGCTGCCCAGGCTGGAGTGCAGTGGCACCATCTCGGCTCACTGCAAGCTCCGCCTCCCGGGTTCACGCCATTCTCCTGCCTCAGCCTCCCGAGTAGCTGGGACTACAGGCGCCCGCCACCACGCCCGGCTAATTTTTTGTATTTTTATTAGAGACGGGGTTTCACCATGTTAGCCAGGATGGTCTCGATCTCCTGACCTCGTGATCCACTCGCCTTGGCCTCCCAAAGTGCTGGGATTACAGGCGTGAGCCACCGCGCCCGGCCTGGACAAGGTGGTTTTCAGAAAGTATTCTTTCTACCTGGTATTTATTTGGAAGATTTGCAACCTGTTTCTACACTTTGGGAACCCTTAAGTTTTCAACACTCACATCTGCTGCAGTGAAGTCTGAAGTTAACACTTCTTCTTAATAATAATATAGAGATCTGAACGCCTTGACTGTCCAGCTTCACCCTGGGCTGTGTTACTTCTGGTAGTTTCTTCTTTTATATACCCTATATAAATCATGATCACCACTGATTAACATAACCAACGCTTATTCCTTTTCTTTCCTTTTTTTTTTTTGATTAAGTCTCACTCTGTTGCCCAAGCTGGAATGCAATGATGCAGTCTTGGCTCACTGCAACCTCCACCTCCCGGGTTCAAGTGATTCTCCTGTCTCAGCCTCTCGAGTAGCTGAGACTACAGGTACGCACCACCATGCCTGGCTAATTTTTGTATTTTTTTTAGTAGAGATGGGGTCTCACTATGTTGGCCAGGCTGGTCGTGAACTCCTGACCTCGTGATCCACCCACCTTGGCCTCCCAAAGTGTTGGGATTACAGGTGTGAGCCACCGCACCTGACCCACCAACACTTATTTCATTTTCACCACATATTTACCAGTTTCTTTGCTTACCTTTGGTTTTTTTTTTTTTTTTTTTTTTTTTTTTTTTTTTTTTTTTTTGAGACAGAGTCTGGTTTTGTTGCCCAGGCTGGAGTGCAGTGGTGGGATCTCGGCTCACTGCAAGCTCCGTCTCCTGGGTTCACGCCATTCTCCTGCCTCAGCCTCCTAAGTAGCTGGGACTACAGGCGCCCGCCACCACGCCCGTCTAATTTTTTGTATTTTTAGTAGAGACGAGGTTTCACTGTGTTAGCCAGGATGGTCTTGATCTCCTGACCTCGTGATCTGCCCGCCTCGGCCTCCCAAAGTGCTGGGATTACAGGCGTGAGCCACTGTGCCCGTCATTTTTTTTTTTTTTTTTTTTGAGATGGAGTCTTGTTCTGTTGCCCAGGCTGGAGTGCAGCGGCGCGATCTCAGCTCATTCCAACTTGTGCCTCCCGGGTTCACACGATTCTTGTGCCTCGGCCTCCTGAGTAGCTGGGATTACAGGCGCCTGCCCTCATGCCCGGCTAATTTTTGTGTTTTCAGTAGAGACAGCGTTTCACCATGTTGGCCAGGCTGGACTCAAACTCCTGACCTCAAGTGATCCACCTGCCTCAGCCTCGCAAAGTGCTGGAATTAGAAGTGTGAGCCAGCACCCGGCCCCCTTTGCTTTTTGAAATCCACTCCTGTGTTTCGAGCTCAACTCCACCTCTCTGAAGAATAACCTTCAGTATTTATTTCTAAAAGAGCCTTTGCACAGTGAGCCTCAAGCTTCGGCAGAAGTGGAGCCAGTCACACGGCTCTCAAGTGCTCATCAGACAGAGACCTCAGCCCACGTCGGCCTCCCCTCAGCCCACGTCGGCCTCCCCACAGCCCACGTCGGCCTCCCCTCAGCCCACGTCGGCCTCCCCACAGCCCACGTCGGCCTCCCCTCAGCCCACGTCGGCCTCCCCTCAGCCACAGGTTTGCTGCGAGCTGGTCACCAGTCCACTGCATGCTCCTCTCAGGGAAGTCTTTTTGTTCTGGTTGCATCTAAGATGTTTACTTTTTAATGTTTTGAAAATTTCCAATGATGTATCTAGCTGTGGATGTTTTTAAACTCTGGACTTCTTGGAGTTTCCTGTATTTCATGAACTCTGGAAAGTCCTCAGTCTTCCCTTTCTCCTTTCTTGCTCTCTTCTCCTTCTGGAACTTGTACTGGACATGGGCTGGCATCGCCTCCTCCCTGGGCCGCACATCTCTTCCCAACACTGCTCCTCTCTTCAGCTGAGTTAGTGCTGCTTCTCGTGCTGCTTCTCCTGCTGCTGACTGATTTAACGTTAATGACTATGTTTTTCATTTCTAGAGGTTTTCATTCTGTTTCTTTTTCAAACATAAACTGTCTGCTCATGGTTTTTTGTATTTATAATTGACATAATAATTGCACATATCATGGGCATACAGTCTTGACTAGTCTTAAGATTGCTTCCTTTTACATCTTTATCAATTTTAACATACATTTGTTTTCTATTATCTTCACATTTTGAGAATGAAGAGTCTTATTTTCTCTCCCTTGAAATGAAATTTACTCCTTTTAAAAGCTAATTACCCATATACACACCTACTATATGGCCACAAACTCTTTTTTAAAAAAGCTAATTACAAGAAATCCTGTAACATCAGAAATAAGGCAAGTAAAATAATCTGATTTAATTATTTTAAAAAATTACCCCCCCCCCCTTTTTTTTGAGACAGAGTCTCACTCTGTCACCCAGGCTGGAGTGCAGTGGCGCGATCTCGACCCACTGCAACCTCCACCTCCCAGGCTCAAGCAATTCTCCTGCCTCCGCCTCCTGAGTAGCTGGGATTACAGGCATGTGCCCATCACACCCAGCTAATTTTTGTTATTTTTAGTAGAGACAGGGTTTTGCCATGTTGGCCAGGCTGGTCTCAAACTCCTGACCTCAAGTGATCCACCAACCTCGGCCTCCCAAAGTGCTGGGATTACAGGAGTGAGGCACCATGCCCAACTTAACCTCTACTTTTAAGTTAAAAAGTTAGGCTGGTCGCAGTGGCTCTCTCCTGTAATGCCAGCACTTTGGGAGGCCAAGGCAGATGGATCGCTTGGGCCCAGGAGTTTGAGACCAGCCTGGGCAACATGGTGAAACACTGTCTCTACAAAAATTACAAAACTCAGCCAGGCATGGTGGCGTGCACCTGTAGTCCCAGCTACTCAGGAGGCTGAGGTGGGAAGATTGCTTGAGCCAGGGAGGTGAAGGCTGCAGTGAGTCAAGATTGCGCCACTGCACTCCAGTTCAGGCGAAAGAGCAAGACCCTAAATAAATAAAATCAATTTCAGAATCTTTTTTTTCTCCTGCTGGTCCCTTGATCTTGGGTTTTCTTTTTTTCTGCTTAACTTCAGAATCTTAAATGTTGGCTGCAATAAGCTAAGTGATTCTCCTGGAAAACCTTTAGGATTCATCCAAGAAACGCTAAGAAGCCCTGTACTTACCTGTACTTAACCTCATGGTAAACCTGCTCTTTTACTAAACGGGATGTGAACACGACCTCTGTTCTAAGCTTGTTTTAGAAGATACAATGCAGAAAACACAGAGCTCTATTTGAGGCCCTGAGCCTTTCTTACCCTGATTCAATTTAACTCCTTCACATTCCTGCAGCTTTCCTGCAAAATATGGAATAATTTTCTTACATTTTCATACCAAGAAGAGCTTATGATTTATCTCAGATGCATGAAGGTTTAACTCCTAACCAGGCCCTCTCACAGTGCCAGCAGCATCTCCTGGGCCCATTACAAGGGCCCAGCCACCTCCCCACCCTGACAGCCTGTGCTGCAGCTGGTGTCAGCCACACCTTGCTCCTCTCCCACTCTGCACCCTGCAAAGATTTCCCATCCTCAGCAGCTTCAGACTACTTGGTGTCGAGGCAGGTAAAAACCAAGGTGACCCCAAGAAAATGGCTGCTCCCCCAAAGGAGGCAGAAGGAGGAAGTGAAGATGAGGAAATGTCAGAAGATGAAGAAGATGACAGCTGTGGAGAAGAGACTGTCACACCTCAGGAGAAAGGCAAGAAGGCTGCTGCAACCCCAGCCAAGAAGGTGACAGTTTCCCGAACAAAAAAGGCTGCAGGTGCCACACCCACCAAGAAAGCAACTGTCACTCCAGGCAAAGCAGTCGCCACACCTGCCAAGAAGGGAGCCATAGCAGGCAAAGCACTGGCAGCAGCTCCTGGCAAGAAGGGACACCCCAGCCAAGGGGGCAAAGAACGGCAAGAACGCCAAGAAGGAAGACAGCGATGAGGAGGAGGATGACTCTGAACCAGCAGTGATGAAGGCAGCAGCGGGTGCCCCTGCCTCAGGGGATGAGGACGAGGACGATGAGGACGATGCTGAGGAAGATGGCTCTGAAGCAGCACCTATGGAAACAACACCAGCCAAAGGAAAGAAAGCTTCTACAAATGCTGTTCCTGGGAAAGCCAAGAGGATGGCTGGGAATGAAGATGAAGAGGATGATGAGGACAAGGACGAGGGTGACGATGATGAAGAGGATGAAGTGATGAAGACGACAAAGAGGAGGAAGGGTCTGTCAAAGAAGCACCTGGAAAATGAAGGAAATGACCAAACAGCAGCTTCTGAAGCCAAGAAACACAAAGTGGAGAGTGAGAAGCACAGAACCAACTGTGCCTTTTTTTTTTTTTTAAGACAGGGTCTCACTCTCTCGCCCAGGTTGGACTGCAGTGGCGCAATCTTGGCTCACTGCAACCTTCACCTGCCAGGCTCAAGTGATTCTCCTGCTTCAGCCTCCTGAGTAGCTGGGATTACAGGCGTGTACCACTACCACCCGGCTAATTTTTGTATTTTTAGTAGAGACGGGGTTTCACCATGTTGGCCAGGCTGGAACGTCTTTCAATCTTTGTTGGAAACCTGAACTTTAACAAGTCTGCTCCTGAGTTAAAAACTAGTATCCATGGGCCAGGCCTGGTGGCTCACGCCTGTAATCCCAGCACTTTGGGAGGCTGAGGTGGACAGATCACAAGGTCAGGAGTTTGAGACCAGCCTGGCCAACATAATGAAACCCTGTCTCTACTAAAAATACAAAAATTAGCCGGGCGTAGTGGTGCGTGCCTGTAGTCCCAGCTACTGGGGAGGCTGAGGCAGGAGAATCACTTGAACCCGGGAGGTGGAAGCTGCAGTGAGCACCATTGCACTCCAGCCTGGGTAACAGAGCAAGACCCTGTCTCGAAAAAGAAAGAAAAACAAAAACTAGTATCCATGATATTTTTGCTAAAAATGATCTTGCTGTTGTGGATGTCAGAATGGGTATGACAAGGAAATCTGACTATGTGGATTTTCAAGCTGCTGAAGACCTGGAAAGAGCCTTGGAACTCGCTGGTTTGAAAGACTTTGGCAATGAAATTAAACTAGAGAAACCAAAAGGAAAAGACAGTAAGAAAGAGCAAGATGTGAGAATACTTTTGGCTACAAATCTCCCTTACAAAGTCACTCAGGATGAATTACAAGTGTTTTGGCTGGGCGCAGTGGCGCAGTGGCTCACACCTGTAATCCCAGCACTTTGGGAGGCCAAGGCAGGCAGATCACGAGGTCAGGAGATCAAGACCATCCTGGCTAACACGGTGAAACCCTGTCTCTACTAAAAATACAAAAAATTAGCTGGGTGTGGTGACGGGTGCCTGTAGTCCCAGCTACTCGGGAGGCTGAGGCAGGAAAATGGCGCAAACTTGGGAGGTGGAGCTTGCAGTGAGCTGAGATCACGGCCACTGCACTCCAGCCTGGGCAACAGAGCGAGACTCTGGCTCAAAAAACAAAAAAGTGTTTGAAGATGCTGTGGAGATTGGATTAGTCAGCAAGGATGGGAAGAGTAAAGGGACTGCTTATATTGAGGTTAAGACAGAAGCTAATGCAGAGAAAACTTCTGAAGAAACGCAGGGAACAGAGATGGATGGCCGATCTATTTCCCTGCACTATCATGGAGAGAAAGGTCTAAATCAAGACTAGAGAGACCACTTGGAGGGGTGAATCAAAAACTCTGGTTTAAGCAACCTCTCCTACAGTGCAACAGAAGAAACTCTTCAGAAAGAATCTGAGACAAGGCAACTTTTATCAAAGTGCCCCAGAACCAAAATGGCAAATCTAAAGGGTGTGCATGCACTTACAGTTCGCTTCATTTGAAGATGATAAAGCAGCTTTAAATTCCTGTAATAAAAGGGAAACTGGGGGCAGGGCAATCAGGCTGGAGTTGCAAGGACCACCTGATGCCAGGAGCCAGCCATCTAAAACTGTCTGTCAAAGGCCTGTCTGAGGACACCACTGAAGAGGCTTTAGTCATTCGACAGCTTTGTTGGGCAAGGGTAGTCACCAACCAGGAAACCGGGTGCCCCAAAGGCTTTGGCTCTGTAGATGGCAACAGTGAGGAGGATGCCAAAAGCGCCAAGGAGGCCGCGGAAGATGGTGAAATTGAGGGAAACAAAGGTAACTTGGACTGGGCCAAACCTAAGGGCGAAGGTGGCTTTGGGGTTGTGATGGAGGTAGAGGAAGCTTTGGAGGATGAGGTGGTGGCAGAAGCCAGGAAGGCTTTGGTGGGCGAGGCAGCTTCTGGGGAGGCAGAGGTGACCACAAGCCACAAGGAAAGAAGACAAAGTTTGAACGGCTTCTGTCCCTTTGTCTTTCCCTCTCCCATTTGAAAGAAAGGACGCTGGGGTTTTTATTCCGTTACCTGATCAATGACAGAGCTCTCTGAGGACATTCCAAGACAGTCTACAGTCCTGTGGTCTCCTTGGAAATTCGTATAGACAACATTTCAAGGGTAATACCTTCCTTGTTTGTTTTGACTGGATATTCATATAAACTTTTCTTTCTTTTCTTTTTTTTTTAAGACGAAGTCTCACTCTGTCGCCCAGGCTGGAGCGCAGTGGTGTGATCTTGGCTCACGGCAACCTCTGCCTCCCGGGTTCAAGCGATTCTCCTGCCTCAGCCTCCCGAGTAGCTGGGATTACAGGCATACGCCACCACACCTGGCTAATTTTCATATTTTCAGTAGAGATGAGTTTCATCATGTTGGCCAGGTTGGTCTTGAACTCCTGACCTCATGTAATCCGCCCACCTCAGCCTCCCAAAGTGCTGGGATTACAGGTGTGAGCCACCGTGCCCGGCCTGCTAAGTCCCATTTCTAAATTCGCACCAGTGTCTACTCAGAGAGGACTCTGGTTGTCCGAGCTCCTGGGCCAGGCCAGTATCAGAGCTGCACAATAATGCTCACTCAGGAGCAACTCCACAGAAAAATTCTGCACCAAATACAACTGATATTTTGTGTCCAGTCACAGTAGAAAGGGACAGACCAACTCAGGCAACAATCTTTCTTCCAAATAATTTCAAATAATTTTCCTAATAATTTTATATGCAAATAATTTCAAAATTGTGTAAACCAAAATTAAAATCCCAAGGCCTGCCAACCATCTGAATGGACTTCCTCTTCTAGGCCAGGGCCATCCAAATTTCATCTGAAAGACTGGTTCAGGCCATTATGGGAAGAGGGGAGTCAGACAGGCCTCATTGTGGCCTCCTCCCTTCTGGAATTCAGGAAAAGCTCACCAGCATTTAACATCAACACTGACTTTAAGTCTGATAAGAAACATAATCTGGCCAGGCGCGGTGGCTCACGCCTGTAATCCCAGCACTTTGGGAGGCCAAGGGGTTCGGACTGCTTGAGTAGAGGGGTCTGAGCCCAGCTGGGCAACGTGGTGAAACCCTGTCTCTCTAAAAAATACCAAAATTAGCTGGGTGTGGTGGTGCAATTGTTTTTTTTTTTTTTTTTGAGACAGGGTCTGACTCTGTCACCCAGGCTGGAGTGCAGTGGCACAATCTCAGCTCACTGTAACTTCTGCCACTTGGGCTCAAGCGATTCTCCCGCCTCAGCCTCCTGAGTAGCTGGGATTACAGGCACCCACCATCACACCCGGTTAATTTTTATAGTTTTAGTAGAGACGGGGTTTCGACATGTTGGCCAGGCTGGTCTTGAACTCCTGGCCTCAGGTTGTCCGCCTGCCTCGGCCTCTCAATGTGCTGAGATTACAGGCGTGAGCCACCGCGCCCGGCAAAAAAACACAATTTTTTTAAACTACCTCCGACCTGGAAGCCCCCACTTCAAGTTGTCCCGCCTTTGTGGACCAAATCAACATATATCTTAAATGTATTTGATTACTGTCTCATGTCTAAAATGTATAAAACCAAGCTGTGCCCTCCACCTTGGGCACATGTCCTCAGGGTCACCTGAGGGCTATGTCACGAGCCATGGTCACTCATATTCAGCTCAAAAATAAATCTCTTCAAATATTTGACAGAGTTTGACTTTTTCATCCATTATGGTCCAATGTCTCATTCGAGTTTTTATTCTAAAACCAGTGGGTGTCCCACACGTCTACCGGGACCACTAGCAACTCCGAGCAAATGCAGGGCCCAGGAGGAGAGCCCAGACTCCTGGAAACCCGCAGCAGTTCCCAGAAACTCTCACCCCCAAAACCCTCGACTCTGTCTTGATCACATTGCTGGTCTGTTACGCTCTGTAAAATATTTGAGAAAATAAATACCAGAAAGCCGGGCATGGTGGCTTACGCCTGTAATCCCAGCACTTTGAGAGGCTGAGGCGGGCAGATCACGAGGTCAGGAGATTGAGACCATCCTGGCTAACACGGTGAAATCCTGCCTCTACTAAAAATACAAAAAATTAGCCGGGCGTGGTGGCCGGTGCCTATAGTCCCAGCTACTCGGGAGGCTGAAGCAGGAGAATGGTGTGAACCCGGGAGGAGGAGCTTGCAGTGAGCTGAGATCACGCCACTGCACTCCAGCCTGGGAGACACAGCAAAACGCAAAACTCTGTCTCAAAAAAGAAAAGAAAAGAAAAGAAATACTAGAAACTTTCTATTCTAACACAGAAACTCAAAAGTTTTAAAATTGCATGTTATTCAGCTATAAAGATAACATCTTTCTAAAATGTAATTTAGGTACAAATTCAAATTTCTCTCTGTCTCACCACCTTTCATTCAGTTCTAGGAGATCATAACCTGTTCTCCAAGTACTGGAGACTGGCTTTTCTCCTCTGGAAGGACCCCATTGCCCTTTTTAGTCACACTCGCCCAGGACCACACAGGGGTGGTCCTGGTGCATGAGGTGGACCTTGCCCAGGACCCTCGGGGAGCCTTTTCAGAAGGTGAACAGTTTCCAGGTCCAGGCCTGATTTCCCAGGGACTAATACTGAGCTTAGCCAATACTGTAAGCAATAAAATTAAATAAAGGATCCAAACGCAGAGTCTAAAAACTGGCGTAAACTCAGTTATTTTGACTCAATATTCTCTTCTCCGAATGCCAGCTATGTATAAAGTTTCAATTATAACACATTTAAAATCAGCTTTTATTTTTATTCAAAATGCACCACTTTATTTTCCTTACCAGACAGCCAAGCATTAAGCACGTTCCAGTCACGTGACTTCTTCAGCGAGCCCCCAGGCTTCCACTCCACGGGAGTCTGGGAGCTCCTGGACAGAGGAGTCCTGAGATTTCAAATAGTCAAGCCTTCTCCCCAGCCACAAGTTCCTTTGATGCTTGGGTTACTGAACACAAACGCAATGGATTGTTTGTCTTCAACATAATCCGTTTCTGTTCCTAAACGTGTTGGCTGCGCTTTCTTTCTGATGAGCACGCTGACTCTAATTTGAACTTCATCAAAATCTTCTTTGTCGTCGTATGTTCTAGAGTATAAGAAAAGCCAATACGGCCCTTGGTTCGGACATCAACTTTCTTTTAAATTTTTTTTTCGTATTTTTAGTAGAGACGGTGTTTCACTATGTTGGCCAGGCTGGTCTCGAATTCCTGACCTCGTGATCTGCCCGCCTTGGCCTCCCAAAGTGCTGGGATTACAGGCATGAGCCACCGTGCCCGGCCCGGACACCAACTTTCATACCTAGATGCTCAGACTTATCTTTAAGAAGTTGTTTTATCTTGCTTACTGCTAAAGGTGTCTGGGTGAGGGTGGCCCGAGTGGTCTGCAGCTTCCTCTTGCTCACAGGCCGGGGGACTAAGGAAGGCGACATCTTCACTGTCCTCCTGGACTAGCTCCAGCCCCAGGAACTACGGCCTCTCTCCGTGCACACGGCACGCGAATTCATGAACTTGCTTTTAAACCTGCACAAGAGTCTTTCTGATCATTAGTTCTTAAAATTCTACATTACCATGGAAATATCACGGAGGCTCTAAGGCTCCCCTTAAAGTGACCAAAAAACTGGATAGGCGTAGCGTCCTAAAACCTCATAGAAACATACGGAAATGGCTAAGAGGGAAGCAATGTCAAAACAGGGAACCACATAAAAGCTTTCAAAAACTACTGGGAAAGAGCCCGCAAGATGGAAAAACTCATAAGAGGTCGAGGACAATTTACACAATTTATAACAAAGGAATGGAGCGTCCCAGGCACTCAGGAGTCCGTAAATGACTCCTCCTTCCTACGAGAAATGGGATGTCTCCTACAGTCGCAAGTCAGCCCGTGCCTTCTGGAGCTTTTCTAGATACGTCTCTTACAAACGCTTCTTTTAAAAAAAAAGGCGAGAATGTGTGGCGTAGCTAATATTCTGTCTTCAAACTCAGTAGGAAGTCAACAAAGAAAAATCCCGCTGAAAGCGCCAAGGCCGGCTGGGTTCCCCGCACCTCCTGCAGGTGAGTGGTGCCCGGGGCTGGGCACCGTGGAGCGTCGGGGGCGCGGCGCCCCGGGCCGGCGGGCCCTGCTTGGCATTATGTAATCACCCCCGGGCCGGGCAGCCGGGCCAACCCCGCCGCCGCCGACCCGCTCCACTGCACAGCGCGGCGGGAGCGACACGCGGCAGGCGAGTGCGGCTGGGAAACGACCCGCGGCTCGGGGGCCGCGAGGACCCGGCCCTGGCCTGGCCTCTCCTCGCGTCCCCTGGCCCGCGCCCCCGCTCCCGGAGCGCCCGGCGGGCCCAGCGCACCCCACAACCGGCAAGCAGGTGAGACCGACACCCACCACCGCGCGGCGCCCGGGGCCTGGGTTCGGAGACCCGCGCGGCGCTCCCGCGCCCCCCCGGCCCGCCGCACTCACTGTTGTACTGCACCCCCTTGGCGAAGCGCCTCTGCAACGCCTGGTTCATGGACTGCAGCCCGGCGGGGATGTTCTTGTCCCGGCCCGGGGCCTGGTCCGACCCCACCAGCTTCTTCAGGGCGGAAAACATCTTCCCGCTCGGACGTCCCAGCCCGGGCGCGGCCGGCGAGCTCAGCGGCGGCGGGGAAGGGGTGCGACTGGCACCATGTCCCGGCGGCCCCGGCCCCCCCGGAGGCCGGAGCCGGCGCGGCCAGAGGCCGGGGTCCCGGCGGCGGAGCGCAGCCCCGAGCGGCGACTCGGGAACCTCAGCCGCGGCTGCTCCGCTCCGGCCCCCGCGGCCTCCGGCGCGACCGCTCTCCAGGAGTCAGCGCCGCCATCTTGGCGCCGGCTCGGCGGGACGGGAGGGGTGCGCGGCTACGGGGCGCCGCGAGGGCCGCGGGGGCGCGGCGCGCGCGGTCGGCGCATGCGCACGCGGTTCTGGCGCGCAGTTCCGGGCCCGGGCTGCCTCCTTACGCAGAACCTCCCCCGATCCTGCGTGTCCCGTGCTCCTCTCCGAGACCCCGGTCGCCCCAGCGTCCGCAGCAGTCCTGGAAAAATGTTTATTTGTGTAGCAAAGCAGGGAGCGGGGCGGCGGGGCTACTTCTTCTTTTTCTTGGCCGCCTTGAGCTTCCCCTCGATTAGCCGCTGCGCCTGCCTCTTGATCTCGGCGCGCGAAGGGACGTAGCTGTGGTCCATGTCGGGGAACTGGAAGGTGTCTGCGGGCGGAGGCGGCGGCTCGCACACGGGGCTAGCCCAGCTAGGCGCAGCCGCCCGACCCGCCTCTCGCCCCCGCCCTCCACCGACCCGGGCCAGGTGCCTTGCCCCAGGGACAGCCCCAGCGTGCCGGGAGGACTCAGCCCAGCCCATTCGCAGCGGCTCACGCTGCCCTGCCTAGCCTTTCCCGCAGAACCCCCAGTGGAAGCTCCGGCCCAGGCCTTCACCGCGCTCCTCCCTGCTCCAGCCCTGGTGCCTCTCCTCCGGGCCCGTCTGGCATGGCATGCCTCCTCCTTTCGGAGAAATTAACAAGGTATTTCAGTGGCTTTAGCCTCCCCATGGCATCACTAAGTCACCTCCATCAATTAAAGTCCTGCAGGTACAACTGATGCACCCTGTAGCCCCGCTGTCCCTCCAGGATGTCCCGGTGGGATGGGAGCCGGCGCCACCCCGACCTGTGTTCCAGCCACCCGCCTGCAGCCCGGGCCCCAGTTCCGGGGCCTGTACCGATCATATCCTCCTCCCGGTTCTCAAAGCTGATCCTGGTGTTGTACTTCTCCATCAGAGTCGAGGACTCCAGGGTGTCCCTCACCTTTGTGTCGCCCTGCAGGGCAAAGCCCCCTTCAGCCGTGCAGACACTCTGAACGGGAGCCTGTCAGCTTTGAGGGGACGTGGGCTGTGCAGGTTCCTCCCAGCCCGGGGCTACCTCCTCGGTCCTGGACACCATCTGCACTCTGTCAGCCAGGTACGTGAGCTTCCCCTCGCAGTACGCCAGCTTGCTGTTCAAATCGAGGGTGTTGGAGAGCACCACTTCTCTCTGTAGGCCGGGAGGAGGGTCTCATCTCCCCTCTGGCCCTGCCCAGGGACCTGGTGTGTGGCAGCTCAGCCTCACTCCCGGTACCTGGGTCGCAGGCAAGTTAATGCCCATCAGCCGGACATAGAGGTTGTCGATGCCCATCTGGATGGTCAGCAGCAGCTCCTGGCCCTTGGTCATGTTGCTGTGCGCCAGCTGGAGCCTCTCTTCTTCCTCTTTTAGCATGTCTGTCATTTTCTTCTCAACGGACTTGAAGCTGCAGAAGGCAATAGGGACACAGCAGTGAGGGGCACAGGCCCGAGAGCCATGGTGGGCCACCCAGGAGCCCAGTCCTGAGTTGGGTGCTGTGCCAGAATCAGGGACTCAGAAGCTCAGGTGTGTGCAAGTGGAGTCCCCTGGCCCCTCTGTGGGACACACAGGCTTGTTGGCAGTGGGTATACTCCCAGCTCCCAGCCTGGCTGCAGCCCGGGGCCTTTGTGAGACTGGGGTGGGTGGCCCGCAGCCCCGGAAGCCCGGGGCACCTGATGGAGCTAGGCTTCTGGCGGAACTTGAGCACGGCCTCCTCCAGCTCCAGCTGCTTCACCAGGGCCTTCAGCTGCACCCGCCACTCCTCACAGTCCTCCATCTGCAGCTCCAGGTTCTCCTCCGTGTTCCTCTGGGCCAGGAAGCGGCTAGTGATGTCCTGGCCAGTCCGGGGGAGAGAGAAGCAGGTGTGGGCCAGGATGGTGGGCAGAGGGGGCTTCACAGAACTGGTTTCTTCTGGGCCCCTCCTAGACGCTAGTGCACTTTCTCTGTGCTCATTCACAAGTGTGATCACAGCTCACTGCAGCCTCAACCTCCCAGACTCAAGCGATCCTCCCACCTCAGCTTCCTGAGTAGCTGGGACCACAGGTGTGCACCACCACACTTAGCAGGGGTGAAGCGCTTTGTGGATGTCATTGCACACGACCCTAATGGCAGGCAGAGAGGGTAGATAACCCCATGTAGAGATAAGGAGATCATCACTGAAGGACGTTGTGTCACTTGAGTCACTTGTCTGACAGTGGACAAGCTTGTGTCAGGGCAGTGGTTAGGAGCTCAAGGCCTAATAATAATAAACGCAGATACACAGATGGGATTAAGATAAAAGGATTTGGGGCGGCCGAGGGAGTTGCCACTTTGTGTGTCCATTTCAGAGTGCCTCAGACCCCAGCCCAGCTCAGCCACCCTCCTGCCATGCTCCGGGAGTGCCAGGGAGCATTACCCAGACGTGAGAGGCTCAGCCACCCTCCTGCCATTCTCTGGGAGCGCCAGGGGCATTACCCAGACGTGAGAGCACCGTACAGCACTCTTGACCTTCTCCACCACAGCAGTCACGCCCGACTGGTATTCCATTTCTGCTGTGGAGGTCTCTTTTCTCCTCACTGGCAGAGCAGAGGGGAGGGGCAGTCAGCATGCAGGGATGGCTCAGGGGCTCTGTGTAAGGCTGTCAGACACCTCTGTACCTGCCCAGCTGCTGGGGCGGCCACCCAAGACACAGGCATCCTTCAGAGATGCCTGCCCCCGCCCCAACCTGCTCCCTCCTCAGCCCAGCCCTGCAGGGACGCCCCAGGCAGCCCCAGAGCAGAGGTGGACCCGGAGTGAGTGGCGCAGCACTGTGAGCACTGTGGGCCCGGTGGTGCTTCTCAGAGGCAGCTTAGGGGTCAGGATGCTCATCCTCTGCAGAGTCACTGGGGACTGGGCCCTTGGTGCAGGGCCCTTGGGTGCTGGGGCCAGCATCTCTGAGGCCACATTTGGCTACAGGCTCTCAGCCTCTGGAGGGAGAGGCAGGGACCTGTCCTTCCCTTCACCCTGGCGACCACATGTCACACCTGGCCTCAGGGTGACTTGATCCGTTGGCCTGAATCAGTGCCAGCCTCTCCTTGGGACCCTGGCTGGGGGCAGGTGGGGAGCTGAGCGCTTACATTTCAGGGTCTCCGTGCTCATCAGGTTCGAGGGGAAGTCCAAGTCCATCTGGCCCTGATGGGAGGTGGGGGCGGGGAAGGGATGAGACATCCTTGGCAGGGAGTGGGCCCTGAGTGGTGGCCCTGAGCCTGTGTCCACCCAGCTGTCATGGGGATGGGCAGCCAGCCAGGCCCTGGCCTGGGGCTTACCCGGCGGTACTTCTCGCTGGTCTCCTTCGTGTGGATCTTGTCGATCAGCTTCTTCTGCTGGTTGAGCCGGTTCTCCCTTGCCCGGCGCTCCTCGATGAAGGACGCCTCCCTTTGCCTCATGTTCCTCTGGGGACATGCGGGTGGGCACAGGGTTGGGGAGCTGTCTCAACAAGGCCCCTAATGGCAGTAAAGCCAGCGGGCGGTTGGCCATGCTCACCTTACTAGACTTTGGAACTGCATCCCCGGCCAATGGCCACACCCTTTTCCTAAACCACTTGTGCCCGTGGCCCCTCAGCTCACGGCCCTCCTTGCCCATGCCTCAGAGCATGTGCCAGCCCAGACGCTCTGCTGCCCTCCAGCCGCTGGCCCCCAGCTGCCTCCTGGCCAGGTCCACCTAGAACTCACGGAAGTGCATTCAGCCTGCCTGAAGACAGATTCATCCTCTTCCCCAAAACCTGGCCTCTTCCAGCGTGCCCTTGGGCAGCTAAAACCGTCATCTGCTAACCCCTGCTCACGCACCCCAGACACTGCTCTCACCCTCGCCACTCTCGTTGCCAGCGCTTAGTGGGGTTGCCTCTTGAGGAGTTCTCAGCTCCGTTGCTCCTGGCCACCCCTTCTCCACCCCGGGTATACCCAGGTGATCAGCGCTTCTGCCCTGGCACCTTCCAGTCCCTGCAGCCTGAGTACACCCTTTCTGAAGCACAGACCTGGTCACATCTTTCCTCCACCTCCTCCCAGGGCTCCAGGTCAGTCCTTGGGCCCCCAGCCCAGCCGCCTCCGTGGACTCCTGGGGCCTGTGCCTCTGCAGCCTCCACTGCCCTGGCCACACGCTGCTCCATGTATCACACCCCTCCCAGCCCAGGGCCTTTTCCCAAGTTGTACCTCCTCCTCCCTAGCCCTGGCCACACCTGACCTTTGCGGGTTCAATCCCTCAGCCCAGCTCAAGCACTGTCTTCCTGGAAAGCCATCTGCCACCCCACCTGTCTCTGCTGAGCTGGCTCAGGGGCTGTGTGGCATTTCTTCATGGACTACTGGATGAGTGCCACCCACTTCAGGAGGACAGGGTCTGCCTGTCCCGGTCCCTGCTGTATCCCCAGAGCCTTGCAGGGACCTTGGCACAGACTGGGTGAATAGGTGACCCCCGCCCTGGCCCGGCCAGTTCTCTCCCTCTCCTCTACTTCATGGCTCCTGTGCTGGATGGGACCTGCTCTGTCCAGTGGGTGAGCAGAGCAGGCTGGCCGGGCTGGCCACTGGATCCTTCTGGGGATTGTAGGCAGTGTGGGCATGGGGGTCTCCTGAGAGACCCTGGCCAGAAGACACAAGAGAGCCCGCCCTGGGGGGCCCCAGCCCTGGGCCCTGAGCTCACCTTGACCCCATCCGAAGATCCAAGAGGGCTGGCCCTGGGGGGCCCCCAGCCCTGGGCCCTGAGCTCACCTTGACCCCATCCGAAGATCCAAGAGGGCTGGCCCTGGGGGGCCCCAGCCCTGGGCCCTGAGCTCACCTTGACCCCATCCGAAGATCCAAGAGGGCTGGCCCTGGGGGGCCCCCGGCCCTGGGCCCTGAGCTCACCTTGACCCCATCCGAAGATCCAAGAGGGCTGGCCCTGGGGGGCCCCCAGCCCTGGGCCCTGAGCTCACCTTGACCCCATCCGAAGATCCAAGAGGGCTGGCCCTGGGGGGCCCCCGGCCCTGGGCCCTGAGCTCACCTTGACCCCATCCGAAGATCCAAGAGGGCTGGCCCTGGGGGGCCCCCAGCCCTGGGCCCTGAGCTCACCTTGACCCCATCCGAAGATCCAAGAGGGCTGGCCCTGGGGGGCCCCCAGCCCTGGGCCCTGAGCTCACCTTGACCTCATCCGTGATCATCATGGCATCTTGGGACATGATCTTCATATCCGACAGCTCTGAGCAGTAGTTGACCACGAGGTTCTGCAGCTTGTCCAGCTCAATGGGGTATCCTGCCAGCACCTGTGTTGAATGGGGTTCTCTTGTGGCCCCTACAGAGTGGGCTGCAGTTGCCCCGAGCTTTTATCCCCCGACTAAGAGCCCTGAGAACAGTGATAGGTTCTCCTCTGTGGCCCCAGCCACCTCCCCCACTCCCCGCTGGGCACAACGGTGATGAAAGGTGTTTCACAGGGAGTGGACAGTGCTGGCCTGGTGGACTCTTTCACCACCTAGGGTCCAACAACCCAGAGAGACTGAGAGAGTTTGTGATGAAATGCTCTGCAGAAAAGGCTGACTGAAACCCGGGGAGGTTTGGGGACAGTTCTGCTTTGAAGTGAAACAGAGGGGCTCAAGACATGGGCTTGGGGTCAGAGAGTCAGGATTCAAGGCCAAGGCAGCTTCTGACCAGCTAGTTTAGCTGTGTGACATTGGGAAAGTTACTTAATCTCTCTGTGTCCCCATTTGTAAGATGATGGCTCGTTCAGAAGGTTGCCATCAGGATGAATTGAGTGTAAAAGGAATTATTTAGCCCAGAACCAGGTACATACGTGCTCAGGATAGCTTTGCTATAGTGGTTTGTTTTTTGTAACTACAAGTATAGGCCAGGTGCGGTGGCTCACGCCTGTAATCCCAACACTGGGAGGCCGGAGGCAGGCAGATCATGAGGTCAGGAGTTAGAGACCAGCCTGGCCAACATAGTGAAACCCTGTCTCTACTAAAAATACAAAAAAAATCAGCCGGGCGTGGTAGTGGGCGCCTGTAATTCTAGCTATTCGGGAGGCTGAGGCAGGAGAATCGCTTGAACCCGGGAGGCGGAGGTTGCAGTGAGCCGAGATCTCACCACTGCACACCAGCTGGGGCAACAGTGTGAAACTCCATCTCAAAAAACAAAACAAACAAAAACAAAACTAGAAGTGTAGAATCTTCATTTTTAAAAATATGGATGACTATGGGAATTATTGCTTGTTTTTTCCTTTGTTCTGAGACTGAATCTCACTCTATCACCCAGGCTGGAGTGCGATGGTACGATCTCGGCTTGCAGCAACCTCTGCCTTCTGGGTTCAGGTGATTCTCGTGCCTCAGCCTCCCGAGTAGCTGGGATTACAGGCATGCACCACCATGCCAGGCTACTTTTTGTATTTTTAGTAGAGATGAAGTTTCACCATGTTGGCCAGGCTGGTCTAGAACTCCTGACCTCAAGTGATCCGCCTGCCTTGGCCTCCCAAAGTGCTGGGATTACAGGCATGAGCCACCATGCCCAGGCCGGGAATAATTGTTTTTTAAGTGTGTATGTTCTAAACAGAAGAAGGCGCTACCAGAGGAACAGAAAGCACCCAGGCGAAGGAGGGGCATGGACAGGGGTGGGGAGAGGGGTGGGCCCAGGAAGCATAGAGGGGCAGGGCTTCCAGGTGAGCCAATAGGACCAGGGGCCAAGGCAAGAGGGACAAGCAGAGGACGGTGCTGAGAGCCACCTGGGCTGGGACCACAGCAGGAAAAGAGCTGCGATGCAGCCTCCGTCCACCACTCCTCCTAAACTGCACTTCCATGCTGTCACCTTCCCGAAGCATGGCTCTCCAGAGCTCCCCTTTGCCCAGTCTTAGGGTGAGGGTGTTTCCAGCTGGCTCCCCGCCCCATCCACAGGTTGCTCCTCTTAGCACCTCCTGTGCTCTCCCTATCTACAGCCCATCTGGAGTAGGTTCTGCTTTGTGGCAGCCCGAGGGGCGGTGCTCAGCCTCCCATGAAGGGGGTCTTCCCTCACAATCGGACTGCTGGCTGCCTTTGGCCTCGTCTGCAGGGAGCAGGGCGGGTGGGCTGGCTGGGACGGCAGCAAGCCCTGCTTACAGGCCCAGCGGACCCTCAAAGGTGCAAGGACTTTCTGAGGGTGCAGGACCTGTCTGACTCTCAGAGGCCCAGGCAATGAGAAAATGACAGGCAAGATACAAACAATACCAAATCATTTAATACGTGCAAGAAAGTCCGAAGAATTCTGATATACCCCACGATATGCTTTTTTGGAATAGCCAAAAATGAAGTTTAAAAAAACGTTTTCCACATGCCTCGGCGTCCTGCGTAGCCGGTGGTCAGGCAGAGCTCCCTCTCCCTGGCGGGTGCGGGGCGGCTCCGCCCCAGGACGCTCCCGCCCCTCCCAGATCCCAGCCCCTGACCCCCGCCCTTCCCGGGCCGCTGGGCTCACTGTCTTCAGATAATCCAGCAGGTCCAAATACAGCAGGTGGATGTTCTGGCTGGTGATGATCTTGATCATTGTCTTCTCGATGTTGTTCTCCAGCTGGCGGATGATCTGGGGCGGACCGAGGGCGCAGTGAGAGGGCGTGGGGACCGGCCGCCCGGAGGGTGTCGGGGCTGGGTTTTCTCCGGAGAGGGTCGTGCTCTCTTAGCCCCGCCCCTCCCGTGAGCCCTCCCCAGGGGACCCGCAAGTCCCGCCCCCCGGTGGCCCCGCCCCTCCCGTGAGTCTTGCCCCAGTGGACTCCGCCCCGCCCTCCCAGCCCCGCCTCTCCACCTGCAGCAGCCGCAGCTCCTCCTTGCTGGCGTCGGGCTGGCTCCGCAGGCTGTCCAGCTCCAGCTGCATGCTCTCCAGCTTCTGCCCGCGCCGCCGCACCAGGTGGATCAGTAGGTTGTGCATGTTCACGCGGTCGAAGACGTACTTGCGCAGCTTCTCCCGCACCACCTGGGTCGGGAAGGGCACCGCCCACTCGTGGTTGCGTAGGGGGCCGCCATGGAGCCCGCCAGCAGGCGGGCGGGTGGAGGCTCGTGGCAACCCCACAGGGAACCTGGGGCTGGGCACCTGCTCCGTCCCTCGTCGGCTCCGCAACATCTAGTGGGGGGGTGCTGGCAGGGGTGGGGAGGGTTGGGTCTCGAGGCCCCTCCTGCCTGGTTACCTCCATGGTGCTGCGGCAGTGCGCCAGTCGCAAAGGCAAGTTTTTCCCGCAGGCCTTGGAGATGGTCCACTGGTCATACTGCGGAGCGGCGGCGGCTGAGCTAGAGCGGGCCCTTTGCGCACCCGCAGCCGCTGGCTCCTCCAGGCATTCTCCCCAGGGCCTCTTGTATCCCACGCTAGCCCAGTAGCGAGATCCCTGCTTCCACGAGGAGCAGAGAGCCGCGGGACCCCATCCTGGCCATCCAAGTTCGGAGGCGACGTGGTAGGGGGGTATGCAGAGGAGGGCCTGGGTGTCCCCTAGCTGGCCGGAGAGCCAGAGGGGGCCCCTGCTGCAGGATGTGGGCTCACAGATGCCAAGCCCTCGGGTTGGGTGGTGGGAAACCTGCCCACCGGATGCTGGGGTGACTGGAGCCCAGGGCACAGGTCCTAGCAGAGCCCCTCCTCACATGCCCCCTGGATCCAGAAAGATTGGGGTGGGGGTGGAGAGGAGGTGCCCGCCCTCCGAGTGTGTGTGTACTCAGCTCCTGCCCTGCTCGCCAGGCAGAGGGGAGGGGCGGCGTTTGTGTACCTTCTTGGCCAAAGCCCAGTCCTGGGCCCCGCGGCGGATGTTGCTGCGCAGGAGGGCCAGCGTGGCCTTGTTCTGGTCCATATTCTCTTTCACCCCTTGGATCTGGAGTGCCCGACACTGCTCTGTGGGCAGGTGGAGGGGACACAGTGGCTAGGATTGGGCCAAGGGCCTGGCCTGGAATCCCCTGGGGGAGGCTTGCATCAGGGAGGCCCCAGGCCCCAGGGTCCAGGGGGATGCCCCCTCCATGGCCAAGATCCCTCCTCCCGCCCTGTCCTGGGGGACACCGCTCCACTGCCCAGCAGCAGCTGTCTGAAGGGCTCTCAGTGGACAGGTGCGGGGAGGTGGACAGGTGGGGAGGGTGAGGCAAAGGAGAGGGATGGCAGGGTCCTGTGGTCCCGTCCAGATTTGCTGCCCATGGAAGCAGGTGGGTGTTTTCCTGTCCATTCTGGCTTTGGGGCCCGTGTTGCTCTTATGCTCACGTCTCCTTGAAGCCCCTCTCTCTGATTTAGTCCCTCCATGCAGGTCCCTTTGATCCCTTCTCCCAGCTCTGTCAGGGAGTGGGCAGTAGGGGGGTCTGTTTTCCCCTCCATGTCCTGGATTGTCCCTGTATTAAAACTAAAAGTCCTAGGCCAGGAGCGGTGGCTCACACCTGTAATCCCAGCACTTTGGGAGGCCGAAGTGGGCGGATCACCTGTGGTCAGGAGTTCGAGACCAGCCTGGCCAACATGGTGAAACCCCATCTCTACTAAAAATACAAAACTAGCTGGGTGTGGTGGTGTGTGCCTGTAGTCCCAGCTACTCAGG
Source organism: Homo sapiens (assembly GCF_000001405.40). NCBI lineage: Eukaryota > Metazoa > Chordata > Mammalia > Primates > Hominidae > Homo > Homo sapiens. Next base: position 136,798,419 of record NC_000009.12, on the reverse strand, counting down.
AGGCTGAGGCAGAATTGTTTGAACCCAGGAGGTGGAGGTTGCAGTGAGCTGAGATTGCACCACTGCACTCCACCTGGACGACAGAATGAGACTCTGTCTCAAAAAAATAAATAAGCTAGGCGCCGGTGGCTCATGCCTGTAATCCCAGCACTTTGGGAGGCCGAGGCGGATGGATCACCTGAGGTCAGGAGTTTGAGACCAGCCTGGCCAAGATGGGTAAACCCCGTCTCTACTAAAAATACAAAAATTAGCTGGGCGTGGTGGTGGGCACCTGTAATCCCAGCTACTCGGGAGGCTGAGGCAGGAGAATCACTTGAACCCGGGAGGTGGAGGTTGCAGTGTGCTGAGATTGCACCATTGCACTCCAGCCTGGGTGACAGAGCGAGACTGCGTCTCAAAATAAATAAATAAATAAAAATACAAATACGAAAATTAGCTGAGTGTGGTGGCGTACACCTGATGTCCCAACTAATCAAGAGGCTGAGCCAGGAGAATCGCTCGAACCCGGGAGGTGGAGGTTGCAGTGAGCCGAGATCATGCCACTGCACTCGAGCCTGCGTGACAGAGCGAGACTCTGTCTCCAAACAAACATCCCCTAAAAGTGAAGGGGGCCTGCCCCTCCACACCTGCGGGTATTTCTCGTCAGGTGGGATGAAGACTGAGAAAAGAAATAAGACACAGAGGCTGGGCATGGTGGCTCACGCCTGTAATCCCAGCACTTTGGGAGGCTGATGCGGGCAGATCACGAGGTCAGGTGATCGAGACCATCCTGGCTAACACGGTGAAACCGCATCTCTACTAAAAATACAAAAAATTAGCCGGGCATGGTGGTGGGTGCCTGTAGTCCCAGCTACTTGGGAGGCTGAGGCAGGAGAATGACGTGAACCCAGGAGGTGGAGCTTGCAGTGAGCCGAGATCGCGCCACTGCACTGCCGTCTGGGCAACAGAGCAAGACTCCATCTCATAAAAAAAAAAAAAAAAGACACAAAGTATAGAGAAAGAACAGTGGGCCCAGGGGACTGGCACACTCAGCATGCGAGGACCTGCACCAGCCCTGGTCTCTGAGTTCCCTCAGTATTTACTGATCATTATTTTTACTATCTTGGTGAGGGGAGTGTAGCAGGGCAACAGGTGGTGAGAACGTCAGCAGGGAAACATGTGAGCAAAGGAATCTTTATCATGAATAAGTTCAAGGAAAGGTACTATGCCCAGATGTGCACGTAGGCCAGATTTGTTTCACGTTACACAAACATCTCAGTGTAGCAAAGAGTAACAGAGCAGTATTGCTGCCAGCATATCTTGCCTCTAGCCACAGAGCGGTTTTCTCCTATCTTAGAATAGAACGAATGGGAATGGTCGGCTTTACACTGAGACATTCCATTCCCAGGGACGAGCAGGAGACAGATGCCTTCCTCTTATCTCAACTGCAAAGAGGCCTCCCTCTTTCACTACTCCTCAGCACAGACCCTTTACTGGTGTCGGGCTGGGGGATGGTAAGATCTTTCCTTTCCCACGAGGCCATATCTCAGGCTGTCTCAGTGGGGGGAAACCTTGGACAATTCCCAGGCTTTCCTGGGCAGAGGTCCCTGCGGCTTTCTGCAGTGCACTGTGTCCCTGGTTAATCAAGAATGGAGGATGGGGATGACTTTTACCAAGCATACTGCCTGCAAACACATTGTTAACAAAGCACATCCTGCACGGCCCTAAATGCATTAATCTTTGATTCAATACAGCACATGTTTCTGTGAGCACAGAGTTGGGGCTAAAGTTACAGGTTAATAGCATCTCAAAGCAGAAACAATTTTTCTTAGTACAGATCAAAATGGAGTTTCTTATGTCTTCCTTTTCTACATAGACAGTAACAATCTGATCTCTCTTTTCCCCACAAAAAGTTGTGCACCCAGAAACCCCCAGACGGGAAAGGGAGACTGGTCACGGCGGTGCAGGCTCACCCTGGAGCTGAGTGATGGTCTTCAGCTCCTGGGTCTGCTCTTCCACATCTGTCTCACTGTGCCTCCTCATGGCTGCTCTCAGGCCCCCCAAGGGACCCTGTGTACCTCAAAGCCTCCCTGGGCTCAGCTTGCTCAGAGCCGCCACTCAGATTGTCCCCAGAACCTCAGCCCATTATGATGAGAGCCAGGATTCTCAGTGCCTGGGCAACCCTGGAATTGCAGGGCCTCCTGCCTCACTCTGCCCCCAGCCACCTTGGGGTGGCCTCCAGACATGTGTCCTAATTGAAATGAGTCTCCTGGCAGCTGCTCGAGGCTTAGGAGCTCTGCCGGGCGGATGTGCTTTCTTTGAGGGGGAGGTTTGTGATGGGTCTGCAGCACCGGCAGCTCACACCTGCACTGGGTTCCCTCCCTGGCCCCTCCCATGCCCCAAGCCATCCTCCACAAAGCAGCAGGCCGAGCCTCCTAAAACGATTCTGATACTATTCTGATACTGCCTTACGGGACCTCCCTCTGCACCCCCCACCCCCAGCCCCAAGTCCAAACTCCATGCACTGGGTAACCTGGCTCTTGGGACACCCCCACCTTATCTCTTCTGACTTCTGTCCCTGACCTCTCTGTGCTGTCTGGAGCCCACCCTGCTTCACCCCCACTTTCCTTTGGGAATTACTGGGTCTTGGGTTCATGTGTCACTCCAGAAAGGGTATGTTCTCCATCTCTGCACCCCCTCCACCCTTCCCTTAGAGGGGAGTACCTGGAGCACCAGGCAGCCTGGAACTCTGTGGGGTATGCACGAGATGGGGTACACACGAGATGGGGTACTTTTTCCCAGCCTTGCCTTAGTAGGCTCAGGCGGCCATAACAAGGTGCCACTGGCCAGGTGTGGAGGCTCACGCCTGTAATCCCAGCACTTTGGGAGGCTGAGGTGGGTGGGTCACCTGAGGTCAGGAGTTCAAGACCAGTCTGGTCAACATGGTGAAACCCCGTTTCTACTAAAAATACAAAAATTAGCCCAGTGTGGTGGTGGGCGCCTGTCCCAGCTACTTGGGAAGCCGAGGCAGGAGAATTGCTTGAATCCAGGAGGTGGAGGTTGCAGTGAGCTGAGATCGCGTCACTGCACTCCAGCCTGCGTGACAGAGTAAGACTCCATCTCAAAAAAACAAAAAACAAAAAAACAAAAAAACAAGGCGCCACCGACTGGGGGATGTGAACAGCAGCCTGGAGGCTGGGGGCTGAGATCACGGGTCAGCAGGGCTGGTGTCTCCTGAGGCCCCTCTCCTTGGCTTGCAGATGCTGTCTTCTCTGTGTCCTCACGTGGCCGTCCCTCTGTGTGTCTGTGTCCTAATTTCCTCTTCTTATGAGGACACCCCAATGACCTCATTTTACCTTAATGACCTCTGGAAAGCCCCTGTCTTCAAATACAGAGACATGCAGAGGTCCTGGGGGACAGAAATTTGGGGGGACCCAAGCCAGCCCGACAATGGCCTTTGCCCATGTGCTGTCACATAGATCCCTTCCCTTTCTGGTCACTGTTTTTGGAAAGCCAGTCCAGGCAAACTCCAGGTTCTCCCTTCTCTCCCTCCCACCCAGGCCTCACCCTCAGGGTGCTGGGATGTCCTGCTAAGGGTGTGGTCTGCTTACCTCCCCCTCGTTCTTGGGGGCCAGGCTTGGAATCTAGCTGAGGCAGAGCCTACCTGCTGTCCTTCTTCCTCAGATATAAAACACCTGAATTTTAGTGGGCGCATGGCTGCCCAGAGCAACTCTGCCTTCCTGAGCATCCTGGCACTGGATGTGCCTGATGACTTCGTTCAGGCCAACAGAGTGAGAGCAGCAGTGGCAGGCAAGCTGCCCTCTCTCCTGCCTCTTAAATGAGATAAAGACACAATGGCCGAAGCTGGTGCAGCCGCCTGGGGCCATGAGGCAGATTTGGGAACAGAGACCATTACAGCAGGGAGCAGACTGAAAGGAGCCTGGTCCCCGATTCCCTGTCAACCCTGGACCACTCACTTGGACTTTTACATGAAAGAAAAATAAAGCTCAGCCCGGCGCGGTGCCCAGCGGCTCACGCCTATAATCCCAGCACTTTGGGAGGCCGAGGTGGGCAGATCACATGAGGTCAGGAGTTTGAGACCAGCCTGGCCAACATAGTGAAACCCCGTCTCTACTAAAAATACAGAATTAGCTGGGCATGGTGGCGCATACCTGTAATCCCAGCTACTCGGGAGGCTGAGGCAGGAGAATCGCTTGAACCCGGGCAGCAGAGGTTGTGGCGAGCTGAGACTGCACCACTGCACTCCAGCCTGGGCAACAAGAGTGAAACTCCATCTCAAAATAAATAAATAAATAAATATTAGCCAGGCGTGGTGGTGGGTGCCTATAATCCCAGCTACTTGGGAGGCTGAGGCAGGAGAATGGCTTGAACTGGTGAGGTGGAAGTTGCAGTGAGCCGACATCACGCCATTGCCCTCCAGCCTGGGTGACAGAGCGAGACTCTGTCTCCAAACAACGACGACAACACCACAAAAAACAGAAAAATAAAGCTCCATCTTGCTGAAGCCACTGTCAACTTGAGCTTCCTGTCACTCTGAAGGCCCAGTAGGTACTCAATAAACTTTCTTTCCAGTGCCTGGCAAGGTGAGGCGTGGCAGCTGAGCTGGGTCGGGGGCAGCAGGGCCCATGCTGTGGGTCTTCGGTGCTGCGGGGAAGCCAGCTGTAACCATGATGGACTTGTGGAGGTTCCGTCTGGTCTCCACCTCTTCCTCCTCTTGGGGCTCGGGGCTGTGTGTAGGCTTGCCCACTCAGAAGCTTTCCCTCCACACAGACACGGCTACAACGGGCTAGCTCTGCCTCTGGGGAGTGACTTTGGCTAATAGATGAGTGGGGAATGATAGGCAGGTGGGCGTGGCCCACAAGTCCCTCCTCTCCCAGCAGCCAGGCTCTGGCCAGCCTGGCCCCTTTTGCTCTGCCCCTACATGCCAAGTGCTACAGAGGCAGACCCCCATACAGAGAGGCTGTGGTGGTGTCACGTGGCCTACGGGGCTGATGCGAACGTCTAATTCTGGGGTTCAGCGCTGGGAACTTCCCTGTACATCCTCAGTATGTAACTTGCATGTGATCCTCATATATCAACTGTAGGGTAATAAAGGTTTCATGTGACCTGTCATCATCTTACCCTTCTGATTTGTTTTTCACCTGGTCAGGTGGAAACTTGGGTGGAGAGAAGGATAAGCCATTTATTAACCCCACGCCCCTAGCACCAGCTGTCACCTTGGACTTGTTGGAGATGCAGGGGCTAGAAAGGAAATGACAGAGTGTACAGGCCCCTTCGACCCCGTGTCCCATAGGTGGTGGCCCCCAGACACACCCTCTCTGCTGGCAGTGCAGAACATGCATCCCAATACCCTAGAGGAGAAACACCACCCCAGGGAGAGCCCTTTCTGCTCCAACCTCCTGGGCAGGTCCCAGGTTGGGGCAGCAGCCATCTGCAGGTGTTTGTCAGGCCTGGCCACACATGCGGACAGAGGATACGACTGGGGTACCCTAGGGTGTGGGGAGGGTCGGCCTGGGGTCAGGGGGCATGAAGGCTGTGTTCCAGACTCCTCCTGCCCCCAATCCTCTGTGCCCCTGCTGGAGCTCTCCTAGCTTCTCTGATCTGTAAAAGGCAAAGAGAGACAAGCTCGAACCACATCCATCGTGGCTGGGCATCCCTGTGCCCATTTTATCATGGCAGAAACTGGGTTCCGTAACAAGGACAACGGGCAGTGGAGGCCAGGCCTGGGTCCAATGCGGGGCTTCTCAGTCCAGCCTCACTCCTCTCGGGTGCCCACGTGGCTGCTGTGGCCTTGCCACACCCTTCACTCTGCACCCTTCCTCTCAATCTCAGGGGCACCCCAGCCCCTCTTGGTTCTTTCTCCTCAAAGGGAGCTCTCCAAGATCTGTCTACTGCGCCCACCCCCAGCTCCAACCCATCTGGCAGTCACATGCTGAGGAGGCCGGGCCAGAGGGAGGGACCTTGTCTAGCCTATCGCATGGTGCACCCAGGCTTGGCTGCCCAAAACTCTGGGTGCTGGAGAGGTGGCATTCACTTCTCGCTAACCCCCAGGCTCTCTCACCTGTGCTCCTGTCTTTGGGGAGCTGCCCGGTCTCCAGGAAGAGCCAGAGGTTGTTGCATTTCTCCGACTCCACTCTCGTCACCCCGTAGCTGACCACAGAGCCTGCAACTGTGGAGCAGGAAATGGAAGAGGGCTGGGGCCTCTGTGCTTCCCAGGCTAAGAGAACCGGGCACAGGCTACTTCCTGACAGACGTGGTGGGTGGGCTCAGGTGGGGCTCCCGCCGAGACCTGGGGCTCCATGTCAGAGTCAGGGACGCAGAACCACAGCCCCAACCCTAGCAGAAACCCACCCCTCAAAGAGCCCAGGCAGGGGCCCTGGAGTACCCACCCACGGCCACTAGGAGGCTCCACTGCAAAGGGTATGGAAACTTCCTCTGAATGAACATCTGCAAGCCAAAGGCCATGCCGGTGCCTGCAAAGAGCCGAGGTCCCCATCAACCTGTACCCGGGGATAGCCAGGGCCCACCTTGCCAGGCCCCCAGCACCTGCGGGCAGGTGACTTGGCGCCCCCTGCTGGGGAGTCAGGGCAGGGCGGGAGGGTGCGTTCTCTCCCAGCCGCAGGACACCTGGACGCAGCCTACCTGTGACGAAGGTGAAAACGCCCTTCATGAAGGCGTGTGACTGGCATGCGGCATACTCCCCGAGTCCCTGGGGTGGCAGAGGCGGGTGAAGGCTCGATCCCCTGCCCTCTTCCTTCACCGCCTCTCCTGTCCCTCCTCTGGGCACACCCTGGCTGTGGAGGAGTGAGACCCTGGGCGCTTGGACACGTCCCACCTCCCCTATGCCCACCCGGACGCCCTGAGCCCCTTAGCAAGAGAGTGCCCCCAGCCTCCGCCACTCTTCCCTGACGAGGGCACCCCCACGCCCCGGCCCCCCGCCTCGCTCAGGTCAGCTTCTGGGGTTTGAGGCCCGCGTCCCAGACCGGCCTTCTCACCGGGTGCTTGGCAGCCACGGCGTCGTCCACCCGGGACAGACCCAAGTTCACCATGGTTGGCAGGGCTCGGGGAGCGGGCCTGCGCAGGCGCAGGCGGAAGGGCGGGACGGGAACCTGGGGGTGTGGCCCAGAGGACAGGCCTGCGCAGTTACGGACGGAGGGGCAGGGCCCGGATCTGGGGGCGAGGCCTAGGGACCGGCCCGCGCTGGAACAGGCGGAGGGGGCGGGGCCTAGGAGACGGCGCCTGAGGGCGGGTCCGCGCGGCAGCAGGCGGAGGGGGCGGGACCTGGGAGACGTGATCTGGGGGCGGGGCCTGAGAGACGGGACTTTGGAGACGCGACCTGGGGGCGGGGCCTGAGAGACAGGACCGGGGAGCGGGCCTGCGCAGGCGGAGGTGTCGGGTTCTAAGAGGCGGGTCCTGCCGGGTGCAGGCGGAGGGGCCAGGGCCTTGGATTGGGGGCGGAGCATGGATCGAGCCTGCTAGAGCGCAGGGGAGAGGGGTGGGGCCTGGGGCCTGGCCACGCCTCTAGGAGCTTGGGCCCTGTGACCTCCGGCGACGACTGGGCGGGGCGAAGGCGGGCACCGGGCGGGGCGTGGCTGAGAGCGTGCGCTCCTCCCCCCGGCCGGGCCTCATTCCCACACTTGCAGAGGCCTGATGATTGTCAGTGTTATTTTGCTTGAGGACTACAATCAGGGATTGAATTTCTCATAAGCCACCACGGAGTGGGGATGTATAAAATCACTGTTTAGCAAAGTGGTTCTGTAACCAGCAGCTTAGTAGCTGAGCCTCAAACTCCTTTTGTTTTGCATGACAAAGAGTCTTTACTTTCAAATAATTATCGATACACCAAGTAATAACATGTACAAGTTCTTGAATTCTATCATCTAGTAATTTTGATTAAGAGAAACTAAAATCAGCCCAAACAATTCCACTAGTATTCACTGGTGTAACCATTAGCAAGAACGGAGGACTTCAAGTCAGGCTGCTGCTTCACACAGGTTACAAATAACTATTTACTACTTTTTCATCGATAAAGTCCCTGATCTTCAAGAAAGTGCTAGGGAAAAAAATTAACCCCTTCCTTTCTTCAAAGAATTATTATGTGGTTTTTTTTTTTAAACTAGATCAAAGAAAGAAAAAGTCAACACTGATATACGTGTTGCTTGAGCCAAAAGGCATGGGAAAAAAGACAACATATAACCATTAAATTCCTAAGAAATATGAGGTAAAAAGATGAAATCTTGGCCAGGTGCGGTGGCTTACGCCTGTAATCCCAGCACCTTGGGAGGCCGAGGCAGGTGGATCACAAGGTCAGGAGTTAAATACTAGCCTGGCCAAGATGGTGAAACCCCGTCTCTACTAAAAATACAAAAATTAGCCGGGCGTGGTGGCAGGTGCCTATAATCCCAGGTACTGGGGAGGCTGAGGCAGGAGAATCACTTGAACCTGGGAGGTGGAGGTTGCAGGGAGCCAAGATCGTGCCACTGCACTCCAGCCTGGGCGACAGAGTGAGACTCTGTTTCAAAAAAAAAAAAAAGGCTGAAGTCTTTAGATAATTTATAAGTCTGTACAAAAAAGCTAGATTTGCTACTCTTCAAAATGTGGAAGGACCTACTCTATAATATATGGAAATAATTTAATGCCATTTGTGGGGAAAAGAGAGATCAGACTGTTACTGTGTCTGTGTAGAAAAAGGAAGACATAAGAAACTCCATTTTGATCTGTACTAAGAAAAATTATTCTGCTTTGAAATGCTGTTAATCTGTAACCTTAGCCCCAACCCTGTGCTCACAGGAACATGTGCTGTATTGACTCAAGGTTTAGGGGATTTAGGGCCGTGCAGGATGTGCCTTGTTAACAATGTGTTTGCAGGCAGTACGCTTGGTAAAAGTCATCACCATTCTCCATTCTCCATTAACCAGGGACACAGTGCACTGCGGAAAGCCGCAGGGACCTCTGCCCAAGAAAGCCTGCGTATTGTCCAGGTTTCCCCCCACTGAGACAGCCTGAGATATGGCCTCGTGGGAAGGGAAAGGCCTTACCGTCCCCCAGGCTGACAACCATAAAGGGTCTGTGCTGAGGAGGATTAGTGAAAGAGGGAGGCCTCTTTGCAGTTGAGATAAGAGGAAGGCATCTGTCTCCTGCTCGTCCCTGGGAATGGAATGTCTTGGTGTAAAACCCAACCGTACATTCTATTTACTGAGATAAGAGAAAACCGCCCTGTGGCTGGAGGTGAGACATGCTGGCGGCAATACTGCTCTTTACTGCACTGAGATGTTTGTGTAAAGTCAAACATAAACCTGGCCTACGTGCACATCCAGGCACAGCACCTTTCCTTAAACTTATTTATGACACAGAGTCCTTTGCTCATGTTTTCCTGCTGACCTTCTCCCCACCATTACCCTATAGTCCTGCCACATCCCCGTCGCCGAGATAGTAGAGCTAGTGATCAATAAATACTGAGGAAACTCAGAGACCAGTGCTGGCGTGGGTCCGCACTTGCTGAGCGCCGGTCCCCTGGGCCCACTTTTCTTCCTTTATACTTTGTGTCTTATTTCCTTTTCTCAGTCTCTCGTCTCCACCTTGTGAGAAATACCCACAGGTGTGGAGGGGCAGGCCCCCTTCATCTGGCACCCATCGTGGGTTCCGTTCTGTAAGGTGAAGATACGCTATGGTGTGATAGTTTAGGACAAAACGAGTACGTCCGTGGTCAGCTTCGCGGTAAGCTTGTGCACTCGGAGGAACCCAGGGTAACAATGGGACAAACTGAAAGTAAATATGCCTCTTATCTCAGCTTCATTAAAATTTTTTTAAGAAGAGGGGGAGTTAGAGCCTCTACAGAAAATCTAATTACACTATTTCAAACAATAGAACAATTCTGCCCATGGTTTCCAAAACAAGGAACTTTAGATCTAAAAGATTGGGAAAAAATTGGCAAAGAATTAAAGCAAGCAAATAGGGAAGGTAAAATCATCCCACTTACAGTATGGAATGATTGGGCCATTATTAAAGCAGCTTTAGAATCATTTCAAACAGGAGAAGATAGCGTTTCAGTTTCTGATGCCCCTGAAAGCTGTGTAATAGATTGTGAAGAAGAGGCAGGGACAGAATTCGAGAAAGGAACGGAAAGTTCACATTGTAAATATGTAGCAGAGTCTGTAATGCCTCGGTCAGCGCAAAATGTTGACTACAATCAATTACAGGAGGTAATATATTCTGGACCACTAAAATTGGGGGGAAAAGGTCCAGAATTATTGGGGCCATCAGAGTCTAAACCACGATGGCCATCAACTCCTCCTCCCGCGGTTCAGATGCCTGTAACATTACAACCTCAAATGCAGGTTAGACAAGTACAAACCCCAAGAGAATATCAAATAGAAAAGGAAAGAGTCTCTATCCCAGCAATGCCAATCCAGATGCAGTATCCACAATATCAGCTGGTAGAAAATAAGACCCAACTGCCGGTAGCCTATCAATACTGGCCGCCAGCCAAACTTCAGTATCGGCCGCCCCCAGAGTATCAGTATGGATGGCCAGGATGTTTCCAGCACCGCAGGGCAGGGCGCTATAGCCGCAGCCGCCCACTATGAGACGTAATCCTACAGCACCACCTAGTGGACAGGGTCGTGCATTACATAAAATTATTGAAAAGACAAAACAAGGGGATACTGACGCGTGGCAGACCCCGGTAATATTAGAACCCATACCACCTGGAAGAGGGGCCCAAGAGGGAGCGCCTCCCCGAGCTGATGCCAGAAATGGGTCCTTTTCTATGAAAATGCTAAAAGACATGAAAGAGGGAGTAAAACAGTATGGACCCAACTCCCCTTATATAAGAACATTATTAGATTCCACTGCTCATGGACATAGACTCATTCCTTATGATTGGGAGATTTTGGCCAAATCATCACTCTCACCTCAATTTTTACAATTTAAGACCTGGTGGATTGATGGGACACAAGAACAGGTCCGAAAAAATAGGGCTGCCAATCCTCCAGTTAACACAGATGCAGATCAAGTATTAGGAACAGGTCAAAATTGGAGCACTACTAATCAACAAGCAATAATACAATATGTGGCCATTGAGCAAGTTAGAGCTATCTGCCTTAGAGCCTGGGAAAAAAATCCAAGACCCGGGAACCACCTGCCCCTCATTCAATACAATAAGACAAGGCTCTAAAGAGCCCTACCCTGATTTTGTGGCAAGGCTCCAAGATGCTGCTCAAAAGTCAATGGCCAATGAGAATGCCCGTAAGGTCATAGTGGAGTTGATGGCATACGAAAACGACAATCCTGAGTGTCAATCAGCCATTAAGCCATTAAAAGGGAATGTCCCAGCAGGGTCAGATGTAGTCTCAGAGTATGTAAAAGCCTATGATGGAATTGGAGGGGCTATGCATAAAGCTATGCTAATGGCTCCAGCAAAAACTGGGGTTGCTTTAGGAGGACAAGTTAGAACATTTGAGGGAAAATGTTATAATTGTGGTCAAATTGGTCATTTAGAAAAGAATTGCCCAGTCTTAAATAAACAGAATATAACAAATCAAACTACTACAGCCAAAAATAAAGAGCCACCTGGCCTGTGTCCAAGATGTGGAAAAGGAAAACATTGGGCTAATCAATGTCGTTCTAAATTTGATAAAAATGGGCAACCATTGTCGGAAAACTGGAAGAGGGGCCAGCCTCAGGCCTCGCAACAAACTGGGGCGTTCCCGATTCAGCCTTTTGTTCCTCAGGGTTTTCAGGGACAACAACCTCCACTGTCACAAGTGCCTCAGGGAACGGGCCAGTTACCACAATACAACAATTGTCCCCCGCCACAAGCGGCAGTGCAGCAGTAGATTTATGTGTTATACCAGCAGTCTCTCTGCTTCCAGGGGAGCCCCCACAAAAAATCCCCTCAGGGGTATACGGCCCACTGCCCGAGGGGACTGTAGGACTCATCTTAGGAAGATCAAGTTTAAATCTAAAGGGAGTTCAAATTCATACTGGTGTGGTTGATACAGATTACAAAGGTGAAATTCAATTGGTTATTAGCTCCTCAATTCCTTGGAGTGCCCGTCCAGGAGACGGAATTGCTCAATTATTACTCCTGCCTTATATTAAGGTTGGAAACAGTGAGACAAAAAGAACAGGAGGGTTTGGGAGCACTGATCTGGCAGGAAAGGCTGCATATTGGGCAAGTCAGGTCTCAGAAAGCAGACCTGTGTGTAAGGCCATTATTCAGGGAAAACAGTTTGAAGGGTTAGTAGACCCTGGGGTGTGGGCGGAAAGCCACCCAGGCGCCGAGACACGAGACTGAAGGCACAAGCTGTTCCAGTATAATCAAGAAAATAGTTAGGAAAAGAGAAAGTTATATTCGAAATAGGATATAGAGATGATTATATATGGATATTATCAATCATTAGTTTTCTGTATTAACCTTTGTATTATTATTATAACCAAAGAAAAACTAGGCCATACAGAGTTAGGAGCTGAAGGGACATTGTGAGAAGTGACCAGAAGACAAGAGTGTGAGCTCTCTGTCACGCCCAGATAAGGGCTGCTTGAGGGCTCCTTGGTCTAGTGGTAGCACCAGCACCTGGGAAGGCACCCGTTACTCAGCGGACCTTGGTCTAGCGGTAGCGCCAGTGCCTGGGAAGGCACCCGTTACTCAGCAGACCTTGGCCTGGCGGTAGCGCCAGCACCTGGGAAGGCACCCATTACTCAGCAGACCTTGGCCTGGCGGTAGCGCCAGTGCCTGGGAAGGCACCCGTTACTCAGCGGACCTTGGCCTGGCGGTAGCGCCAGCGCCTGGAAGGCACCCGTTACTTAGCAGACCAGGAAAGGGAGTCTCCCTTTCCCTGGGAGAGTTAGCGAGCACTCTGCTCCACCAGTTCTTGTGGGGGACCTGACATTCCCCAGGCCTGCCCGCAGTCATCGGAGGCTTCAACGTCTCCCTGTGGTGCTTCAGTGGTCATGCTCCTTGTCCACTTTCATATTCTGCCTGTACACCTGCTGCTTCTCTTAAGTTCTTAGAAGATAGCAGTAGCAGAATTAGCGAAAGTATTAGAGTCTTTGATCTCTCTGATAAGTGCATAGAAGATATGCTAACGTCTGCTGTCCTCCCTCTCTGCTTCAGCTACCACAAAGGGAAAGTCCCCTTGTCATGTGGACACTTGACTTGCTTGTCCTTATCAATCACTTGAGGTGACTCACACTCCTTACCCTGCCCCCTTGCCTTGTATACAATAAATAGCAGTGCATCCAGGCCTTCGGGGCCACTACCGGACTCCGCGCATTGGTGGTAGTGGCCCCAGGGCCCAGCTGTCTTTCCTACTATCCCTTAGTCTCATGTCTTTCTTTCTACAATCTCTCATCTCTGCACATGAAGAGGAAACCCACAAGGTCCTGTAGGGCTGGACCCTACACTGGGGCGGATGTCTCTATCATTGTTTTGCATCAGTGGCCAAGAAATTGGCCAAAAGATGGCTGCAAGTTTGGTGGGCGTAGGCACTGCCTCAGAAGTGTATCAAAGTACTATGATTTTACATTGTTTAGGGCCAGATAATCAAAAAAGTACTGCTCAGCCAATGATTACTCCAATTCCTGTTAATCTGTGGGGTTGAGATTTATTACAACAATGGAGTATGGAAATCAGTATGCCCGCTCCATTATCCAGCCCCATGAGTCAAAAAATCATGACTGAAATGGGACATGTACCAGAAAACGGACTAGGAAAGAGTGAAAATGGTATTGAAGTCCCAATTGAGGCTGAGGGAAATCAAGGAAAAAAAGGGAATAGGTTATCCTTTTTAGGGACGGCCACTGTACAGCCTCCAAAACCCATTCCATTAACTTGGAAAGCAGAAAAACCTGTATGGGTAGATCAATGGCTGCTACCAAAACAAAAACTGGAGGCTTTACATTTATTAGCAAAGGAACAATTAGAAAAGGGACATATTGAGCCTTCATTCTCGCCTTGGAATTCTCCTGTGTTTGTAATTCAGAAAAAATCCGGCAGATGGCGAATGCTAAATGATTTAAGAGCCATTAACGCCATAATTCAACCCATGGGGGCCTCTCCAACCCGCCCTCTCTGGCCCTCATGGCCCTCTCCAGCCATGATCCTCAAAGATTGGCCTTTAATTATAATTGATCTGAAGGATTGCTTTTTTTTACCATTCCTCTGGTGAAGCAGGATTTTGAAAAATTTGCTTATACTATACCAGCCATAAATAATAAGGAACCAGCCACCAGGTTTCAGTGGAAAGTGTTACCTCAGGAAATGTTAAACAGCCCAGCTATTTGTCTGACTTTTGTAGGTCAAGCTCTTCAACTAGTTAGAGACAAGTTTCCAGACTGTTATATTGTTCATTATGTAGATGATATTCTATGTGCTTCAGAAATGAGAGATAAATTAACTGACTGTTACACATTTCTACAAGCAGAGGTTGCCAACGCAGGACTGATGATAGCATCTGATAAAATTCAAACAACAACTCCTTTTCATTATTTAGGGATACAGGTAGAAAATAGAAAAATTAAACCACAAAAAATAGAAATAAGAAAAGATACATTAAAAATATTAAATGAGGCCGGGCACGGTGGCTCACACCTGTAATCCCAGCACTTTGGGAGGCCAAGGTGGGTGGATCACGAGGTCAGGAGATCGAGACCATCCTGGCTAACACGGTGCAACACCAGCTCTACTAAAAATACAAAAAATTAGCCGGGCGCAGTGGCGGGTGCCTGTAGTCCCAGCTACTTGGGAGGCTGAGGCAGGAGAATGGCATGAACCCGGGAGGCGGAGCTTGCAGTGAGCCGAGATCGCACCACTGCACTCCAAATTATTTGAAGAAAATTCGATCAGCACAAGTAAATAGACTAGATCCCTTGGCTCCACTCCAACTTTTGATTTTTGCTACTGCACATTCTCCAACAGGCATCATTGTTCAAAATACAGATCTTGTGGAGTGGTCATTCCTTCCTCACAGTACAGTTAAGATTTTTACATTGTACTTGGATCAAATGGCTACATTAATTGGTCAGGCAAGATTACGAATAATCTAATTGTGTGGAAGTGACCCAGACAAATCATTGTTCCTTTAAACGAGGAACAGTTTAGACAAGCCTTTATCAATTCTAGTGCATGGCAGACTGGTCTTGCTGATTTTGTGGGAATTATTGATAATCATTACCCAAAAACAAACATCTTCCAGTTTTTAAAACTGACTACTTGGATTTTACCTAAAATTACCAGACATAAACCT
Source organism: Homo sapiens (assembly GCF_000001405.40). Classification (NCBI taxonomy): domain Eukaryota; kingdom Metazoa; phylum Chordata; class Mammalia; order Primates; family Hominidae; genus Homo; species Homo sapiens. The sequence continues at coordinate 136,783,171 of NC_000009.12, read as the reverse complement.
TTAGAAAATGATCTGACTGTGTTTATTGATGGTTCCAGCAATGGAAAAGCAGCTTACACTGGGCCAAAAGAAGGAGGCCTTGAAACTCAATATCATTCGGCTCAAAGAGCAGAGTTGGTTGCCGTCATTACAGTGTTACAAGATTTTAATCAGCCTATTAATATTGTATCAGATTCTGCATCTGTAGTACAGGCCACAAGGGATATTGAGACAGCCCTAATCAAACATAGCATGGATGATCAGTTAAACCAGCCGTTCAATTTATTACAACAAACTGTGAGAAGAAGAAATCTCCCATTTTATATTACTCATATTTGAGAACACACTAATTTACCAGGGCCTTTAACTAAAGCAAATGAGCAAGCTGACTTACTGGTATCATCTGCATTCACAAAAGCACAAGAACTTCATGCTTTGAGTCATGTAAATGCAACAGGTTTAAAAAATAAATTTAATATCACATGGAAACAGGCAAAAAGTATTGCACAACACTGCACCTGGTGTCAAGCCCTACACCTGCCCACTCAGGAGGCAGGAGTTAATCCCAGAGGTCTGCGTCCTAATGCGTTATGGCAAATGGATGTCACGCATGTTCCTTCATTTGGAAGATTGTCATATGTTCATGTAACAGTTGATACTTATTCACATTTCATGTGGGCAACCTGACAGACAGGAGAAAGTACTTCCCATGTTAAAAGACATTTATTTTTCTTTTTTTGCTGTCATAGGAGTTCCAGAAAAAATTAAAACTGACAATGGACCAGGATACTATAGTAAAGCTTTCCAAAAATTCTTGAATCAGTGGAAAATTGCACGTACAACAGGAATTCCCTATAATTCCCAATGACAGGCCATAGTTGAAAGAACTAATAGAACACCGAAAACTCAATTGGTTAAACAAAGAAAAGAGGGAGACAGTACGGAGTATATCACTCTTCAGATGCAACTTAACCTAGCACTCTATACTTTAAATTTTTTAAACCTTTATAGAAATCAGACTACTACCTCTGCAGAACAACATCTTACTGGTAAAAAGAACAGCCCACATGAAGGAAAACTAATTTGGTGGAAAGACAACAAAAATAAGACATGGGAAATAGGGAAGGTGGTAACGTGAGGGAGAGGTTTTGCTTGTGTTTCACCAGGAGAAAATCAGCTTCCTGTTTGGATACCCACTAGACATTTAAAGTTCTACAATGAACCCATCGGAGATGCAAAGAAAAACGCCTCCGTGGAGACAGAGACACCGCAATTGAGCACCATTGACTCGCCAGATGAACAGAATGGTGATATTAAAAGAACAAATTTTTGAAGCATCAAAAGCCCATTTAAATTTGGTACCAGGAACTGAGGCAATTGCGGGAGTTGCTGATGGCCTCACAAGTCTCTCTCTCTCTCTTTTTTTTAGACGGAGTCTCACTTTGTCGCCCAGGCTGGAGTGCAGTGGCACTATCTCGGCTCACTGCAAGCTCCACCTCCCAGGTTCATGCCATTCTCCTGCCTCAGCCTCCTGAGTAGCTGGGACTACAGGCGCCTGCCACCACGCCCAGCCAATTTTTTTGTATTTTTTTAGTAGAGACAGGGTTTCACTCTGTTAGCCAGGATGGTCTCAATCTCCTGACCTCGTGATCCACCCACCTTGGCCTCCCAAAGTGCTGGGATTACAGGCGTGAGCCACCGTGCCCAGCCGGCCTCACAAGTCTTAACCCTGTCACTTGGGTTAAAACCCTCGGAAGTTCCGCTATCGTAAATTTCGTGTTAATGCTTCTGTCTGTTGTCAGTCTGCAGCTGTACCCAACAGCTCCGAAGAGACAGCGACCATCGAGAATGGGCCATGATGATGATGGTGGTTTTGTCAAAAAGAAAAGGGGGAAATGTGGGGGAAAGAGAGGTCAGACTGTTACTGTGTCTATGTAGAAAAAGGAAGACATAAGAAACTCCATTTTGATCTGTATTAAGAAAAATTCTTCTGCTTTGACATGCTGTTAATCTGTAACCTTAGCCCCAACCCTGTACTCACAGAAACATGTGCTGTGTTAACTCAAGGTTTGAGGGATTTAGGGCTATACAGCATGTGCTTTGTTAACAATGTGTTTGCAGGCAGTATGCTTGGTAAAAGTCATCGCCATTCTCCATTCTCCATTAACCAGGGACACAGTGCACTGCGGAAAGCCGCAGGGACCTCTGCCCAAGAAAGCCTGCGTATTGTCCAGGTCTCCCCCCACTGAGACAGCCTGAGATATGGCCTCATGGGAAGGGAAAGACCTGATCGTCCCCCAGGCTGACACCCATAAAGGGTCTGTACTGAGGAGGATTAGTGAAAGAGGAAGGCCTCTTTGCAGTTGAGATAAGAGGAAGGCATCTGTCTCCTGCTCATCCCTGGGAATGGAATGTCTTGGTGTAAAGCCCAATCATACATTCTGTTTACTGAGATAGGAGAAAACTGCCCCATGGCTGGAGGTGAGACATGCTGGCGGCAATACTGCTCTTTACTGCACTGAGAGGTTTGTGTAAAGTCAGACATAAACCTGGCCTACGTGCACATCCAGGCACAGCACCTTTCCCTAAACTTATTTATGACACAGAGTCCTTTGCTCATGTTTTCCTGCTGACCCTCTGCCCACCATTACCCTATAGTCCTGCCATGTCCCCCTCACCGAGATAGTAGAGCTAGTGATCAATAAATACTGAGGAACTCAGAGACCAGCGTCGGTGCAGTTCCTCACTTGCTGAGTGCCGGTCCCCTGGGCCCACTTTTCTTCCCTTATACTTTGTCTTTGTGTCTTATTTGTTTTCTCAGTCTCTCATCTCCACCTGGTGAGAAATACCCGCAGGTGTGGAGGGGCAGGTCCCCTTCATAATTTCATAAGACTATAACTAGAGCTATGCTAAAGCTTCATATTTCATGAGGGCATCTAAAATGCCTATCCAAAGAACAGGTGCTTCTCTTCTTCTATCCATTTATGCGGTAGTTTTCATGCATTTCTGGCTGAATGTCACAGACAAAAGCCAAGAGGTTATCCCAGACTTCATCCCTGTTGTGAGGAAAGTAGGTCTGGAGGATGGTCATCTTCTCCTGGGTCTCCTTCTCCACTTTGGTGCTGCCAGTGCCATGGATTCCAGTGCCGCAGCTTCCTTGGCTTTCAACTCTTTCTCCCTCTGCAGGTGGTACTGTTCAATTTCAGCCTGAGCTGCTTCTTTGGCCTGTGTCAGCCTCCAGTTCTTTCTTTTTTTTTTGAGACGGAGTCTCGCTCTGTGGCCCAGGCTGGAGTGTAGTGGCAGCGATCTTGGCTCACTGCAACCTCTACCTCCCAGGTTCAAACAATTCTCTGCCTCAGCCTCCTGAGTAGCTGGGACTACAGGTGCATGCCAGCATGTTGCAGGAAGTCAGGGACCCCGAATGGAGGGACCAGCTGGAGCCGCAGCAGAAGAACACAAATTGTGAAGATTTCATGGACATTTGTCAGTTCCCAAATAATACTTTTACAATTTCTTATGCCTGTCTTTACTTTAGTCACTTACTCCTGTTATCTTTGTAAACTGAGGATGTAAGTCACCTCAGGACCACTGTGATAATTGTGTTAACTGTACAAATTGATTGTAAAACATGTATGTTTGAACAATATGAAATCAGTGCACCTTGAAAAAGAACAGAATAACAGCAATGTTTAGGGAACAAGGGAAGACAACCATAAGGTCTGACTGCCTGCAGGTTCGGGCAAAAAAAGCCATATTTTTCTTCTTGCAGAGAGCCTATAAATGGACATGCAAGTAGGAGAGACGGGGAGGAGATGGTGTTGTTGTTCTAGTTTGAGGGTCGCAGAGCTGGAGACCTGAGGAGGAGCCGGTGTTGATCTAGTTTGAGCATTGGGGAGCTGGAGACCCTGGAGGAGCTGGTGTTGATCCAGTTTGAGGGTCGGGGAGCTGGAGACCTGAGGAGGAGCCGGTGTTGATCTAGTTTGAGGGTTGGGGAGCTGGAGACCCTGGAGGAGCTGGTGTTGATCTAGTTTGAGCATTGGGGAGCTGGAGACCCTGGAGGAGCCAGTGTTGATCTAGTTTGAGCGTTGGGGAGCTGGAGACCCTGGAGGAGCTGGTGTTGATCTAGTTTGAGGGTCACGGAGCTGGAGGCCTGGGGAGGAGCCAGTGTTGATCCAGTTTGAGGGTCGGGGAGCTGGAGACCCTGGAGGAGCTGGTGTTGATCCAGTTGGAGGGTCACGGAGCTGGAGACTGAGGAGGAGCCAGTGTTGATCCAGTTTGAGGGTCGGGGAGCTGGAGACCCTGGAGGAGCCAGTGTTGATCCAGTTTGAGGGTCGGGGAGCTGGAGACCCTGGAGGAGCCGGTGTTGATCCAGTTTGAGAGTTGGGGAGCTGGAGACCCTGGAGGAGCTGGTGTTGATCCAGTTTGAGGGTCGGGGAGCTGGAGACTCTGGAGGACCTGGTGTTGATCCAGTTTGAGGGTCGGGGAACTGGAGACCCTGGAGGAGCTGGTGTTGATCCAGTTTGAGGGTCGGGGAGCTGGAGACTGAGGAGGAGCCGGTGTTGATCCAGTTTGAGGGTCACGGAGCTGGAGACTGAGGAGGAGCCGGTGTTGATCCAGTTTGAGGGTTGGGGAGCTGGAAACCCTGGAGGAGCCGGTGTTGATCCAGTTTGAGGGTCGGGGAGCTGGAGACCCTGGAGGAGCTGGTGTTGATCCAGTTTGAGGGTTGGGGAGCTGGAGACCTGGGAGGAGCTGGTGGTGTTGTTCTAGTTTGAGGTTCACAGAGCTGGAGACCTGGGGAGGAGATGGTGTTGTTCTAGTTTGAGGATTGCAGAGCTGGAGGCCTGGGGAGGAGCCAGTGTTTTTCTAGTTTGAGGGTCCTGGACCTGGAGATTTGAGGAGGAGCTGGTGTTGTTCTAGTTTGAGGTTAGTGGAGCTGGAGAATCGGGGTGGTGCCAGTGTTTTCTAGTTTGAGGGTTATGGAGCTGGAGACCAGGGGAGAAGCTGGTGGTGGTGTTCTAGTTTAAGGGTCATGGAGCTGGAGGCCTGGGGAGGAGCCAGTGTTGTTCTAGTTTGAGGGTCGTGGAGCTGGAGAACTGAGGAGGAGCTGGTGTTGTTCTAGTTTGAGAGTCATGGAACTGGAGACTTGGAGAGGAGCTGGTGTTATTCTAGTTTGAGGGTTGTGGAGCTGGAGACCAGAGAAGGAGCTGGTGTTGTTCTAATTATAGGGTCATGGAACTGGAGAATCAGGGAGGTGCCAGCGTTGTTCTAGTTTGAGGGCTGTGGAGCTGGAGACCTGGGGAGAAGCTGGTGTTGTTCTAGTTTGAGCGTTGTGGAACTGGAGACCCAGGGAGAAGCTGGTGGTGTTGTTCTAGTTTGAAGGTGGTGGAGCTGGAGACCTGGGGAGAGGCTGGTGCTGCTGTTGTAGTTTGAGGGTCATGGAACTGGAGGCGGGGAGGAGCCGGTGCTGTTGCGCTTCATGTCTGAGGGTTATATAGCTGGAAACCCAGGGAGAAGCCGGTATTACCGCTTTTAAAGTCTGAAGGTCGTGGAGCCTGAGGCCCAGGGAGGAGCCGGTGCTGCTCTTCAAATGGACCCTCCCGAGGTCTCCAGCTCCATGACCGTCAAACTACAACAGCAGCACCAGCTCCACCCTGGGTCTCCAGATCCACGACCCGCAAACTGGAACAGCAGCACTGACTCCTCCCCGGGTCTCCAGCTCCATGACCCTCAGACTCGTTCTAGTTTCTGTTTCAACTTTCTGTTGTCTTTTTGAGACAGGGCTCTGTTGCCTCGGCTGTAGTTTTGAACTTTGATGTGAAGGAATTCTCCTGGGTGGCTGCTCCTACACTGCGTTGGGTCTGAGTATCTGCTTGATGTCTATTTCTGTCCTCCATTCTCTCCCTGAGACCCACCCACATTGACATGGTTCATTTTCATTGCTGCGTGATCTCCCGTCTCCATTCTCTTCCTGAGACCCACCCACACTAACATGAGTCTTTTTCATTGCTGCACGATCTCCCGCCGTCTGAGGGGAGCATGGGAAATGTCTTCATCTTCCTGTGGACGAGAGTTCAGCCAGGCTGGGGCCCTGAGGACTGTGCTGCTGGGAATGCTCTTGGGCCTTTCTTTTGTACACAGGTGCACATTTCTCCTGGTCAGTAGCTTTCAGTTTTTACAATTTCATCCCAGGTAAGAAATGTAATTTTCCTCATAACCCACAAAACACACCCTTTCATATGCAGGGATACCAAAAACAATTTCACATCATTCTTAGCAGTGGCTGAGGGTTCCTATTGCTCTCCATTCTTCCCAATCCTTGCATTGATTGGGCTGTGGGATTTTTGCTGTCTGGTGGGTGACACGTGATCCTCATCCTGTTAGCTGAGACCCTCTTCATGTTTTTATTGCCCTTTCCTTCACATTTCCTTTTCTGTGAAGGGCTGGTTCAACTCTTTTTTTTTTGAGACGGAGTCTGACTCTGTCACCTAGGCTGGAGTGCAGTGGCACAATCTTGGCTCACTGCAAGCTCCACCTCCTGGGTTCAAGCAATTTTTCTTCCTCAGCCTCCTGAGTAGCTGGGACTACAGGCATGCACCACCACGCCCAGCTAATTTTTTGTATTTTTAGTAGAGAGAGGGTTTCACAATATTGGCCAGGCTGGTCTCGAACTCTTAACCTCGTGATCCGCCCGCCTCGGCCTCCCAAAGTGCTGGGATTACAGGTGTGAGTCACTGTGCCCAGCCAGGTCTGGTTCAACTCTTTTGCCCAGTTTCCGTTTAGTTGTCTGAATTTTTGCCTTTTTATTTTTTCATTTTTTTTTTTTGAGATGGAGTCTTGCTCTGTCGCCCAGGCTGGAGTGCCGTGGCACGATCTCGGCTCACTGCAAGCTCTGTCTCCCGGGTTCATGCCATTCTCCTGCCTCAGCCTCCAGAGTAGCTGGGACTACAGGCGCCCGCCACCACGCCTGGCTAATTATTATTATTACCATTATTTTGTATTTTTAGTAGAGACGGGGTTTCACCATGTTAGCCAGGATGGTCTTGATCTCCTGACATCGTGATCCGCCCACCTCGGCCTCCCAAAGTGCTGGGATTACAGGCGTGAGCCACAGCACCTGGCACCTTTTTCTTTTATTATTATTATTTGAGACGGAGTCTCATTCTGTCATCCAGACTGGAGAGCAATGGCACAATCTTCGCTCACTGTGGCCTCTGCCTTCCGGGTTCAAGCGATTCTCCTGCCTCAGCCTCCAGAGTAGCTGGGATTACAGGCGTGAGCCACCATGCCCAGCCAATTTTTGTATTTTTAGTAGAGGTGGAGTTTCACCATGTTGGCCAGGCTGGTCTGGAACTCCTGACCTCAGGTGACCTGCCTGCCTCAGCTTCCCAAAGTGCTGGGATTACAGATGTGAGCCACCGCACCTGGCCTGCCTTTTTCTTTTTCAAGAGGACTCTTTATAGATTATGCCCATTCATTCTGATGACTATCTGTGTGGCAAAGATGGGTTTGAATCCACCAGGATGAACCTGCAGGATCCCCTTTCTGGGGTGGGAGAGGAGACAGAGAGGGGTAGAGGGGCATGGAGAATCAGAGCCGAGAGGAGGCTGAGTCAGGCGGGGACTGCAGGCTGCTGTGAGGACATGGCTCCTCCTCTGAGCCAGGTGGGATTAGCAGGGGATTTTACCCAGAGGAGGCATGGGGTCTCCCTTATGTATTTCTGCCATGGTTGGCTCAGTTGAACTCACCTTTTGAACAAGACTTGGCCTTGGCCACCCAGAGGCCCCTGGCCAAGAGCTTGACTCCTGGCACGGCCACTGACACATCCATGTTTGGTGCACACATGGCTGGGCAGCCCCGAGACCGGCTCTGCCTGGGCCTCTCATTGGTGGCATTGCTCGCATTTGTCCCCTCCCAAGTCTGGCCTATTTATGAGCCTCATCACACCTCGGCATGAAGAAGGAGGTTTGGCAAATAACCCATAAAGCATCTTTTAAAAGGTTAATGGTCACTGTTGTGGGGAGAAAGGGCCACTGAGCTTGGATGCTCTCTTTGCTGATGTGGTTTTCTCAATTAAGTGAAAATAAAGAGCCATGCCTCTTTGCACGTACCTGGTCTGATTACCAAGCAGCCCAGGAGGCCTCGGGGTGTCTTGGAAGCTGGAACCATCAGCCCTGTGTGAACTACAGGCGCTTCTATATAAGCTGCTCCCAGGTGAGGGGAGCGGGTCAGGTGATCCCAAGCTCCGCTTCCTGCTCGACATGAGTGAGCTGTGTGTGCAGAGTTGGTTGTGGAGGAATCCCACGGTCTGGCCAGTCACCTGCAGGAGGGCAGGGTTGATGCTGTTCTCATATTCATCATCCACAGTGCCTGGCACTTGCTCCAGGCCATGGCAGGCGTACAGGTGTCCAACTGATCTTAGATAATGAGGGACCTGCTCCGCAGCCCTGAGGGTAGGAGGGAAGTCAGCTTGAGAGCTTTCCTGGGTCATGCCTCACCTAACTTACATGGCGTTTCCAGGAGAGAGGGCTACTGGCGGTGTCTGTGTATCAGTCAGGATGAGTAACAGCAGCTGCTACAACAACAGCTCCCAACGCTCAGAGGGATGCACACGAGGATTCTTTCCTGCTCTTGTCACAGTCTCACGACACTAAAGATATGTGTCAGTCCACCTGCATTGCTATAAAGGAATACCTGAGGCTGGGTTAATTAGGGGTGGGGCAGTTCCCCTGAAAGGACTGTTAGGAGACAAGTACCTGTGACTGTGATGTGCATCTTGCAAAGTCCTAAAGGGAAGTGGGTCAAATTAGCTTTCTCCAGCAGACAGGGAGGGGCACCCACGGCAAAATCCCTTCACCTGGGAGCAGGTGTGGTCCTTGAGTCCTATGTTGCCTGTTTCTTCCTCCATCTTGACCTGCAGGCCTGATGTGATCTGACCTCTGCCTGCCTCTCTGACTCCATCTCCCCTCCCGCTCCTGTTCTTTCTACCAATTAGGTTACAGCCTCGGTGAATGTGACAAGGACCCTGAATCACGGTGGCTTAACTAAGACAGAGGTTCATTCCCTTCACATGAAAGTCCAAGGCAGTCGGGAGATTCTTCTCTATGCAGTTTTTAGGGTCTTAGCCTCCTTCCATCTTGCTGTTCTGACTTCCTTAGGGTGTAGCTTCCCCCTGAGAGTCCACCCTGTCTCCTGCCAGCCAGCAGGGAGAGGAGAAGGGGACAACAGGGCACAAAACTTCCTTCCTCTAAAGGCAGCCGCTGTGCACAGGCCTCGCCTCCCCATTGGCCACAGCCTGGTCACATGGCCACTGCTTGCTGCAAGGGATGCTGGGAAGTGTAGTCTTCATCCTGGATGCCAGTGCCCACATGGGTCCCTCCTGAGGCCGAGGGGAGAGAGGACATGGGAGAGAGTTTCTGGTCTCCCCCGCCCTGGGGTCAGGGTTGACTCCCCGGGTGATGGTTGTTCTTGTGTGTTGACTGCGTCTACACATCAGTTCCACTATATTGTGTGTCTGTTCTGGTGAGGTCTGGATGCCTCCAGGCCTGAGCAGGAGAAACCAGCAACAGGATTTGTTTTGTTTTGCTGAATCTAGGATCACATTGTTGCAGGAAGTAGCTGGCAGCTAATGATGGCTGTTGCTGGGGGATCTGCTGGCCTGTAAACCAGGGTGTTCATGTGGCTGCTTGGGCTTCCTTTCAACATGGCTGCCTCTGAGCAGTTGTACTTCTCATGTGCCAGTGGACTTCGAAGACACAGGAAGTAGCAGTCTCCAGGCCAGTTTAGCAGTTTCCAGCAGTTTCCAGGCCACTCCCGAACTGGCACAGCATCCCTTCCACTGTATTCAATTGGCCAAAGTATAACAGTAAAACAGTAGAACTAACATAACTCACTCCGTTTGTGTTCAAGGGGCCTTTACCCATCCTGCACGTAGGCTAGGATAATTTCGGAGCACTGAGATAATATGGAAAAACAGTAATCATGTAGTTTTAAAAACTAACTCTGAGGTTGAAAGTATATAAACAACTAACAATATTTTATTAAATATGTGTAAAAGCATTGCGACCTGACTAAGGACAAAGAAGTTCCCAACCTCCTCAGACTTGCTGGTGCCCAGATGTCTGAGATGTCTGTGCTCATAGGCCACTTCTTTTTTTTTTTTTTTTTTTTTTGACAAGGTCTATCACCCAGGCTGGAGTGCAGTGGTGCCATCTCGGCTCACTGCAACCTCCACCTCCTGGGCTCAAGTCATCCTCCAACCTCAGCCTTCTGAGTAGCTGGGACTACAGGTGCACACCACCATGCTAGGCTAATTTTTGTATTTTTTGTAGAGACAGGGTTTTACCATGTTGCCCAGGCTGGTCTCGAACTTGTGAGCTCAAGTGGTCCACCTGCCCTGGCCTCCCAAAGTGCTGGGATTACAGGTTTGAGCCACCCCACCCAGATGTAGGTCACCTCTTTTTGAGACGGAGTCTTGCTCTGTCACCCAGGCTGGAGTGCAATGGCACCATCTCAGCTCACTGCAACCTCTGCCTCCTGTGTTCAAGTGATACTCCTGCCTCAGCCTCCAGAGTAGCTGGGAATACAGGCATGCGCCACTATGCCCGGCTAATTTTGTATTTTTAGTAGAGACGGTGTTTCTCCATGTTGGTCAGGCTGGTCTCGAACTCCCGACCTCAGATGATCTGCTCGCCTCGGCCTCCCAAAGTGGGAGTGTTGGGATTACAGGCGTGAGCCACCGCACCCGACTGTAGATCACTTCTTGATCCTAACCACCTTCTCTTTCTCTGCCCTTAACATAAAAAGAGCTTGAAATTTGTACCCACCTGAGATGGCACATTAGGACTCTAGTCCACCATCTTCTTGGTTTGCTGGCTGTCTGAATAAATTGCTTTCTTCCCACCAACTCCTGTCTCTTGAGTTTTGGCTTTTGAGCAGCTGAATGTGTGTTCGGTTACAAAAGCAGTCACAAGGTGCCCCTCCCGCCAAGATTTAAGGGGTGGAGAATTAAACTGTCACTTTGAAGAAGAGAGTTCAGGACTGCCCCTTCCACCCAAGACAGCAAACGGGCCAGTCCTTGAGCAGGTAGATGGGGAGGGGAGGTGGCAGAGCAGCCTGAGAGCTACAGCAGAGTGCTGGTGGGGAGGACCATGGGAGGGACCACAGACTCAAGAACTGTGTTGAGAAGGATTTCCAGGAGGCTGGGAATGGGCCTGTCTTCCCTGAAATTAGTATTTAGAGAGAATCTGGAAGAAAACCATGCTCTCAGAGTTAGGCTTTGGTGTGGAAATCAAACCTTTGCCTGCTACACTGTTTTCTTTTTTTTTTTTCTTTTTTCTTTTTTTTTGACACAGAGTCTTGCTCTGTCACCCAGGCTGGAGAGTGCAGTTGGCACTATCTTGGCTCACTGCAACCTCCGCCGCCTGGGTTCAAGTGATTCTCTTGCCTCAGCCTCCCCAGTAGCTGGGATTACAGGTGCCCACTACTATGTCCAGCTAATTTTTTTATATGTTTTTAGTAGAGACGAGGTTTCACCATGTTGGTCAGGCTGGTCTCGAACTCCTGATCCCAAAGTGCTGGGATTACAGGCGTAAGCCACCACGCCTGGCTAATTTTTTTGTATCTTTTTAGTAGAGACGGGGTTTCTCCATGTTGGTCAGGCTGGTCTCGACCTCCTGACCTCAGGTGATCTGCCCACCTTGGCCTCCCAAAGTGCTGGGATTACAGGCGTCAGCCACTGTGCCCTTCCTGTTACATTGTTTTCTGGATGGTGGGAGACGGGAATATGCAAATGGACAATGAGCAGACCCTACCAGGACAGAGCTCTGATTCCAGCAGCCAGCGGGAAGCCCACAGCAAGCCCGGAGCAATGGCCCCCGTGCCCAGGACGTGGGTAGTAACTGGCAGCTGTCTTTCATTTTGACCCAGCTTCCGACAGGGCCCACCTGGAGTCAGGCAAACATGCTCCCGGAAAGTCCTGTTGGACGCCCTGCGCCTTCCCATTCTCTCATTCTTGGGGTCCTGATCCAGACGCTAAGAGAGGGGTTCTTGGACCTTGTGCAAGAAAGAAGTTGGGGCAAGTCCACAAAGTGAAAGCAAGTTTATTAAGAAAGTAAAGAAATAAGCTGAGCACGGTGACTCACACCTGTCATCTCAGCACTTTGGGAGGCCGAGGCAGGCGGATCACTTAAGGTCAGGAGTTCGAGATCAGCCTGGGCAACATGGTGAAACACCGTCTCTACTAAAAATACAAAAATTAGCCAGGTGGCACGCGCCTGTAATCCCAGCTACTCGGGAGGCTGAGGCAGGAGAATCCCTTGAACCCGGGAGGCGGAGGTTGCAGTGAGCCGAGATCGCACCACTGCACTCCAGCCTGGGTGACAGAGTGAGACTCTGTCTCCAGAAAAATTTAAAAAATAAATAAAGATAAAAAAGTTTATAGATGATGATTCAGGGAGAATTCGTGACTTGGTAATGATTTTATTTGGAGGATTATCACCAGAATAAAACGTTGACGATCTCTTTTTCCAATCCTGGCTCAGCGCTGACACACTTTCAGGAGGGACGCTGAGGGGTAGCTCCAACCCAAAGAAACGATGTACCCAGAGGCAGGCGGGGTGCGGGCAGGCGGGGTGCGGGGCAGGCGGGGTGCGGGCAGGCGGGGTGCGGGCAGGCGGGGTGAGGGGCAGGCGGGGTGCGGGGCAGGCGGGGTGCGGGCAGGCGGGGTGCGGGGCAGGCGGGGTGCGGGGCAGGCGGGGTGCGGGCAGGCGGGGTGAGGGGCAGGCGGGGTGCGGGGCAGGCGGGGTGCGGGCAGGCGGGGTGCGGGGCAGGCGGGGTGCGGGCAGGCGGGGTGCGGGCAGGCGGGGTGCGGGGCAGGCGGGGTGCGGGCAGGCGGGGTGCGGGCAGGCGGGGTGCGGGGCAGGCGGGGTGAGGGGCAGGCGGGGTGCGGGGCAGGCGGGGTGAGGGGCAGGCGGGGTGCGGGGCAGGCGGGGTGAGGGGCAGGCGGGGTGCGGGCAGGCGGGGCCCAGAGCGCAGAGCAGAGCAGACTGCCCCCTGGTGGAAGAATGGAGGGACGCCACCAGCACGCGGAGGGGAGCCATGCAGATGAGGCTGCGTGAGTGAGGAGGCTGCCCAGGGAAGGGGAGGGGGCTCGGGGCCCCCTGGTGTTGTCGTGCAGGGCAGACCCCCTCAGCAGGGCAAAGAGAGAGAGGAAGGTTTTTCCTCCTCCTCTGAGGGCAGAGGTCTCGGGTTAGGAAGTGCTATTAGGGGCAGGGTGCAGTGGCGGGGGCCTGGGACACTCGGGGTGGGGGCGAGGCCTGGCGTGGGGGAGACAGATGAGTGGCAGCCCTGGCTAACCGAAGCCATTGGGAATTTATTGGAAGAATATCTGAGCTCAGAGGATTAGCGGAGGCTGGAGAACAAGCAGGTGGGGACTGGAGCAGCTCTCAGGGCAGGAGCCAGGAGCCCAGCAAGAGCTCAAGGGGAAGGGGTGGCGGGGGGAGCAGTGCATGGAGGGGTAGCGGGGTGGCGGGAGGGCCAGTGCATGGGGGGGTGGCGGGGGGCAGTGCATGGAGGGGTGGCGGGGTGGCGGGGGGGCAGTGCATGGGGGGTGGCGGGGTGGCGGGGGGGCAGTGCATGGGGGGTGTCGGGGTGTCGGGGGGGGCAGTGCATGGGGGGTGGCGGGGTGGCGGGGGGGCAGTGCATGGGGGGTGTCGGGGTGTCGGGGGGGGCAGTGCATGGGGGGTGGCGGGGTGGCGGGGGGGAAGTGCATGGGGGGGTGGCGGGGTGGCGGGGGGGGCAGTGCATGGGGTGGTGGCGGGGGGCAGTGCATGGAGGGGTGGCGGGGTGGCGGGGGGGCAGTGCATGGGGGGGTGGCGGGGGGCAGTGCATGGAGGGGTGGCGGGGTGGCGGGGGGGCAGTGCATGGAGGGGTGGCGGGGTGGCGGGGGGGGCAGTGCATGGGGGGGTGGCGGGGGGGGCAGTGCATGGGGGGGTGGCAGGGTGGCGGGGGGGGGCCGTGCATGGGGGTTGGGGTGGGAGGGGACTGAGCTCTGAGAAAGGACCCCAGTTCACTATGTCAAAAACGAAAAAAAGGCAAGGCGCAGTGGCTCACGCCTGTAATCCCGGCACTTTGGGAGGCCAAGGAGGGCAGATCACCTGAGGTCAGGAGTTTGAGACCAGCCTGACCAATATGGTGAAATCCTGTCTCTACTAAAAATGCAAAAAAAATTAGACGGGCATGGTGGCTACTGTTATCCCAGCTACATGGGAGGCTGAGGCAGGAGAATCGCTTGAACCCGGGAGGTGGAGATTGCAGTGAGCTGAGATTGCACCACTGCACTCCAGCCTGAGTGACAGAGTGAGACCCCGTCTTAAAAAACAAAACAAGGCCAGGCACGGTGGCTCATGCCTGTAATCCCAGCACTCTGGGAGGCTGAGGCAGGTGGATCACAAGGTCAGGAGATCGAGACCACCCTGGCTAACATGGTGAAACCCTGTCTCTACTAAAAATACAAAGAATTATCCGAGCATGGTGGTGGACGCCTGTGGTCCCAGCTACTCCGGAGGCTGAGGTGGGAGAATGGCGTGAACCCAGGAGGTGGAGCTTGCAGTGAGCCGAGATTGCGCCACTGCAGTCCGCAGTCCCGCCTGGGGCGACAGAGCGAGACTCCGTCTCAAAAAAAAAAAAAAAAAAAAAAAAAAAAAAGAAAAAAAAGAAAAAAGAAAAAAAGAAAAGAAAACGAAGAAAAACCACAAATAAATAAAAGTTGAGGTATGATGTATGCACAGCTGCATTCGCCCCTTTGAGGGCACAGTTGTGTGAGTTTAGACAAATGCAAATGTTCATGGAACCACTGCAAGTGCGACACAGCAGCTCTGGTGCCCACAAAGCTTCCTCGAGGTCCCTTGCGGTCAATCACTGCCCGCACCTCAGCCCTCAGAGCCACTGGGAAGCCCCCTGCCCTGTGGGCTCACCTGTCCTAGAACGTCGTATAAAAGGAGTCGCAGATCGCAGCCTTTTCCACCTGGCTTCTGTCCCTCTGCAGGGTGCACCTGGGATTCAGCCACCTTCGTTCCTTTTACTGCTGAGTGTCCATCACGTGCTGCTCATGCAGAAGTGCTCAAGTTCGCTGTAAACGTAGTTTTCATTTCTCCCGGGTGGAGACCTCCATAAGTAGGTAGGTTGGTGGAATGTTTCACTGCATGAGAGTCTGCCAGGAAGTTTTGCAGTGTGGTCCCGTCTTGTTCTTCCCGCAGAGGGTGATAGCTCTGCTGACTCCCAGCCCTCACAGGCTCTAGGGATTGAGCCTGTTTCTGTGGAACGCCTTCCATGGTCTGCGAGGTGCACAGAGGGGTCTCAAAAAGCTTCCAGGTTGCATCTTCCCATGGACTGATGCTGAGCGTGTTCTCATCTCCCATCCGGATGTTTTCTTTGGTGGAGTATCTTTTCAGATCTCTTGCCTTTTTATTTTTATTTGTTTATATATATATTTTGAGACGGAATTTTGCTCTTTCACTTAGGTTGGAGTGCAACGGCGCGATCTTGGCTCACTGCAACCTCCCCCCACCCACCTCACTTTGGGTTCAAGCGATTCTCCTGCCTCAGCCTCCCGAGTAGCTGGGACTACAGGCGCCCGCCACCATGCCCGGCTAATTTTTGTATTTTGAGAAGAGATAGGGTTTCACCATGTTGGCCAGGCTGGTCTCGAACTCCTGACCTCAGGTGATCCACCCGCCTCGGCCTCCCAAAATGCGAGGATCACAGGCGTGAGATGCCACACCTGGCCTCTTTTTATTTTTAATGGAGTGGCTTGTTTTCTTATTACTCAGTCTTGGGAGTTCCTCATGGATGCTGGATTTCAGTCTCGTCTCAGGTGTATGCGTTTTGTAGATGTTTTCTGTAGGGACCAGCCCCACAGGGTTGGTGAGTTTCTCCCTGTGTGCTGAGATGAGAGGGCATAGAAATAAGGACACAAGAAAAAGACATAAAAGAAAAGACAGCTGGGCCTGGGGACCACTACCACCAAGACGTGGAGACCGGTAGTGGCCCCGAATGTCTGGCTGTGCTGATATTTATTGGATACAAAGCAAAAGGGACAGGGTAAAGAGTGTGAGTCATCTCCAATGATAGGTAAGGTGACGTGAGTCACGTGTCCACCGGATGGGGGGCCCTTCCCTGTTTGGCAGCCAAGGCGGAGAGAGAGAGAGAGAGACAGCTTACATCATTATTTCTGCATATCAGAGACTTTTAGTACTTTCACTAATTGACTACTGCTATCTAGAAGGCAGAGCCAGGTGTACAGGATGGAACATGAAGGCGGACTACGAGCGTGACCACTGAAGCACAGCATCACAGGGAGACGGTTAGGCCTCTGGATAACTGCGGGCAGGTCTGACTGATGTCAGGCCCTCCACAGGAGGTGGAGGAGTAGAGTCCTCTCTAAGCTCCCCCGGGGAAAGGGAGACTCCCTTTCCCTGTCTGCTAAGTAGCAGGTGTTTTCCCTTGACACTGACGCTACTGCTAGATCACGGTCCGCTTGGCAACAGGTGTCTTCCCAGACGCTGGCGTCACCACTAGACCAAGGAGCCCTCTGGTGGCCCTGTCAGGGCGTAACAGAAGGCTCGCACTCTTGTCTTCTGGTCACTTCTCACTATGTCCGCTCAGCTCCTATCTCTGTATGGCCTGGTTTTTCCTAGGTTATAATTGTAGAGCAAGGATTATTATAATATTGGAATAAAGAGTAATTGCTACAAGCTAATGATTAATAATATTCATATATAATCATGTCTATGATCTAGATCTAGTATAACTCTTGTTATTTTATATATTTTATTAAACTGGAACAGCTCGTGCCCTCGGTCTCTTGCTTCGGCATCTGGGTGGCTTGCTGACCACAGTTTTCCTGCTGTATCTAACTGCTGGCTTAGGTGAACCTGTCAGGGGCGTGGCTGGGAACTGGAACCTCCTGAAGACCAGTGGAGGCCACAAGCAGAAGCCCTCGGCTCCTTCCCTTCCCCGATGCTGGGGGCCAAGGGTCTTTCTCTGACCCTGTCCCCCTCTCACGTTACCAGTGGAGGGTGTCCAGGTTCTTGGCATTTTGAACAAAGAATTGGACAAAACACACAAACAAAGCAAGGAAAGAATGAAGCAACAAAAGCAGAAATTTATTGAAAATGAAAGCACTCTTTACAGGGTGGGAGCGGGCTGAGCAAGCAGCTCAAGGGCCCCGGTTACAGAATTTTCTAGTGTTTCAATATCCTCTAGCGGTTTACCATTGGTTACTTGGTGTATGCCCTATGTAAATGAAGAGGATGAAGTCAAAGTCATTTTCTCGGCTGAGCATACTGTCACGCCTGTAATCCCAGTACTTTGGGAGGCTGAGGTGGGTGTATCACCTGAGGTCGGGAGTTCAAGACCAGCCTGATGAACATGGAGAAACCCCGTCTCTACTAAAAATACAAAATTAGCTGGGTGTGGTGGCGGGTGCCTGTAATCCCAGATAGTCAGGAGGCTGAGGCAGGAAAATCGCTTAAACCCGGGAGGCAGAGGCTGCAGAGAGCCAAGGAGTGCACCACTGCACTCCAGCCTGGGCAACAAGAGCAAAACTCCATCTCAAAAAACAAACAAACAAAACGAAGTCATGTACTCGGTATGAGCCCTACGTAAACGGAGAGGATGGAGTGAAGGTACAAAGCCATTCACATTCCCGTCATCGTTAGTGTTTCCAGTTGATTTGGTTCTAGGACGCCCTTGGGCTCCCTGCGTCCAGGCCCTCTTCTCCTGCCTCACTCTCACTCCAGAGGACTGGCAGTGCTGGCCTCCCTGGCAGGACTCCCGCCCCTGACCAGAGGGGTCTGGGCGTGCTCCGAGGCCACCTGCTGCTCCTTGCCCAGTGTCCCTGGGTGCTCTGTGGGGACACAGAGAGGTCACTTGGGAGGTTCCTGCCTCTGCCAGACTGCGGCGCCTTCCTGGCGTCATTGCCCCCTGCACGCTTATACAACCAGTGATAAGGCGGTATCCAATGCCGTAATCCTCCCCAGGGCCAGCCCAGCCCTGTCCGGTCCCGTCCGGTCCCTGGCCTGCTTGCTGGAAGCCCAGCTGGGGGCTGCATCGGGGGTGGTGGGGGTCTGGAGTGAGGGGTGCCCAGGCCTCTCTCACAGTGTGGGGGCACAAGCTCTGCCCTGGACACTCTGCCAGTGTGACCCTACCCCCCATGTTGGGGGTGAGAGAAGGGGGCTTTCTGGGTGGCCAGATCCCAGGAGAGGGGGCCTAGCCAGACCAACCCCAGCCCAGCTCTCTGCAGCTGTACCCCAAAGGCCCTGGCCCAGCCCAGCCAGACAGAGTGTGGACAGAGGGGCTTGGGTGCGAGTCCAGGCAAGGCAGGACAAGTCTCTGCTGTGGCTTGGCAGTGGCCCCGTGACTGGTGACATAGTCTGGCAGGCCTAGGGGACAAATCCTCAGCCCGGGTGCATCAGGCCAGAGCCTGGCTGTCTGGAGCCCTCCAGGAAATGACCCCCTGGGCTGGGGGACATCCGAGTGATTGTGCCAAACAATGGACAAGGGGGCCGGAGTCTCAGAGCCGAAGTGCCTTCCGCTTCCATCTGCTCCGCCCAGGAGCAGGTGCACCCAGGTGGTGGCCTGGGCTATAAAGCTGGCCCCCTGGGGCTTGGGGACTCAGCACCAGGGGCTGGAGGGCAGGGGAGGGGATGATGTCATTCCTGCTCGGCGCAATCCTGACCCTGCTCTGGGCGCCCACGGCTCAGGCTGAGGTTCTGCTGCAGCCTGACTTCAATGCTGAAAAGGTACCAGGGGCCTCTGCTGTCCTGTGGTGGGTGGGAGCTGGGCCCCTGCCAGAGACAACGTGATAATTGTGACAACTGCCTTTCCTGGGGCGCTTGCTCTGTGCCCGGCCAGGCACGTGCTATAGACCCACTCTGCGCTTAATCCTAAACCAACCTGTGAATGGATCATTACTGCACCCACTTCACAGCTGGGAACTGAGGCTCACAGTTGCACTGTGACCTACCCAAGATGAGTTCCTGTCCACCTGGGCTCAGCTCACACCCAAGACATGGCCACTCCGAGACCCCTTGCTGTGTGACTTCTGAGTTGTCCCCTGGGTCCCTGGGCAAGGAGGGCCCTGCTGCTGGCTGTCCTGGCCTGCGGGTGACTAAGCCCCCGGCAGTTCTCAGGCCTCTGGTACGTGGTCTCCATGGCATCTGACTGCAGGGTCTTCCTGGGCAAGAAGGACCACCTGTCCATGTCCACCAGGGCCATCAGGCCCACAGAGGAGGGCGGCCTCCACGTCCACATGGAGTTCCCGGGGTGAGTTACTTGGGCTGGGCTGCCTGGGCTGGGCTGGGGAGCTGAGGTAGCTGGGTGCCATGAGTGAGCCGGCTGTGCACCCCCAGGGCGGACGGCTGTAACCAGGTGGATGCCGAGTACCTGAAGGTGGGCTCCGAGGGACACTTCAGAGTCCCGGGTAGGTCCTGCCTCCTCTGCCTTCAGGGGTGCTGGATGCCGCTTCTCTGGGGGTGACGTGGGGCTGACTTTCCACCCGGGCCCAAGCTGTCCATCCCAGTCTCCAGCCCCCTGCCCGCCCTCCCCGCCCCTCCTCTGTCTTCGGGGAACAGGCTCACAGCCCAGCAGCAGGGGCAGGCATGGGTGGGGTCGGTGCCCGGGCCCATCCACTTCTCCAGCCTGAAAAGGCCGCCTGCCTCTCCGCAGCCTTGGGCTACCTGGACGTGCGCATCGTGGACACAGACTACAGCTCCTTCGCCGTCCTTTACATCTACAAGGAGCTGGAGGGGGCCCTCAGCACCATGGTGCAGCTCTACAGTGAGTGCCTGTCCCACCTCCCCGCACTGGCCCCTCCCCAACTTCCCACAGGCCCCGCCCCCCGTTCTGCCTACCCCCGCCCCGCCCGCCTGCCGCCCCGCGCCTCCTCACAGGCCCCGCCCTCACCCCTCCGCCCCCCGCCTTTTAGGCCGAGTTTAGGCTCCGCCTCCTCATCCCCGGGCCCGCCCCTTCTGGTGCTGCCCCATGCCCTCTCCTGCTGTGACCCTTCGCACACACTCCTGGCCTGGCCAGGACCGGGTGGGGTGGGAGCTGGGCCCGCCGTGCTTTGGATGTGGAGGAGGTTGGCTTGGGGGAGGGTCCCGCGGTGCATGCTCCTCTCTGGCCTCCTGAGAGTGGTGCCCCGCCCTTCCCTGCCTGGCCTCGCTGCCTGAGTTCTGGGGCTGGGGCTGAGGTTCTTTTTTTTTTTTTTTTTTAATATGGAGTCTCACTCTGTCGCCCAGGCTGGAGTGCAGTGGCGCGATCTCGGCTCACTGCAACCTCCGACTCCCCAGTTCAAGCAATTCTCCTGCCTCAGCCCCCCGATAAGCTGGGACTACAGGCGCCCATCACCATGCCCGTATTTGTATTTGTAAAAATATAAATAATTTTTTGTATTTTTAGTAGAGACGGGGTTTCACCGTGTTAGCCAGGATGGTCTCGATCTCCTGACCTCGTGATCCGTCCGCCTCGGCCTCCCAAAGTGCTGGGATTCCAGGCGTGAGCCACCGCGCCGGCTGGGGCTCAGGTTCTTTAACTCCTGGGGACTCCCCGATTGGAGCCGACAGAGTGAGGCTGGAGGCTTCCGGGCTGCAGGGAAAGAGGCTCAAGGGGTAGTGGGGCCCAGGAGGACAGCCAGACCACCCCAACCTCCCAGACATCTTGGTGTGAATTGGGGAAGGGGGCCCCAAGTTTCCTTCAGCCAGGCAGGAGCTTTATGCCGCGCACAACCTGCCCAACCCAGGGTGGCGGCCTTGCTGTCAGCCCTCAGGCTGGTGGAGTGAGGCCAGGAGACCCCGTGCTGCACTCCTGTGAGCTGCTGAGTTCACAGTGACCTCTGCTCTGCCCAGGCCGGACCCAGGATGTGAGTCCCCAGGCTCTGAAGTCCTTCCAGGACTTCTACCCGACCCTGGGGCTCCCCAAGGACATGATGGTCATGCTGCCCCAGTCAGGTACCCTGGCAAGCCCCGCCCACCCCATGCCCCCCAGCCTCTCCCTCCCTTCCCATGAGCCCACCCTTCCTTCCCCTCACAGCACAGGCAGTGTGCGGGCAGCAGGTGGTCTTCTCTTCCAGGGGTGGGCTGGCAGCCCCTGCAGCCCCTACCCCACCTCCCCCAGAACAGACTACGGGAGAGGCTTTGGGCAGCGCTGGGAGGGAAGCTCTGGGCTCCACTCTCTGGGGATGGTGGAGCTGTCCAGTGGCCCTTGGCACCCAGGGGTTGGGGGCTGCGGGAAGCGAGGGCGGTCCTGGCCGTCAGCATCTCACGGATGTCTTCCTCCCCACAGATGCATGCAACCCTGAGAGCAAGGAGGCGCCCTGACACCTCCGGAGCCCCACCCCCGCCCTTCCCAGGTGGGTTCTCCAGGCCCTGCAGGGGATGCCCTGGTTGCCTCTCCCCTCCCTATCGCAGCTTGACATCTGGTTCTGTCTGCCCCATGCCTGCCCCGCTGTTCTGCCTGGCGACCCCATGCTTCAGGCCTCAGCTTAGACATTACCTCTTCCAGGAAGCCTCCCTTGATTTCCTAAGGTACCCATCACAGAGTACCACAAATGGGGCGACTTAAAACAGCAGAAGTTTGGCCGGGTGCAGTGGCTCATGCCTATCATCCCAGCACTTTGGGAGGCCGAGGCAGGCGGGTCACCTGAGGTTGGGAGTTCGAGACCAGCCTGACCAACATGGAGAAACCCCGTCTCTACTAAAAATACAAAACTTAGCTGGGCGTGGTGGTGCACACCTGTAATCTCAGCTACTTGTGAGGCTGAGGCAGGAGAATCGCCTGAACCCAGGAGGCGGAGGTTGCGGTGAGCCGAGATTGCACCATTACAGTCCAGCCTGGGTGACAAGAGAGAAACTCCATCTCAAAACAAACAGACAAAACCAGCAGACGTTTATCTCTCCCAGTTCTGGAGGCCAGAAGTCCAAAATCAAGATGTCCACAGGGCTGGTTCCTCTGGAAGCTCTGAAGGAGACTCCCTCCCACACCGCCCCCCCAGCTCCCACGGCTGCCGCTTGTCCTGGGCATTTCTTGGCCTGTGGAAGCATCAGCCCTGTCTCCGCCTCCGTCCTCCCACAGCCACCTTCCTTCTGTGCATCTGTGTCCAAACTGCCCCCTAGTGTCTGTGCTGCCGAAGCGAGTGCCCCACGGCCCTCTTCTTAGGAGGATGCCTGTGCTTGGATTCAGGGCCCACTGTAAATGCAGGATGATCTAATCTCCAGATTCTAAACTAGTGGTATCTGCAAAGACCGTTTCCAAATAAGGCCACGTTCGGAGGTTCCAGGTGGGCCTGAAGTTTTGGGGACACGATTCAATCCACAGCTCTGTGTCCCCGCTGTATCCACACAGCCCCTGGCTCCCTCCCCAGGGCAGGGTCCTGCCTTGTAATTGTGGGAGCCTTGTCTTCTCCCCCAGGGCCCAGGAGGGCAGACCACAGCCTTCGCGCGCAGTGCCCCTCACAGGAGCCACGTGCGGGCGGGGTCTTGCGGAGATCCCCCCCTAAACCAGACGCCGGGAGACCGCTGGGTCCCTCGCCGGGGCTCACCGCCAAGAATCTGGGCACAGCCACACGTCACGTGTCTGACGTGACAGTCACCGGCGTCTGGAGGGACACTGGCCCTTCCTGGCATGGCGGGAGGAGGTGGGCGGCTCTGAGGCGGGGCTGTTTCTCCTGCGTTTCTGCCGTGCTGCTGTTGCGTTTCCTGCATCTCTGCTCCTCTCCATGAGCTTCGCCTCCACTCCCAGGACCCTCTCCCTGGAGACTCGCCGTCCTGCCTGGGGACACTGGGGCTGTTCAGCTTTGCACAAGTCTGCACCAACGTCTCCCTGCACACCCCCGCTGGGTTGGGAAACATGGGGGGCAACACCAAATCGCCCTTGTCCAGAAGGTTCTGTGGGCAGAACATGTAGCCCCATCCCGCCATGATCTTGAAGAAGCAGCTTTCGGGGTAGAGTGCCCCGCCTGGGCCACCACGCGTGACCGTGGAGGCTGTGGGTTCTGTGGTGGCTTCATGGACATTCCGGGGCTTTTCTTGCCATGCAGCCCCCTTCACCGAGGACCAGGCAGAGGCCATGGCTCACTGCCACTCAGCCAGGGACTGGGGCATGGCACTGGGTCCTCCCGCGCCGGGGAAGGTGGGGAAGTGCTGGAGCCAGGGATGGCCTCTGGGGCAGCCTCTCGCCTGGGGCAGCAGTGGTAGCTGGTGTGTGTTTCCAGGTTTGCAGGAGTTTTGGGAGCAGAATGAGCTCTCCCTGGCCTGTCAGTGGTGGCTTTGGAAGAGTGATGCCCAGCTTGTGGGGAGCAGGAAGGGCGTTTGTCGCGGGAGTGGGTGATGGAGTAGGCATGCGTTTTCTACGCAGGTGGAGCCAAAGCAGCAGGCGCCTTTGCCCCTGGAGTCAAGACCCACAGCCCTCGGGGACCACCTGGAGTCTCTCCATCCTCCACCCCCCGCCTGTGGGATGCCTTGTGGGACGTCTCTTTCTATTCAATAAACAGATGCTGCAGCCTCATGGCCCTCACCTCTTTGGACATGCCCTGGGGGAGGGCAATGCGGGCCCCTGACTGACCCCAGCACTGCTGGGGAGACTGAGGCAGGGAGGCAAGTGTGAGAAGGCCCTGGCCGAGGGAGCAGGACGCAGGGGTGAGAGGGCAGGAGGCAGGGGTGAGAGGCCCTGGGGAGGGGCAGGGGGCAGGGGTGAGGGGCCCTGGGAAGGGGCAGGGGGCAGGGGTGAAGGGCCCTGGGTGAGGGGGCAGGGGACAGGGGTGAGGGGCCCTGGGGAGGGGCAGGAGGCAGCAGCCACTCTTGGCCTGTGTGGGGGCTGCACCCACAGGAAGAATGGAGCATCCTGGCCCAGTCCCTATGGGTCTGCAGTGCTGTGGGGAACTGGGCACCCTGTGAAGACGGCCCGGCCACTGGGGCTGTGCTGGGCACACAGGCCCCGGTGCCGGGGGGGGAGCTGGGGGAGCTGCAGGAGGCCGGGGAGTTAGGCCCACTTGGGTTTTGCCCCTCACCACTGATATGATCGTGGGCACCTGGTTTACACCCCTGGAAATGGGTCACCGTTGTGGCCAGGGGACTGCCAGCCAGCCTGAGCGCTCCACAGCAGACCCACAGACATAGGTAGCTACCCAGCGTACTCCTCATTTCAAAGATCAGGAAACTGGCCTGGCGCGGTGGCTCATGCCTGTAATCCCAGCACTTTGGGAGGCCGAGGCGGGTGGATCACTTGAGGCCAGGAGTTTGAGACCAGCCTGGCCAACATGGCAAAACCCCGTCCCTACTAAAAATACAAGACTTAACCGGGCGTGGTGGCGCACACCTGTAGTCCCAGCTACTCAGGAGGCTGAGGCAGGAGAATCGCTTGAACCCAGGAGGCAGAGGCTGCAGTGAGCTGAGATTGTGCCACTGCACTCCAGCCTGGGCGATGGAGCAAGACTCTGTCTCAGGAAAAAAAAAAAAAGAAAAAAAAAATCAAGAAACCGAGGCACAGAAGGGTTGGGTAACTTATCCAAGGCTGCACAGCCAGGAAGAGGCCAGGCGGGCTGCAAGCCTGGGTGATCAGGCTCCAGGGCCGGGCTCCACACTGCCCCCGGGTGGTGATGCCTGGTGCAGCAGAGGCCCTCCCCACTGTCACTGTCACTCTGGTCGCTGGCGCTGTGCCTCCGGCCTCCGGAGCTCTGACTGCCCACTGCGTCTGGCACACATTTCAAAGGGCCAGGCGTGGGGTGGCACAGGAAAGTGCTGGAGGCTCTGGTCCGTTGCCCATCAGTGCCCACAGCCCTCGCAGCGCAGGCCAGAACGAGCCCAAAAAAACAAGTGTCATGTGGGGTGGGGGTCACCGAGCCCCAGGTGGTGTGGGTGGAGCTCCTCTTCCTCTCAGGCTCCGAGACGGCCCCAGCAGCGTCCACCGCTGTCCATATGCCAGGAGGGTGGCTGGGCAGGCTGCTGTCTAGGCCAGGCTAACCCCTGCGGTGGGCGTGGGTGTCACCAGGGCCGATGGCGCTTGTGCAGAAACCCACGTCTCTGAGCTGCCAGCAGCCAAGCTGTCCTGATGACATTCCCGGGTGGGCGCACAAGCCTGCACTGTCCGTATAGAATCGGCCCAGGCTGTGCAGCAGGGGAACCCGGAGCCCGGACCCCGCCACGGAGGCCAGGCTGCCGTGCACCATCCTGGGTGTCCTCGTGGTGCTCCGGGCGCAGGTGGCAGCAGCCATGGAGGAGCTGGACCGGCAGAAGGTGGCTTCTCCTTCTTAGTTGGTGGGGCTCCTCCTACACCCCCAACCCCTCAGGCTCAGGGAAGGAGGCCTCTCCCGGTGTGGGGAGCTCGTGGGGACGCTGGTGCCCGGCTAGACACTTCCTGTTAGCGGCATTTTCTTCTCCGCTGAGTCTGTGCCGGCTGCTGGGCCAGAGGCACATTAGCAGGCCCAGAGAAGGTAGATGCCGGAGACGAAGATTCTTTCCTCCCGAAAATGGTAGGGTTTTTAAAAGTCTCAGCGGAAGTCCCGGCTCTGGGCGGGTTGCTGAGGGCAGGAGGCCCATCCTCTGGCGTGGTTGGCAGGCTGGCGAGCTGCGCTACCCGAGCCACCTGTTCTCTGGCGTTTCTCACTCCGCCGCGCCCTGCGGGCTTTCTTTTCCAGGCCTCTGCTCCTGGGTCCTGCCTCCGAGGTCAGGCAGGGCCTGTGGTTC
Source organism: Homo sapiens (assembly GCF_000001405.40). Lineage (NCBI taxonomy): Eukaryota > Metazoa > Chordata > Mammalia > Primates > Hominidae > Homo > Homo sapiens. Next base: position 136,757,456 of record NC_000009.12, on the reverse strand, counting down.
CTCCCGACATGTCGCAGAAGCCCTAGGGACTGTTCCGCAGCTCTAGATGGCCCAGTGGGGAGGGGCTGCCCTGTGGGCATTGCTGTCTGATGGCCTGAAGGCACCGCTTGGAGGGACACATGCCTGGGGACAGTGGGCTCACAGATGTCTTGCTGCTTTGCCACCGAGCCTCACAGCCATCTGCTGACCTCTCAGAGCCCAGCAGGCCCCTGCCCGGGGGTTCGTGGAATGCCCCTGGGGGTCTCAGACCCACTGCTCAGCTCTTGGCCAGGCTCCGTATCTCTCTAGATTGGAGGATTCTGGAGGGAAGTCGGTGTGGCCTCCGATCAAAGCCTGGTGCTGACGGCCCCGAAGCGGGTGGAGGGCTTGTTCCTCACCTTGAGCGGGAGTAACCTGACCGTGAAGGTTGCATATAACAGGTAAGAGGCCTGGGGGCTGCTGGAGAGGAAGAGGCATGCATGGCCGGGGACTGGGCGTGGGTTGCTGCACCCGCTGCAGCGTGGGGTCTGGGCTGAGTGCCGTCCCGCTGGTGGGCCAGCACTCCCGGTGCCCGTCTGCCTGAGCCCTCGACCCCCAGGCTCCTGGATCTGCATTTTATCCCAAATATAAGCATAGTGTTTTAATGAAGCCCCGTGAACTTAGAAGGAAGGAAAAGGGGTGTGGGACAGGTGACTGGCTGGAGGGAACAGAATCCCCAGGGGAAGGCCCCACCTGGCACATTCCCCGCCTCATCCTGCTCCAGGCCTGGGATACTCCACAGTGCTGCCTGTGCCCTTCCTAAAGACACAGCCCCACTCCGGGAAGGAGCCCAGCAGGCGGGACACAGGCTAGCATTTTACCGATGGGCACTTTGCTGCCTTTCAGCTCAGGAAGCTGTGAGATAGAGAAGATCGTGGGCTCAGAAATAGACAGTACGGGAAAATTCGCTTTTCCTGGTAAGTGCAGTTGCCCTGTGATGGCAGGTGGAACCCGGCTGTGCACACAGCTAGGCCTTATTGTTCCCCATGCTGTTCCCTGCACTGTTCCCCATGCTGTTCCCTGCACTGTTCTCTGTGCTGTTCCCTGCACTGTTCCCCATGCTGTTCCCTGAACTATTCCCTGTGCTGTTCCCCATGTTGTTCCCTGCACTGCTCCCTGCACTGTTCCACATGCTGTTTCCTGCACTATTCCCCATGCTGTTCCCTGCACTTTTCTCTGCGCCATTCCCCATGCGTTCCCTGCACTGTTCCCTGCACTGTTCCCCATGCTGTTCCCTGCGCTGTTCCCCATGCTGTTCCCTGCACTGTTCCTCATGCTGTTCCCTGCGCTGTTCCACATGCTGTTCCCTGCGCTGTTCCCCATGCTGTTCCCTGCACTGTTCCCCATGCTGTTCCCTGCAATGCTCCCTGCACTGTTCCCCGCACTGCTCCCTGCACTGTTCCCCATGCTGTTTCCTGCACTATTCCCCATGCTGTTCCCTGCACTTTTCTCTGTGCCGTTCCCCATGCATTCCCTGCACTGTTCCCTGCACTGTTCCCCATGCTGTTCCCTGCAATGCTCCCTGCACTGTTCCCCGCACTGCTCCCTGCACTATTCCCCATGCTGTTCCCTGCACTTTTCTCTGTGCCGTTCCCCATGCATTCCCTGCACTGTTCCCTGCACTGTTCCCCATGCTGTTCCCTGCACTGTTCCCCATGCTGTTTCCTGCACCGTTCCCCATGCTGTTCCCTGCAGGGTTCCCTGCACTGTTCCCCATGCTGTTCCCTGCACATTTCATGCCCCAGACCTTCCCATTCTCCCACCAACACACTGGATCATCCTTCAAAAGCTTCTGTAGTGTCTCCAACCACTCAAGTGCTGGGACTGGGTGGGGGCAGGATGGAGTTAGACCCTGCAGACCCTGGCCTTCGAGGTCCGTCCCCCTCAGACGTCTCCCCCAACGCCATGGCCGGCTCTTGAAGGCCACAGAGAGATCCACGTGCTGGACACCGACTACGAGGGCTACGCCATCCTGCGGGTGTCCCTGATGTGGCGGGGCAGGAACTTTCGCGTCCTCAAGTACTTTAGTAAGCTTGGCCCTGGGGGGCTCTGCCCAGCTGCTGCTCTCCCAGGGACTGCCCGCCCAGCCCCCCTGTGCCCCACAGCTCGGAGCCTTGAGGACAAGGACCGGCTGGGGTTCTGGAAGTTTCGGGAGCTGACAGCAGACACTGGTCTCTACCTGGCGGCCCGGCCTGGTGAGCCCAGGGGCCTTGGGGTGGAGGCTGGGCTGGGCCCTGTGGGCTGACTCTGCAGCTCCTCATGCTGGCCTATCCTGCAGGGCGGTGTGCCGAGCTCCTGAAGGAGGTGAGCCTGACCCCCGACCCTGGCCTGTGCTGAAGTTCCCGGGCCCCTGGCCCAGTCCCTGGCCCTGTCAGGAGCCCCCGTGGCTCCGCCTCCCGGCCCTGGGCTGGGCCTTCTCACCCCTTCCTGTGAACAGGACACCAAACACCACTGGTGGGCAGCTCCAGAGATGAGTCTGTCTCCTGGTTTGGAAAGAGCTGGAACCTCCAGGGTGGTGACCCTAGGCTGCCAGGCAGGGACCCTGGGAGGCTGGGGTCACGGGGTGCAGAGCTGGGTGGGGCAGGGGAGCAGAAATGGCGCCTTTTCTTCGGTGTTCTGTGCAGGACTGCCGGCTGCTTCTGCCCCCGAAGGTCCCGTCGGCGGCGGGGCACAGATCCTGCGGGCGCTGCCTCAGGGCTCCCATGTTGGGCACTGCGAGAACCCAGTGTCTCCCTCACCTCGCTTTGTCTTGGCCCTAGAGGCTGGGCCTGTTACCCCATTTTGCAGATTGAGAAGGCGCTCAGGGAGCTGGGTGCTTTGCGCAAAACCAGGCAGCGAGGACAGAAGTCCCGCCGTGTGGCCCTCATCGAAGCCCCGTGGGGCCTCCAGAGACCACACGGGCCTGAGCCCCTGCACTTCTGTGTCGCAGGAGCTGATTTAATGGAGTTCCTGCCTCAGACCACAAGGTTCGGAGCGCCCGCCCACCCCTGCCCCTCCTGGGCACCCTGCCCACCAGGTCACCTGCACCTGCTCTGAATAAACTGTGAAGTCAAGCCACTGCCTGGTGTGTCCTTCCGGAGGGCCGATGGGTGACAGGTGTGGGGGGACTCACCCGCCCCAGGTCTGGCAACAGGAGGTGTGTTTTCCGTGGTTACTGGACAAACAGTGCAGCTCACGTGCAAGGCAGCAACCCCTGCCCTCCCGCCCTGCTAGGGTCGTGGTCAGGCTGCCCCAGGGTATAGACCAGAGACAGAAACAGGGCTCCTGGTGGAGTCTCAGCAGGTCTGTCAAACGCATGGAGGCCACACCCCTCCTGCCTGCATCCTCCATGGCTCCCCACTGCCCAGGGCTCCAGGCTCACGGCCCGTGCTGAAGGCCCTACCCGATGGGCCCCGCTTCCAGCCTCCCTGGACCCCCAGCTGCCCAGCCCTGCTCAGTGTCCGCTTCCACAGTGGGCTGTCACCCCGTGGCCTCGGCTGCCACCAGCCGACTGCATCACTTTCTCCTCCCGCCTGGCCTGGGACACGGGAAGGGCAAGGAAAGTGACAGTGTCAGCCCGGAGGTTCTGCGCCCAGGCCCCTGGGGAATCAGCCGGTCCCCACATATGCAGGTGAGACAACCCAGGCTTATGAGGGTGGCTGCCTCGTCGGGGCGGCGGAAAATGATACCTGAGGTCGAGTGGTGCCGGGAGCTCTGGGGGAACAGCCCGAGTAGGGGGACCTCGCCAGCCCCCAGCACGGCCGGGACACTGGAAAGGCCCTGCTAGGAACAAGGGCTGCACCCTAGATGCGCCTCAAATCCAGAACTGTGCCCCCGAGACCCACAGGAGGGACATGTAGAGGCTGCATTCTGACAAGTTAGGGGCTCCTGGGAAACAGCCGTGACTTTGCGCAGCTGTGCCTGGCCGAAGCCCACGGGTTCAAGGAGCTTCGCCTGGACTTGGATTTCCTGCTGGAGGGGCTGTCACTCTCGCTGTCAGCTCAGGCTCCCGTGACAAAATACCCCAGACTGGGCACCTTAAACAACAGAACTGTATTTCCTCACCGTTCTGGAGGGTGGAAGTCCAAGATTAAGGTGCCGGAAAGTGCAGTTTCTGGTGAGGGCTTCCTGCCCATTCGCAGAAGGCAGCCCCTCGCTGTGTCCTCACCTGGCAGGGAGCGCTCTCTGGGTGCCTCTTTTTCTCCTAATAAGGACATCAGCCTGTTAAATTAGGGCCACTCCCTTTGACCTCACTTAATCTCGATTGTCTCCTAAGAGTCCCATCTCCTGAAACAGTGACCATGGGATCTGGGGCTTCAACGCAGGAATTTTGGGAGGGCAGAATTCATCCCAGAACAAAAGTCAGTGCTGTTTAGAGGGTGACAGTAGATGCAGGGCTGCCGTCATCAACAACGTCCTGCCCAAAAGTCACTGGACGTCCAAAGACACAGAAAAGTATGACCTATGTTAAAAAAAAAAAGAAAAAAAAAGTTACTAAAAACTGACACCGAGAAGACCCAAAGTTGTATTCAGAAGATAAAGGTCTAAAACAGCCATTATAAGTAGTTAAAAGAAAAGCAAGATATACTCTAAGGAAAGAAATAGTGACACAATAGCATTAAAGGACTAACTAATTGATAAAGAATTAAGGAGTGAATGTAGGAGATCAGATCAGGAAATCAAGAGAGAAATGGAAACTATAAAAAAGAAAAAATTATGGAACTGAAAAGTACAATAAATGAAAAATTTACTGGAAAGACTAATAGGAGTTGGCCATGGCAAAAATAATGTCCATGAATTTGAGCACAAATCAATGTAAATTATCCAGTCTGAGGAACAGAGAAGAAAATGGTTGATAGCACCTCAAAGATATGTGGGGCAAGATAAAGAATGTAAACTAGCCTGAGAAAGAGAAGAGAGTGAGAATACATGAAGAAACAGTGGCCAAAATAACCCAAACTTGATGGAAACATCAACTTAGCCCAGAGGCTCAGAGAAACCCAGGCAGGATGAAAAAGAAAGCCTCACAAAAATCACACCTGGGGACATTATAGTCAAAGCACTGCCAACCAATGATTTGGATAAAAATTTAAAGGGATCTGTGGATTAAAGACAGGGCACATCCAGGTTTGGTGGCTCACGTCTGTAATCCCAGCACTTTGGGAGGCTGAGGCGGGAAGATCACTTGAGGTCAGAAGTTTGAGACCAGCTTAGGCAACATAGTGAGACTTTGTCTCTCTTTAAGAACAAACAAAAAAGACAGGGCATGATATAGTTTGGCTCTGTGTCCCCACCCAAATCTCATGTGGCATTATTGCAATGCCCAATGTTGGAGGTAGGGCTTGGTTGGAGGTGATTGGATCATGGAGGCAGATTTCCCCTTGCTGGTCTTGTGACAGTGAGTGAGTTCTCAGGAGATCTGGTTGTTTAAAAGTGTGTAGCACTTGCCCTTTCATTCTCTCTCCTGCTGGCCATGTAAAGATGTACCTGCTTCCCCTTCACCTTCAGCTATGATTGAAAGTTTCCTGAGGCCTCCACAGCTGTGATTCCTGTAAAGCCTGTGGAACCATGAGTCAAGTAAACTTCTTTTCTTCATAAATTACCCAGTCTCAGGTAGTTCTTCATAGCAATGTGAGAATGGACTAATACAGGGCATAAACAGGGGGACACAATGGCTGTCTTCTCATGACAAATGGAAACCAGGAGATGACAATAGGCCATCTTTACATTGATGAAAAAAAAATCAACGCAGAGCTCTTTATCTAGGACAAATATCCTTCAAAACTGAGGGTCAAATAAACATACTTTTCAACAAATGGAAGTTGAGGGAATTTATCTCTAGCACAGCTTCAGTACAATAAATAAATGCCAAGGATGTTCCTTAGGCAGAGGGAAATGACTCTGGATGGCCACTCAGGTCTGCAGGAAGAAGATCCGTGTGACAAGTGGGGACCAAGTGAGCCCACTGGAACCTGCATTCCTTGCCCTCCATTTGGTTACTTAATTATATCAGCATGGACTCAGCAGTTCCTGTTTTCTTCCATAGGTTACAATTTATGACAATCATTTCTACCCAATGGGAGTGCCTTCAAAGTGGCTTCAGAGTGTTGTTGGTACATTCCCTGATTCCTTGAGCACATTTTTGCTTTTTGGCACAAAAAACATTCCAAGTTCCTCTTGCATTTTCTGTACACAGGTTTGAATAATTCACCAGAGTCCTGGTTCCTTTTCATATAGAATGGTGTGTGGAGAAACCAAGCTCTGAGTGTTGGGTGTGCTTTTACTTTTACTGGGTCCGATTGTATCTAAACCTTCTCAACACACAGAGCCTGGACTTTCCTTCCTCCTCTTCCTCCCTCCTTCTTCTTCCCCTCTCCTGCCTCCCTCTCTCTCTCTCCTTCTTCCCTTCCCCTCCCATTTCTCCCTCCCTCTCTCCCTCCTTCCTCTCCTCCCTGCCCTCCCTCCCTCCCTTCCCTCCTTCCTCCCCTCCTCCCTCTCTCCTTCCCTCCCTGCCTCTCCCCATGTGTCTACCAAAATTGGAGTTCACATGGATATTTCCAATTCTAATCAGACGCCACAGGGTTCACTTTGATCTCTCCCCTTTCTATATGTCTATATTTATAATTCTCTTTTCCAACACAGAGAAACCCATTATCCTTGATATATTTACTCATTTGGTCCCTTCTAGAGCACACGGAAAGTAGTATCAGAATTGCTCACCCAAACCACTGTTAGTCATGAACCTGCCCATGAGAGCTTAGGATGTGTTTACAGCTCTTTCTGCTGTTAGCTTGAGAATACAGAGAAAAACTACTGTGTTCAGAAGTTACCAGGGGCAGTCCTTTCCCCTTCAGTGTGGCTGTCATTTATCTATAATGCAACTATATCCCATGTTTGGAATTTGTTTATTTTACTTTTGAGTATAACAGTATAACATACCAAATTACTTTGATTCCAAAGTCAAAACTATACAAAAACGTTTACTCAAAAAAGTCTAACTTCATCCCCCCACCCTGTTCCAGCTCCCCACCCCAGCAGGGAACTAGTCTCATTAGACTCTGAGGTTTATCCTTTGTTTTTGTTTGTTTGTTTGTTTGTGTGTTTGTTTGTTTTTTGAGACGGAGTCTTACTCACTCTGTCACCCAGGCTGGAGTGCAGTGGCGCAATCTCGGCTCACTGCAACCTCTGCCTCCCGGGTTCAAGCGATTCTCCTGCCTCCGCCTCCCGAGTAGCTGGGATTACAGGCTTGCGCCACCACCACGCCCGGCTAATTTTTGTACTTTTACTAGAGATGGGGTTTCACTAAGTTGGCCAGGCTGGTCTCGAACTCCTGACCTCAGGTGATCTGCCCGCCTCGGCCTCCCAAAGTGCTGGGATTATAGGCATGAGCCACCACACCCGGCTGATGTAGCGTGCTGTTTTGTGGCTGCCTCGAGAACCAGGCTCCCCGCAGCCCTTAGGGACACTAGTGGGGCTGGCAGGTGTTTCCTTCTCAGAGGCCTGGCCCAGCTGCTCGGCTTCCTCCTTTTTGTATTTTTATTTTATTTTAGAGATGGGGTCTTGCTCCATCACCCAGGCTGGAGAGGAGTGGCACGATCACAGCTCACTGCAGCCTCAACCTCCTGGGCTCAAGCAATCCTCCTACCTCAGCTTCCTGAGTAGCTGGGACTACAGGAGCACGCCACCATGTCCAGCTAATTTTTAAACTTGCTTGTAGAGACGAAGTCTTGCTATGTCGCCCAGGCTGGTCTCAAACTCCTGGACTCAAGTGATCCTCCCGCCTCAGCCTCCTGAAGTGCTGGGATTACCGCGAGCAGCCACGGCTCCCTCCTGAAGGCTCCAGGCCTAAGTGTCCCGCTCCCTTGTTCTGTGGCTCAGCCCCTGGGCAACTCCTGCTTGCCATGGCTGTGGCTGGCACCTCCGTGGCCCCACTGCCCGGTCAGTCTTCGCAGGCCCAGCCCCCAGTAGCTGTGTGGTTTCTGCCTTCCTCCTGCACTCTGGTGGTCACAGGCCCTGCTGCGTGGGTACAGGGCAGGTGGCCAGGGCTGCAGCATAAGCTCTGTGAGTGCAGGCGGCCCTGGGCACTGGAGCCTTGTTGCATGGACGTGCTCCTTGCACCCTTGTTGATGAATGAGCGAAGGTGTGTGGGAGTGAATCCCAGAGGGTGCAGGCCACGGCACTGGGGGAGGACCCTCCCGGCTGCCTCCCAGTGGGCTTCAGGGGCTCAGATAGACCCTGCCGAGCACCTCTGTCCTCTGCTCCCGGACTGGGGCTGCAGAGAGCTCTCAAGGGGCCTTGGGAGGCACAAGCAGGCCAGGGTCCCAGGGAGGGGAGGCAGGAGGCAGCAGGGCCGGATGGTGGGCTGCAGAGGTGGAAGGAACAGGACAGTCTGTTCTGGGGGTGCTGGCTGTGGGGGACAGAGGCCAGGCCACAAAGCAGAATGGTGGGTGGGCCAGGAGGAGGTGGGAGCCTTTTTCAAAAGGCTTTCAGGGACTTTTTATATTTAATGATTGAAACAAAAGATATCCAAAACCGCAGTTCCTGAGAACCACTTGTTCTCGCCCTGGTTCCTCTCCTTGGGCTTGACCTTGGCCTCCTGCCGGGCCTGGCAGCGGACAGCAGTCTCCCTGCTTCCCAGGCTGGGCGAGGGAGAGCGTGGGTCCCCAGGAACGGGGGAGGTGGTGCGGCTGGCTTTAGGATGCCCATTCTGGAACCTTCTGGTGGAAGAAAGCAGGGGATCAGTATAGTATGGTTGATCCACACACTCCAGACCCTCTCCTGGCTGTGCAGCTGGTCTGATCTGGGCTCAGAGGCTGCCACTGCTCAGTGCTCCCCTGGGTAATTTTGCAGGAGGCCAGGAGGGTTCCTGGCAGTTAGTGCCACCCACACGGAGAAATTCAGAGCCATATAAACGGGTCTCCAGGGCCTGGAGGGACTGCACATCCTGGGCCTGCGGCGCAGTGTAGACCTGGGAGGATGGGCGGCCTGCTGCTGGCTGCTTTTCTGGCTTTGGTCTCGGTGCCCAGGGCCCAGGCCGTGTGGTTGGGAAGACTGGACCCTGAGCAGGTACAGTCCTCCTGGGGGTGGGGAGAGCTGGTCCTCGGGGGCCAGCCCCTCCTTTAAGGCCACACAGCTTCTGGGCCCCCCAGGGCTAGCCCAGACCAGCATGAGCAGTGGGGAATTAGTTGGGCCAGCCCTTGGGGAGTCCCACAGGCAGGAGCCTCAGGGCAGGAGGGGTGGATGCTGGAGGGTTGGAGGCTGGAGGGCTGGAGAATTGGAGGCTGGAGACTGGAGGTTGCAGGGCTGGAGGGTGTAGGGTTGGAGAACTGGAGGCTGGAGGGCTGGAGGCTGTAGGGCTGGAGAACTGGAGGCTGGAGGCTGCTGGGCTGGAGGCTGGAGGGCTGTAGAACTGGAGGCTGGAGGGCTGGAGGCTGGAGGGCTGCAGAACTGGAGGCTGGAGGGCTGGAGAGCTGGAGACTAGAGGCTGCAGGGCTGCAGGCTGGAGGTTGGAAGGCTGGAGGGCTGGAGCCTAGAGGCTGTAGGGCTGGAAGGCTGGAGGCTGGAGGGTTGGAGGTCTGGGGGGTTGGAAGCTGGAGGCTGGAGGGCTGGAGAACTGAAGGCTAGAGGCTGCAAGGCTGGAAGGTTGGAGGCTGGAGGGCGGGAGGGTTGGAGACTGGAGGCTGGAGGGCTGGATGGTTGGAGGGTGGAGGCTGGAGGCTGCAGGGCTGGAAGGCTGGAGGCTGGAGGGTTGGAGGCTGGAGGCTGGAGGGCTGGATGGTTGGAGGGTGGAGGCTGAGGCTGGAGGTTTGGAGGCTGGAGGCTGAGGCTGGAGGGTTGGAGGCTGGAGGCTGGAGGCTGGAGGGCTGGCGGCCCTAACGGGAGCCGCCTCAATGCAGCTTCTTGGGCCCTGGTACGTGCTTGCGGTGGCCTCCCGGGAAAAGGGCTTTGCCATGGAGAAGGACATGAAGAACGTCGTGGGGGTGGTGGTGACCCTCACTCCAGAAAACAACCTGCGGACGCTGTCCTCTCAGCACGGGTGAGTGGGCGGGTCCTGCCAGGCCTTCCCGCAGGCAGGACTGTGGCTCAGCCACATCATGTACTTTGCACATCTGCTCCCGGGCACCGCGGCCTGGGGGCTTCCCACGGCCCCTCTGCACCCCCGTCACTTTTCCCACTGGGCTCTGTGCAGAGCCACCAGCCCTCTGCCCAGCTACTCACATCTGTGTCCCTGGGGCCTCCAGGTGGCACTCCCACCTTCAATACCGCGGCGGGCACTGCTCTGACTATGCTCCTTCATGCATCCCTGTCCTGGGTCATCTGGGCTGCAGGCTGTGGTCAGAGCTGGGGAAGCCTGTCCTCTCAGCAGGCCTTTTTCGGGAATTCTGTTTAAAGGAGGATAATGCATTCGGACCTAAGAACCACTGGTTCTTTCATAACATAAATCCCCAAACAATATGGTCATGGACGCTGTTGGCCAGACTGGCCTTGTGGCCTCAGGCAGGCGCACCCGACCACATGCATGGCTGGTGGCGGCGTGCAGGGGTCGGGTGGGCCAGGCTGTGGGGCGGCCGTGCTACACAGGGGACACCTACAGGGCAGCCGGGCTGTGGGGGTAGCCGTGCTGGGGCAGGAGTCGGTGCCCGCCTCCCTTCACAGAAGAGTGGCCTGCTGGGTGGCGTGGTGGGTGTCTACCCCCTGGCAGGCTGGCGACAGAGCCCAGGCCTGAACCACTGAGCCAGGTACGGGGCCCAGAGAGAAGAACCTGCCCTCCTCACCAGCGTGCCTTCCCCCTGCACCTGCGCCTGCAGGGTATGGGCAGGGGCCCCACTGCACCCCCCGGGCCAGGCCTGGCCTCAGGGCGAGCTGGGACCAAGGGGCTCCAGGCTGAGGTGGCAGCTCCCACGTGGCTTTCCTAGTTCTTCTTGCTGTTCCTCCCGCATGGACTCAGCCTCAGTTTCCTTCCTTGGCAAACACCATTGCACCTTTGCTGGGTTTTGCTCACTCTGGGGACTGACCACTTAGGGAGCGCCGGCCCCTTCCCCCGAGTCGCAGGCAAACCCCCACCCCGCCCCATCCTTCCCCTGAGTCGCAGGCGAACCCCCACCCCACCCCATCCTTCCCCTGAGTCACGGGCGAACCCCCACCCCGCCCCATCCTTCCCCTGAGTTGCGGGCGAACCCCCACCCCGCCCCATCCTTCCCCTGAGTCACGGGCGAACCCCCACCCCACCCCATCTTTCCCCCGAGTCGCGGGCGAACCTCCCGTCTGTCGAGTCTCCTGTTGTGTCCTCAGCAGCATTCAGCGTTCCTGGTGGAGATCTGGCACTGAGGATCTCTCAGGAAGTGAATGGGAGTGTCCGCCCCTCTCAGGACTCCCACGCCGTCCACTCTCCGAGAACAGGTTTCCGGGCATCGGGGCATCTGGCAGAAGATGGAAGCTCTGGCCTCACTGCTGGCTGGCCTGGCCTGGACTCCTGAGCTCCGTCTCCTCTCACCGGGCCCCGGGGTCTTGACCCTGAGTGGGTGACAGGCCCCTTCTTTTCCAGGCTGGGAGGGTGTGACCAGAGTGTCATGGACCTGATAAAGCGAAACTCCGGATGGGTGTTTGAGAATCCCTGTGAGTCTGACGGCCACGGCCTCACCCAGGCCGTTCTTCCCTGCAGCATCCCCAGGCCCCCTGCGGGCAGGGACGGAGGGCTGACTCCGCTCCCGAGAGCCAGGAGGCTACAGGTTCTGGTCTTGGGATTGCTGCCCATCCTGAGGGTGAAGAGAAGCCCCTGGACAGAGGATTGGAACCTTGTTCCCAGCAGGCTCAGACACCAGTGAGGTCCAGCCAAGGTCCCCATAGGTGCAGAGGGCGAGGGGCCTGTTTAGTGGCTGTCTACAGGTACAGGGCTGGGCTGGTGTGACCCAGCCGCTCCTCGTTCACACCTGGGACAGGCTGGGGCAGTGCTTGTCTGTCTGTCCGTCAGTGTCTGAAAGCCCCTTGATGCTGGCACCAGGTGGGGTCGGGGGTGGGGGACAAAGCTTGGGGGCTCTGGGTGTGCTTGGAGGGGTCTCCTGGGGAGGGGGGCTCTCACTTGAATTGGCCCCTCTGTCCCTGTGGCCAGCATCAGCTCAGCGGCCCCTGGATGGATACAGCAGCTGCCCTCCCCTGAGGCGGGGGGTTTTGTTTCCTAGCAATAGGCGTGCTGGAGCTCTGGGTGCTGGCCACCAACTTCAGAGACTATGCCATCATCTTCACTCAGCTGGAGTTCGGGGACGAGCCCTTCAACACCGTGGAGCTGTACAGTAAGTGTGCTGTGCGGGGCCCACGTAGGGAGCTGTGTGGTGCGTGGGCCACTCGGGGCCCACGTTGGGAGCTGTGTGGTGCGTGGGCCGCTTGGGGGCCGCGTGGGGAGCTGTGTGGTGAGTGGGCCGCTCGGGGGCCATGTGGGGAGCTGTGTGGTGAGTGGGCCGCTTGGGGCCACATGGGGAGCTGTGTGGTGAGTGGGCCGCTCGGGGGCCATGTGGGGAGCTGTGTGGTGGGTGGGCCGCACAGGACCACATGCAGGCCAAGTTCCCCCACCTTGAGGCTCGCTGCACTGGAGGTGGCTTTGGAAGGACCGGGGCCAGCATCCCAGGGCAGGTGGCCTCCTTCCTGACCCTTCCCAGCCCCTCCCCGGCCCCTCCCCAGCTCTCAGAGGTTGCTTCCCCCTGCACTGCCCTGGTGCCCCCAGGTCTGACGGAGACAGCCAGCCAGGAGGCCATGGGGCTCTTCACCAAGTGGAGCAGGAGCCTGGGCTTCCTGTCACAGTAGCAGGCCCAGCTGCAGAAGGACCGTGAGTGTCCACCGGAGCAGCCTCGGGGGAGGCTTGGGGCAAGTTCTGGAGCCCACAGGGCGTGATGGGGTGACAGAGACCCTGGGGTTGATTCTGGCTTCTGCCTGACTCAGTCGCCCTGAAGGAGTCAGGCAGGCTGAGGGGGTCTTCACCTGCCCCTGCCCAAAGTCAGGCCTGGGGGTCTTGTCCCCACGGCAGGCGAGTCTTGTGGGTGGGGCCCTGGGGTGCTGGGGGGCTCAGTCCTTTTTCACAGCCAGTCTTGCCTCCCCTTCTAGTCACCTGTGCTCACAAGATCCTTCTGGTAAGCCGCCATCCTGAGCCTCACCCTGGGCTCTCTTGGGGGAAGGGGGTGGGGGAGGCCACCCTACGCACAGTGGGTGGGAGGACCCTCTGCCCAAGCCCACGGGGTTCATGGCTCCACTGTCTCTAAGGCAGCTGAGGGTGTGGAGGAGCCTCCATGGTGGGCTGGGCCCCCTCACACTCCTCTTGGTTTTCAGTGAGTGCTGCGTCCCCAGTAGGGATGGCGCCCACAGGGTCCTGTGACCTCGGCCAGTGTCCACCCACCTCGCTCAGCGGCTCCCGGGGCCCAGCACCAGCTCAGAATAAAGCGATTCCACAGCAAACCAAGGATGCTTTTGACTGGGGGCCAGCCGGGGAATTGCGGGGAGGATGGCGGGGGTCGTCACCAAGGGCCAAGCCACAGAACCATAGAGCCAGCTGCAAAGAAGACGCGTGCCCAACCCAGTCCCTTGCCAGAGCCCCTCTGGGTCTTCAGACACCCAAACTCAGGCCCGGGCTCAGAGGCGGGGGCTGGTCAGAGGACACAGCCTGGGAGGAAGCCAGCAGTGAGCTCCACCAGGACCGCAGCTGGGGTGCCAGAGGCTCCAAGGACTGCCCAGGACAAGAGAGAGGTGGCTGGTGGGGCTCAGAGCAGCCCCTGACTCCCCAGGCTCAGGCTTCTCTGGGCTGGGGTTGTGTCTCTTGCCTGGGCAGGGGCAGGGACCCCAGACACCTGAGCCTGCAGGTCCTCCTGTGTTCTGATGGGTGTGGGGGGCTGCGCTGCCTGCCGTCCTGGGAGAAGCACAGGCCATGGGGGTCTCGGGGCTGGATGGGGGGCTGGGGACTGTGTGAGGCTCATGCTGGAGTGAGGCGAGGTGCACACAGATGCCTTGACCTGCAAGGCTGGGCATGCACACGCATGCACATGTGAGCACACACCCACACATGCACACACACACATTCATGGGCACGGGCACACAGCCCCGGCCCGCCCTTCGGCACCTGCTCAGGTGCTTGGTGCCAGGCCCTCAAGAAGGTGGTGGGGGCTGTGTGTGTGGCTGCCGCGCAGAGCTCACCATGTCCACATCTGCCCCAGAAGGGCCACGACCAGCCCTTTGCCTGTCACCTGGGAGGTCTAGGATGAGGGCCAGGGCTTAATGAGTCTCAGGGGCACACACAGTGACCCCAGGCCGGGCACTGAGGGCAGGAGGGTCCTGGGGCCTCAGAGGGGCCTCTGTCTGCCAGGGCAGCCCAGGCCAGCAGTGACCACCAGGTGGGGCAGTGCCGGCTTCCCTGGAGTGTCTGGGGGTGGTCCCTGGGCGGGGAGAGGGTAGCAGAGCCCAAGGCCACACCTGTTGCCTCCCTCCGCTCCCTCCCCTCCCTCCTCTCCCGACACAGGCTGGCGGCTCCAGAGAGGTTTAAACACTGGCCTTGGCGGCTGAGGGAGGAGGGTGAAGATGAGGCAGGGGCTGCTGGTGCTGGCGCTGGTGCTGGTGCTGGTGCTAGTGCTGGCTGCAGGGTCCCAGGTGCAGGAGTGGTACCCCAGGGAGTCCCACGCCCTCAACTGGAACAAGGTGAGCCATGTGCCACTGGTCCCTGAGCCGGGCGCCGGCTCTGGAGCTGGAGCAGGCTCCTGCACAGTCTCCCGGCAGCCGCCCAGGAGCAGGGCTACCAGCAGTTCCAGGCACGGGCGCTGCCCACCTGGCCTCTCCCACTGCAGCCTCCAGCACAGGGGCCCCGCAAGTTGCAGGGCAAAGGCAGGGAGCCTCGAGGGGGTTCGGGGGCCCAGGGGGGTCAGGGAGGGCCAGGGTGGAGGGGCCCAGAGAGCTGTGGCCGAGGAGGTCGGGAGACGCCCAGAGTGCAGAGTGGGTGTGGAGCAAGCGGGGCATATTCTGTAGCGGGAGGGCCCGGGCACCTGCTGAGTGAGCCGTGGGAGCAGCACTCATTGGCACGGCGGTGCCCAGGGCGCTAGGGTTGGCAGCAGGCAGAGTTGGGGGCCGGGGGCCGGCAGGAAGGGAAGTGGCCGAGCAGTACCCAGCCCCCAGGAGGCCATGTGGGAAGGAGCCGGGGCCTCTGAGGTAGGGGGCCTCCCACCTGCTGGCGCCCACAGCCCAGCCCTTTGCTGCCTGGGGTCCCTGACCAGCCGGGCACCTGCTTCTCTGCAGCCCTGCTCCAGTGGCCAGGGCTTGAGTGGCCGGGACCGAGGCGGCACCTGGGCGGAGCTGGGACTCCGGCTCACAGAAGGGTCATTTGTCTCCTGGGTTCTCTAGCTGGGAACCTCGGGGGTGGGGACAGCCCCCGGTGGCAGCTCCTGTCCCCGCCCACACATCCGCTGCGCAGTTTTCAGGGTTCTGGTACATTCTGGCCACTGCCACTGATGCCCAGGGATTCTTGCCGGCCAGGGACAAGAGGAAGCTGGGGGCGTCCGTGGTAAAGGTGAACAAAGTGGGCCAGCTCCGCGTGCTCCTCGCCTTCAGACGGTGAGTGGGCAGCGCCCCCCAGGCAAGGGTCTCCCCTTCCAGGAGGAGGGAGCTGCCTCGGGGCTGGAAAGGAGTCTGGGAGGAGCCTGTCTGTCTGGAAGTTCCACAAGAACCGTCCCCCCACTTCCTCCCCCTAAACTCAGAGGAAGCCACCTGCAGCCCCTGGGACCCCACATGGGTGGGTGTTGGGAGGAAGCTGCCTGCAGACCTTGGGACCCCACATGGGTAGGTGTTGGGAGGAAGCCGCTTGCAGCTCCTGGGCCCCACACGGGTGGGTGTTGGGAGTTTCTCTCGTGCCGTGGGACAGGCCCCAGTCCGAATTGGAAAATCCTCAAACCACAGAGCCTCAGATTGACACGAGTTGGATAGTGAAGCAAAAAACTGGGGACCTGGGGCCCCAACCTTCCCGGGTCCCACGGGAGCAGGGGCGGGACCGAGACGTGTGGGTGGGGCTCGGTGGCTGGCAGGCGGGAGGAGGGGTTCCCTGGTCTGCAGCCTGAGCCCCCGCCTTGGCCCCAGGTTGAAGGGGTGCCAGTCCCAGGAGGTGATCCTGAGGAAAGACGGGAAGAAGCCGGTGTTTGGGAACGCCTGTGCATACGCGGCGGGCCCGAGGGAAGGACAGGAGGGAGGTGTGCTTGGGCTCTGGGCCCTGGAGGAGCTGCGTGATATGCCTCTGACCCCCCTGTGCCTTGAGCAGGCCCCTTGTCCCCGAGAGCACGTGGCAGGCAGGCGTCAGGCTGGCTGTGTTCCCAGAGCCCACACGTCATGTGCTGGGCGGCCTGGCCCGGGAGGGGAGGCCCCGGGAGGGCACTCAGTCCCTCTGGACACCTGCACCTGGGTGGGGGCTCTGAGGCCTCGGGCACCAGGGGTCAGGGCTGTGGGCGGGCACAGCCACGCCATCCGGGAACCAGCGGGCATCTCTGGGCATCTCTTTCAGTGAAAGGGGTGAAGGCCTTCCACGTGCTGTCCACTGACTACAGCTACGGCTTGGTCTACCTCCGCCTGGGGCGTGCAACCCAAAACTACAAGAACCTGCTGCTCTTCCGTGAGCAGGCACAGCGGATGGCAGAGGATGGTGGAGGGGGTGCAGAGGGAGGCATAGAGGGGCGCTGGGCACAGGGGGCCGGGCAGGAGGTGAGGCGGGCAGGGAGAGTGGGGGTTGGGGCGGTGGTCAGGGCAGGGGCAATGGAAGCCGAGACCACAGCAGTCAGGTCCTGGAGGTCGCTGAAGCAAGGATAGGGGACGTCAGGAAGAGGCTGCAGAGAAAGGTGGGCCATCCAGGGGGAGCGGAGGCCACCAGGATGGTGGCGGGTGCAGGTGCAACGTTCTGGGTGAGGGACACAGTGGGGATGAGGAGGCGTGGGAGGGGTCCCAGGTAAGGGTCTGCCCGGGATGGAGGGGTGTGGAAGTGACCCAGTGTGGGTTAAGGGCCACAAACCCAATTCTAGACACCAACCACTTGGGGTACACGGAAAGGAGTGGCCCTCCCGGTTGGAACGGGTAGAGGGGAGGTGGGGTCCTGGGGTCTCAGTCGAGGCAGGGCACGCTCAGGGTGCAGCAAGCTGGGGCACAGCTGAGGGGCTGGCTGGAGGGGACTCTGCAGGCAGAGAGGGTTCCCCAGGTGACAGCGTGGTGACCCTGGCTTCCCGAGCCTGGCTGCCTCGTAAGTGGGGAGGGGCCCAGCGGCCGCTGTCCTCCCCTGGCCAACCCCTGCTTCACGCCTAAGCTCTGAGGACATTTCAGCAGCTCCTGGGGTAGGGATGGGGGTCAGGGTGCAGACCCTAAAATGGCCAGAGCTGGAGTCTCTGATGTGATCCTGATCTCAACCTCAGATAGGCAGAATGTTTCGAGCTTCCAGAGTCTGAAGGAATTCATGGACGCTTGTGACATTCTGGGGCTCTCCAAGGCCGCCGTCATCCTCCCGAAAGACGGTAAGCTGTGCCCTCAGCCCTTTGCCCTCCTGGCCCTACCTGCCCGTCCCATTGGGGAGCTGATTCATTGGGGGAAGGAGAGATGAAAGGATCCATTTGAAAGGTGCCATTTGAAAGATCCGCCCAAACGTGCCTCCCACCTCCTGCCGCCCCTGAGAATCGGGGCTTGGCCTGGCAGGCCTGGCACCGACAGCGAGAGGCGTCCGGAGCAGATGCTGCATCCGACCAGGCGATGCCGTGGCTGTGGCTGCAGGATCGGGGGCTGCATGGCTGTGTTCTCGTGGTGCCCAAGACGAGCACGCATGGAACCAGGGAGCGGCCGGGGGAGACGTGTTCACGGCTCATGTGTCTCCTCCAAGCAGCCAGCCCACATGTGGCTGTTTTCCTCTCCCACAGCGTCCCGTACACACACCATCCTGCCATGAGAGCCAGCGTCCTCTGCTCTTCCCTTTCGACGCGTGGTCCTCCCAGACCCGAGGAGCGTTGTTCCAGATGTCAAGTGGAGACCACGGCTTGTTGAGAGGTGTTTGGTGACTCTAGGTCATTGACAGTGTGAAAATCAAGTGGCTCAAGGGATCCTTTATGATCACAGAAAGATGGGGGAAGGAGGATACAGGCTGACCGGGTGGCGAGATGTCAGCCAGGCCCCTTCCCCACTGTCTTCTGGAGCACACTGCAGGCTGCTGCTATTCCCTGTCTGCTGTGAAACAGACCACAGGCCGGCCCAACGCAGTCCTCGCCGTGTGCCTTGCCTCTGCCCTCCACGCCGCCGCCACCCTCCGCGTTCCTTTACATCCTGCACTTTCTCAGGAAGCCGTTCGCATATCCACCCAACATGGAGGAGCCCCCATGACGTGCCAGGCAGCGTGCTGGCCCCTGCGGCTGCGTTAGGGAACAGAATCGGCAAACGCAGTCCCAGAGTTGATGCCTGATCAGGAGAAGCCAACTTCAGCAGTGTGGTCACCTGGATACTCGAGTATAGACCCTAGATCACCTGGATACTCGAGTATAGACCCTAGAAGTGTATCTAGGCGCGGCCAGGGCCCCACAACAGCAGGTCTGACTCATTCCATCCAGGGCAGCATCAGGGAGAGCTTCCTGGGGGAAGTGGCATTTGGGCTGACCTGGGAAGGGTGGTGGGTGTTAAGTCAGTTTGGGTGGGGCTGGAGGAGCAGGGGTGCATCCCCAGAACAGGATGTGACTTCTGAAAAGACATCAGAGTAGAGAAAATGGTTTCTCAAGGAGATTGGGGACGCCAGTATCAGAATGGCGGCGGGGAGAGCCACAGAGGAGCAGGAGGGGGCCCACCAGACCACGGCACCTCGAAGGCTGCGGTGAAGGCTTAGGTCTCACTCAAGGGGTGATGACGGGAGGTTGTCTGAGATGAACCCCCCAACTGAATGAATGGACCTTCTTCTGGCCAAGGGGATCCCAAAGAAACCCTGAACCCGAGTCCTCAGCCATGACGGGGTAAGGGGTCAGCCCCTCCTTCTGGCCCGAGAAGAGATCAGAGATTGGTTCTGGGCAGTCCATGGAGAATTTGCTCAGCTGGACCAGTACACGCTTCTCCTTTCATGAATATTCATGACTCCTCCTGAAGCTTATTGAACATCTCTATTTGGCCATCTCCTTCAGCGTAAATTCCTGTCCCCTCTGTCCCTCCCCTCCAAGTGTCTGTTCCAGGCTTCTGGCCTGAGGCTACGCTTCCTAGCCTGTCAGAAGGGCTGCCCTGCTGGCTGCAATCTCTTATGAGAAATAAAGCTCTCCTGTGTGCAAAAAAGTAGTTTGGAGCCCGGGCAACATGTTGAGACTTCATCTCTACAAAAAATACAAAAATTAGCTGAGCGTGGTGGTGGGCGCCTGTAGTCCTAGCTACTCAGGAGGCTAAGGTGGGAGGATTGCTTGAGCCTGGGAGGTTGAGTGAGTCAGGATCGTGCCACTGCACTCCAGCCCGGGCAACAGAGTGAGACTGTCTCAAAAAACATATATATATGCCAGGCATGGTGGCTCACACCTGTAATCCCAGCACTTTGGGAGGCTGAAACGGGCGGATCATGAGGTCAAGCAATCGAGACCATCCTGGCCAATATGGTGAAACCCCGTCTCTGTTAAAAAATACAAAAAATTAGCCAAACGTGGTGGTACACGCCTGTAATCCCAACTATTCAGGAGGCTGAGGCAGAAGAATTGCTTGAACCCAGGAGGCGGAGGTTGCAGTGAGCTGAGATCACACCATTGCACTCCAGCCTGGTGACAGAGCGAGACTCTGTCTCAAAAAAAATTATATATATATATATGAGATATATATATAATATATAATATAATATAATATAATATTATATATATATAGTATATATTATGACATATATATAAAAGGCTGGGCGCCTGTAATCCCAGCACTTTGGGGGGCTGAACCAGGTGAATCACTTGAGTTCAGGGGTTCGAGACCAGCCTGACCAACATAGAGAAAAACTGTCTCTACTAAAAATACAAAGTTAGCCATGCGTGGTGGCACATGCCTATAATCCCAGCTACTCGGGAGGCTGAGGCAGGAGAGTAGCTTGAACCCGGGAGGCGGAGGTTGTGGTGAGCCGAGATCATGCCATTGCACTCCAGCCTGGGCAACGAGAGTGAAATTCCATCTCAAAAAAAAAAAAAAAAAAATACAGCCGGGCATGGTGGCTCACACCTGTAATCCCAGCACTTTGGGAGGCCGAGATGGGTGTATCACGAGGTCAGGATTTCAAGACCAGCCTGGCCAAGATGCTGAAACCCTGTCTCTACTAAAAAAAACAAAAATCAGCCAGGTGCGGTGGCGGGTGCCTGTAATCCCAGCTACTCGGGAGGCTAAGGCAGGAGAATCGCTTGAACCCAGGCAGCAGAGGCTGCAGTGAACCGAGATCGCTCCACTGCACTCCACTGGGCGACAGAGCAAGACTCTAGCTCAAAAAAAAAAAAAAAATACAGGCTGGGTGTGGTGGCTCACGCCTGTAATCCCAGCACTTTGGGAGGCCCAGGCGGGCGGATCACGAGGTCACAAGTTTGAGACCAGCCTGGCCAACATGGTGAAACCCCGTCTCTACTTAAAATACAAAAATTAGCCAGGCATAGTGGCAGGTACCTGTAATCCCAGCTACTCGGGAGGCTGAGGCAGGAGAATCACTTGAACCTGGGAGGTCGAGGTTGCAGTGAGCTGAAATCATGCCACTGCACTCCAGCCTGGGTAACAGAGCAAGGCTCTGTCTCAAAAAAAAAAAAAAAGAAAGAAAGAAAGAAAGAAACTCCAGGATTTAGATGTAGCAGGTGTGGTGCACGCACTCGTGGTGACCGCTCCTCAGGAGGCTGAGGTGGGAGGATGGCTGGAGCCCAGGGGGTCAAGGCTGCTGTGAGCCGATTGCACCACTGCACTCCAGCCTGGGTGAGAGAGGAGACCCTGTCTCAAAAAACATTAAAGAGTGGCAGAGACGTGACTACTTCTTCCAGAATCCCAGGCCAAGGCACAGTCATGGAGAGGTGGGCCCAGGCTCCCCGGCCCCCCTTCGATGTCTCTGCTCCCTCACGCAGGCTGGCTGCAGAGGCAGGACACGAGCTGAGCAGGAGCCCCAAACTGCTGTCCGGCCTTGAGAACCCCGAGTGTGGGCCTCTGAACCACCCATTCACCAGGGTGAGGGCAATGGCTCTGTCCCGGGGGCTCGGGCTCTGCGCCCCCCTTCCCTGGGCCTGGCTCTGTCCCGGGGGCTCGGGCTCTGCGCCCCCCTTCCCTGGGCCCAGGGAAGCAGCCATTTCCACAACTCAATCCTGTCAGTGGGGAGGAGAAGAAGGAAGAAGGGAAGGAGCTGGGAGAATGGGGAGAGGGGAGCACTTGGGGTCCCACGGGCAGGGAGGGAGGGGCAGCAGGAGGGGTTAGACGCGTACACACCACCCGTGCCAGTGCACCTCCCTCCGCAGCGTGCCACCTGGTGGGTCAGAATTGCTGACGGTTCTGTGGGTACCACCCTCCACCCTCCACAGGGCCCGTGCGGTCTATGATGCCCTTTCATCACACACAGCCCTGTGGGTTAGGCCCACTCTGTGGCCCTGGAGTGAGCCTCAGAGACACCATAGCCTCAGCTGCTTCCCAGACAACACCATTTCCCTGACCCCCATTTCAGAGGCAGTGGCATGGCCAGGGTTCTCTCTGGAGGAAGATGAGAACAAGAATCCAGGGGAGGCCGGGCACAGTGGCTCACGCCTGTAATCCCAGCACTTTGGAAGGGAGGCACAGGTAGGTGTATCACCTGAGGTCAGGAGTTTGAGACCAGCCTGGCCAACATGGTGAAACCTCCTCTCTACTAAAAATACAAAAGTTAGCCGGGCGTGGTGGTGCATGCCTGTAATCTCAGCTACTTGGGACGCTGAGGCAGGAGAATCGCTTGAACCCAGGAGGTGGAGGCTATAGTGAGCAGAGATCGTGCCACTGCACTCCAGCCTGGGTGACAGAGAGAGACTCTGTCTCAAAAAAACCAAAAAAAAAATCTGGGGGAGCCCATAGGTGTGTCTGCTACAGATGAACCCCCGGTGAGCCCACAGCCTGTGGACATCCTTGCTGGCTGGCAGCAGAGACAGCTGCGGCCGGGCCGATGGGGCTGGCCAGTGCTCCTGGACACCCCCCACCTCCCGAGGGCCCTGTGCAGTTCTGTCCTGGAGTTACAATGGTCACTTCACTGGGCCTCTGAGGTCCAGGTTGGGGACGAAAGGCAGCAGGGAGTGGCCTGAGGCTCTTGCGAGAGCCCCACAGTTTTGGTCAGAGTCTGCAATTCCCAAAGGTTCTGGCATGGGGCTGGGCACCTGTGTGGCCCCATGGAAGGTGTTTAAAGACCCAGAGTCACCAATTGGGGCTGACGGCTTTTTCACTGCACATGGCTGAGTCATCTTTCTGCTTTCTGTTAAGCAAAAGCCCTAACAGTTTCAAAGAACTGGGTAAGTGTCGGCGGCAAGCCATCTAGGTGCCGATGCAAGAGACTGAGGGCACGAGCTGTTCCAGTTTAATAAAATATATCAAACAACAAGAGTCATACTAGATCTAGATCATAGACATATTATATATGAATATCATTAATCATTAGTTTATAGCAATTACTCTTTATTCCAATATTATAATAATCCTCACTCTATAATCACAACCTAGGAAAAACCAGGCCATACAGAGATAGGAGCTGAGGGGACATAGTGAGGAGTGACCAGAAGACAAGAGTGCGAGCCTTCTGTTACACCCTGACAGGGCCACCAGAAGGCTCCTTGGTCTAGCGGTGATGCCAGCGTCTGGGAAGACACCTGTTGCCAAGCGGACCATGATCTAGCGGTAGCATCAGTGTCAAGGAAAAACACCTGCTACTTAGCAGACAGGGAAAGGGAGTCTCCCTTTCCCCGGGCGAGTTTAGAGAAGACTCTGCTCCTCCACCTCCTGTGGAGGACCTGACATCAGTCAGACCCGCCCGTGGTTATCCAGAGGCCTAACCGTCTCCCTGTGATGCTGTGCTTCAGTGGTCACGCTCCTTGTCTGCCTTCATGTTCCATCCTGTACACCTGGCTCTGCCTTCTAGATAGCAGTAGTCAATTAGTGAAAGTACTAAAAGTCTCTGATATGCAGAAATAATGGCGTAAGCTGTCTCTCTCTCTGTCTCCTCTCCCTCTCTCTGCCTCGGCTGCCAAGCAGGGAAGGGCCCCGTCCAGTGGACACATGACCCACGTGACATTACCTATCATTGGAGATGGCTCACACTCTTTACCCTGCCCCTTTATCTTGTATCCAATAGATATCAGCGCAGCCTGGCATTCGGGCCACTACCGGTCTCCGCGTCTTGGTGGTAGTGATCCCCCGGGCCCAGCTGTCTTTTCTTTTATCTGTCTCGCGTCTTTATTTCTACAATTTCTCGTCTGCACACACGAGGAGGAAAACCCACCGACCCTGTGGGGCTGGACCCTACAGATAGGAAGGGCCAACCTCCAGCTGACGAAAACCAGGTGGACCGTGGGGTCAGGCTGAGTGTGTCTGCAGCCCCAGATCAGGCCTGCACTGTGAACGGCCACCAGCTGTGGGAGGTCCTGGCACGCCCCAGCCCTGCAAACTGGGGATATCAGAAGCTCATTCTCAGTTCTAGAGGCTCCAAGTCCAGACCCAGGTGTTGCAGGGTCACGCTCCTCCGAAGGCACTGAAGGAGGCTCTTTCCTGTCTCTTCCAGCCGCGGGCGGTGCTGGTAGGTCTGGGTGTTCTGGGGCTGGGGCTGCACCTCTGCCATCACTGCCCCCGCCCTCCGGAGGCCTTGTCTGCTGTGGCCAGCCCCCCTCTTCTCAGCAGTCGTTGGATCTAGGACCTTATTTTGTCTTTCGATTTGTTTTTTTGAGACAGGGTCTCACTCTGTCGCCCAGGCTGGAGGGCTGTGGCACAATCATGGCTCACTCCAGCCTCGACCTCCTGGGCTCAATCGATCCTCCTACCTCAGCCTCCCGAGTAGCTGGGATGAGTGTGCAGCACGACACCCAGCTAATTTGTTTTTATTTTTTGTAGAGCCAGGGTCTTTCTATGTTGCCTGGGCTGGTCTCGAACTCCTGGGCTCAAGCTATCCTCCCAGCTTGATTTCCCAAAGTGCTGGGGTTACAGGTGTGAGCAGCTGCACCCGGACACACTATTCCACACACGGTCATGCTCACAGGTTCAGGTGGAATGACAGTGTTCAGCCCTGCACAGTCACCTTCCCCCGATCTGCCCCCACCAGGGTCAGACTTCCCCAGCACTCTCCCCTTCCCCATGGGGGCCTGATCCCTGTTCATGCCCAAAACGTCCTGGGGTGCCTGGCTTCACACACTCTGCAGCCCCAGCAGCACTCGCCAGCAGCCCTGCAGGGCTCCACTGGGTACTCTGACTTGTACTTACCCTTCCACCTCTGTCACGTGACCTGGGGCAGGGGCGTGACACCTCCACCTTCCCACTCCCACACCCACCGCCCACTTCACAGCCCTCTGCATTTGGACTTCGTGTAGGGGCCAGGAGCCCCTGCATTTTCTCCAGGAATGTCTTCCAGCCTCAGGGCCAGCTTCGCCCAGGCCTTGACCTGAAGGATGTTCACACGGCTCCTTCAAAGCCCTCCTCATCAGCGCCAATCAACAAAGCAATTCCAGAATGTCCCAACCCTCAGGGGTGTGGCGGGGGGTGGGGGGGAGAGCTTGGGGGGGATGCAAACCCTTGGTAATGACCTTGGTGTGAACCTGTGTCCACAAGGCAGCCAAAGCAGGGAGGGGAAGGCGTCCACGTTTAGTTGATTTGTTGTTTTATCCAGAATGGTGATCCGTGAAGTCTGGAAGAAATTCTGAGTCGTCACAGAGTGTGGGTGTTCTGAGACTGCGGGCTGTCTGTTGCTGTCACTTTTGTTTTGTTTGTTTTGGTTTTTTTTTTTTTTTTTTTTTTGAGAGGGAGTCTCAGTCTGCCGCCCAGGCTGGAGTGCATGCAGTGGCACAATATCTGCTCACTGCAACCTCTGCCTCCCAGGTTCAAGTGATTCTCCTGCCTCAGCCTCCTGAGTAGCTGGGATTATAGGTGCGCACCATCATGCCCAGCTGATTTTTGCATTTTTAGTAGAGATGGGGTTTCCCCATGTTGGCCAGGCTGGTCTCGAACTCCTGACCTCAGGTGATCCACCCGCCTCAGCCTCCCAAAGTACTGGGATTACAGGCGTGAGCCACTGCGCCAGGCCTCTTTGGTTGGGTTTTTAAATTTTTTTAAAATTTTTTTGAGACGGTGTCTCACTCTGTTGCCCAGGCCAGAGTGCAGTGGCACAATCTCAGCTCGCTGCAAACTCCGCCTCCTGGGTTCAAGTGATTCTCCCACCTCAGCCTCCTGTGTAGCTTGGATTATAGGCACCCACTATCATGCCTGGCTAATTTTTGTATTTTTGTAAAGATGGGGTTTCACTACATTGACCAAGCTGGTCTTGAACCCCTGACCTCAGGTGATCCACCCACCTTGGCCTCCCAAAGTTCTGGGGTTACAGGCGTGAGCCACCGCGCCTGGTGGGCTTCTATTTTGTTTTGAATGGTAAGTTCTGTGGTTTGAATGTGTCCTCTCCAAAATTCAGATGTTGCCAGTGTGAACATATCAAGAGGTGGGGCCTTTGAAGAGGCGATTAGGCCATGAGGTCTCCTCCCGTGTGAATGGGATGAAGGCCCTTCTGAAGCAGCATCCTGCTAGGCTGCTCTGCTGCTACGGGACAGAGCAAGAAGGCCCTTACCAGACGCCAGACACTCACCTTGTTCCCAGACCTCCCAGCCTCCAGAACTGTTCTGTTCTTTATAATTTACCCAGTCCCAGGTATTTTGTTATAGCAGCACAAATAAACTAAGGCAGTAAATAAATAATTTCCTTAAATTTTTTATTGCAGTAAAATATACAGAACATAAAATTCACCGTTTTAACCTTTTTTTTTTTTTTAGACAGGTTCTGTCTCTGTTATCCAGGCTGGAGTGCAGTGACACAATCACAGGTCACTGCAGCCCCCAACTCCTGGGCTCAAAGGATCCTCCCACCTCAGCCACCTGAGTAGCTAGGATTACAGACTATGCCTGGCTAATTTTGTCCAGCTAATTTTCACCGTGTTGCCCAGGCTGGTCTGGAACTCCTGGCCTCAAGCAATCTGCCCACCTTGACCTCTCAAAGGACTGGGATTACAGGCGTGAGCCACCACACCCGGCCTGGCCTTAACCTTTTTTTTTTGAGACAAAGTCTCGCTCTGTTCCCCAGGCTGGAGTGCAATGGCTGGATCTCGGCTCACCACAACCTCTGCCTCCCGGGTTCAAGCGATTCTCCTGCCTCAGCTCCCAGGTAGCAGGATTACGGGCATGCACCACCACGCTCGGCGAATTTTGTATTTTTAGTAGAGATGGCGTTTCTCCATGTTGGTCAGGATGGTCTCAAACTCCCGACCTCAGGTGATACGCCCAACTTCGGCCTCCCAAAGTGCTGGGATTACAGACATGAGCCACTGCGCCCGGCCTGCCCTAACCATTTTTAAGTGCACACTCCAGTGGCATTAAGTACATTCACATTGTCGTGCGACCATCACCCCCATCATCTTCTCCAGAATTTTTTTTTTTGTTTTTTTGAGACGCTCTGTCGCCCAGGCTGGAGTGCAAAGGCTCGATCTTGGCTCACTGCAAACTCCGCCTCCCGGGTTCACGCCATTCTCCCACCTCAGCCTCCCAAGTAGCTGGGATTACAGGGTTGCGTCACTATGCCCGGCTAATTTTTGTATTTTTAGTAGAGACAGGGTTTCACCATGTTGGCCAGGATGGTCATGAACTCCTGACCTCAGGTGATCCGCCCGCCTCAGCCTCCCAAAGTGTTGGCCTTACAGGCGTGAGCCACCGCACCTAGCCTGGGCTGACCTGCACAGAAGTGCCATCTACCTACCCTCTGACCTCTGTCATGTGACCTGGGGCAGGGGATGTGACATCTCCACCTTCTAAGTACCCCACTGTCATGGGGTAGCTCCTCTCTCAGGTGCTGGGGCTCAGGTCCTCTCCTGGGTCTCAGCAGGTCATGGTCTGCTCCGGGGCTATGCATACTGGTTTCAGTAAGTGCTTGGTAGATCTACCCCGCAGCATGGAGCAAGTGCTGGGTCGGGTGCAATGGACTCAGTATCTCTGAAGGAGGAGATGTCTCTTGCCCTCTCTCCACAGCTAGAGCTTTCACTAGCTACAGAGCTACAGCCAACTCCTGCACCAGCTCAGAAGGTAGAGCCAGCTCCGGCTACAACTCGGGTGCTAGTTCCAGGATCAGAGCCAGCTCCAGCAACAGCTCCAGCAGCACACCCAGAGACAGGGGCAGCTCTGGTCACTTCTGTGCCGGCTCCACTATAGCTCCAGCATCCGCCCTCTAGCCAGGACCAGTTCCAAAACCATTTGCATGGTTAGGGCCAAATATCAGCATCAGGTTCAGAAAAAGAGCCAGGGCCAGCATCAGCTACAGGCCCAGCTTCAGCACCGCGGCTCACACCAGTGCGGGTTCCTGTACCAGCTCAAGAACTATGGCCACAGCCAGCACAACTCCAGATCTCACTCCAGCTGCCGCACCAGCTCTACCACCTACTCCAGAAACAGAGGCAGCTCTATCACCAAATCTGGTGCCACCTCCGGTGACTGCTCGGGCACCGGCTCCAAAACCACTTCCAGAGTTTCAGCCAGTTCCAGGTGTAGACCTCAAGCCAGTGCCAGGTTCAGAGGAAGGGCCAGCTGCAGCACCACCTCCAGAGCCAGAGCTGGCACCAGATATAAAGCGATGGCTGATTCCACAACCAGAACCAGAATTAGAGGCAGCTCCAGAGCTACAGCCATCTCAGACCTGCACCAGCTTCAGAACGAGAGCCAGAGTTCCTGCCAGCTCTAGAGCGAAATCCAATCAAGAACCAGCTCTAGCACCATATCCAGAGCTAGGACCAGCTCTGACACTTTTCCCAGGGCAAAGACTAGCAACAGCAACACAGCTAGAGGCAGCTCCAGAGCATCGGTCCCCGGGGCAGAGCCAGCTTGTCTCCAACAACCGTGTCAGTGCTAGGACAGAGCCTGCACCATCTCTGGAGGTGGAGCCTGCTGTGGTGCCAGCTCCAGCCCCAACACCAGAGCTAGAACCCAGCCTGCTGGTGGGGCCACACAGGGAGGAGCCTCAGACCGCGCAGTTGCAGCCCAGTTGCAAAGTGTCCTGGGGTCCTGCGCTGGGGCTTTTCTTAGGAGCCCTGGGGTGTTTTCTGGCTTTGCAAAGGCAATGAAAATTTGAGTTGAATTTATCACCAGCTCCTGCTCCCTCTAAGCCAGTACCCGAGCTGGAGCCAGCTCCTATGCCAGCTCCCGCACCCCGGCCTTCCTGGCCTTTGCCTGTGGCTGCAGAGAGCAGGCTGAGCCAGAAGCCTCATCTCCTGGTGTCCCCTCCAGGCCTAAGGCTAGAGCGGTCTGCGCTGTGCAATGCGGAGGCTGCCCAGCCCCAGGACAGCAGCGCGGCCTTCCTCCCGGCCCCTGCGGCTCAGGCCTGTCATCCCCTGCTCTGGAGCTCGCGTCCTGGTCCGAGTCCCGGCGGCTCCACCGTTCGCAGCCCGGCGACCGCGGCGAGTCGCTTGGCCGCGAGGCCTCGGTGTCCCGCCCTGCGCGGTGACCGAGGTCCCAGGACACAGCGCAGACAGGGCGCTAGTCAGGCCTGGCCGCGGTAATCCCGCCTGCCGGGACCCTCGCCCGCCTCAGCACTCATTAGGCGCCTGGTGTGTACCCGCGCCCATGGCCGACACCGGCAGAGCCCCTGGTGGGGAAGGGACGGAGCGCGTCGCGGGAGCCCCATGCTGCCCGGGGTGGGCGCTGCTCGACAGTCACGGGAGCCGCCCCAATGGCTGGGACCACCGGGACCCACGGGCTCGTGGAGCGTCCTCCTGACCCGGCCTGGGAATCCTCCGCGAAAACGGGGAGCCGCGCGTGTCCGTGGCGTGCCCGGCACCCGGCGGGTCGGAAACGGCGCGGCCCTGGCTGCTGGCCCCGTGGGGCGGTCGCGGTGCAGGACACGGGTCACGGCGCTGCCGCTGCTCTGCGTGGCGAACCCACACGCCCGCCCGCCAGCCACTGAGCAGCGCCCACGTGCGGGCGCGGGGAGCTGAACGGCCGGGGACCGCTGGGGGGCGCTGCTTGGGCGGGGCGGATTGACTCTTGCGGGCCGCCGTACGCGCTATAAAAGGCGCGGCGCTTCCCTTCTCGTCCTCTGCGTGCGCCGGAGGCTGCCGTGGCGGGTGGGCCGCCTGACTTCTCCTCCCGGCCAGTTCTCGAGCGCCTCACCGGGCCTCGCCCTGCAGCCTCGCTCTCGCTGGCGCTGCGCGGCCTAGGGGACTGGGCTGCTGGCCTCCGGGTGCGGGGTGGGGGCAGGCTCCGACCTGGGGCGTCCTGGCCGCGCGAGCCGCGGGATGGGGGCCCGGGCCGCGGAGGAGGCGCCGCTGGTGTGTCCCTTGGTGGAGAGGGCGCTGCCGGCCCTGCGCGGTTTCCAGCCAGGAAGCTTCGGGAAGCCTGGTGAGAGCTGAGTGCGCGAATTCGGATCTTAGAGAAAGGCACCCCGTTCACCCACGACCCTTCCGCTCCTGCCGCTGCTTCCCTGAGTCGCTCAGGCTGTGGGAAGATGTTTGTCGGCATCTTTGAAAAATTGATTTCTTATGCTGCGTCAGGTGGTTTCCTTGTCACTGTGGCTGCTCAGCGGGAGGCTGTTCTGGCGGGAGGAGGACTGCTCGGTTGTCTGGTGGGCATTCCGCCTCGTGGTCCTGGTCCCTTGATACCTGCAGGGGATCAGCAGCCCGCGTTTCGTGGCCACTGTGTTGTAACTCCAACTTCCCCTCCCGCAAATTAAGCGTAGAGTAAGGGGAGAGAGTAACATGGGTCGGATTTTTCTAGAACGGCCCTTGTGACAGTGAGCTTTTTGGTGGCAGGGAGCTTCTTTGGTCCGCCTTCCTGGAGACCAGATGCAGCAAAACGCAGTCTTTTTCTTTTCGAGACAGAGTCTCAGTTGCCCAGGCTGGAGTGCAGTGGCGCGATCTCAGCTCACTACCACCTCTGCCTCCTGGGTTCAAGCGACTTTCCTGCTTCAGCCTCCAGAGTAGCTGGGATTACAGGCGCCAGCCACTAGGCCAGCTAACTTTTTTTTTTTTTTTTTTTAGAGAGACGGGTTTCACCGTGTTGGCCAGGCTGGTTTTGAACTCCTGACCTCAAGTGATCTGCCCGCCTCGGCCTCCCAAAAAACGCAGTGTTTATGTGATGCTCCTCTGTGGTGTTTGCAAGATTTATACAAAATTGCGGTTTCTTTTTTTCTCTAGGACGTCTGCTCACTGGAGATGACACGTGCGTGGGGTGTTGGGTAAGTTGGTGCATTGGAGCTGGAACAGGGTCAATCCTCCAATGTAACTAAGCCCTCCTGTGCAACATCTTAAGTGACTGGAGGGACCAGTCGGTCTTGTGTTCACATTGAGGCTAGAAGCTGTCTCCAGGGGAGTAAAAACGGATTATTTAGTCTTCAACAGGACACTGCCCCTAGAGGCGTTGCAGCTGTGGCTGCCGTGTCACATCTGTGTCATTAGGTGGCAGAGATTAGAGAGGCTATGTCTACGCTCAGCGTTCTGCCCCGTGAACGTTTGAATGTTTGATAGTCTCACACTCCTGTTTTGTGGACAGGCATCTGTTTTCCTTCGCTGGTATCTGGGAGAGAGGGTGGGCCCTGTGAGTGGGCTTTCTAACTCTCGCGCTGGGCTAGGCTGGCCTCTAGGGGTCTGAAGGGATAGTGGGAAGGTGGAGGGTGCCTTCACCAGGAGCAGCCTTCATGAGTGAGTTTTAAGAACCTGTGAGGATCGGTCAGGTCAGGTGAGGTACGCGCTGGATCATGCCGTACACCGTGTCAGGATCACGCAGGACAGGACTGGGGAAGGGTTTGCTGGCGTCTCGGTTAATAGCAGTAACGGCAGCCGCTTGTGTTCTTGATTCTTTGCCAAGCATTCTTGTTATTTAACACGGGAAGGAGGTGACTTCGCCTGTGATGGACTTCCAGTGTGAGCACTGGCCAGAGTGACCAGGCTGACCAGCACCAGCCCTGATCCAGGTAAGAGGTGAGGCGGAGGCTTGCCCTCCTTCCCTGCCTGCCGGGTGCGTGTGAGCGGCTGCCCTGCGGATGCTGTCCTGGACCTGTTGGCACCACAGACAGTTGCTCTGCTGTGCCTGTGGCCTCGGGGCAAAGAGAAAGTGGCGATTTCTACACTCAGTGCTCGGGAACCAGTGGGCACTGAGAATGGTTTATGGCCTGACATTACTTGCAACCAAAGCCAGGCAGCATTTGGATTTTCGCTTTTGGAAACCACCTTACCTGGTTTGCTCCATGAGGGAGGGGCAGCAACATCGCTGGGAACCCTGAGGTGTAGATATGTATAAATGAGCTGTGTGTGTATCTGAAGCTCGGGCACTTGTGGGGTTACCAGGAGTGTGCGTCTCACTCCCAGGCCTCGTTCTGGAAACGATTCTGTAGGTCTGTCTGGGAGGCCTTAGGCAAGTTTGATTAAGAACAGTCGAGCTGGATAAACAGGCTGTTCCTTGTCCAGCACTAGTCATCCCAGGGGGGCGGGGGCGGGGCTGCAACTCCTGTGCACAAAGGAAGGGCCCTGGGTAGGGGTCAGGAGCTGCCTTGCCCAGAGATGTGTCTGGGTCACTTTGGAAACAGGAATCCTCTCCCCAAAATGGGTAGCAATGGGGGTACAGAGGCCAAAGACGCAGCTGCATGTCCTGCAGTGCCTGGGACGCCCCGTAGTGAAGAGTGATGTGGCCCAAATGTCAGCAGTGCCAGTGTCAGACTCCTGCTAAGAGACAGTATCAAGAAAGATAACTTCAAAATACACTTTCTGGAGGCCTGGCGCGGTGGCTCAGGCCTGTAATCCCAGCACTCTGGGAGGCCAATGCATGTGGATCACCTGAGGTCAGGAGTTCGAGACCAGCCTGGCCAACTGCCTGAAACCCCATCTCTACTAAAAATACAAAAATTAGCCAGGTGTGGTGGCGCAAGCCTGTAATCCCAGCTATTTGGGAGGCTGAGGCAGGAGAATCGCTTGAACCCGGGAGGCAGAGGTTGCAGTGAGCCGAGATCGCACCACTGCACTCCAGCCTGGACAACAGAGTGGGACTCTGTCTCAAAAAAAAAAAAAAAAAAAAAAGTACAGTTTCGGGATTTCATAAATTGGGTTCCCTGAGGGTCATTTGGTGAATCCGGGTTAAAGAACCCTGGTCTGCATCACTGTCCTTGTTTGTTTTTCAGATGCAGAGGCCAGGATGTGGGCCCAGCCCTGTGCCAGGAGGCTGGCTGGAATAAAGGTACAGATAGAGGCCTCACCCCCTCTGGGACCACTGGCACTCAGGGTGTTTGCAGCCTCAGAGCCCACCTGCCCCCAGGGCCACAGCTGCATCTCCTGCCCTGCTGTCATTACAGGGATGGGCAGGCTGGCATGGGGGCAGCCGCTGCCCCTGCCTGGGTGTTGCTGTGTATTCCTGCCGGCCAGGGGCCACTGCCAGGACCACGCCTCCCTTTTCATATCCCGATTCTTAAGTTCTGCTATTGTGGTATTCTGGTGGAGAAAAAAGAACCGCGTGGCTGTTTTTGAACTGCCTGGAACCTAAGACCCTGAATTCTTTTCCCCCCCAAGGGGAAAATCTATATGGAAAACATTTATTTTAAAATACAGGATGAAGTGAATTAAAAGATTTAAATGCACATTTCTTTAAGGATAATATTTCTGTGTTGGCAAAATTTGAGAGTAAATTGGTCTTGAATGGAATGGATTGTCTTGACTCACACATTGCGGAGCAGAGCCCGCCCTGAAGAAAGGTGTTGCTGTGGTGGGATCTTCCCACGAGGGTCCTTGCCTGTTCTCCTAGGGGATGGTTGCTGGGTGCCCTGGGCTACTGGGGAGAGCGTACGGGGCTGGAGAAGATGGCCATTCCTGGGCTGTTTCCTAGGGAATGAGTTGTACATCTCATGGCTGGATTTTGTAAAATCAGTTTTTAAAATACCGCATATATCTGTTTTCTTACTGGAACACCTTTTTCTTGGTCTGTTGTGCACAGCCCAGGTTTGGGGGGTACTGGTCATTGACTGTTTCAGAAGCCGCTGTGTTTGGGGAACTGCCCTGGCGGCTTCAGAGGTGTGTGTGGGTTGAAGGGCAGGCAGCTCTGCAATAGACCTCACCTTGGACTAACACCTGAGGGCTGCCTCGCCAGGAAGGATTCAGGGGCTCAACCCCAGCCTGAGTGCCTGGGCTGGGTGGATCCACAGCGGGGCGAAGGGTCCCACACACAGCATCGATGGGGGCTCAGGGTGCTCAGCCCTGGGCATTACATAAAAGCTGTTTATTGACATTACGTTCTTCAGAGTAACAAACCCCCTTGGAGGACTCTCCTGCCGGGATGTCCATGTCCGCCTTTGCTCCGAGCTGGGGTCTCATGTCTGTGGTGCTGGAATCCAGAGCCCTGACGGTAGGGGAGTGATTTTGCAACACAGTTGCATTTCACATCTTCTGACAGGATTCCTTGAGGGAGGGTTGGACCCTGGCACCTGGCCAGCTCCAGGAAGGGTGGCCAGGCCCCTCACTGCCCCATCAAGAGTACTTGGTGTTGGAGATCTTCTTCCAGAGCAGAGTCTTGAGGTGGCTGAGCACCAGCGAGTGATGGGCCTCCACCTGGCTGGCCAGCCCGCTCAGCGTGGTACAGGTGCGCAGCTGTGTGCCCAGCTCCTCGCGGAGGTCGGCGGGCGCGCCAGGCAGCAGGTAGCCCCGTAGCAGTGCGCACACCTTGGCCAGGTTGGGCTGGATGAGGTCGCCCTTGCACTGCCTCATGAGCCTGTCACACGGGGCCCTGCAGTCGCGCCCGTAGGTGCAGTCGGTGCTGTGCTCGCAGCGGCGGCCCTGCAGGAAGCGGCGCACGGTGGCCTCGGGTGCCACCTGCTGCAGGTCGGCCATCTTGAAGTCGTAGGTGGCTGTGTAGCCCACGTTGGCCAGTGTGGTCTCACACATGTAGAAAGTCCCGTAAGAGCCGTGGAAGAGCTCCTCCACGAACTCCAGCAGGCCGATGGCGATCTTGGCCCGCCAAGGCCACGCAGGCCCCAGCCACTGCTGGAGAGCACCCTGCAGGGCAGGCGGCAGCAGTGGGCGCAACAGGGGTGGAAGGGCGGCCGCGTGCCAGGCGCCATGCGGCACGCCCTCGGTGAGGTAGAGGTCCCCACAGTAGCCCAGCAGTCTGGAGGCGTGCTCCTTCTCCTGCAGGGACAGCAGCAGCAGGAACTCGTTACGCTGCAGCAGGGCCCACACGGACTTGGCTTCCGCCAGGGACACCCGGTTGTCCTTGTTGAAGTCAGCCATGAGCAGGACCTGGCCAACCAGCGCCGGCAGGGAAGGCAGGTCTCCCAGGTTCGCCTGGCGTTTGGGACCAAAAGAAAGGAAAAGCCAGCTGATTTGATGTCTGGGAGCACGACCTGGCCTTTACCTGGTCCTCCTGGCGGGGTGGTCTGCCGGCCAGACCAGCACATCTGCCAGGTTAGGGGTCCCAGCCCACAGCTACACGGGTGGAGGACGCAGCCAGCAATGTGTCAGCTCACTCTGCTGGCCTGTGTGGCTGCTGCCAGACAGACCTCCCGCCTCCTGGCAGCCTTGGGTGCACCTGGGGAGCTCGGGGGTGGGCACCTGGGCAGAGAAGCCTCAGAGCTTCCCTGAGGATGAGAATCGGCACAGGGCAGAGGGCACGCACTGGCTGAAGCCCTGGGAAGCGGCCCCTTTCCACAAGCCCTGGTCTCCATTCGGGGCACCTGCCCTGCTGGACACACGGCCCTTGACTGCAGGAGCCTCCCCTCGACCTCAGCTGCCAGCCCACCGGCGCCCCCAACCCTTGCCCCCAGCCCTGGAGAGGCTCCTTCCCTGGCAGGGCTCATGCCCAGGGGCTGGGGGATGGGAGGTCTGCCCAGGGTCCACTTGGGCCCATCTGTGCCTTTGCGCTGGGCATGTTGGTGCCAGGGCCGCCTGCTGGGCATATGACCGTGGTGTGGACTCCTGCCCTGCCCCCTAGGAGAGCTGCCTGACCTTGAGGAAGCTGAGGGTCATCTCCCGGAATTCCTTGATGGAGGTGCCCCGGGTGGGCTTGTCAAACAGTACCAGCTCCCGCCGGGGGGCCGCATCCGACCGGGCCTTGGAGTCGAGGGTCTCCTCAATGCCACACTTGATGGTTACATCCTTGTCCCGCCAGAGCCCGCTGTACACCTGGACAGGGCCACAGAGGTCCTCCGTGCAGACATCCCCCTCCCACTGCACGGGCAGTATCAGCCCCAGGCCCACCCGCCCTGCCAGTGGCTATACCTGCTGGCCCGGGGCCACCGAGAGGCAGGTCCTCCACTCCACCATATGCAGCTCACACAGGTCCTGGCAGACGGAGCCCGAGATGATCCCCTTGCGGTACTGGTCACACTGAGGAGACAGGTGCAGGCGTGCCGGGCGGGGCAGCCACACCCCTGCCCCACTGAGCCCCTGCCCACAGGCCCGAAGCTGGCAGGGGCCTCCACTTGCTGCAGTTGGAAAGCTGCCAGCCCCTCACACAGGCAGTGCCGGGGCCCTGGGTCATGCCATTGGTGGCTGCAGGATGGGGCTGTCGGCTGCAGGGGCAGCCCCGCCAACCCTCCGGTCCGGTCCCGTCCCCACCATCCTGGCTCCTGTAACAGGACGGCACAGCAAAGGCCACTGCCTGGACATGAGACACACACCACACCCAGTGTCGACCCCACGCCAGGGCCAGAGGCAGGAACCTGGAGGCAGCTCTCCGCCCAGCCGACCCAGCTCTGGACCATCCAGGCATTGGCCGGTGAACTAGAATTCACACTAGTCCCTAATATCTACACCACCAGCTGCCACACGCGCGCTCTCTGCCTGACTCTTCATTCCTGCCTCGGGTGACGCCAGGAGGGAGGATGCACCCCCTGACTCATGGCGCCCTCCCTGCCCGGAATAGTAAGTGAGACATTTCTGAACTTGTTTCCTATGATGGTGCTGACTGGACTGCGTCTTCCATCTGAAGGGCCAGGAGCTGCCCCACCCAGGCAGGGCTTTCCCTGGGACGCCAGGAAGAACAAAAGGGTGGGCTCTTGGTGCCAGAGCGATGGATGGTCAGGCTGGCAGAACCTGGACAGGAGTCAGACACGAGCCATAGGGCCTCTGTCAGAGAAGCAACCCCCTGGACACAGGGCAAACAGCTGGGTGTCATCCCGTGAAGGGCACCGCGTCCAGCCCCTCTGCTCCCCGTCAGGGCGGGCTGCCAGCCATTCTGCACTGGGCACTCATGGGGGCTCTCACGACAGATCCTGATGCCCAGAGCCACACCTGCATGGCAGCTTCTGGCTGGGTTTCCACTAATCTCAGGTGTGGGTCTCCTCCTGTCCCAAGGACTTGGCCTCCCTCTTTGGCCCGGCCCAGCCTTCCCCAGGCTGAGGCAGGAGGACAGGCTGCGGCCTCACTGTTTGCCTCAAGTGCAGCCAGGACAGGGCTCACCACCAGAGCTGACAGTCTCAAGGGTACCCCTGGGGTGGAGCCGGCAACGGAGCCCCAGCCTCTACCTCCTCTCCCAGCCCTCCGAGGCCAGTGCCCAGGCTCAAGCGCTCCGTTGTCAGAGCTGTTTGTCAAGGCTGAGAAAACGGACCCCTGGGGCCCCACAATGACTCCGGGCCTGTCCTTCCCTGTCCCACAGGCCCCCTCCTTAGCCAGACCCCCAGGGAGACTTTGTTAGCAGTAATTACATCAGGCCTGGGGCTGGCTGCCGCCCCTCCTCAGCCCCCACCCTAGCTCCAGGGGCCTGGCAGCCCCTCAATCCCAGCGCCCCACGGGAGGTGATGGAGGGATGGAGCTGGCCCGCCCCTCTGGGGGGGGGAGAATTCCTGGATGTACAGCCTCAGTTGCCATGGAGCCTGGCCAAGCAGGCTTGGAGGGAGCTGGGGAAGGGAGCTGCGGAACACCCCGCCCTCCAGGGTTGGGGAGGAGGGAGGGTCCCCGCCCCCCACACACCAAGGATGGGGACAGAAGTGAGATGGGCCAACTGGAGGCCGAGGACCCCGCCACGTGAGTCATGAAGGCAGCGTCTGTCCCGGCAGCAAGAAAACGCCGGCTCTTCGTCAAGACAGAAAAGGAAAATGAAGGAAAACTGCACACTTGTCCAACCCTCCACCTTGCAGGCAGGCCCTTTGCCACCGGAGTCCACTCCCGTCCCCAGACCAGCCAGCTCCCTGCACCCAGAGCCCCAGACCACACAGCCCCTGCACCCGGAACCCCAGACCAGCCCCCTGCACCCGGAGCCCCAGACCAGCCCCTGCGCCTGGAACCCCAGACCACACAGCCCCCTGAACCCAGAGCCCCAGACCAGCCCCTGCACCCGGAGCCCCAGCCCACACAGCCCCCTGCACCCGGAGCCCCAGACCACACAGCCCCCTGCACTCGGAGCCCCAGATCACACAGCCCCTGCGCCCGGAGCCCCAGACCAGCCCCTGTGCCCGGAGCCCCAGGACCGCAGGAGGCTGCCCTGCTCCTGGCACACAGTGGTGCTGGGGAAGGAGCCTGTGGGCCACACTGCTGTCTGCCAGGCTGGGGCTGGGGCTGGGGCTCCAGGGTCCCCCAGGGGTGGGGAGATGGAGCTGCCTCCATGGTCCTGGGCACCTACCAGCACCTAGCAGAGTGTGGAGAGGCTTCCTCAGAGGCTGAGGCGGGCGTGTGCTTGGCCTCCTCAGGGCCCTTGCCGCACATCGGTCCCCTCACCGCCCAGC
Source organism: Homo sapiens (assembly GCF_000001405.40). Classification (NCBI taxonomy): domain Eukaryota; kingdom Metazoa; phylum Chordata; class Mammalia; order Primates; family Hominidae; genus Homo; species Homo sapiens. Next base: position 136,719,584 of record NC_000009.12, on the reverse strand, counting down.
CTGTTCCCCGCCTGCAGCAGGGCTCAGTGGGGACTCACGGTCTAGTTCTTGGCCTCGCGAGGGCCCTGGTGGAAGCTGGGACTGGCCCTGCACTGCTGCTGCCTCGTTGTGTGCGCTGGGCCAGCCTCTGCGCCTCTCTGAGGCGTCCAATGCCCCCACGAGGCCGGGCAGGGAACCTCCTCTGGGAAGGAGGGGACGTCTCCATGGCCCCTGGGGTGGCTTCGGGAGAGCTGGGCTTGGCCTGACCTCTGGGAAGGCTCTGAGCAGCCAGGGAAACCCCCACTGGGCAAAGGGCCAGGGCACCCTGGGAAACCGACGCTGCAGCTTCCTCTTGTTTGTGGGGGCACCTCCTCCTGCTTTGCGGCCCGGCACCCAGTAGGTGCTCAGAACCTGCCTGGCCACGTGAATCCTCTGCTCACCCCCACCCGCCCCCACCCACAACATCCCGGCCCGGAGGTCCGGCCCCTCCACCTCCTTGGTCCTTCTAGGAGCTCCAGGGGTGCATCTGATCGGGGCACAGCCTTCCCCACCCATGGCCCCAGGACGAGCCCCATGTGCCACCCTCCGGCCCTGCTGGGCTCAGAGGCCCCCTGGACTTCAAGGGTGAGCAAGGCCTGGTCCAGGGGCCCGGAGGCCTCCCCTGGGCTGGCATGGGCTCCAAACAAGTCCTGGGCACAGAAGCTCTCCTAGCTCCGGACCCCACACCCCAGTCCTCCACTGCCACATCTGGGCCTTTCCACATGTGGCCCCCGTCAGACATGGCTCTGTGGGACACAGGCCTGCCCAGGCCCACCCGGCTAGCTTCATCCACCACCCAGTTGCCAGGAGAGGTGCTCTCCCCATCTGACGGAGGAGACACCGAACCTGGGGTCTCCCTGCACCCAATCACCCTATGACAACCCACAGTGGCCGCTGCTACAGGCCAGATCCTTCTATGCCCAGGCCTGACCCCAAGGGGAGTGGAGGCATCGGAACCCTGGTCATCGGGCAGCCTGGGGTCAAAATTCAGTGGGGGACCTGCCCAGTTCTGGGCGAGTCTAGGGTTTGCCAGGAAGACAGAGCTGGGATGACCTCCCCTCTGAGCTAGTCACAGGGTGTGGAGAGGGGCAGGGGGTCACCTTGGTGTGCACTCATGTGGACACGTTTGCTCCCAGACACACACATGCTCACATACGCCAGGGGACTTAGCCCTATCTCCCTGAGGTGGAGGCTGTGGAGGACCTTGCCCTGCCACCTGCCTCAGGGGACCCCTGGTCCCAGGGGGGCTAGCGAGGCCACTAAGGCCAGCACACGGGGGTCTCTATCCCGGACCAGTGAGGCCAGCACACGGGGGTCTCTATCCCGGACCAGTGAGGCCAGCACACAGTGGTCTCTATCCTGGACCAGTGAGGCCAGCACACGGTGGTCTCTATCCCAGGCCAGTGAGGCCAGCACACGGGGGTCGCTATCCTGGACCAGTGAGGCCAGCACACGGGGGTCTCTATCCCATCCAGTGAGGACACCACACGGGGGTCTCTATCCCGGAGCAGTGAGGCCAGCTGCCCACCCCAGGCTTCCTGCTAAACATCCTCCCTCCCAAAGATTTCTGGAGTCTGCCCTGCCTTCTGCCCCCAGCCCCCACGTCTCCCCCATCCTCCTCTGGACCCCCATCCTCCACACCCAGCCTGAGGCAGCCCCGCACGTCTCCCCCGTCCTCCCCTGGACCCCTGTCCTCCACACCCAGCCTGAGGCAGCTTTGCAGATTCCACCTAGAAACCCACGTGCCTCGTGGGCCCTGGGTCTGGGGAGGAAGGTGTCTCCAGGGCCTGGTGCCCCAGCATCTTGGGCAGCAGGGGGCACGGCCCAGTCCCCAGCCCGCACAAGCAACACTTACAATGACCACCTGGCAGACATGGCCGCGACAGCGCTCCGAGTAGGACGAGTAGTGCACGTACACCAGCCAGCTGCCTGCAAAGACGCCCAGCCAGGCCAGGAAGATGCAGCGGACCCTGAGGCCTGGGAGCCGGCCCTGTGGGGGAAGGGGCTGCGTGAGGAGGTGCCCTCGGGGCACCCAGGCTCAGGGTGCTCTCAACCCCACTTCCCACAGGAAGGGCCTCCGGATCCACCCCAGCCTTCCCCTGCCATCCCCTTGGCCCCCTGGCACCCCCGTCTTCTAGAATCACCCCCAGCTCAGCGACACCCACTCCTGGCTCTGCCTCTCCAGGGTCACATACCAGGGGCTGCAGGGGCCGGAGGTGGGGGCAGGCGCTGCCCAGACTTTTCAGTGTTATGGGCAGGTACAAATAAATGTCAAAACCAGGGGACTACAGGGTGGCCGATTCTTTCCTCTGCTGAATGAAATTTTTTTTTTTTTTTTGAGAGGGAGTCTTACTCTGTAGCCCAGGCTGGAGTGCAGTGGCGCGATCTCGGCTCACTGCAACCTCTGCCTCCCGGGTTCAAGTGATTCTCCTGCGTCAGCCTCCCGAGTAACTGGGACTACAGGCATGCACCACCACGACCAGCTAATTTTTGTATTTTTAGTAGAGACGGGGTTTCACCATGTTGACTAGGCTGGTCTTGAACTCCGGACCTCAGGTGATCTACCTGCCTTGGCCTCCCAAAGTGCTGGGATTACAGGTGTGAGCCACTGTGCCTGGCCGAATGAAGATATTTTTACAAACCCTTCCTATCCTGATCTCATTTCATAACATCGTCACCTCCGCACAAGGCCAGGTGAGCGCGCCCACCGCGAGAGACACTGCCCCTATTTTTCCCACCGTCCACCGTAATGCAGATTGGTGGGAAGTTCCGGCCGGACCAGACCCACAAGGAGAACCAGGTTTGGAGAACGGGGCCCTAGGAGCCCAACGCAGCCACATCCTGGAAGCCTTTAAGAGACGCAGGCGGGCCGGGCATGGTGGCTCACCCTGTAAACCCAGCACTCGGGGAGGCTGAGGCGGGCAGATTGCTTGAGCCCAGGAGTTTGAGACCATCCTGGGCAACATAGGGAAACCCCGCCTCTACAAAAATACAAAAATTAGCTGGGTGCGGTGGCTCACCCTGTGATCCCAGCTCTTTGGGAGGCTGAGGTGGGTGGCTTGCTTGAGCTCAGGAGTTCGAGACCAGCCTGGGCAACATGGCAAAACCCCATCTCTACTAAAAATACAAAAATTAGCTGGACATGGTGACTCACGCCTGTAGTCCCAGCTACTTGGGAGGCTGAGGCTGGAGGATTGATTGAACCCGGGAGGTTGAAGCTGCAGTGAGCTGTGACCCCACGCTACACTCCAGCCTGGGTGAGAAAGCGAGACCCTGTCTCAAAAAAAAAAAAAAAAAAAAAAGACACAGACTCAGACACCGATGTTCACAACAGCCCAGGGGTGGGCAGTCCTTAAGTTCACAGCCGGGGGATGGAAGAGCAGCTGCGTCTATCCTATCCACACTGCGGAGTGACTGTGTCCTGAGAAGGAAGGAGATCTGATGTCCACCCAGAAGGGAGGAGCCCCAGGACAAGAGGCTCAGTGAAACGAGCCCGTCACCAAAGCACAAATCCTGCAGGACCCACTTACACGAGGTCCCCAGAGTCGCCAAAACCATAGAGACAGGAAGGAGAGTAGAGGGAGCCGCGGGCTGGGAAGGGACTGGGAGTGTGCGTTTGATGCAGACAGAGCTTCAGTTTGGGAAGGCGGAGAGCTCTGCGGACAGAGGGAGGTGACCACTAAACTGTGCCCTTAAACAGGGTTAAGATGATACACTTTATGCCATGTGTATCTTACCGCAGTTAAAAATTAAGGTCGGGCGTGGTGGCTCACCCCTGTAATCCCAGAACTTTGGGAGGCCGAGGCAGGCAGATCACCTGAGGTCGGGAGTTGGAGACCAGCCTGACCAACAGGGAGGAACGCCATCCCTACTAAAAATACAAAATTAGCCAGGCATGGTGGCGCATGCCTGTAATCCCAGCTACTTGGGAGACTGAGGCAGGAGAATCGCTTGAACCCGGGAGGCAGAGGTTGTGGTGAGCTGAGATGGCGCCATTGCACTCCAGCCTGGGCGACAGAGTGAGGCTCCGTCTCAAAAAAAAAAAAAAAGTAAGCAGGCAGCCCCTGGCCCCTGCCTAAAGCTCTGACCCAGATGTCTGGGAGCCGGCTTTTAGGGAGGGCTCCAGGTCACTCTGCCATCCTCAGTCCCTCTGCCTTGGTTTCCCTACCGGCCTGAGGAGGCTCAGGCACCGGCTCTAGGGTGCAGGCCTCCAAGCTGGGCTTCCAAGGGTGACAGCCAGGGACAGCTGCATGCCACCTTCCCTCTCCCCAGCCCCCTAGCAAATTTCAGGCCTCTCAGGCACTGGCCAGCAGAGGGGACTTGCCCTACACAGGGGTTCAGACATCCCTGACCTGCAGCTGAAGGGTGAAGGGCCCAGGCTTGGGGGCCAGCTTCCCCTCAGAGAGGCCCCACTGCTGGCTCCAAGCACTCCCTGTGGCCTCCTGTCCACCTGCGGCCAGGGAGAGGCTGCCCTGGGCACATCCTCCTCCCGGCAGCGCCTGGCCACACCCCCACCTGCCCAAGCCAGAGCCCCCATCAGAGGTCGTGGGCTGCAGCCCGGCTTAGGCCGTGAGCAGGGGACTCCTCCCTAAAATGGGGCCACCAGCTCCTCAACGAGGACAAGGCACAGCCCAGGCAGCTGAGGTCGTTTTTTCTGGTTCTTTCAGGATGGGTGGGCCCTGGTCTCCTGCTTCCCCGGCATCCACTCACGGATGGCCGCCCCAGGCAGGGCTACAGAGGGAGGACCCCCAGCAGCTGGGGAAGGGCCCAGACCTCCAGTAGCAGTGGGGTCCTGGGGGTCCTGGAGCAGAGGGCGTGGCTCCGGTGTGGGGAGCCCTCCAGGCCCAGGTTGGTCTCCGCCCCCTCAGACCACTTGTCCTGGGCACTGAATCTGTTTCCGGCAGACTTGCTCAAGATGAAAAACAGGAAAGCAGAGAAACAATGGGGGGTGGGTGTTGTTCTGGCAGGATAAGGTCGGATGGCTCCGTCTGGGGTGAACGTGCCCAAGGCAGGGCCATGCAGGGAGGCCCAGCATGGGCGGGGCCTCGGAGGACAGCCAGGAGGAGGGAGGCTGCAGCTGGCCTCGGGCCTAGGGCTGACCCCAGCTGGGGACAGTGACACCAAGCTAGGGACTTACCCAGTTCTGCTCCCCAGAGCCCCGACTGGGCTTGGGCCAGGGCCTATTTCCGCCTGGCCAGCTCTGGTTCATCCCCCAGCTCTTTCGTTGTTGTTGTTCTTTTGAGACAGGGTCTTGCTGTGTTGCCCAGGCTGGAGTGCAGTGGTCCAGTCACAGCTCACTGCAGCCTCGAACTCCCAGCTTCAAGTGACCCTCCCATTAAGGCCTGGCATTACAGGCAGGAGCCACCTTGCCCAGCTCTCCCCTAGGTCTTGATCTTCCCCAGCTGCCATCCCTGACCCTGCTGTGGATCCTGGGGTCCCAAGCAGCTGCTCTGCAAGGCCCCCACAGTGCTCCCTGGCCCACCCTGGCTCCCGGGCCTGGCACAGATGGACGGGCAAAGCTTGAGTGTGGAGGTGGCCCCACCATCCAGGACCTGGGCTGGGGCTTTGCAGGGGCAGGTGGGGACCAGCTCCCGGTGTAGCCACTTGGAGGATAGGGAAGGTCACCCAGGGGATGGGAACAGCACAGTGGTCCTCAGCCCAGCAGGCTCAGACCGTGGGCCAGGAGCCCCACAGCACTAACCCAGAAAAGCAGTTCACAAGGCCAGGAAACTGAGGCCCTCGCCACTAGAGGGGCAGGCTGGGCTCCCACCAGGGCTCTGGCCCCGAGCCAGCCACCCTGGGAGCAGCCAACACCCCTCTGCTGCCATTCCTGGGCGGAGCTCCAAGCATCAGCATCTCTTCTGCAGCTGCTGGTCGAGGCCTTTCCTCGGGGGAGGGGACCACTGTGCACCCCACCTCCCAGCGACTGGGGTGGTCCTCAGACCCCTTAGCTCTCACCCTGCCCCAAGGCTGAGCCGGGACCACCACAACCTGAAGCCCCAAGTGGGCACAGAGGGTCTCGCTGCAATCTGTGGGTTGCCAGGTTCCATACGCTCTTCCCAGAAGGGGAGCTGAGGCCAGCCAGGCCCTGAGCTCAGGCAGGACGCAGGCAGGGTTCCTCCTGCTGACCCAGGACCACCCTGCGGGGGCCGGGGAGATACAGGCAAATCTGACCAGGACTGGCGCCTCCGGCAGATGGCTGGGGTCCTGGAGGGTCTGGGAGGGCATCCCATCCGAGGCCGGGCCCCGGATGATTGGAGCCTGATGGGCCTGGCCTGCATCTCCCCAAAGCAGAAGGTGAAAGGGCTCCTGGCAGCTGGAACCCAAGGCGGCCCGGGCCTCCCCTGCGGACCCGGCCAGGCCCCTGGAGGGGACGGTGGTTCAAGGTCATCCCGGGGTCAGGGCAGGGTCCCCGCGCTACGGCTGGCTGATGGGATGAAGGGGCAGGGGGCGGGGAGGTCATGTCCTTGCCAGGGCGTTTCTGTGCGTCCCAAGTTTTCTACCGCAGAATAACACACCTCATTTTTTAAGTGGAGAAAAGAAGAAAGGACTTCGGTGTGGTTTCTGGGCCTGGGGGGCAGGGACCGCCTGCAGGTCGGGGCGAGGGCCTCCAGGCCGCAGCATCCCCGCGCCCGGACCCTCCTGTCGCCGCCACCGCCCCTCCCCCAGCGTCCCGTCCTTCCGGAGCCACTCGCCCCCTCCCCGCTGCCCACCCCGGGCTCATGAACCCTTCGTGTCCGAACCCGGGGCCCCGCTCCGTACTCGGCCCACTCCGGGGCTGGAGCTCGGCCTCCCCAGGCAGAGGCGGCCGGGGGCGGCGGGCGCGCACCGCGCTTACCTGCAGGCGCTTGGAGAAGGGGCAGAAGAGCACCAGGTGCGCCAGGCGCCGCAGCCGCCGCATGGTGGGCTCCGGCCGGGGCTGCGCGGGCCCCGCGGCTCGCTCGGCCTCAGCCCCGGCCCGGCCCGGCCCGCAGCGGCCGCCGCTCCCTCGCCATGCGGGCCGCGCGCCCCCGGGCCCGCGTTAAAGGCGAGGGCGCGCGCCTTTCTGTCGGCCGACGGCGGCGCGGCGGGGGCGCGCGGGGGAGGGTCGCGGCGGAGGCGCGCGGGGGCGGGGCTTGGCGCGCGGCCCGCCTTCGACCCCCGGCTCGGCTGAGGAGGGGGCGGGCACCGAGGCCCCGCCCACCCGCAGACCCCGCCCCTCATGCAACGGTGCTGCGGGAGGGGCTGGGGGCGCGCGGGATGGGCCGGGAGGCGGAGCCGGGGCCGGGGGCGCGCCTGTCGGGCTCCTGGGCGTCTCGGGGGCTCTTCCCACGCTGGAGAGAGGCCCCGTGCGCTACGCAGGCTGCGGGGTTCAGGGCTCCCCACGCGCGCCCCCGGTTCGAGGCCGCAGAGCCAGGGCTGGTCCTTCCCCTGGGTCCTCAGGATGGGGTCAGACGCGCGGAGCCCTGGGCTGGCCGAGCCTGCAGCCCGCCCCGGGGTCCGACCCTTCCCTCCTGGCTGAGACCCCGCGCCTTGGCCACTCGCCGGGAGGACACTTCCTTCGCCTCCGCGTGGGGTGCTCGGGGATGAGCCGTTGCCGCCTCCATAGGCAGGTTCCGTGTGAACAGAAGCTTTCATTGCACTTCGGTAAACACCTGGGGGGGCTGAGTTGGACGGTGAGGGATGTGGGGCGCAGCCAGCAGCTGCCAAGACTCGCTCCCTCCCCGCGGCCGCCGGCGCTTCCAGCTGCTCCGCATCCCGGGCGGCTCTTGCTATCGGCAGGTTTTTACATTTTAGCCATTTCCCTGGTGGTGGCGTCTCGCTGGGGCTGTGGTTCGCGTGTTTAACACACTTTCTGCGTGTTCAGTTACCACCTGTGTATCTTCTCCAAAGTCTATTCAAGTTTTTGACCATTAATAAAAATCACGTTGTTTCTTTATTATTAAGTTTTGAGACTTATTTACATTTTGGTTTTAATTTTTAATATCTAGAATGAGACTGGGTCTCAGTGTTTTGCCCAGGCTGGTCTCGAACTCCTGGGCTCAAGGGATCATCCTGCCTTGGCCTCCCAAAGTGCTGGGATTACAGGCATGAGTCACCTGGTGCCCAGCCAAGACTTTTTTTTTTTTTTTTTTTTGAGAGGGAGTCTTGCTATGTTGCCCAGGCCGGAGTGGTCTCAAACTCCTGGCCTCAAGTGATCCACCTGCCTCAGCCTCCTAAAGTGCTGGGATTACAGGCGTGAGTCACCATGCCTGGTCCGAGACTTCTTTATATCTTCTGGATATCTGCCCATTATTACACATGTGATTTGCAAAGATTTTTCTCCCAGTCTGTGGCTTTCTTTTCATTCTCTTAACAGTTTCTTTCTTTTCTTTTCCTTTTTTTTTTTTTTTTTTTTGACGGAGTTTCACTCTTGTAGCCCAGGCTGGAGTTCAGTGGCGCGATCTCAGCTCACTGCAACCTCCGCCACCCAGGTTCAAGAGATTCTCCTGCCTCAGCCTCCCAAGTAGCTGGAACTATAGGTGCAAGCCACCATGCCCGGCTAATTTTTGTATTTTTAGTAGAGACGGGGTTTCACTATGTTGGCCAGGATCACTCCTGACCTCATGATCCGCCTGGCTTGGCCTCCCAAAGTGCTGGCATTACAGGCATGAGCCACCGTGCCTGGCCACACCAGGCTAATTTTTTAATGTTTTGTAGAGATGGGGTTTTGCCATGTTGCCCAGGCTGGTCTTGAACTTTTGGGCTCAAGCGATCCTCCCACCTTGGCTTCCCAAAGCTCTGGGATTCTGGGCGTGAGTGAGCCACTGCCACCAGCCCGGATCGTGCTCTGAGTGTGTCATCTCTAAGAAATTTTTGCCTAACCGAAGGTCACAAAGGTTTTCTGTGCTTTCTTCTAGAAGTTGTATAGTATTCGGCTTCATATTTAAGTCAATGACCCAATTCCAGTTAACTTTTGTGTATTGTGCAGGGTGTGGATCAGAGGGTTTTCAGTTTGGGGCTTGGGGGTTTTGTTAGCATTTTTTGCACATGGACATCCAATCCTTCTGGCATCATCTGTTGAAAGGATGAGCCCCTCCCCACAGAATTGCATGGCAGGGAGTTAAACAGAGAGGGACAAGGCCAGGGGGCAATGGGGTCAGGGTTCTATGCCAGGTATAGAAAGGAGGGGTGGGCCTGGGGGTGTGGCAGTGGCCTAGGCCAGCGACCTGGATGGACAGGGCTGGAGGCAACGTGAGGAAGGGGAGAGGGGCCAGTGGGAGAAAGTAGCAGGCAGACCCTCCCAGTCTCAGTGACCCCCAAGGTAGCCGTAGCCCAGGCTGGGAAGAGGGACTGCCATGTCCCCAAGTGACCTTTCCTCTCTCCCTCGATCCAAGCACTGTCTCTCTGCCAGCGAGGGTCCCGGAGCCCAAGAAAGGGAAGAGCAGTACGAGAGGGTGGGACACAGAGCACAAGCACCAAGAGGCCAACACGTAGGCTTCTCCCGGCCTGGAGGGAGGCCTTGCCATGTTTACAGCTGGGAGAGCATGTGCTTCCCTGCATGGCCTGTCCTCCTCCTGCAGGAGGGCTGTCCCAGGGCCAGGGGGAGTGGGTGCAGGGCAGTGGTGGTCGGTCCGGCCTGCAGGGAGCTCAGCTGGAGGGTGCAGGAGCCCACACCTTCCGTCAATGTGAGCCAGGCCAAGACCGCGGCCAAGAAAGTTCTGGAGGGTCTCCCGAGGAGGGCTTCCTGGGGGAGGGGCGCAGGAGAGCGTGATCCGTGGGTCAGGATCTGGGGAAGGTGTGGGCCATGAGAAGGATGAGCGCAGCCTCAGTGCCACTCCCAGGCTGCCAGGAGGGAGATGGCCCGCCCTGGGAGGAGTGCCTGGTGAGCGCATAGCCGGCCCTGGGTGACCCTGTCCCCGAGATCTTCCAAAAAGGCATTTCCCAGCAGGGCCCGCGGGACGCGGTGCTCCCTCCAGGCAGGGACCAGTGACCACGTTCTCCTTTGCATCTGCAGGCCTGGCCCAGAACCTGCACACTGTCCGTGGCCACTAGCCCATCAAGTGTTCATGGAATGGGCACTGGCCGGGTTCCAGTTCAGTTTGAATGGGTCTAGTTCTCGTTTTGGGGCCCTTGTTTCTACGCCACCAATGGGTGACATCCACCTGCCTGGAACATGAATGGGGCAGAGGACCCGGGAGGTGCTGACTGGTATCTCAGGTGTGGGGGCGGGAACTGGGCCGTGCCTTGCTGTTTCTAGGGCCTTTCGTGGCCTGAGGCCCTGAGCTCAAACCCTGGCCAGGGCAAACGACAGGTAAACGAAAGGTCCACTGCACAGACACAGACGCAGAGACACAGGATCACACACACCTTCGGGGCAGGCTCCGGGGACAATTCTGAAAGTGGAGGACCTTCCTGCCCTGTCTTTCCTTCCCATTCGTCCTGAGGCCTGGGAGTTTCCTCCCCAAGCAGGGGGCCCATTGCTCTCCCTGCCCTGCTGCAAAACTGGCATGTCCCATTCCAACTGCTATAACTGCGTCTCTTCCCCAGGCATCCCCTACTCACACCCAGACCTTTTTTTTGAGATAGAGTCTCGCTCCGTTGCCCAGGTTGGAGTGCAGTGGGGCAATCTCAGCTCACTGCAAGCTCCGCCTCCTGGGTTCACGCCTTTCTCCTGCCTCAGCCTCCCGAGTAGCTGGGACTACAGGCGCCTGCCACGGCGCCCAGCTAATTTTTTGTATTTTTAGTAGAGACGGAGTTTCACTGTGTTAGCCAGGATGGTCTCGATCTCCTGACCTCGTGATCCGCCCGCTTCGGCCTCCCAAAGTGCTGGGATTACAGGCGTGAGCCACCACGCCTGGCCTTTTTTTGTATTTTTAGTAGAGACGTGCTGAGACCAGCTCAGTCAGGGAGACCCTATCCGAGCGGCGTTAGAGGAATTAAAGACACACACAGAGAAATATAGAGGTGTGAAATAGGAAATCGGGTCTCACAGCCTTCAGAGCTGAGAGCCTCGAACAGAGATTTACCCACGTATTTATTGACAGCAAGCCGGTGAGCACACCAGGTGAGCAGCCGTTTAGGGGGCCCTGGTGGATCGAGGGCCCTGGAGAGCCACGAGCTTTCCCTCAGACGGTGGAGTGCGGCGCGTCAAGTTTCCCCCAAAGGGAGAGCTGCCACTTCCGATGAGAAGCTGACATATCACCGGGGACCCGCCCGCTGCTGTTGAATACAGAGTCTTCTGTTTGCAAAGAGAAGCTCTAGGGCCCTCCTTCCTTGTGGTGGTTGTGTCTGAGTTGAAAACCCTCCGAATGGGACTGTCAGGCTCCAGTCACAAGGCCTCCGTGGTCAGGTGGTTCACTGGGACAAGAGCTCGTTGTAAGCTAATTTTGCTTTTTGAAAACAAGGGGTGAACCTAGTAGTCGTGTCAGAGAGTCAGTGAATCCACCACCCCAAGGGGCACATCTGGGCAGAGGCTGTTTTCTTTCTCTGGAGTTTCCAGATAACGGGATCGTCAGCCACAGGGACTTGTCGTTCAAAGGGATCACAGGGCTGTGAGGCCCCAGCGGGAGAGAGAGTGGCCTGTGGCTCACGGGGCGGCAGCTGGAATAGCCTGTTGGTTCAGGCCCTGACGTAAGCAGGCTGATTTGTGGGTTCACTAATTTATTTTATTTATATTATTATTTTTTTGATACCAAGTCTTACTCTGTTGCCCAGGCTGGAATGTAGTGGTGTGATCTCGGCTCACTGCAACCTCCACCTCCCAGGTGCAAGCGATTCTCCTGCCTCGGCCTCCCGAGTAGCTGGGATTACGGGCACACACCACCACGTCTGGCTAATTTTTATATTTTTAGTAGAGACAGGGTTTTGCTATGTTGGCCAGGCTGGTCTCAAATTCCTGACCTCAGGTGGTCCACCCCCCTCGGCCTCCCAAAGTTCTGGGATTACCGGCGTGAGCCACCTCGCCCGACCTGGATTCACTAATTTAAGAAGCCAAGTCGAATGCCCAAATGAAGCACATCCTGTCTCCAACACCCACACAGTCCAATCAAGTGCTGGGTTGTCCTTTTGGGTGAGATGAGGGAGCAAAGAGACAACAGGTTTTCCTTGACTGGCTGAGGCAGTGAGTGCTGTGGACCCACCTCCACCTACCTCATCCCAAGAAACTCCACCTGGTGAGGCAGCCACTGGACGCTGTTGATGTTTTGCCTGCCTCTGTGGACAGGGAGGTATGAGAGTACCCCCGTCTAGTTGTCTAGTTCTAGAGACCCAAGGCTTCTGAGCTGCCAACCTGCAGGACATCATCTGTATCATGGCACCTGTGGACATCAGAAGTCCTAACCTGCCCACAGGTGGCCAGTGGCGGGGCGTGTACGGGGAACACACCTAAGTGTATTGGAGACCTGGCCATGTGAATGCAAGCTGGTCTTGCTCCTCCCCTGCCAGTGGTGTGGCAAAAAGGCATTGGCAGGATCCAAGACAGTGTACCAAGTACCCGGAGCCCACGTGATGGGCTCGGTATGGTCACAGTGTGTAGGACAGCTAGGGCTCTGGGAGCAATGGCTGACTTCTGTTGGTGGTAATCCACTGTCAGCCACCAGCAGCTCTTACCTGCTCCACTGGCCACTCAGGGATGTTGTGTTGCCATATTTCATCTCTTTTTTTTTTTTTTGACACGGAGTGTCACCCAGTGATTGTCACCCAGGCTGGAGTGCAGTGGCGTGATCTCGGCTCACTGCAGCCTCTGCCTCCTGGGTTCACATGATTCTCCTGCCTCAGCCTCGCGAGTAGCTGGAACTATAGGGGCCCGCCACTATGCCCAGCTAATTTTTGTAGTTTTAGTAGAGACTGGGTTTCTCCATGTTGGCCAGGCTGGTCTTGAACTCCTGACCTCAGATGATTCACCCGCCTCGGCTTCCCAAAGTGCTGGGATTAGAAGCTTGAGCCACCACGACCAGCCTTTATTTTTTTGAGGCAGACTCTCACCCTGTTGTCCAGGCTGGAGTGCAGTGGCACGATCTCGGCTCACTGCAACCTCCACCTCCCGGGTTCAAGTGATGGGTTCAAGGGATTCTTATGCCTCAGCCTCCCGAATAGCTGGGACTATAGGTGCCCGCCACCACACCTGGCTAATTTTTTTGTATTTTTAGTAGAGACGGGGTTTCACCATGTTGACCAGGCTGGTCTCTAACTCCTGGTGTCAAGTGATCTACCGGCCTCAGTCTCTCAAAGTGCTGGGATTACAGGCGTGAGCCACCACGCCCAGCCCCATATTTCATCTCTTAGTCCCCCTACTGCCCTTAATCCCTCAATCAAACCTCTGATGCGCCTTTTTCCCTCTGGGATTCTGTACCGCTTCTGGGATTCTGTACCCGCCCTGAAAGCGGGTTGCAGAGAGATTCACACATCCCACTGGCCCTTCTCTGCATTCAGTGCTTGCCAATAGGGAGAGTCCCCTCTGGCACGTACAGGATGGAAGTATGGGGATGAAACACAGCTCCTACGCGGCAACACACACATAGAAGCATCAAAAACAGGGCATCGAATTGGCCCAAAATGCCACACCCACAAGATCACATCAGCCTTCACTCCCCATTTCAAACCGTGCACAAATCCGGTGAGCGGAATCCAGAGAACTTTTCCTTCCACTGGTCCAAACAGGAGAGTGATGTGGGCTACTCATATCCGACAGAGCCATAAAGTTTGAGTTCTTCTTCTCCTCCAAGTTCTCCAGCACACTTGGATGGTGCCCACGGCCTGGGAACCTCTAATCATCTTTCTTCCTAACGTAAGTGGAGGGGGGTGAGAGGTGGAAGGAGGAAGTCCATGAACAAGGTTCTGCGTTTATTTTCAGGCAGCGTGGCAACGGCTCATGACTCAGCCAGGGACTGTTCCATGATTTTCAATCCATCCAATGCTCCGTACCAGGCAGTGAGCTTCTCACAGCTGACCCATCTACTTCAGTTTTGGGAGCCCCATGGCTTAGTAGCCATTGCCATGTTGTTTTCAGCTGGATCTGTGGAGTTTGCACCATTTGGCCAACTCGAGCTTGGTGTCCCAGTGGCAATCTTATTTGAGGATTCTTCCTACTTTAGACAAAATAGATGTAACAGAGTTGATTTGAGCATTAAAGGAGGCATGAATCAGGCAGCACTCAAAGGTGGAAGAGGCTCTGGGAGCTCTGTCTTAGCAGTGTGAGCAGCAGGCTTTTACAGGCTGAATGTGGAAGTGAAGTACGGAAATAACTCAAGGCCAGGCTAGGCACCGTGGCTCACACCTGTAATCCCAGCAGTTTGGGAGGCCGAGGCAGGCAGATCACATGAGGTCAGGAGTTCAAGACCAGCCTGGCCAACATGGTGAAACCCCGTCTTTACTAAAAATACAAAAATTAGCTGGGCATGGTGGTGTGCACCTGTAATCCCAGCTAATCGGGAGGCTGAGGCAGGAGAATCGCTTGAACCCAGGAGGCGGAGGTTGCAGTGAGCCGAGATCACACCACTGCACTCCAGCCTGAGCAACAGAGCATGACTCTGTCTCAAAAAAAAAAAAAAAAAAGAAAAAGAAAAAAAAAAGAAAAGAAATAACTCAAGACCTTTGCCTTATTTGGGTGTGGTCTGATTGGTTGGCTGCCCGTGATTGATTGGTTGAAACCTGGCTATCTGTTAACAAACTACTGAATAAAGTTGTTGTTGGTTAGTGGGAACTCCCAGTACAGAGACGGCCTCAGGCAATGACTGCTCCTTATTTTGCTTTAAACAACTTTAATCTAGCCGGGCAGGGCATGGTGGCTCACGCCTGTAATCCCAGCCTTTTGGGAGGCCGAGGCGGGCAGATCACCTGAGGTCAGGAGTTCCAGACCAGCCTGGCCACCATGGTGAAAGTCCTTCTCTACCAAAAATACAGAAATTAGCCACGCATGGTGGCAGGTGCATGTAGTCCCAGCTACTCGGGAGGCTGAGGCAGAAGAATCGCTTGAACCTGGGAAGCAGGGGTTGCAGTGAGTCAAGATCGTGTCACTGCACTCCAGCCTGGGTGACAAGAGCAAAACTCATCTCAAAATAAATAAATAGATAAATATAAATAAATAAAATTCAGTGGTGCCTCTTCCTCCTGCTCCAGCCACGTAGGACACACCTGTGTCCCCTTCACCTTCTGCCACGATGATGTTTCCTGAGGCCTCCCCAAAAGCAGAAGCCGCTATGCTTTCTGTACAGTCTGAGGAACTGTGGGCCAATTCAACCTCTTTTCTTTCTAAATTACCCAGTCTCAGGTATTTCTTTGTACCCATGTGAGAATGGACTAATATAGATGGTTTTGGGAGGTGGTGCCTTTGGGAGGTGACAAGGTCATAAGGGTGGAGTTCTCATGAATGAGATCAGGGCCTTTATAAAGGAGACCCCTGGCCGGGCACGGGGCCTCAAGCCTGTAATCCCAGCACTTTGGGAGGCCGAGGCAGGTGAATCACCTGAGGTCAGGAGTTCGAGATCGGCCTGGCCAACATGGTGAAACCCCGTCTCTACTAAAAATACAAAAATCAGCCTGGGGTGGTGGCGGGCACCTGTAATCCCAGCTACTCGGGAGGCTGGGGCAGGAGAGTCACTTGAACCCGGGAGGCGGAGGTTGCAGTGAGCCAAGATTGCGCCATTACACTCCAACCTGGGCAACAAGAGCGAAACTCCATCTCAAAAAAAAAAAAGAAGAGACCCCCACCCCGGCTGCCAGGAGACCCCTGACTGCATTCACCACGTGACGTCTATCAGGAGGCGGGCGCTCACCAGACACGGAATCTGCCTGCACCTCGATATTGGACTTTCTGGCCTCCATCACTGTGAGAAATGCATTTCCATTGTTTGTAAGCCACCTGGCTTGTGGTGTTTTGTCAAAGCTGACTAGGACAGTCACTTTCCCTTCACCAGGACTGCAAACCCCGTGTCTCAACTGTGGCTTCCTGTGAGTTTGTCTGTCAGCAAAACCTCCTGAAATGGGCCAGAGCCCCCCTTAGAGCAGCAGGACATGCCACAGACTTCAGAGACCTTTCACTGTGCCCCCAGGACAGATCTAGAGTTGGCTGGAAAGGTGCAGGAGCAGCTGGGCCATGCCTCCTTAATAACACTGGGGGCTCCACCCCCATCTGTCAAGGGAACCAAAGCTCCAAGGACTTCCTAGTTTCTGCCCTCGGTGGGAGTGCAGCTGCGGTCAGGAGACCTACACATCTGTGACTGTCAGAGCGGCAAGACCTTCTGCTCGCAGAGACACATCTTTTCTTTCTCTCTTTCTTTCTTTTGAGACAGAGTCTCGCTCTTGTCGCCCAGATTGGAGTGCTGTGGTGTGATCTCGGCTCACCGCAACCTCCGCCTCCCTGGTTCAAGCAATTCTCCTGCCTCAGCCTCCCGAGTAGCTGGGATTACAGGCATCTGCCACCAGGCCCAGCTAATTTTTTGTAGTTTTAGTAGAGATGGGATTTCACCTTGTTGGCCAGGCTGGTCTCGAACTCCTGACCTCAGGTGATCCACCCGCCTTGGCCTCCCAGAGTGCTGGGGTTACAGGCGTGAGCCACCGCGCCCGGCCCTCTAAATCATTTTTAAGCACACAGTCAGTGACATTAGGTATGTTCACATTGTTGTACAGCCCTCACTGCCATCTGGCTCCAGAACTTTTCCATCTTGTAAAACTATCTTGAACTATACAGGTGCAGTGGCTCACACCTGTAATCCCAGCACTTTGGGAGGCCGAGGCGGGCAGATCACCTGAGGTCAAGAGTTTGAGACCAGCCTGGCCAACATGGTGAAAACCCATCTCTACTAAAAATACAAATATTAGCTGGGTGTGGTGGTGGGCGCCTATAATCCCAGCTACTCGGGAGGCCGAGGCAGGAGAATCGCGGGAACCGGGGAGACGGAGGTTGCAGAGAGCCGAGATCGCGCCATTTTACTCCAGCCTGGGTGACAGAGTGAGACTCCATCTCAAAAAAAAAAAAAAAAAAAAAAAGGCAAAATTGATCTCACTCGAGGTCTTTAACCTAATTACAGCTGTAAAGACCCCATTTCCACAGAAAGTTACATTTACACATTCCAGGGGGACTTATCTTTTGGGGGGCACCATTTAACCCACTGCAGTATCAAAATCAAGGTGCAGGGCAGCACGTGCAGTGTGGTACCATTTTCATTTTTGTCATTTAGCTCTGTGTGTGTGTGTGCACATGGGTGTGTGCCCGCGTGCGTGTGTGTGTGTGTGTGTCAATCTCCCTGTGTTCCTTCCATGTATAGGTGATTGAACCTCTCTTGCTATTTTTTTTTTTTTTATCCGAGACAGAGTTTCACTTTTGTCACCCAGGCTGGAGTGCAGTGGCACGATCTCGGCTCACTGCAACCTCCACCTCCCAGGTTCAAGCAATTCTCCTGCCTCAGCCTCCTGAGTAGCTGGGACTACAGGCGCGCACCACCATGCCCGGCTAATTTTTTGTATTTTTAGTAGAGATGGAGTTTCACCATGTTGGCCAGGCTGGTCTCGAACCCCTGACCTCAGGTGGTCCACCCGCCTTGGCCTCCGAAAGTGCTGGGATTACAGACGTGAGCCACCATATCCAGCCCTCTCTTGCTATTTGCAAAGGTGTAAGTGGGGGGACTGAATCGTGTCCCCACTAAATTCCTTCCTGGAAGCCCTAACCTGCAAGGAGAGGGTATTGACGATGTAGCCTATGGGAGGTGCCTGGGGGTGGATGAGGTCATGAGGGTGGGCCTTAGTAGAAAGGGCACAGGTGCCCTCCCCTTATTCCTTATCCCACCCTCGCGTCAGGACGCAGCAAGAAGGCACTAGAGAAGGGAGGCAGGGCTGAGAACGGGGAAAAGGGCTGGATCCTTAGAGAGGCCAGGGCTGGGAACCTCAGGCGGGTTCCCAGGATCTGCCAGGAAGAGGACCCTCACCAGAGCCGGACCACGGGGCGCCCCCACCCCCAGCCTCCAGACCCGTGGGGAGGAAACGTCTGCTTTGTGAGGATGTCCTGGCCGGCGGAGACAAACCTGAATCCTGCGGGCGCTGGGGCCCCCGGATCCTCCACAGCTGCTCAAAATGAGGGTGACGCAGAGAGACACCACAATAAACTCGAAAGTAGCAGACGGTGAAACCGTCTCCATGCTGTCAACGTGTGAGCAACGTTCAGCGTCCGAGTCACAGGGAACACAGGAGGCCATCCCACCGAGCGGGGCTGTGACTCGTGTTCATAACTGTCATCACCCTAGTACCTGCCGCTCCTCCTGGAGAAAATTCGGATGTCCCAGGTGGGCTGAAGCACACAGGAAGGTGGGGGTGGAGAGACAAGGGAGGCAGGGCTGAGCACAGAGCTGCGTCCTTCGAGAGGCTGGGGCCGGGAACCTCAGGCGGGTTCCTCTAAAACAGCCCTTGTCGCTGTTGTTCATGTCCTTATCACCGACGTCTTGAACGTTCATTGTAAAATATGCAGGTTCATCTGAGGCAGGACAGGCGGTCGAGGAAGTGACCGTGTCCTCGGAACGTGGCAACCGCGGTGACCCCACAGTCAACACAATAAGCCCTAGCGTTGGCACTGTAGTCCCACTCACTCAAGCGCAGCTGTCTCCAGTAGGGGCTTTCCCTGTAGACAGCATGAGCTTTTTTTTTTTTTTTTTGAGGTGGAGTCTCGCTCTGTCTCCCAGGATGGAGTGCAGTGGGGCAACCTTGGCCCAGTGCAACCTCCACCTCCCAGGTTCAAGCGATTCTCGTGCCTCAGCCTCCCGAGTAGCTGGGATTACAGGCACCTGCCAGCACACCTGGCTGATTTTTTTTTTTTTTTTGGAGACACAGTCTTGCTGTATCCTCCAGGCTGCAGTGCAGTGGTGCGATCTCGGCTCACTGCAACCTCCATCTCCCGGGTTCAAGCAATTCTCGTGCCACAGCCTCCCGAGTAGCTGGGATTACAGGCATGTACCACCACGCCCAGCTAACGTTTTATTTTTAGTAGAGATGGGATCTCACTATGCTGTCCAGGCTGGTCTCAAACTCCTGGCCTCAAGTGATCCTCCCCCATCTCGCCTCCCAAAGTGCCGGGATTCCAGGCGTGAGGCCCTGTGCCCGGCCAGAGGAATGAAGTTCTGGCCCAGGCTATGTGGGTGAGTCGTGAAGCTGTCATGCTGAGTGAAAGAATCCAGGCACAAAGGTCCACATGGTCCTGATTCCGCTTCTATGAAATTTCCAGAACGGGCAAATCCACAGACACACGAAGATGAGTGGTTGCCATGGGCTGGGGGAGGGAGCAGTGGGGAGCGAGTGCCTATGGGGAAGGCGTTTCCCTTTGGGGGGATGAAAATGTTCTGGAGGTGATGGTTGCAAAACATTGGAGGCGTTGCAAAAAACTGAAAGTGCTAAATTATACACTTTTTTTTTTTTTTGAGATGGAGTCTCACTCTGTTGCCCAGGCTGGAGTGCAATGGTACCATCTTGGCTCACTGCAACTTCCGCCTCCTGGGTTCACGTGATTCTCCCGCCTCGGCCTCCCAGGTAGCTGGGATTACAGGCATGCGCCACCACACCCAGCTAATTTTTGTATTTTTAGTAGAGACAGTGTTTTACCATGTTGGCCAGGCTGGTCTCGAACTCCTGATCTCAGGTGATCTGCCCACCTCAGCCTCTCAAGGTGTCAGGATTACAGGCATGAGCCACTGTGCCCGGCCAAATTGTACACTTTAGAATAATTTTATGTTACATGAATTTCACTTCAATAAAAAAATATAGGTAAGGGCTGGGTGCGGTGGCTCACGCCTGTAATCACAGCACTTTGGGAGGCTGAAGCGGGCGGATCACTTGAGGTCAGGAGTTCGCGAATAGCCTGGCAAACATGGTGAAACCCCGTCTCTACTAAAAATACAAAAATTAGCTGGGCATGGTGATGGGCATCTGTAATTCCAGCTACTCGGGAAGCTGAGGCAGGAGAATCGCTTGAACCCAGAGGCGGAGGCTGCAGTGAGCCGAGATCACACCATTGCACTCCAGCCTGGGCAACACAGGGAGACTCCATCTCAAAAAAAAAAATACAGGTAAGCAAAAATAAGTAAAGTCAGCTGTGACCTGGCCATCCGACAGATGGAATCACTGTGGAACCCAAATGTGTATCCTTCCAGATTGAGACCTTTTTTTTTTGAGACGGAGTTTCGCTCTTGTTTCCCAGGCTGGAGTGGAGTGCAGTGGCACCATCTCGGCTCACTGCAACTTCTGCCTTCCGGGTACAAGCGATTCTCCTGCCTCCGCCTCCTGAGTAGCTGGGATTACAGGCGCCTGCCACCACGCACAGCTAATTTTTTGTATTTTTAGTAGAGATGGGGTTTCTCCATGTTAGTCAGGCTGGTCTGGAACTCCCAACCTCAGGTGATCTGTTGGCCTCGGCCTCCCAAAGAGCTGGGATTACAGGCATGACAGATTGGGAACTTTTGACTATATGTACACACACACAGTCACACAGCCGTAAAAACATACACAGGCACAGACATATGCATTTGGCATAAAGGGGCTACTTTACCTTGTTGCTTTTTTCAAAAGAACTGAGGGTCTCAGCCATATTATTGGGAATCACATGTTCTTTTTTTTTTTTTTTTTTTTATTGATCATTCTTGGGTGTTTCTCGCAGAGGGGGATTTGGCAGGGTCATAGGACAATAGTGGAGGGAAGGTCAGCAGATAAACAAGTGAACAAAGGTCTCTGGTTTTCCTAGGCAGAGGACCCTGCGGCCTTCCGCACGCAGCGTTTGGGGAATCACATGTTCTAAGCAAAGTTTTAAACATGATGTTTTCCTGCTGATGATATGTAAAAGAAATTGTGTAACCACTAACATAAAAGCAAAGCTTCCCTTGGGCATCAAAAAGACTGTTTTTTCCCCAACATCGTGGACTTCGTGAGGGTGACCAGGCAGCACCGTGAGATCCCTGTGGGTCTTCAGGCCGATCTCCAGGATCCTGGGGAATGTGCACCTCCTTTAAAGGGATATGAATTCAAGTTCAGGACATTCTGGACCTCAGCTCCACCGTAAAAGTTGCTGCCAGGCATGGTGGCTCACACCTGTAATCCCAGCACTTTGGGAGGCCGAGGTGGGTGGATCACCTGAAGTCAGGAGTTCGAGATGAGCCTGGCCAACGTGGTGAAACCCCATCTCTATTAAAAATACAAAAATTAGCCGGGCGTGGTGGCGTGTGCTTGTAGTCCCAACTACTGGGGAGCTGAGGCAGGAGAATCACTTGAACCCAAGAGGAGGAGCTTGCAGTGAGCCGAGGTCACGCCACTGCACTCCAGCCTGGGTGACAGAGCAAGGCTCCGTCTCAAAAAAAAAAAAAAAAGTTGCATAATGTTCTGTTTCCTGGATCGACCGTAATTTATGCAACCAAGTGTCTCTTGGTGGGTACTTAGGATGTCTAAACTGTCTCTTTTTCTGAAACACACTGTTTGCACAACTGGCTATGTCTGTGTCCCGTTCCTTAATTATTAACTGGGGACAGATTCCTGCAGGTGACATTTCTGGGTCAGAGACTTTGAACGGGTGGCTTTCTATCATAACCTGCTCCAGAGAGCAGGGTACCCCTGGGGGTAGCTGAGGCAGAGACGCAGCCCACCCCAGTCTCGTGGGACTCCCTGGTGGCAGCGCTGACTGGACTCTGGGGCAGCGGCCCTTCGGGGGGCTGCTTCCCTCTCTCCCCAGGCACAACCTCGGGGGAACAGACTGCCCTTCCCTGGGACCCCAGCCTCACTAGCCCCCTACCCATCCTCCTCTGGTCCCGTCTTCTTTTGGTCCCAGAATTCATCTGGTCCTGCCTTGCCTTGGAGCCAATGCTATTCCCTATGCCAGGAATTCCAACCACCCGCCTGATGGCCCCGTGAGCAATCCACCCTGGGGGACCAGCTCCTATGACCTCCCTTTCGTGGAGGCCCTCCTGATCCAACAGGTCATGCAGACACCCGTTCCTGCTGGGCTCCCCACTAGCCCCCAAGCCCCATCTGGTAGGAACCACCTTGCCTGTCTCTGTCCCCGTGCTGACCACCGCTGATTCCATACCTCAGCAGAGGGGTGGAGGCATGTACATGCACGCACGCACACGCTCTCACACGCAGGCGCACGCCAGGGCTAGCTCCCTCACGCCCACTCATGCACACACACTCCTTCCGGAGAGCTCACTGACACGCACAGGCACACACACGCGCACACACACACGTGCACACACACACACCCTGGGGCTTGCTCAGCTCTGCTACGAAGGGCCCCTTGGGCTCAGGCCGCTGACCCTGCGGCTCCTGACGCTCCCAGTCCAGAGTCCCCTTGGCCTCCCCCTGAGCCTGGCTGGACTTCGGCCTGATCAGGGTCCCTCAGTGGAGCTGTGACCTTCTTTTCCTCCCTCTAGAAGCTCCTGAGAGACCAGCAAGGGTGTTGAGATAAGGATGGAGGAAGGAGGAGAAGGGAGAGGGAAGAGGGGAAAAGAGAGGGATGATAGGAGGGGGAAGGAGGAGGGGGAGGGGGAAGGAGGAGGGGGAGGGGGAGGAGGAGGGGGAGGGGGGAGGAGGAGGGGGAGGGGGGAGGAGGAGGGGGAAGGAGGAGGAGGAGGGGGAAGGAGGGGAGGGAGGAGGGGGAGGGGAGGGAGGAGGGGGAGGGGAAGGAGGCCAGGGAGGAGGGGGAGGGGAGGGAGGAGGGGGAGGGGAGGGAGGAGGGGAGGGGAAGGAGGGCAGGGAGGAGGGGGAGGGGAGGGAGGAGGGGGAGGGGAGGGAGGAGGGGGAGGGGAGGGAGGAGGGGGAGGAATCTTGCAATCTGAATAAAAACATCTTTGGGCCTCATTTGCGCCCCAGGCCCCCCAGGCTCCGCCAGGCTGGGGGGTGGAGGTGCAGGCAGTGGTGGAGAGCTGAGTCCTGGACTGGCCTAGGAGACCCCAGTCCTGGCTGCACGGCCTCAACCACGTGACTTGGAGGGGCAGCTCCTCCTCTTGACACCCCAGCTGTTCACCCGCACAGCCTGGAGCCCACCCTGCTGTCGGGGCTGCGGTGAGAATCTGCTGAGGGCCTGTGTTGCAGGGTCTGGTGTCGCCCAGGGAAGTTCTGCACCAGGTCGAATCTCCAGGCCTCCTATTGTGTTTTAATCACAGTCTACCTGTCTAGACCTAGTGTGTCCTACAGGGTGTGCGGTGGCCAGGCCCCAGGGGGCCCCAGGGACCCTCACCTCCCAGCATCTGTCACCTCCTGCCCTCCCGTGGGCTTCTGGGCTTGGTCTGTGCAACCCACAGCCCTTGGTGGGAGTGTTGGTGTGTGGCTTCCTGGGCGCCCGGGGCCCCTCGGCGGGGCTGGTTAGAACCGGTGCTGTGGCACAGACAGCAGCTGGTGCCAGGTGGCCCTGGCCGGAGACACTCAGGGCACATGGACGTGCAAAGACAGCAGGCGGCCGAACACCTGTCACCGTCCCATGTCACGTAAGGGGAGCAGTGCACATCGGCACTGGCCGTGTGAGCCCGTGGTGTGTAAATTCCTCCAGGGAACAGGTTCACCAGCCCTGCGGAGAGCCGTGCGTGCAGCTGGCACGGGGGGTCCCTGAGAAGATCCTGGCCCTGCTGTGCTCGACTCCGCGGGGGACGCTCAGCCCTCCTCGACAGAAGGTGAGCCTAGGAGATGGAGCAGGATGCACAGAGGGAAGGGGGGTTTCACCTAAAGCTCAGACGGATCAGGACCCGGGTGCCTGCCTGGGGGGACGTGTGGGGCTCCCCCACAAGGCCGAGCTCCCTGAAGGCAGGCTTTCCCCAGGGGGTGCAGCCTACCATGACCCTGGGCCTGTGGGGATGGGCTCCTGACCAGCTGTGGTCTCACCAGGCAGACACTGGGCTCCTGCCAGGCCTCTTGACCATCTGTCTTGCGGGCTAGGACACATTCTCCTGGCCCGCCTGGCTTCTGCCTGCTTATTAAGAAGGTGGCGTGAAAACAGAGCCACCTGACGTCGCCCCAGGGCCGCAGCCAGGTGCTCTCAGCAGGGTTCTCTGGGAGGCTGGGGAGGAGGAAGGCCCAGGGCCCGGGCACTGTGCCCAGCCAGGCCCCACAGTGCTGGGCAGTGCAGTGTGCTGGCAAGAGAATGTGTCTGCCTTTATTTATACAGGTGACTGAGCAACAACAGGGCGAGGTTAATGTCATTTAAAGAAAGTGTTTTTGTTTTTGTTTTTTTGAGACAGAGTCTTACTCTGTTGCCCAGGCTGGAGTGCAATGGCACGATCTCAGCTCACTGCAATCTCCACTTCCCAGGCTCAAGCGGTTCTCCTGCCCCAGCCTCCCAAGTAGCTGGGATTACAGGCACCTGCCAGCATGCCTGGCTAATTTTTGTATTTTTGGTAGAGACTGGGTTTCACATGTTGGCCAGGCTGGTCTCGAGCTGCTGACCTCATGATCTGCCCGCCTTGAACTCCCAAAGTGCTGGGATTACAGGTGTGAGCCACTGCGCCCGGCTGGAAATGAATGTTTAGAGTGGAAGATTGTATCTGTCTTTACACCAACACACTCATAAAATATAATTTTCAATGTATTTTTATCAAGGAAGGAGCCCCTGAAGGCAAAGGGCCCGGGGCCCCCAGGCATCGCGCCCTGTGCGGAGGGTCCTGGCCATTGAGCAACAGCAAACTGGGGGCGCCGGGGATGCGGATGAAGGACACCCAGAAACTGGCAGGAATGGGGAAGGAGAAAGGAAGAGAAGGGAGGGAGGGAGGGAGGGAGGGAAAACTAATTCCCCAAGCCCAGAAACTACGATGGGTGGACTTGCAGAGGGGAGGAACTTCAGTGCACCTCAAACGCTCGGAGGCGCCTGTGCAGCTCCAGTCATGCAGGCAGAGCCGCAGTCTCAGGGCCGCTCCATGCTGGTTCCCACTAGCGGCCCGGGGGCACCCACTGCTCGGAGGACGCACCCCGTGGGTGGGGCTGGGAGGCTCCTGCCTGGCGCTGCTGAGTATTGGAGGGGCCGCGGATTCCTGGGGTGGTACCCGCCCAGCCCAGCGCTCATCAGAGGACTCGGATTGTGCGGAAGGTTGGAGCATGGCAAGTGGCAAGTGCCCCTGGGGACGCTTTAAGGACGAAGGATGGTAGATCCAAAGGCGTGACCTCCTGTGGGCTCCCGCGTCTGGGGCCACATGTCCCCCGTCATCCCTCCGTCCCTCTGCCCTGTGGCCTGGCGCTGCCTCCACCCCACCCCACCCTACCCCATCCCGGGGCCTGTCCACCAGAGGGCAGTGCTGCCCAGCCCTTCGCAGAGGCCTTGGGGAGAATCCAGGGGCGGCCTTGCTGGACTTGGCCCTAGGCTGGGGAAGGGGTCGCCAGCTGAAATACAGGACACCCAGTTAGATCTGAGTTTCAGATAAACAACAAATAACATTTTTTAGTATAAGTATGTCCCCATATTACACGGGACACGTTTATGCCAAAATATTCTTCCTTGCCAATCTGAAGTGCAGATCTAACCTGAGCCCTAGGTTTTTGTTTTGTTTGATAAATCTGGCAACCCTGCCAGGGGCAGCACAGGTGACCTGCAGGCTCTCGGAAGGCGGCTCCCAGGAGCAGGCAGGGCTGCAGTCAGCTCGGCAGGGATGGCCACCGTCTGCCACACCTGCCCAAGGCTGTGACTCAGACGGGGCTGTGACTCAGGCAGGGTGCGGCAGGGCGGGGAGGGTGGGAGCTGGGTGGCTGAGCTGCTGGACCTTAACCCTCACCTCTTACCCAGAGGCAAGAGGACCTGACCTACTCACCTGCACTCAGGGCTCTTGTGCTGAGGCCTTGGGGTGGTAAGGGGCGTGGTATAGGTCAAAGGCCAGAGCCCTGTGTCCTCTGCTCCGGAAGGCACGGCTGCAGGTGTAGTTAGTGTTGCTGACACCCTCTAGGCTTGTGCAGTGCACAACCTGCACAGCTGGGCTAGGCGCCCGGGGCAGCTCCTCTGGTTCCCTCCTCACCCAGGTCCTGCCCTCCTCTCTCTCTCCCTGCCTGCCGTGCGCCCGCCCTCACTGTGGCCTCTGGACTCCTGCTGGAGTCTCCTTGATGACATTTAAGTCACAGCTCCACCTGGAATTCAACTTGGGCTCAGACACCCCAACCCTCTGGGATGGAAAAGAAGAAAATGGAGAGTGTGGGGCAGACGCCGGCCGAGCCGAGGGCAGGTCAGCACAGCCTCATGTCCGGCAGAGGGTGTCCAGGTTCTTGGCATCATGAACAAAGAATTGGACAAAATGCACAAAGCAACGGAAGAAGGAAGCAGCAAAGGCAGAGACGTGTGGAACATGAACGCGCACTCCACAGTGCAGTGGGAGCCGGGCTGAGCACAGGGGGTCGGGAGCCCTGTTACAGAACTGCCTGGGGTCTAAATATGCTCCAGAGGTTTCCACTGGTTACTTGGTATATGCCCTATGTAAACGGAGAGGTTATTTCCTGTTGTAGCTGATGTGTTTCCATTTGATTTTGTTCTACGGAGTCAGCGTGAAACAGCCTTAGGTTCCCAGGCTCCAGATCCTCTTCTCCTCCCTCACTGGGTCCCAGTCATTGCCCCATTGTCTGGATCTCGGAGGCTGCCCCTGGTGCTGGCTGAAGCCCAGCCACCATCCCCGAAGGCCGCTCCTTCCCAGGATGTCCAGAGGCTCTCGGTGCGTCGTTTCCCAGGTGGCCCCTGACGACTGAGGGCTCCAGGCTCTGCACAGTCCACGCTGCCACTGGGATCGGAAGGGCGGATTCCTCCCTCCTTCCGTCACTCATTCACTCACCAATGGGGCACCTGCCATGGGCCAGGAGCAGAGTAGAGGGTGTTGGAAGCGAACCCACGGGTGGGCGGTCGGGTGGGGAGGGAAGCCCGCCTGCCTCTGCCCACAGGAGCCCAGGCCTGACACGGCCCCAGGACACAGGCCCCTGCCCCACACGGCAGCACGGATGCCCACGGCCCAGGCCTGGCATGGTTCAGAGGAGGACGTGGACACCAGGTCCACTGGGGGCTGCCTGGACACCCTGGAAACTGTGTGCACCACCCGGGTGGCCGTGGGAGTGCGGCGCTCAGCCTGAGAAGGACCCAGCGTCGGAAGCCCCTGTAGGCGCCAGAGCCGGCCCTCGGACGCTTCACCAAAGGAAGCTGCAGCCTCGTCTGGGCTCCGACGGCCCTTCCTGGAGGTCTTGCCGTTTCTCTCATTTGGTGGAAGAGGTCACGGCCTGTGGCACCCAGGCCCCGGCTTTCGATGCTGAGCCCCGAACCCCCGGCCTCAGCCTCATCTTGCCAAGAGGATGATCCTGTGGAAAGGTGAAGTCGCTCCCGAAATTGGGGGGCGGCTCTGAGCCCCCAGTTGGGTTTGCTAAGGCTTGGACCGGTGCTGCCAAAGGCCCTTCCGACCACATCATGGGCAGGGCGCAGGGCCAGAGCCAGGGCCACCCTGCAAGAGCCAAGCCCCTGGACACCACTGCCGGTGGGGAAACTGGGGAAATAGGTGCTCTGGAGGTATTTGGGGGAAGGGTGAAGGAGGAGCCGACTGCAGCCCAGGCCCCCCTGCCCCCGCTTGCTGGGGTTGGGACCTCGGCTCCTCTGCCCCAGTGGGATCAGCTGCTCCAAGCCCCGCCACAGTCGGGAGGCCCTTGGAGGGGCTCAGGGAGCAGAGCCCGCTGTGGTGGGTGGGGCAGCCTTGGTAGTGGAGGGGGCTCCTGAACCGCCCATTCTCTGGGGCACTTGCCTCCCTCCTGTGCCCTAGGCGAGATACCAGAGGAGGGGGCTTGGAGGCCCTAGGCCTGATTGGACGCCGCCCTCAGCAGTGAGTAAAAAGCCATGGGGTGAGGCCGAGGCTGGGGGCTGGGCCTTCATCCCTGCCTTGCTTGGGCTGGCCTGGGCCGTCCCAAGCCTCGGTCCCACTGAATCATCACACGCACCCTGCACGAAAGGGAAACTGAGGCCTAGAGAGGCAGGGCTGATCCAAGGTCACCCAGGGTCTCCTCGCTGGGTCGGGCTGCCTGACCCTGACCCTGGGCTCTTCAGCCCCACACCACACCCCTCTCGGACTGGGACCCAGGCACCCTCTGGGCCTCCGTGGTCCTGTGTGAGCTCCAGCCATGGCTGCGTCAGAGGCCGGAGCTCTGCGTCTGCTCTGGTACTTCCTGCCACGGAGCCCGACTTGCCCGGGCTCCCTGCTCCTCAGAGGCTCCACTTAGACACAGGTGTGCTGGGTGCGAGAGGCCGTGCATAGGGCACAGCTGCTCTGGGCAGGGAAGGGCTACTGCAGTGTGGGCCCCTCCTCCCTGGGCCGTCTCCTCCCTTCTGTCTCCTGATGCCTCCCCGCCCCTGTCCTCTCCATCCACCTCTGTCCTCTGTCTCCCAGCCCAGACATCATCCTGGCAGGAGAAGGACCCTGTGGGGTGTGCTCTGCCCCTCACTCCCACCCCAGCCTGTGACCTAAGAGCTCCGGATGGGACATCCAAAGGCGTGACCTCCTGTTGGCTCCTACATCTGGGGCCATATGTCCCAAGGTCCCACGTGCCCTGGCCAGCGCCCCTTGGAGCCCTCACCCGCCCTCCCTGACTCCCTAGGGAGAGTGTGGACCGCCCCGCCTGCTGCAGAGGTCTGGGCAGCCAGCCCAGAGGGCTCACCTCATCTATTTTTAAGCACAAACCCATGAAAGATTCACAGGCTGCTTTATTTACAGGTGGTGGGAATGGCATTGCGCCCAGCACACCCACCAGGAGGCCGGACAACCCGTCGGCCAGGGTACGCTCTGCCCGAGAGCCCCAGGCATGCCCGGCTTGGACCTCAGCCACTCTGTGCAGGCTGAGGTCCCGGCATAGCCTGGCCTCCCCGTCCAGCCCCCAAGCCAGGCTTTGATGTCCTCCCTGGAAGGAAGGAGCCCCTGAAGGGTCCAGCCCGAGGCCCAGCTGTGCCGTGGCTGCCCCCTGGCCACACGTCCCCGTGTCTCCAGCTGCCGAGAAGCTCTCCCCTTCCCTGGCTCTTGTCCTGGTGTCTCTCCGGGGCAGGTCTTTGGGGAGAGGCCTAGTCAGGCCCATGTGCCCCGCCAGCCCGGCAGCTGCCTCCTGTCACACACTGGGCACGGCGAGCGTCACGTCTCCACTTTACAGATGAGGAAACCGAGGCTCTGGTGCCTTGGCTAACTCAGGGTTTAGGTTTAAAGCCAGATGGACTGGTCTTCAAAGCCCGGCTGCCCTGCCCCTGCCAGTCCTTCCTGGGCCACACAGCACTGGCTTCATCTCTGCTTCCTGGAATTGGAGAGGCTTGGCTGGTCCTTCCGTCCTCACTCGCTCCCTGAGCTGTGTGGGCTCCCCGGGCCTCAGCAGCCGGTGCCAACTCAGCTCTCACTGTCACCTGGTGTCATGCGCTGTCTGGCCGGGTCCCAGCAAATGCCCAGGAGGACTCTCAGCTGTCCTTGGGTGGGTACAGCCGCACGGCCACCACCGGCCCAGCACTCCCTGCCCCTGGTAGCTGAGGGCATCTCAAGGGTCAGACAGGGCGCTGGCCATCCCTACACAACAGAACCAGGCTCCCAGTCCCTCACCACACTCTTGGGATAAACCCAGCAGAGCCCATGCCAGCCCTCCCTGGGTGAGAAGCACTCATTTTAGAGAAAATCTCTTTTCTAGGCTGGGCGCGGTGGCTCACATCTGTAATCCCAGCACTTCGGGAGGCCGAAGCGGGCAGATCACTTGAGGTCAAGAGTTTGAGACCAGCCTGGCCAACATGACAAAACCCTGTCTCTATTAAAAATACAAAAATTAGCCGGGTGTGGTGTCGGGCGCCTGTAATCCCAGCTACTCAAGAGGTTGAGGTAGGAGAATCTCTTGAACCCAGGGGGCAGAGCTTGCAGTGAGCCGAGATCACGCCACTGCACTCCAGCCTGGGTGACAGAGCGAGACTCCGTCTCAAAAAAAAAAAAAGAAGAAGAAAATCTCTTTTCTTGGCATCTCTGCCAGCCCATAAGATTCTCTGGAGCTTTACTTCTAGAAACAAATAATGTGTTAGCTTCCCAAATGTGGCATTATATTAAAATACACAGTACTTCCTCATCACTCCCCAAGTCCCTGGCCCGCCTCCTCTTGGATCTTGTCGGAGGAAAAGTGGACGTTTCTCTCAACACTTCTGCAAGGTGCAGAGAAGAGGGAGGAGGTGAAATTAGGTCTCACCCTCTTCAGGAGAGCAGTGGGCAAAACCCCACCTTGTCTGGGGAGGCAACAGGGTCACCGTGTGCTGCCCTGGCACTGTTCCTGCCAGCCCTGGCAGGAGTCTTCCGGCTCAGAGTCAGCCTCTTTTCCTCTGTCACGTCCCGGCTGTCTGGTGTTCACCCTTGAGAGCCTCAGTTTTCCCTCTGTAAAATGGGGATGCCTTTGCTACTATGGAAAGTGTGTGCTGAGCACCTGCTATGTGCCAGACATTGGCCTGAGTGCTGGTCGCACATGGTGCACAAAACAGATGAGGCCCCACGGGCTCCATTCCGGGGGGAGGAGAGGAGGGAGAGGTGTCCAACACACACACAGTCACCTAGGGGTGCAGGAAGATGGTGGCCACCCTGGAAAGGTCGGTGGGCTGGGAGGTAAAGGACAAGAAGGGGGCTGGCATGTAAAGCCCCTGGACAGGCCTGATGGTTGTGAGGACTGGATTCCACAGCCAGGGTACAACCTGCTCGGGACCTGGGTGCACAGAGCCTCCAGCTGAAGGTGCTGTGAAGCCCCACTCCTCCAGGAAGTCCACCTGGGACCCCAGCCCACACCCCCGCATCCCCCAGCTCCCGGCAGCGGCACTCCTGTCTGCAGGGTGCACCCACCTCATCTGCCCTGGAAGATGAAAACCCCGCAGCCGTCAGCAGCCACCTCTCAGCCTCTCAGAGGCACAGCAGTGCAGCTCTCAGACCTCCCGGCTGCGGGGTGTGCAGTTCCGGCTCCAAGCGTGGAAAGAGGTCAAGCCAGGCCCTCCAAGCTGATTCCAGATGAAGCCCATATGGATCTGGAAGGAGACTGGGCTGGAAAATGCTCTCCTGGGTTTCGCTGTAAGATGCCTACAGGCCTAAGGCAAAAGGATGTGTCTCCACTTTCAAGAAAAGCTGGGACCGCCTGGGCAGGGGCTGCTGAGCCCAGGCAGCGAGACCCCACGTCCTTCAGGACCGCAGTTCCCCATTCATTTGAAGAGCAGTTTCTGTATTTGTCATTCTCTCAGTACAGTTTGGGGGGTGGTTACAATGTTCAGGGAAATGTTTTAACAGCTCAACTCTGCATCTGAAAAAAGAGGGGCCGTGCTCCCCTGCTGACCCGTTAGAGCGCAGGGCGGCCAGCACTCCCGCAACTGCAGCAAACCCAAGAGTCCCTATGAGGAGGGACCCCAGGAAACTGCTTTTCAATCTCCATCTGCTCCCTGAGGTGGGACGCCGGGTGGGGGCCGGGCCAGGTGACTGCTGCCCTTGTCCCAGCTGCACCTTGCCCTGCCACGCTGGCCGTGCTGCCAAGCGGATGTGAACGCCGCCACCTGACACCCACCTCGCCTGCCCCCGGAGCGTCCCTGGTGACAAGGCTACTTCTGGCACCCAGGGTGGGGCAACCCAGCCCCGCCCAGACACACGCCCCAGTTGGCCTGCGCGCCCCCACGAGTCTCCCCGCAGGGGACCGAGAACACCCTAAGAGCCAGGCTTTCTGCCAGGTGGCCACTGGTCACTCGGGGGCGGTTCCGGCGGCCCTTTGCGTGGCCACCGGCCTGGCACGGGCGCATCCCCGCTGGTTTTACGCCCTTGGGGAGCTGTGGTTCTGCGCGCGGGAGCCTGTGGCTGCCCCGGCAGCGGGGGGAGGGGGCACCGGGCGGGGCAGGAGGCCCAGACCATGGGGGGCAGCGCCAGAGCCCGAGCCACCGGCAAGCCATGATGGGGGGGTCCCCTGGGACCGGGAGGGTGGGAGCAGAGCGCCAGAGCCTCGGTAACCTGGCAGAAGGCTGTGGGGAGGGAGCGTGGAGGGGAGGTCCGGGCCGGGTGACCCAGGGCGGGAAGGGGGGGCCGTGTCGGGGCGGGGTTGGGGACAGTGGCGGGGCGGGGCCTGGTGAGGGGACCGTGTCGGGGCGTTGTTGGGGACAGTGTCGGGGCGGGGCGCCGCACCTAGCCCTTCCCTGCCGCGCGCTCCTCCCCCACGCCGCGCCCCGCCCCGCCCAGCCCCGCCGCCCTCGCAATAAGGGGCCTGAGCGCGCGGGGGAGAAGCGGGAGCGGGAGCGGGAGCGAGCTGGCGGCGCCGTCGGGCGCCGGGCCGGGCCATGGAGCTGTGGCCGTGTCTGGCCGCGGCGCTGCTGTTGCTGCTGCTGCTGGTGCAGCTGAGCCGCGCGGCCGAGTTCTACGCCAAGGTCGCCCTGTACTGCGCGCTGTGCTTCACGGTGTCCGCCGTGGCCTCGCTCGTCTGCCTGCTGCGCCACGGCGGCCGGACGGTGGAGAACATGAGGCAAGGCCGGGGGCCGCCGGGAGGGGCCGGGGAACCGCCGCGCCGCTTCCGCTTCCCTAACTTTCTTCTGGGCTTCCCTCCTTCCTGCCCCGCCCGTCCCGCCCCGCTCCGGGGCTCCGGGGAGAGCGCGCCTGGGCCGGCGGCAGGCACAGGAGGGGGTCCCGGAGTCAGGGGGTCCCGGAGTCACGGGGTCAAGGAGCCGGCGTCACAGTGCCCAGCACCCCACCCCCCGCCCTGGCCCCGGGCGTCTACACCGGTTTCGGCCTCCGCCGCGTCCCTGCAGCCCGGCGTGGGGTTCCGGGGGTGGAGCAGCTTTCGGAGAGAAAGGGGGCCGGTCCGCGCTGGGAGAGGCTCAGCCCTGCTTCCTGAGCGGGGAAACCGAGGCCGGGGCGGCGGGGACTTGCCCCAGGGCTATTGATCAGGGCGCACGACGGCGTGGGGGCACCCCTCGGCCTCCCTCCGACCCCCTCCTGACTGTCCGCCCGGTGATGGGCGCACCTGTGGGGCGGGTTCCCCTTTCTCTCCCTTTCCTCTTCGCAGGGAGGTGGGGGACCCGGAGGGGACCTGCTTCCGTGCTGGGGAGCGCGCCCCTGGCCTACAGCTCCGGGGGCCCAGCTTCCAAGCGAAGGGAAGGAAGAGTTAGGACTAGGGTTCGGCGGGGCTGAAATTTTCCCCTGGACGCCTTCCAGAAGGTGGGAGCTTGGTTTTGCCAGGCTGGGGTTGGGGGCCAGAGGTCAGACTGGGCTGCCAAAGACGGCGGGGGCTGCCTGCTCCTGGGCGGGGTGGCTGCTGGAGAAGGCTCTTGCCTGCCCCCTCTCCCTGTTAGCCGTCCCCAGGCTGTTGCTACATTTCTCCCTGCCCTGTTTGGACTGCCCAGCCAGTGGCTTTTGCAATGGCCTGGGGTGGGGGCATTGTGGCCCCAGAGGCCCCCTTCCCCGTGGTTCCAGGGGCAGTGGGTGAGGGTTTGCTAGCTCCCTGCACTCGCTGTCCTTGCCAGCCCTGGGAGGGCACTGAGGCTGCTGGAACGGGCCTACAGTCATGGCTTCCAACGGAGCCCCAGAAGCTCCAGGAATATGAAGGAGGACCCTGGGCCTGATGGTGAGCATGGAGAGTCCGAGAAGGGCCTGCTGGCTGCTCAGCCAGACGTGTGTGACCAGTGGTGATGTGGGCCAGGTGGCCCAGGCCGGGGTCCCGGGGAGCGCACACTCCAGGGCTGGCCCAGGTGGTGACTGGCGCTGACGTCCCCAGTGGAGCACCCTTCAGCGAGGAAGGCAGTTTGCAGAAACAGGGAGTTCCTGGGGGCTGGGCTCTGGGCACCTGTGCTGGAATCTGTGAAGGCCTCACCTGTGGTTCTGGCCCTGGGATCCCCTGTAGGCAGGGGTCTCTGTGAGGGGCCCCCCTCAGCCCCTGGGGTGCTTCAGAGTAGGGGCGAGGGTGCGGCTTTCCCAGCTGAGGAGGGGCCAGTCTGTGGGTTCCTTGGGGTGCCCCCCACCCCGAGGAAATGGCTTGTGTGGTTCTGATGCCTGCAGGGCATCCTGTGCTGGGCGTGTCCTGGGGTGTGGACAGGGGACGGGGTCCTGTTCTTTTGGCAGAAATGATGGGGCACCTGACTTAGGAGACCCTGGAGCAGACCCCACTACTGAGCCAGGCCACAGGCCACGGGCCTCTTCATCGGCGGCCTCCTCGTGTGAGAAAGCCTGGCTTGTTCTGCAGGGGCCTCTGCCTGGACTTCCTAGCTGTTTTCCAGGGACCAAATCACAGTTCACCTGCTGCCCTTTCTATGGACCTGGCAGGCTGGGTTGGCTGGCACTGGCCCTGCTGCCCCACTGGGCCCTGTCCCCATCTCAGCTTGGAGATTCTGGCTAACCTGGGTGTCCTCGGGACCTGGGGCCTCTGATGGTGCTTGGATGGGACCCTCCTGCCGCCCTCACCTCTCCAGGGCAGCACCCAGGCTCAGGCCTGTGGAGTAGTGGCTTCCGGGACACTGGCTACTAACAGCAGGTGCTTTGTTCCTGCTTTGGTCCCTGAAGAGAAGGGAGGGCCAGAGGGCAGGGCAGTCTGGAGGAGAGGCCTGGGGCTCCATGGCTACCTTCCCCCACACCTCTGCACGTGCTCCCCAGGCCCCAGGGTCCCTGATGACTTCCAAGACTCCCAGCAATGGCTAAGAGTGGGGCTGTTGCGAACGTGCGTTCCCTCCGTGGGGGCCGTCGGGAGGGGTGAGAAAGGCAGATGAAGAGCAGGCGCTTTGTCACTCCAGGGAAGGGACCCGGGGGGCTGGAAGGGAAGGAGGGGATACTCGGCCTCTGTTCCTGCTGTACGCCACGGGTGCCTCCAGCCTCAGGAACAGGGATTCGCGTGTGCTCTGTGTTACAAATAAGGACACTGAGGCTGAGATAAGCAACTTGAAACTGGGGCAGGGTCCCCAAGCCAGGATGGGGTGGAACTGGGGTTCGAACCCACTGACAGTGACTCCAGAGTACCTGCTTTTCCCTTTCCCCTTGTTCCCAGCCCAGCGCTTGGGGCTGGTGAGGCAGCCCTGCGGCAGGCCTGAGCTCTGGGAGGGGCGCTCCATCTTGCCCCTGAGCAATGGCTGCCCTGGCTGAGGCCCAGCCCCTCCCCACGGGGTTCCAGGCGGCACCCAAGAGACCCCCACCGTCTACACCGTAGTTCTGAGCGTGTGAGGGACAGTGATGGGACTAGAACCTCTGAGGCAGCCTTCGTTCCCACCGGGCTTGGGGCTGAGACCACGGACCCCTTCCAGGCAGGGGGTGTCCCCTGAGCCCTTCCCTGTGTGCGCAGTTACGGTGGAGCTGCAGGGGACGTTTCCTCACCAGGGGCCGATGCCCTGGTACATCCATTCGACAGAGGAAAGCAAAGCCCAGAGCGGCTCCGTGTCCTACAGCTGGGTTCAGCTACAGGATCAGAAAACCCTCAAGACAGCAGCTTAATCCACAGAGAAGTTTACTTTTTCATACAGCAAAGGAGACCAGATGGGCAGCCTAGGGAAACAGCAGTTAGTTTCCGGCTCCTTTGACCTCTATTCCCACCATTTTCAGGGTCCCAGACAGAAAAGGGGTGCTCTTCCTCTTAAGGATGCTCCCCGAATTGAACCCCACGCTCTGCTGGTATCTGGAGGCCGGGACCTAGTGGTTGTGGCAGCTCCTGGCTGCAGGGCAGGCTCCTGTCCCCATGGAGCACGTGCCCACACCACACGCCCAGTGTGGGGAGAACGCACAGGGGACTTGGGATGTCGGGCAAGGTTTGACCCAGATTTGCCGGCCAGTGCATGGTCCCGGGTCCTCTGACAGATGTCCGGTGATGACAGATGCCATCGGGGGCCCTGTGTCACCACAGCACTGGGGTCTTAGTCCCAAGGGAGACCGTGACCTTGGTCCTCCAGAGCGCTCCAGGTGTCTCTGTGCAGGCCCAGAAATTGGAGCTGTCCTGACTGAGGGATGGGAGGGCTTCTCTGGCCCCACCTCCTTCCCGCCCGCCACACCTGCACTCCTACACATCCGCTTTGAGGAGTCACGGGGACCCCCCACATCCGGGTGTTTGTGTGGGCTGGACCCCGCACCCCTATGGACCCATCCCGCCTTGTGCTGCAGCTTGGATGACACTTGTCGGAAAACACCAGATTCCTCACTGGGGTCCCTGTCCCCGGTGGCCCCAGCGAGCCCCAGCAGAGGGGGAGGGGGCTGCCCTGAATGAGCTCACGCAGCTGAAGATGGGCAAGTCCTGGCTCAGAGAGCTGCTGGGTCTCCTGGGAGTGTCCCAGCCCAGGACCAAGGCAAGGGTCAGCGAGTGGCCTTCCACGAGGACAGCCTGGCCAGTGGCCTGGGCCCTGACCTAGAACCGCCTCCCAGCTGCCTGAGCCAGGTGCTGGTGGGATTGGGGGCTTAGGCACATTGAGGGGCCTTTTGCTTCGATTTACTTTGGACTTTTTTTTTTATTTTTTGAGACAAGGTCTCGCTCTGTTGCCCAGGTTGGTCTTAAACCCCTGAGCTCAAGTGATCCGTCTGCCTCAGCCTCCCAAAGTGCTGGGGTCACAGGCATGAGCCACCGTGCCCGGCCCCACCCATTTTGGATTCTTCCCCCCCTCCCCCCCACCCCCTAGTCATCCCCATCACAGCCACTGTTGGTGGAGGTCCTGCCCTGGCCCGATGGTGCCCCGGGTGTCTCCGCCTCATAGAATGTAAGCCTGCACACCCTTCCACAAGAGCCTGGGAGGTCAAATGCTTTGCCCGAGGCCATAGCTGGGAAGAAGGGAAATGGGATCCAAATCCCCGTCAGGCCCAGAGCCTGAGTGTGGGAGCAGCCCAGGTGCCTGGGGGCTGAGCTCAGGCGGTCTGAGGAGGCTGGGTTCCTGCAGACCCCAGAGGGGTCTCTTACGGGGCTTCGCTCGAGGCCAGTGGACTCCAGTCTGAGGGCTCCTGAAAAAGACTGAGGCAGCACCTGGGCTTTCCCTCAGCAGGAGCCCACTGCTCCGATGCCACCAGAAGGGCCCAGTCTGGGCTCAGCCTCACTTAGTTTTGGGTGCTGGGCTGCTCCCTGGGCCTCCTGCCTTGCTGGGCAAAGCTGGCACAAGTCACCCGCCTGGCAGTGGCCAGCAGGGCTCCCTGAGCTCCAGGCTTCCGGCAACCTTGGCTTTGCCCCTGCTCCCCGGGGAGGCAAGGAGTCCAGGACCTGGATTTGGGGTCCGTGTGACTGTGTCCTGGTCTGGCACAGCGACACCTGCCCCAGGCTTTGAGGAAAGGACAGGGCAGCCCCTCGTCCGCCTGTGGTTGGTGGGAGGGGAGTTTGAGTGAGGCAGGGTGTTTGGCACAGGACAGGGACTGGGCTGGGCAAGCTGGTGGGGGAAGCCTGGGGACAGTGGCTGCTCTGAGCTTCCTGCTGGGGGAGGCCGGAGCAAGCTCCCAGCCCTGCTGAGGGGTTGAGGGGACTGCGGAGCCCGGGGGAGGGAGGGAGCCTCAGGATGAGCTCCTAGAGTCCTACTGGGGGCCCGCGCCGCCCCAGCACGACTCTGCCAGCTCCGAAGCAGGGTTCCGAGGGGGGCTCAGGCCTGTTCTGGCTTCCCTGCTGTGTGGCCTTGGGGAAGTCACTTAACTTTGCTGAACCTTGAACCTCGCATTCCTCATCTGAAGAGGGGGGTTATGATCGTACCTACCCTGGGGGGTTACTGTCAGAACAAAAGGAGGTGACTCATGTAGAGCCCTTGTCTCGAGGCTTTGCACACAGGAGGTGCAGGGGGCCTCTGTGCTTAGAAGGCGATTTTTCTCTGCTTGGGTTCCCGGGGGTGTCCTCGGCCGCAGGAGCCTCTGCAGGGCTTAGTTCAGTCCCTTCCTCTCTGAGGAAACACTTTTTTTGTGTGTGTGAGATGAAGTCTTGCTCTGTCACCCAGGCTGGAGTACAATGGCACCATCTCGGCTCAACGCAACCTCCTCCTCCCTGGTTCGGGTGATTCTCCCGCCTCAGCCTCCCGAGTAGCTGGGATTACAGGCAGCTGCCACCACGTCTGGCTGATTTTTGTATTGTTAATAGAGACGGGATTTCACCATGGTGGCCAGGCTGGTCTTGAACTCCTGACCTCAGGTGATCTGCCCGCCTTGGCCTCCCAAAGTCCTGGGATTACAGGCGTGAGCCACCCGCCCATCCAGGAACCGCTTGTAAAGTGAGTCTAGACTTTCCCACCAGCTTTCAGAAAGCTCTGAACTATGTACGGGACACCGCGGGGGAAGTGCGGTGGCCTCACGTGGCTGGTGCAGATGGCCCTTTGTCCCCTTGAGGACATCAACTTCAACTTTCTTCCACCCCCAGGGTATACCTTTCTCCCCCAGCCACACTGTGGGCTGCAGAGTTCTAGAGAGCCACAGCCTCCCGCTGGCCTGGGGCAGCCTCCGTCCGTCCATCTGTCTGGCCTGAGGACCAGGGGCCGGTGGTGGGCGGCGGGACACAGCGCCTGCTCAGCACCGCCTGCTGGGCGGGGGTTTGTACCCCGTGTCTTTCACAGCTGAGAGAAGTATCAGTGCACGATCCAACCCCTAAGCAGCTTAGATTAAAAAAAAAAAAAAAAGGAAAAGTTTTGGAGCTAGAGGGTGGTGCTGGCCACACGGCAGTGAATGCGCCGAGTGCCACGGAACCGTGTGCTGAGAAATGGGTACAATTATATTGTTTAGGTGGTGCGTGTTATACCACAATCAAAACAGAGGAGGGCTCGGCGCGCTGGCTCCTTCCTGTCATCCCAGCACTTTGGGAGGCCGAGGCGGGCGGATCATGAGGTCAGGAGTTTGAGACCAGCCTGGCCGACATGGTGAAACCCCGTCTCTACTAAAAATACAAAAATTAGCCGGGTGTGGTGGCGCACACCAGTAGTCCCAACTACTTGCTAGGCTGAGGCAGGAGAATCGCTTGCCGGGAGGTGGAAATGGCAGTGAGCTGAGATCTCGCCACTGCACTCCAGCCTAGGTGACAGCAAGACTCCGTCTCAAAAAAAATAAAAAATAAATGAAGATCTTATTTTTTAATAATTTCAGATTTACAGAGAAGTTGCAAAGATATTACGGGGGACCCCATGTGGCCCTCACCAGTTTCCTCCCTTGTTAACATCTTACATCACCAAGATGCAGTTGTTAACACTAAGAAACTAGCTGGCCGGGCGCGGTGGCTCACACCTGTAATCCCAGCACTTTGGGAGGCCGAGGTGGGAGGATCACCTGAGGTCAGGAGTTCGAGACCAGCCTGGCCAACATGGTGAAACCCCGTCTCTACTAAAAATACAAAAACTAGCCAGGCCTGGTGGCAGGCACCTGTAATCCCAGCTACTCAGGAGGCTGAGGCAGGAGAATTGCTTGAACCCGGGAGGCAGAGGTTGCAGTGAGCTGAGATCACACCACTGCACTCCAGTCTGGGTGACAGAGTGAGACCCTGTCTCAAAAATAAAAAAGTAAATAAAAGATGGAACTGGCCAATGTCACTACCAGAGGGAACCAATGTCCCTTTCAGATGTGGCCCGAGCCTCCTGCAGGCAGCTAGCTTTGGAATTGCAGGTGTGTCTTGGCTGCTGCTAGAAATCATACACATGTCCTTCACAGGAGATGAGTGTGGACCTGTCCTGTTCTTTCCCCGCGCCCCAGCTGTCTGTGAAATGGACCCTAATTTACTTTCCCTCTTTCTACTGGTGGCTATTTAAGCATTTTCAGGTTTTCCTAATTCACTGCACACTTCAGCACCACAGGCTTCTCACTCCAGCCGTCGGGCGAATTCCTGGAAGATTCTGAGAGGGGAGGGGCCAGGTTTCCTCAGGGCTCTGGCCGGGCCTGCCAACCTGCCCTCCACAGAAGTATCTTGTCTGTGCGACTCCTCACTCCTGCCAGCCGCTGGGCCTGTTCCCAACACCCTGGCTGGCACCTCCTGTTATCAGGCGTTTTAATCTGTGCCAGGGGGAAGGATGAGGACAGTCTCTTGTTTCCATTTGCGCTTCTTTGATTGGCGACACGGCCGTCTTGCTAGCACCAGACAGTTCTGTGTTTCCTGTTGGTGAACTGCCGGCTTTTGCCTCCTCGTCTTCTTGGAGCGTCACAGGGGTCCGGGAAGCTGGATTGCGCAAATGAGTGTGGAGGCAAAACAGCCCTGCAGTTCCCCTGAGTGTGCGGGTGCTACCAGCCCGGGTGTGCCTTCTGGGTGGGAGGGGACGGTGGCCGGCGCGGCCTGGAGAGGAGATATCTAGAGTTGGCTGAGGAAGGCAGATCTGAGGAGGCCCCAGGCTTCCAAGTCCAGGGACGGACGGCTGGACTCATCACCAGAATTAACCATTAGGCCCCCCTTGACTCAGTTTCCCCATCTGCAACAGGGGGTCATGAGCATTGCCCCATCAGCCTGAGGTGGTGCTGCCGCAGGCCTGGGCTCACACATGGAAGGGCAGAGTGCCAGGGCTGGGGAGGGGACAGGGGTTTGTGTCGCATGGGAACAGACGTCAGCCAGAGAAGGTGGAGAGTTCTGGAGATAGAGGGAGGAGATGGCTGCTAGACACCGAATGTGCCCAGCGCCCATGAACTGTGCACCCGGAAAAGGCCAAGGAGATACATTTTATGTTACGTGTATTTTACCACAATTTTTTTTTAAAGGCCGGGCGAGTTGGCTCAGGCCTGTAAGCCCAGCACTTTGGGAGGCCGAGGTCGGCAGGTTGTTTGAGCCTAGGAGTTCGAGACCAGCCTGGCCAGAGATGGTGAAAGCCCATCTGTACCAAAAATACAAAAACTAGCGAGGTGTGGTGGCTCACGTCTGTGGTCCCAGCTAGTCAGGAGCCTGAGGTGGGAGGAGCCCAGGAGGTGGAGGCTGGAGTGAGCCCAGATTGTGACACTGCACAATGTGACACATTGTGTCACAGAGCAAGACAGAGCAAGGGGAGCCTGGGTGACAGAGCAAGACCCTGTTAAAACAACAAAAATCCCCACCAGTATGGCTTTGAGAGAAGGCCCCGGCTTTGAATCTCTGCTCTGTGGCCTGGGGCAGTTACTCAGACTCATCTGTAGAAAGTGTGGGGCCCTTAGGACTGCTGGGGGATCAAATGGTGGGGGGCACTAGTCTGCATGGAGAGGGGAGCAGCACTGGCAGCCCCCCAGTCAGCGCTGGCACAGCCTTGCCCCGGCCATCCACCCCTGCTGGAGCTTCGGAGTGGAGCTCCGTCCTCCTGGCTCCATCCCCGCCGGCTGCCCTGTGATGGGGTGCCCTATCTGGGGTGTGCCCAGAGCTTCCTGGCAGCACAGCAGGGCAGAGGTTGGGACGCTCGGAGCTGGTCAGAGTCTTCGGGTACCCCTTGGACATCCCTGGTCCCAACCATGACGGGCTGCTTGGACAAGGCCACCTCACATTTGCAGGTGCTCCAAGGGCAGCCCCCAGTGGGCTGGGCCCCTGCCAGAGTGGGGGCTGCTGTGGCCAGGGCTCAGGTGGCCCAGACCCTGGCTCTGCTGCTGCTCCTGGTGTGACCTCAGACAAGCCCCGAGCCCCTCGCCGCCTCTTCACGGGGAAAGGGAACCGGCCTGATTCTGTAGGGTAGGGGTGAGAGAGGGTCTCGGTCTCGGCTCTTTTCTGGAAGAACCTTTCGGAGGTCGTTTCAGAGGTCTCCACTGGCGCCGACACTTTCTTCCTGATGTGGCCCTGCCTTGAGGGGCCAGTGACCTTCCCCAGGGTGTGTGGGGCCCCATTTCCTCTGCTGGGGTGCAGAGGCTGCTCTCCCCGACGTGGGTCCTTCATAGCGGACGTGAGAGCCAGTGCCAGTTCCTTTCCGGCTGGGTCCCCTGTGGGGTGGATGAGGGCTGGGTGGGCCCTGGATGTGGATTTGGAAGTGGGCGCCTTCCCATGCTCCTAGCATCCGAGTTCCAGAGGCTCTGGGTTTTCCTCTGTTGCTGGGGAGACGGAGGCAGGGCAGCCGTCCAGGTGGGTGAGCCGGGCCCGGGACTCTGTCCGCTTCAGGGGCTCCCTCCCCTGTGTCTCCCGGTCTCCTGCCCCGTGCCAGGAGGGCCCCTCCCCAGCCTCCTCCACACCCCACCCCCAGGCCTTCGCGCCCCAGCCTCGGCTGCGGGATCTGTGGGACCCGTGTTCATGGTGGCCTCCCCTGCAGCATCATCGGCTGGTTCGTGCGAAGCTTCAAGTACTTTTACGGGCTCCGCTTCGAGGTGCGGGACCCGCGCAGGCTGCAGGAGGCCCGTCCCTGTGTCATCGTCTCCAACCACCAGAGCATCCTGGACATGATGGGTAGGCCGGGCCTCGGGGGTGGCTTCTGGGGTTTGAGTGGGGCCGGCTGAGCTGGGGCTGTGTGGGGCTGGGTCCCGGGGACGAGGACACAGGGCTGCCTGTGCCTGGGCGAGCTCGGCCTCAGTACCTCCCTCAGGGCCAGACACAGAGGCTCGGAGGCCACACGACCCGTCCAGGTAGCCAGGGAGAAGGCAGGGTGCCAGGCAGGCCTGTGGGTGCTCAGCAGCTGTCTTCCAGCGCACGCTGTCTCCCCCTCTCTCTCTGTCTCTGTCTCTCTGTCTCCCAGGCCTCATGGAGGTCCTTCCGGAGCGCTGCGTGCAGATCGCCAAGCGGGAGCTGCTCTTCCTGGGGCCCGTGGGCCTCATCATGTACCTCGGGGGCGTCTTCTTCATCAACCGGCAGCGCTCTAGCACTGCCATGACAGTGATGGCCGACCTGGGCGAGCGCATGGTCAGGGAGAACGTGAGTGTGCAGGGCCGGGCTCGGTGGGGTTGGGGTGGGGCCTGGGCGGGGCCAGGCAGGGGCCAGCTTGTGACTTGGTTTTGGCAGAAAAAACAAGACCCCCACATCATCCATGCTCCGCAGGTGGGGTCCCACGCCAGACCCCTACATCATCCATGCTCCGCAGATGGGGTCCCATGCCAGCTGCTTTGCGAAGTGGGGCTTCTTAGGAGGCGAGGCGGCGTGGCCTTTCTGGGGTGGCCTGGGCGTGAGGTCAGTCCAGGCTCTCCTCTCCCTGCAGCTCAAAGTGTGGATCTATCCCGAGGGTACTCGCAACGACAATGGGGACCTGCTGCCTTTTAAGAAGGGCGCCTTCTACCTGGCAGTCCAGGCACAGGTAGGCTGAGCCCAGCCCTCCCTGGGTGGGTGCAGGCTGGGGAGGCGGGGTCAGGCTGGCTTAAGGCAGCAGGTGACCACCAGCCGAGCTGAGGACCCTTGACACACAAGGGACTCCTCCCACTGAGTTGGGGACAGGGCCTCCTTGCCCCTTCCTGCACTTGCCCCCTGACCGACCAGGGAGGGCAGCCCCTTGGGCCTTTTGCCCACACAGAGCCCAGAGTGACCAGCTGCCCTTGGTGGGCACCCAGTGCTTGGCCTGCGAGGCTGGGCAGGTAGAGGGGTGGGGAGCCGGGCCGCTCGCCTCTGCTGCAGAGCTCTCAGGAGGCTCATTTCTGGGCCTGTGCCTGGCTGGGGTGGGCTTCAGGGCATGGGCAGTGGGTCTGGACAAGCCAGGCTTTTGGTGTAGTATCAGGCCAGACCAGAGCTCAGGGTGGGTGGAGCTCATTGTAAGCAGCGCCTCCAGACTCTGGACTTCCTGGTCCCCAGCCTCCAGGGGTGCAGTGCATCCTAGGGTGTCTGGGAGAGGCCAGGGTATAGCCATTCCCCCAGCACCTGTCCTGCCTCTGCCGCTGTGCTGGGAAGAGTTGCGTCAGGAGAAGGAGCTTTTACCCATCTGGGTGGGGTCTCGCTCAGGGCAGGGGTCTCAGCTCCTTCCCTCACACTGGCCACTAGTGGCCCCCAGTGCCTGGCCCTGTGCAAGGTGGTGGGGAGGGGGCCCTCCTTCCAGAGGCTCCCAGCTAAGGCCGTGAGGCCTGGGGAGCCCCGGAGGCGCTGGGCTGGGTGAGCATCCTTGGGCTCTGATCCCAGCCCTGCCCAGGTGCGGGGCACACCTGCCCAGCCTGGGGCTGATGTCACTTCCCTTTGGGGGCAGAGTGAGGGCTGGATCAGCTCTGGGAGAGCAGAGG
Organism: Homo sapiens; assembly: GCF_000001405.40. Lineage (NCBI taxonomy): Eukaryota > Metazoa > Chordata > Mammalia > Primates > Hominidae > Homo > Homo sapiens. The sequence goes on along the minus strand of NC_000009.12, from coordinate 136,675,677 downwards.
GGAGACGGGCGGCTGTGATGGGGTGGCTGGGGGTGGCCGCAGTGCAGCTTCAGCCAGGAGACCCACAGCTTTTCCGTCCCTGCTCCCGGTCCCCAGCCTACCTGCTGGCCCCCTCCCTCCCTGCTGCCAGTCCCCAGCCTACCTGCTGGCCCCCTCCCTCCCTGCTCCCAGTCCCCAGCCTACCTGCTGGCCTCCTCCCTCCCTGCTGCCAGTCCCCAGCCTACCTGCTGGCCTCCTCCCTTCCTGCTGCCAGTCCCCAGCCTACCTGCTGGCCCCCTCCCTCCCTGCTCCCAGTCCCCAGCCTACCTGCTGGCCCCCTCCCTTCCTGCTGCCAGTCCCCAGCCTACCTGCTGGCCCCCTGGAGGTTCCCTGGCTGCCTCGGGTTAATGATCACCCCCAAGTGCCCTTGGATTTGACCCCGGTGACTTCCAGGAACACCAGCAGGCTCCACCCCTCCCCCGGGCTAGGGCTGCCTCCCTCACTGGCTTCCTGAGATGGAGAGGACTGGGAGAGAGGCGTGGGCAGGGAAGAGTGCCATAATCTCCTCCTAAACCGGACAGGGCCCTGCCCCCCTGGCTAGCTGCAGACCCAATATGGGGACAGGTGTGAACCAGGCAAACACGTGCTAGCTCAGGAGGGCTTCCTAGAGGAGATGAGTAAAAATTTGCAGGATGAGCTTATGGAACTCTGGGCCAACCAGAGCAGGACACATATCCCAGGTCCCAGGGGCAGGACAGCCACAAGGACCCATGGCAGCAGCGAAGGCAGGGGTGGGTGGGCCGCAGGACAGGGCTCCCCAACCACATGCAGCCTGGGGTGTGCCTGGCCTGTCCCCAGGGCTGCCTCAGCTGTGCGTCTCCCTGCCTGCAGGTGCCCATCGTCCCCGTGGTGTACTCTTCCTTCTCCTCCTTCTACAACACCAAGAAGAAGTTCTTCACTTCAGGTACCCCCACATGTGTGCACCCGGGGTGTAGGCCCCGCCTGACCCTACAGTCACGGAGCCCCGGGCCCCTCATCGTTCCCATTTCCGGGTGGCACCCGTGGCGTGGCCACACGGTGACCATGTGGCGAATGAGTGACTCAGGCTGGAGTCCCAGCTGTGGGCTTCATGGCCTCATGGCCCTGTGAGATGGGTGGTGCTGGGCCCATTTTTCAGATGAGAAAACTGAGGCTCCAAGAGACTTCACACGGATGGACCCCAGCTGTGCACACAGCTTGGGGGCCTGGAGGGCGGCCTCTGAGCCCATGTGTCCAGGCTGATGCCCGCATAGGGTAGATGGAACCCAGGCAGCCCAGGGGCACAGGCTGCGGGGCTCATGACCTCTTGCCCCTTCCAGCCAGTTCCCAGAACGTGGGCACCTGGTGCCCAGGCAGGACAGTGGGGTCAAAGTTGGAGAGCAGTGGGGGAACCCAGCTCCATCTCTCCCACAGCCCCTCGCCCCGTATGGAGGGCAGAGGCCAGGCAGTGAGGTAGGGGCTGATCAGGAAGTGGGGCTTTCTGGGGGCAGTAACAGGGGAGCGCAGACTTGTCGAAAATGCGGCGTGAAGGCCAGGCAGCCATGGGGTTTACTGCAGCAACGTTACTGCAATTAAAATAACCCACCACGGCTAGGGAGTCCAGGGGAAGAGCCCGGCCTCGGGCTTCCCAGGGAGGGGCTGTGGGGGGCTGGGGAGAGGCGAGGCCAGGGCAGCAGGCTGAGGTGGGCCCCAGCTCCCCACAGGCCACTGAGGTCTGTTGCTTCCCCCACAGGAACAGTCACAGTGCAGGTGCTGGAAGCCATCCCCACCAGCGGCCTCACTGCGGCGGACGTCCCTGCGCTCGTGGACACCTGCCACCGGGCCATGAGGACCACCTTCCTCCACATCTCCAAGACCCCCCAGGAGAACGGGGCCACTGCGGGGTCTGGCGTGCAGCCGGCCCAGTAGCCCAGACCACGGCAGGGCATGACCTGGGGAGGGCAGGTGGAAGCCGATGGCTGGAGGATGGGCAGAGGGGACTCCTCCCGGCTTCCAAATACCACTCTGTCCGGCTCCCCCAGCTCTCACTCAGCCCGGGAAGCAGGAAGCCCCTTCTGTCACTGGCCTCAGACACAGGCCCCTGGTGTCCCCTGCAGGGGGCTCAGCTGGACCCTCCCCGGGCTCGAGGGCAGGGACTCGCGCCCACGGCACCTCTGGGAGCTGGGATGATAAAGATGAGGCTTGCGGCTGTGGCCCGCTGGTGGGCTGAGCCACAAGGCCCCCGATGGCCCAGGAGCAGATGGGAGGACCCCGAGGCCAGACGCACACTGTCCGAGCCCTCTGCTCAGCCGCCTGGGACCCACCAGGGTGCAGCTGGGCTCCAGGGTCCAGCCCACAAGCTGCATCAGGCTCTCTGGGAGAGGAGGGGCCTGGAGGGCCAGGAGTCCCAGACTCACGCACCCTGGGCCACAGGGAGCCGGGAATCGGGGCCTGCTGCTCCTGCTGGCCTGGAAGACTCTGTGGGGTCAGCACTGTACTCCGTTGCTGTTTTTTTATAAACACACTCTTGGAAGTGGCTGGGGAGCTGTGGTCACTCACAGGGCGGGCAGGTGACCAGGGCGGTGGAGGCGACGCTGTGTCTTCCCAGCTGCCCTGCCTAGAGGCCCAGGGTGCAGGCACCGCCACCCACCCGTGTTCCCTATCCAGGAGTGGACCCACATCACCCTATACTACTTCCATCGATGGGTGGGGGTGTCGCCTAACGGGCAAGTGTGCCGGGATCCTCAGGCTACTGGGAAGGAGGCCAGAGATTTGCTCTTTGGCCTCTGGTTGGGGCCAACATGTCCCCAGGACAAAGCTCTCTGTGGCCTCACAGAAACCACCTGCCCACCCCCTCTGCCTTGGACCCCCTCCCCACCCCACGACTGCCCGCTCCACCAGGCCCCCTTTGCCAGCTGGCACCCAGCAGTGGGTCTGGGAGGGGTGGCCAGGAGGTGAGCGCCCTCCTCCCAGGCCCCCAGTCCATCCACTGACACAGCAGCTCACGTTTCATTTTTATTGTGCTGGGGGTCAGGCAGCAGCCCCCACTGAGGCCCCACCCAGCCTCCGGGCTGCCTGGCCTGTGCCATGGGTCCCAGGCTCCAGCAGGGAGCTCGTACCTTCCCTCAGCTGAGGGCCCACCTGGCCTTGGGATGCCGTTGGGGTAGCCAGGGTGGGGGTAGCCAGGGGTGGATTCACAGAGAAGATCCCAGCCCATCCCATGCCAGGGTCTGGGGAGCCTCCCGAGGAAGGGGAGGAGGAAGAGGAGGAAGGCCCTGCCTGGCCTTCCGCTCAGTCACCCCGAGGTGGTTTCTGGACCCCCAGCATGTTGGGCAGGGGCATGGGGGCTGCAGGGCGGCGTGAGGGGCTCAGTCCAGCCTGGGGCGCTGGGCAGTCACGAGTCTTTCTTGCAGGAGCCTAGGGTTGGATGAGGCGAAGGTCAGAGATCACTGCTCCCCACAGCCTCCCCGCCCAGCTAGATCTGACTGGCCCCTTGGCCTTTGGTCGCCCCCGACCCCCAAGCCTGGGTAGCCCCTCTAGGCCCACTGGGCCCAGACCCGGGAGGAGGGCTCTGGAGGGTGGGGGCACTCACAGGACCCCAGCTGCTCCTCCAGGAAGGAAATCTGCTCGCTCAGGGAGTCGATGCGGCCGAGCTGCTGGAAGGAGTGCACCAGGAGGCTGCCGGGGTCCGGGAGCCCATGCTCCAGTGCCTGCGAGGCCAGGCTGTGCAGTGGGGCCAGCACCAGCTGCAGCTTCTGTGGGTGCAGAAGGGCAGTGACCCTGGGCCGGCCCCCGCCCTCTCTGCTCCACCGGGGTCTAGGGAGGACCCCTGGGAAGGGCTCCACAAGCCTCCAGCCCCCGCCTCCGCGGCAGGGCTCCAAGTGTCCACTAGAGGGGGCTGCCGTGGCAGAAAAGCTTGCCGCAGAGTGGGTGCCTGGGGCATCAGGCTGGCGGGGTGGTCCCAGCCTTGGGGTCCCTGGCAGGAGAACTAGGGGGACAGCTGGACCACTGGCCAGTGGGAAGACTGGCAAGAGCTCTTTGTCCTGGTGGGGACAAAGATGGGGGGGTGGGGAGGTCTCGTCTGGGTCCAGGCTCTGTGTATTGTCTGGGGGGCTGTCAAGCTTGGTTCCTCCGGCCCTGGGGGGTCCTGGTCAGTGTCCAGCTGCTTCTGCCCAGCATGGATCCAGGCCAGGGCCCCCTCGGCAGTCAGCAGCGAGGAAGCCACCTCCCCAGGGCCAGGACCTTTTCAGACCACCCCCAGCCATCCGTGGGTCGGGACCATGTCCCAGGAGACTACGGAGCCTGTACCCGGGCCTGGGCCTCTGCTGTTGTGAAGACCTGCCCCCTGCCGACGTCTCACCTCCTCCAGCAGGTCCACCCTGGACTGCCTGCCTCCCCCCCCGACGCCTCATCTCCTCCAGCAGGTCCACCCTGGACTGCCTGCCCCCCCGACGCCTCACCTCCTCCAGCAGGTCCACCCTGGACTGCCTGCCCCCCCGACGCCTCACCTCCTCCAGCAGGTCCACCCTGGACTGCCTGCCTACCCCCCCGATGCCTCACCTCCTCCAGCAGGTTCACCCTGGACTGCCTGCCCCTCCACACCTCACCTCCTCCAGCAGGTCCACCCTGGACTGCCTGCCCCCCCCCCCCCCCACCAATGCCTCACCTCCTCCAGCAGGTCCACCCTGGACTGCAGCCTCTGCACTTCTTCCTTCATTGCACTGTCCACTCCTGCGGGCAGAGCCAGGCGCTGGGTCACGGCCGGCCGGCTCCCCACCCACACCCCCAGGCTCCCTCCTGTCCCCAGGGAGAGGCAGAGCCAGAAGACTCAGGCCCAGGCCTCTGCCGCCCCCGCTGCCTGCCTGGCGCTGGCCAGAGGTCTCAGGGCTATGCCGCCTAAGTACGTCGGGGCGGGTGGCTCTGCGCAGAGGCTCAGGGTCCCGGCCACGCTGAGGGAGGTCAAGGCTGAGGTCTCAGCGGCGTTTTCGATGCGGTGCCGTGGACGGCGCATTATTACTCACGGTACGAGTTTGAAGTGTCACAGCGCGTACCAAAAGTAATAATGTCCCGTCGCCAGCGGAGGCGTGGCGTCTTCCAGAATGCTGCGCTGGATGCAGACAGGACCCCGGGACGGGGCACTTCTGCCTTCTTGGCTGATATGAGGCTCCGGGCAACCTGCCCCCAGTTCTCGGGAACCCACCTATCCTCCCTCCCCATCCTCCCTCCCTGGAGAGGGAGTCCCCACCGCCTTCCGCCCAGATTCCAGTGCCCCCCACCATGCCTAACAGCCACACGGCAATGTCCACTGCCTGCCCGCCTCCCCAGGCCAGGCACAGCCAGGGCTGTTTACCTGTCGGGTTGGGGGCCACCCTGGGGGGCCCTCCCTTGGGCACACAGAGTGTACCGTCTGCAGACAGGCTGTGCCCCTCCCAACACTGGCACCAGTAACTGCCGGCGGTGTTGACGCAGCGCTGGGGACAGCCGCCCCTCCTAGCACTGCATTCATCCACATCTGCAGGAAACGGGGTGTCAGGCGGCCATGCCTGCGGGAGGGGTCCTGCCCACACAGCTCCCTTCACAACCACCCACTCATGGGCCAGCAGTAACCCCAGGACATGCAAGGAGGTGCCCAGGACCCTTCCAGGGCCCCCCAGGGTAGAGCCAGCCTCACCTGACTGGCAAGTGTCACCCCGCCATCCTGCAGGGCAGCGGCAGCGGCCAGGCTGGACACAGCTCCCTCCGTTCCGGCATGGCGGCTGGCATATTGCTGTGGGCGGGGGAGGCTGGTCACCAGCTCAGTTGGGTCCCCAGCACCCTGTGGGGGCAGCTGCTAGGGAGTGGGTGCTCTGCGGCAAGGTGGTGCTTTGCTCGGGGTTCAAGAAAAGCAGCAGGAGCGTTGCTGGAAGATTGGGGAACAGTCGCCCTCCTAACACCGGGCGCCGAGGGACATAGCCCTCACCTGCTCCACAGGCCCCAGGAAGCCCGCTGGTCCTCTTCCAGCCGGGGCAGCACGCGTAGCGAGGCCTGGCAGGGGCCAGCCCAGGGCTGCGGCGGTAGGCGGTCCTATAGATGGTTCTGTGGGGTGGGTGGGACAGCTCAGAGGGGCATCCTACTCCCCCTTAGTCACCTGCTGGGCATCTAGAGTCCCCTCTCAGAGTGCACAGGGTCACCCCAGCATGCCCCCAAGGGTCTTCTCCTCAAGGGATGGCACTGAGGGGTCACTGCACAGCCGTTTCCCTGCCTGGGCCTTCCGGTGCTGGCCGGGACTCAAGCCACAGCAGGAAGGCCCAGCCACACTCCGCATGGAGCAGAGGCAGTGGCCAGGCCTGTGTGTGCCCCCACCTATCTGGTCTCCTACTGTGGGGGCATCCAGGCCCAGAGGAGAGGGTGTGCCCGGCCTACGGCGAGTCACGGCAGAGTGTGGGCCCTGGGCATCGGAGCCCTTCTTAAACCTCCAGAAGTCTGAATTCCCAGGCCCCTCCCCCAGCAGGGGGTGGAGCTCCCACACCCAGGAAGGAGGACTCTGAGACTTAGGGGTGTGTGCCCCTTGTGTGGGCATACAGGACATTTCAGGGTCTCATCTGTGCCCACTGGGGGCCGTCATGTGGAGGGGGGTGCCCAGTGGAGTGGGACCAGGGGAGTCAGGCACCATTCTGTGTATATGGGAACTTGCAGCCAGGGATGCCAGGGTAGGGAGGGGTTAGTCCCCCGGAAGTGGAGGGGTGCAGACAGGATGGGTGACCCCTCTAAACATGGGGATGCTCTTAGAGGTGCGGTCCTTTGAGACGTGTCGGGGCAAGAGCAAGGATTAGGACACTGGAGGTGATCGTGGAACCCCTTGGCTCCGGCCGCCCTGGGTCGCCCATCTCAGGCAGCCCTCTCATGGCTCTGGCCTCAGTTTCCCATCTTGGGTCCCAGGATTCACCCCCGCCTCGCCCCTGACATGCTGATGTGTGGCCGACTTGGGAGGCTGGGGCTGGGTGAGCTCGGTGTGGTGGGGCACTCACCGGTAGGTGCTGCAGGCCCGGTGCCCGTCGCAGGTGGTGAGGAAGGGCTGGTACACACGCTGCACGAACGACTCGGAGACAGGGTCCCCGTGAGCCCGGACAGCACACACCCTACGGCTGCGGGGGTGGAGAGGGGGTCAGCCCAGGAGTCCCAGAGCAGGACCCAAGAATGATGGGAACATGTGGCCGGGGCAGGACCCTCAGCAGGAGCCCCCAGGGAGTCCCCGACAGGTGCTGAGGGCCGCCTCTAGGAGGTGCTGAGGGCTCCCGGTCCCCCCACCCCAGCACTCCCAGGCTAGGGCTTGGCTCACCCGGGCCGGTAGGCGTGCTCTGTGCCGCCCACTGCCAACACCAGAAGCCACATCAGCAGCACCTCCTGAGAGCCCCTCATGGCCTGTGCCTCCAGGCGGGGTGGCCTTCTCCTCTGGGTGGCCTGGGGCACAAAGCATGACCCCTAAGTCTCCCCGCAGATGCCCCCAGGACGCGGGTGCAGTTTGCACTTGCTCCGCGAGGCCTGCCCAGCTCATCTCCGCTGGAGCCTCCACCGGTGGGACAGCCCCACGGTGGCGCCCACTCTCTCCTCCGCTGGCCCCCTCTTCCAGCTAGCCAGACCCTCGCCAGGCACAAACAGCTGGGGCCACAGCCTGGGGGCACAGGGGGGGTGACGCTGTCCAGAGCTCTTGGTGCAGGAATCGAGTGGATCCTGCTGGGCATCTGCCCGAGGCTCCGGGAAGGATGGCTCCAGCTACGGGTGGCCGTTTCTCCTGTCCTGCCTGGTTCCAGGGCCCTCCTCACAGCAGGGCAGGGGTGAGTTTGCACCCCAGTCTATGCAAACGGGGTGTTCGTGGGCAGAGCTGGGATCCAGCCCCACCAGGGACCTGCCGGCCTCAGCCCTTCTGGAATTTGATTTCTCATCTGAGTGTGGAACCGGCCCCAGCAGGTGGGCCAGCAGCTGCAAGCCAGCAGGAACCGTGCGGAGGGTGCACACATTCTAAGACCACCAGAGGGGCGGCCTTCATTTTAGAGGGGGTCCTTCCCAGGCTGGGATATGTGTGCAATCAGCCTCCAGGGATCCTGGGACAGTGGCTGTGCCAGGTGCACACCTGGGGGTGAGGAGCAGCCCCCGACAGTGTCACCGGAACCGGAATCCAACCCCCTCCTGGCTGTGCAGCAGGAGCCAGGGGCCCGGGTGAGGCTTCCTGAGAGCATGAGAGCCCAGAATTAATGGTCTGTGGCAATGCCGGGGATGGGGATTCTGTCCTATGCGCAGCCAGGGGTCTGGAGACCTGGCGAGCCCCTGCCATGCTGCAGGGTCCCACCCAGGGCCTCTCACGGGTGCTTCCCAAAGGCTGGGTGGGTTCCTTCCGAGGCACTGCAGGGCCCTCCGCAGGGAAAGGCCAGGCTTCGGGTCGGGGCAGAGGCTGGGGTAAGGCTGTCCCTTCTCTGGGATTCAGTTTCCTCACACACTAGAATAGGGTCTCTGAGGCCCCTCCTCAGCTCTGACAGCCAGTCCTATAAATAGTCACACTGTCCTCAGTCGCTGCTGGCCAGCCCCACTGGGTGTGGAGCACGATCCCACACCTGCTTCCCACGGGCACTGCCAAGGCATCACCCGGTCCCAGCGGGGAGGGTGGCTGGGGGTCCTTCCTGGGCCTCCAGTCCTCTGTGCGCTGGAGAGAGGAGGGCAGGGCAGAGGCTGCCAACTAGGCAGAGGCTGCCCTGGGCAGCTGAGGGGTGGGGACTTAGCTTGGGGGCAGGGGGGGCATCACAGCAGTTTTTGGGCAGGAGTTTGTCGAGGGGGCAGAGCTGGCTGGAGATTAACTCTGGGGATGGGCCCTGGATGAAGGACACTGTTAGGGGCTGGGTCTGGTGCGACCTCAAGGCAAGACTCGAAGTCGGGGGACATTGGGGAGTGGGACCCGGGAAGGAAGAGGTAGGGCAGCGGCCCGGCGGCTTGATGTGGGCAGGGGGATGCCAGGGCGGGCCTGGGGGTAGGCGAATCTCCCAGACCTCATTGCCCCCCACACATATTGGCACAGCTCCCCCCCACAATTCCTGAGAGTCGCCTGGACAGGAAGCGGTGCTAAGTGGAGACTCAATTTTTGAAAGTCATGTTTTCCCGAGGCCAGAGGAAGCCCGTGGTGCTCTCCGAGCCGGTGCTGCAAGCCCCATTTCCCCGGGGGGGGCCACGGCCTCGACCCAGGGGTGCCGGGCGGGGAGGGGGCGGCGGCGCCAGGTGGACCAGCAGTCCGGTCCCCGTGCCCCCAGCGCCCACGGGCTCCCTCCCCACCTGCCCGGCAGCAGCCCCGCAGCCCCCACCCGCGAGAGGCCGGGTCCGCAGAGGGAGGGGCCTGGCTGCGCCGCAGGCACTGGCGGACCCCTCGCGGCGGGAGCAGGGCTGGGGACCGCGGGGCCCACGAGGGAGGGCGCAGAGGCGGAGCGAGACGGACCTGCCCGCCGCCCCCTCCCAGCCGCGCTGCTGGCTCCGGGGTTCGCGGGGGGCGGAGCAGGCGGCACAGGCTGGGCCCCGAGGCGCTGAGTCGCGCCGGGTCGGACGAGGGGCCGCGGCGACCCCGGCCCTCCCCGCCGCGCCGCCCGCCCGCCCGCCGCCGGCAGGGGGAGCCGGTTCCCGGGGCCGCTGGGCCCATTCTCCCGGCCCGGCCCGACCCAGCCGCGGGCGCCCCGGCCCGCTCCGCCCCCGGCCCCAGCGGTCGCGCTGCCTCGTCCCGGAGCCGCCCCCAGCTCCGCGCGCGGCCAGGTTCCCCGCCCCCGGGGGCTCCGCGGGTCCCGCCCTCGACCCAGCCCGGGCGGCGACCGGACCCCGACCCCGGCGCGCCCCGCTCGCTCCGCACTCACCGCCGGATCCGGGGCGCGCACGCGCCGCCGCCACTGCCGCCCGAGCCCGCGCCGTGGGGGCCCCGAGCCCCGCCCCGCCCCGCCCCCGGCCCCGCCCCACCTGGCGGCCCCGCCCCGCCCCCATTGCGCAGACGGGGAAACTGAGGCCCCGCGGCGGACGAGCTGCCCCCGGGCGGGCAGTGACTCTGCTGGAACCCGGGGCTGACGCAAACGCGCCTCTGAGCCGCGGCCCGCCAGCACCCCCTCCGGGAATCCTGGGGCCCGAGTCCCCGCGGCAGGGCGCTCGCTGCGCGGTCGCTGGGGACGCACGACCAAGCCCGGCCGCCAGGAGCCAGGAGAGGCCGCCCAGGGCGCCCACACTGACGGGGCTGCGGGCCCTTTGCTAGCTTTCAAGCCCCCCAGGCTGAAAACCACCCCGGGACGCCCATCTCAGCCGCTGGGGGGCCGCGCGGTAGGCGCCCGGCGCAGGTTAGCACTGAGCTGGGTCCTGCAGCCTCGCAGGCAGTGGGCATCATGACCGTCCCCACCGCAGGCCCAGAGACCCAGATCTCCTCTGAGACCACATGGCAGAGCCCAGGCCTGCCTCCTAGCCTTAGCGTGTTAGGTTGGGGGCCCCTGCGCCGGCCCCCACCTGGCCCTCTCTCAGGCATCAGGCACCCTCACCGGGGTCACTGGGTCACTGCTGAGTTCAGCACAGTCAGGGCCATCGCAGAACACTCCTCCCAGCGAATCCACAGGCCCCCAGAGAGTCTCCTCACACCAGAGGTCCCTGGGCTGGTCACCTCTCTTCTCCAGGCCTCCATTTCCAAATTTATAAGATGGGGCTAAACAGCCCTGGGATCTAGTGACGGTGAGGTCGTGGCCACACAACAATTGTTACAGCTGTTACTGCGGGCGCGGCACGTGGGGCTCGGGCCAGCCCAATTCAGCAGCCCCTCAGACCCCAGCCGGAGCCAGCGCCCTGTGTCATAACCCGCGTGGGCGCCGGTGTGAGAAGTGTTCCCTCGGAGCAAGGGGTTTGCTGGGACTCACCTGGCGGAGGAGAATCAGTCATCCCCCGGACAGGGGCAGGAGCTGCTCCTCCGGGTGGTGGGGGCCACCTGTGCCTCCCCGGTCCTGGGGGCTGCTGGTTGGAGAGGAGTTGTGGGTTAGTGCCTATGCACAGTCCTGGTCACCCTGATGTCTGGGGGCTGGGAAGGGGCCCGGGACCAGCTTTCGGTGCTGCTGTGGGACCTCCGCCTGCACTAGGCCTACAGGCCCCTGTCCTGCACCTACCCCGACCCCATCCTGTCCTGAGCTGATTGTCCTCTCGGATCCGCAGCCCCTGGCCTCAGTAAAATGGGGTTATTGCCTCCAGCCCTGGACTCCCTGGCATGGGGATGGGAGGCTGCTGTGAGTGGAGCTGGAGGTCTCTCCATGTAACCCAGGGTGCTGGGCAAGGGGCCTGCAGATGGGTCCGAGAGGGCCACCAGCTTGGTCCTACCTTGGTGCATGGGAGCTGGAGGAAGGGAGGGGCCCAGGTCCCTGGAGAGGAGTCCCCAAAATGAGGCCGCCCCACCCTGCAATCCAGTGGCCACTGCTCTGGACCAGGGGCCCTGGAAGCCCCTGGCACGTGGTCCAAGGGACGACCAGAGCAGCTGCTGTCAGGGGGCGTTCCTCATCTGACTGGGGAGTCCTAGGCCTCCTGGCGCCCTGAGCCCACGCAGGGCAGCTCTTACCTAGCCCCCAGCAGTGAAGTGTTCAGAGTGGGGCCTAGGGGGCCTCTGGGTGGGAGAGCCACCGCCACCCTCCCTGTCCCCTGCCCCTGGCCTCATCTCTGGATCTGCGGTCACTTAACCCTTTGACCTGCCTCCCCACCTCTCCTGCCTGAGTCTGGAAGAGGCGATGGAGCAGAAAGGGCAGCTCCAGGGCTGCCCCGACTCAGCCCTCGCTGCCCCCATCCTGGCTAGGCACCATTTGGAAAGTGGGGGTTCTCAGACAGGCTTCTTGGTGTGGACGTATGAGACAAAAAGTGGGGCCTTCTAGGACCCACTGTGGTTTTGGGGGCTTTGGGATGGGGCTTCAGCCACTCTGCATGAGGCTGGGGAGAGGGAGAACAAGGGCGTCTCCAGGGTCCAAGGGGGGCCCACAGAGTCACCCATTTGCCCACCGCACCCAGCAAGTCATCCCTAAGCCCGAGCCCCACGTCCCGCACCCTGGATTCACACTGCTCATCCTGGCTACAGATGTGGCTTTGGGGTTCCTCTCCCTCGGGGCCAGTTCCCCTCCCCGGGCCCCCGTTGGGTTGCTCATCCACTGCTAGGGAGAAGATGAGGAGACCTCAGCCCTCGGGACACCGCAGGGCGTAGCGCGAAGCCCCTCACAGCGGGCCCAGCCAAGCTGAACTTTGCTGCCAACCACAGGGGCTGCTCTGCGGAGGGAGAGAAAGGCCAGAGGGTGGGGTTCAGGGGAAGGGCGACTGGGGGTGAAGTGTTGGAGTCAGCAGACTGGATTGGGATCTACGCTGGGCCACCCACTAGCAGGCGTTTGGCCAAGGGGCCTCAGTGGCCTCCTCTGTGCAGAAGGGGAGGAGACTGGGACCCCTCCCCTGTGACCTCGCTGGGGAGCAGATTGCGGAGCAGCCAGCAGGCGCCACGGTCAGCGGGAGTGAGGGGAATGGGGGGCCCGCCCTGTCCGCTCCCTGCCCCTCCGAGGCCACCCCTGCCATACCTGATGCTGCTGGAGCCCAGGCGTGGCCATGGTGGCCGCTGCTGTGTCCTGGGACTGGAGATGGACCCTAGCCCTTGCTGGGGCCTCAGGCCCACTGGCCGCCTGGAGGCACCTCCTGAGGCCCACCTGCCTGGCCTGTCCACAGGAGCCTCCCTTGCAGCCGTGCAGGGCCAGCTTGGTGCAGGGAGGCTCCCCCCGGGCGAGGAAGGGCGGCTTTTTATGCTCCGTCCTGGGTAATCGGGATTGGGATGGGCCCTTCCCAGCCGGACTTCCTGTGTGTGTTCTCCGCTGATAACGGGGACGTGTCGTCGGACAAACAGGAGGCTGAGGGGGGTGGGGGCCACCGTGTGAGGGGGCCTGGACAAACTGCCCAGGGGTGGGGAAGCCGTCCCCTGGGCCATCAGAGTCTAGCCCCAAAACAGCCAGAAACCAGGGCTGGACCCTGCTGGAGACCCTGGGGAGAGTGTGGGGTGGAGGACGCAAGCCCAGGGCCCTCCCAGGACCGTGGGTTCACAGGCCATGCTCACGTGTGGCTGGACAGAAGGGAGCTGCTGCATCTTTGGGCCAAGGATGCTGGGCCCTCCCCCAGGACACCCCCAGATGTGTGTGACACAGCACGGGAGCTTGGAGGGGCCCCAGGCCAAGGCAGGGACCAGCCACACAGGAGCCTTGACCAGTGAGGGATGGCGAGTGGCGAGGCCCGGCAGGAAGGGACTGGGGTGGCAAGACAGGCTGAGCGGTCCGAGAACAGCCTGTTCCGTGGGTCCCTGAGGCCCATGGTGAGGGGGTGACGGGAGGGGACAAGCATGGAGTCCAAGCTCTCTCCCCTAAAAGAGCTGCCAGTGAGGCTGTGAGCCCCTGCCCTGGAGATGGGCAAGCAGGCCCAATGCCCTCAGCCCCACTTCACAGGGGTGCTCTGGGCTGGCAGCAGGCTGCGGCCGGGGGTGTGGGGAGGGATGCGGGACACTGTGGGTGATCACAGGGGGTGCTCTGTCAGATTCCCGGCGTCCCAGCCTCCAGGTCTGACCCTCATCTTCCCTGTTCACACGGCAGTGGGAGCCTCAGGCCGAGCGAGCCACTGTGGCAAAGGTGGGCTGGGTGGGAGGGGACACGGTGCCGAAGGGAGCTGGGTGGCTTTGGAGGGCACGCCTGGAACCCCAGGAGAGCAGGGCCTCTCCCAACCCCGCTGTCCGTGGGGTGTGAGCCCTGCTTTGGGGTCAGCCCCTGTCGGCCTGATGCCTGGGACACCCCCATTTCCCTGGCCCTGGGCGGTCAGTGTGCCCCCACCTCTCCAGCCCCACTCAGCTGGGCAACTTGAGCCAAGGGAGGCTGGGGCAGCTGGGGAAATTCCCCACGGGACTTTGGAGGGCAGGTGGAAACCTCACCCACACGCGATGCGCCTCCCCCTCAAGCAGGAACCAGCTCCCCTCTACCCACGGCCAGGGGAAGGGTCTGCTCTGGGCGCCAGGCTGTGGTCAGGGCTCAGGGCCTCAGCCAGGCAGGACCTCACTCTTCTCCGGGCCTGTTTCTGCACCTGCTTCATGGTCACTGAGCTGGTTTAAGGGGGCGCTCCTGGCACCCAGGCACCGCTGGTCTGAGCGGGAGGGGCCTCTTTCCAGAGGTGGCCCCTGCCCTGAGGTTGGAGCAGATAGGCAGAACCCCATTTCCCCACCTCCTCCACACTAGGCCACCCTGGGATCTGGCCCTTACCCTACTGGCTGCACCCTCAGCCGCCCTGTGCCTCCCTCGGCCCCCTGGCTCTCCCACCCAGGGGCTCATCCTGCCCTGGCCAGCCTGTCCCTCCAGCTGTCAGGAGGGGGTTGCAGTGAAGAACAAGTTGGCAGCAGGCCGGGCCCAGTCCCCCAGGCTGTCACCCAGGAGTCCAGTGCCAGGAGGACAGCCTGGGGAGGACCCAGACTCTGCCCTCGCCCCTGGCTGTAAGCACAGCAGTCAGTTCACCGGGAAGGCCCCCAGCGGGCCAAGCCTTAGCAACTCGTGCACTCGGCTACTTAGCTACTCCACCGTATAGGGGCCCAGTAGGCTTGTGCCCCCATCCCAGGAGGTGCCCTCTTGCCCTCTGCCTGCATCCCTGCGGCCTGCCCCCTCCTCCCCCACCTGCATGCCCCTGGATCTGCCCTGGCCTCCTGGTGGAAGGACCCACAAGCATGGGGTGGGCTAGATCCAGCCCTTTCTGTGTACAGAGGGGGAAACTGAGGCCCAGAGGGAGAAGTGACCGGCCCAGGTGAGCCTGGAGGCCGGACAGGGCTGGGATGCTCGGCACAGGAGGCTGCCTCACCCTTCCTTCCTCTTCTTGGGGAGCCCCATGTCCCCCACCCCAGCTTGTCCTATGTCCCAACCTGGAGCAGCCCCTGTCATCAGACCTATCCGGCCAGGGGACAGCTCGGGGCAGGAATAGCTAAGTAGCCGAGTGCACGAGTTGCTAAGGCTTGGCCCGCTGGGGGCCTTCCCGGTGAACTGACTGCTGTGCTTACAGGCAAGGGGCGAGGGCAGAGTCTGCGTCCTCCCCAGGCTGTCCTCCTGGCACTGGACTCCTGGGTGACAGCCTGGGGGGCTGGGCACCGCCTGCTGCCAACTTGTTCTTCACTGCAACCCCCTCCTGATAAGCTCTGCCCTGCCCCCAGCCCCTCCCCAGGCCAAGACTAGACCCTCCCCAAGGGAAGGAGGCCTGGGCTCAGGCCCAGAGTGCCAGCTTTGCCCTATCCCATAGCCTGGAGCCACCACAGGAGGGGCACTCCACTCTCTTGGGCTCCTGGAGCCTCAGAGGCAGGTACAGGAGGTGGGCTGCGGCCTTGCCCTAATGTCGGGGGCCCAGCGGGGACAGGAGGGGCGGGGGGTTGGCAGGGGACAGACATGGGTTCTTGGACGCCAGAGGGTACTGGGGGTCCAGGGGGTTGGGGCTGCCCCCGGGTTCTGGTATGGGTGGAGCACACTCTGTGCCCAAGGCCCAGGGGCTCAGCAAGGGGCAGGCGGGCCCCTCCCTCACCCTCCGGTCCTTGGAGGTGCCCCCTTCCCTGCCCTGGCCGCTCTGGTGGTGTGTGTTTGGGATCATGGCACAGACCTTCAGCAGGGAATCATTTTGGGAGTCAGCAGTGCCTCCTGCCCAGGCTCCAGCCCCACAGAAGCCAGGCCGGGCCCCACGCCTGGCCTCCTCCCCTCACCTCAGGGGCCCAGCACAGAGGGGGAGACCTGGTGGGAGAGTGTGGCCACCCCAAGGCCTGCGCCTGTCCTCATCTGGGCACTGGAAGGTCTGGAGCCCAGGGCTTCACCCTGCCTGGGGTGGTGTCAGAGGTGGAGGCCCGGCAGGGGCAGGAAGCTGGAGCTCTGGTCCCAGCTTTGTGCCCCACACAGGCCTCAGTTTCCCCATTGTCTCTCTTGTCAGCAGGGCCATGTTGTCCAGTGGCCTTCCAGCCACCTGGGAATGTTCTGAGGTTAGTTATAAGGGGAAGGGCTGCCTTACCTTCCCAGAGCGTGCTGGCTGGGCAGAGAGGCGTGGAGGGGCCTGGCAGAGCCCCCCGGGCCCTCCCGGGCCTCCCGGACCCCTCACCAGGGTGCTTTTGGCCTCTGAAGCCCCAGGAGAGGGCAGACTAAGCCCCTGGCAGAGGCCAGCCTGGGCATCTCAGGTGGCGCGAGACAGAGGGGCACCAGGCGCGGCCGCGGGAGCCGGGCTGCAGGAGGTGCAGGAGGAGGGAGTGAAGCAGAGTGCGGGAGGGATGGGGCTTCCTGTTTACCCCGAGCGCCCCCCGGCCTCGGACGGGCTGGCTCTGTCAGCCACGGATGTGGTGGAACCTTCCCATCAGAGGACGTCCCGGACCCGACGGGGGCTGGAGGGAGCTGCCAGGCAGGGGTGCCTGCGGGCAGAGGAGCCGTCTGCTCCCGAGCGAGGGTTTGGGCAGGGAGAAGTGAGGGTCCCCAGCCTTTCCTCTCACCTCTCCCTGCCTGCTCCGGCCCCTGACCCACGTCCCAGAGCGACACCCTCTGAGTTGAGGGGCTTCCATTTTCAGAGGAGGCAGCTGGCTCACAGGTGGAAGCCGCTTGTTCAAGGGTGGAAAACGGAGGCCCAGGACTGGAGTCCGGGCGCCTGAGCCTCGGGGGTCGCCCGGGGGACCCCTCGCCCTTCCCCTGGCCGCTCCCGTCTCCCTTCCTGGGGCTGCCCACTGCTCCAGCTGATGGCGTGGAGGAGTCCATGGCCTTGTGGGCTGGCTTCTTGGCAGGTCCCCACCGGCTTTGCATCTGAGTGTCCCCTTCTCCTGACATTGCCCCTACCCTGGTCCGGTCCACCCCGCTTCCTGCCTGGATAACAGTCGCCCCTCCTCGGCCTTGCTGGGCGCCGCTGCCCTTCACACCCAGTGCTCAGGGAGTTTCGCGGAGGGACACATCGGGTTGTGTGACCTCCTCCTAAGGCGCCACCACACTCAGCACAAAGTCCAGTCCTGCCGGTGCTCCATGCCCCTGCCCGGGTGCGCGCTCCACAGGGCAGGGACCCGGACCTGGAAGAGGTGACTTGGAGCAGGTGCGCAGAAAGTGCGGAGTCCCCCACTGCGCCGGGCGTGTCACCCGTTGGTGGCCTGGCAAACTTGAACTGCAGCGAGACGTGGGCTTAGAGATGGGAAAGTGAACCTGAGAGGGGCCGGCAGCCCGGGCAGGAGACACAGCCCCTTGGCCACACCCCAGGGGACCGGCATGCCCCACTGCTGGCAGCAGGTGATGGGAGCATCCCTGGGAGAACAGACTCCCCCCAGTTCTGCACACACTGCTGGTGCCTTGGAGCTCTTACCAGCCTGGGGGCTTAGCTTTGAACATCTTCGTGTTATCTTTTGGCAGACGTGAAGATAAATGCAGTTCCCTTAGGCTGTCCCTGGGGGGTCCCCAGTCCCAGGAGGGGCAGGAAGCCAGGGAATGCCCTGCAGTTCTCAGGTCCCCTGCCAGCAGTGCAGGAGCATTTGGCCGCCCCACACCCTTGTCAGCACTTGCTGTTGTCTGTCTTTTTCATTTTAGCCATTCTGATGATTTTGCAGTGGTATTGCTGTATTGTTATTTTTGTTCATGTAGGAAGGTGAAGAAAATCTTATTTTTTAAACGGCAGAATCCGTCCCTAGGGAGAGACTTGCTTCACAGGGGAGACACCTGGCTGGGGTGAGAGCGCAGTGTGGGCTCAGGGGGCTGTGTGCTGCAGGCTCCGTGGATGTCCCCAGCAGCACCCAGGGAGTCTGGAGGGGAGGAGAGAGAAGAGGCCTCCACTGTGGAGTGAGCCTGGGAGAGGGGTCCCCAGATGGACACTGGGTGCTGCCTGGCAGCTCACGAGGTGGGCACTGGTGGTCTGACTTGAGAAAGCCTTGTGGAGCAGCGTGAGCCCCAGATGGAGCCCCTAGTGTGTGGGGCACCCCTCCCCTGGGGATGCCTGTGCTTCTGGGGTCTGTGGGCTTCTGGGAAGGGTGTGGGGGGTCCCTCCCTGGAGGCTTCATCCCTGTCTCTCTTGCGGGGTTGTCATAGAGCTCCAGTAGAGTCAGGGACCATGGGTGCCCTGAAGGCTTCTCTGCCTCAGTTTCCCCTCGTGTCAGACCAGGGCATGGAGGGTCTTCGGAGCCCTGGGGAGGGTCCCGGGGTCTCCAGTTCCCAGTCATGGGGCAGACAGTTTGTGCCTGGGTCCTTCCCAGGAGGGAGGAAGGAGGGGTCCGTAGCTTCCAGCAGATTCTTGAAGGAGGGTCATGTGACCCTCGAGTGAGTTCAGAGTCCCCACCCAATGCAGCTGCCAGGGCCTCGCGTGTCCCTTCGGGGTCCTCAGCGCCACGAACGGGGCTGGTCCCAGTGTCCAGCTTCTGGGATCCCGCTCCTGCAGGCCCTGGAGACTGCTTCCCACCCCTGCTGAGGTTCCCATGGGGCTGAGGAAGGGGGACTTGCCGGCCCCCTGAGGCTGCCCTCACGCCTGGCGCCAGTACATGGCACAGAAGTCCCACTCGGTGGGCTGTGATTTGCCCAGGCCCGACAGATGGGGCAGCCGTTAACGTCAAGAGGAAAAAGCACTTCATCTCCCGCGACGGAAGGAGAAGTTCCCGAGAGCTCAGGGCCTGTGGGGCAGCCAGTTGAGGTGGCGGCAGTTCAGCAGCCCGGCCCCCAGCTGGAGCCGCCCTGTCCTCTCCCCACCTGCCCGCCTGGGGAGATCTGGGGGCCGCCCTGTCCTCTCCCCGCCTGCCCGTGTGGGGAGAGCTGGGGACCAGGCGCTCCAAGCTTTTAGGGGAGAAAATAGCGGGAGAGACGGTGTACGCCTGTGAGCAGGTGCTGCGTTCGGGTGTCTCCTCCTGGGGCCGTTGCCCTGGCCCTGCGAAGTGGAGGCAATGATCTGACCCCATCTACAGATGAGGAAACTGAGGCCCCATGGGAGTGGCTGCTCAAGCTCCCAGGGCCTTCCCCGGCAGGGCTGGACTGGAACCCAGAGCCACAGGGACCCCAGTCTCCGCAAGGCACAGTGGTGGGGGGCCCCTCCCCTGGGGATGCCCGTGTGTCTGGGGTCTGTGGGCTTCTGGGAAGGGTGTGAGGGTCCCTCCCTGGAGGCTTCATCCCTGTCTCTCTTGCGGGGTTGTCATAGAGCTCCGGTAGGGTCAGGGACCATAGGTGCCCTGAAAGCTTGTCTGCCTCAGTTTCCCCACGTGTCAGATCAGGGCGTGGAGGGTCTTGGGAGTCCTGGGGAGGGTGCCGGGGTCTCCCTGTTCCCAGTCACAGTGCACACAGTTTATGCCTGGGCCCTTCCCTGGTGGGGAGGGAGGAGGGGTCCATAGCTTCCAGCAGATTCTCGAAGGAGGGTCAACAGAGCCCCATGCAGGTGGCCCTGGGCTTCCTCCAGTCCCCGAGTCCACACTCCTCAGCACCAAGGCTGCCGTCATATTATCACTATTATTTAATACCCTTAAAAAATGTAAAGAGAGAAAGGGAAAAAAAGGCATCTGCCTGGTCAGGAATCTCTGTTTCCTCTCAGCCAGGAAACAGGAAGTGAGTGTTCGGGGAGATTGGGAACCAGCCCTCGAGAACAATAGAGCCCCCCCAGAGCCCCCCAGAGGGGAAGGGGAACTGCGTCAAGGGGTGGGGGCTGCCGGAAGCCTGACCTCTGCCCCGCCAAGCGCAGAGGGGGCCTGAGGCATAAATTTAGTCTCCTTTTCCTGATGAAAGGCTCAGATGCCCTACTGCTGGGGCTGGGGGGAGGGCAAGGCTGGCCTGGGTCCCTGGGGCCTTAGGGACCATCTAACTGTGCCCTCCTTTCACCTATGGGTAAACTGAGGCCCAAAGAGGGGAAGAGCCCTGTCTGGGGGACTGAGGGTGCCGAGCTCCCGTGGCTGTCTCGTTGGGGCTGCAGGCTTTGCTCGGCTTAACACCTGCTGGACCTGGGCACCCCCTCACGTCCCTGAATAAACATAGCGGGTTCTGGTGGAGGCGGGAGGGCAGTGCGGGCCCCTGCAGCCAGCCCTGGCCATTCCTGCCAGCCGTGTGACCCCAGGCAACGCCTCACCTCTCGAGCCTGGCTTTCCCAAGTCACCCTGGCCCGGAGCAGCCTGAGAGGCAAGGCTGCCACCAGCCCGTGCTCCCTCCAGCCCTGCCAGGTGTGCGTCCCCACCTTAGCACCTTGCAGTCTCCACCCCAGCACCCTGTCCTGCATCTCTCCACACCAGCACCCTGCACCCCTGCATCCTAGCGCCCTGTCCTGCATGTCTCCACACCAGCTCCCTGTCCTGCTCTGGGGGGCGGCTCCTTCACTCCCCACTAGTGCCCTAGGGTGACTGTGTGAAGGTGGTCCGGGCCCTTCCCCAGGCAGGGAGGGGACACGGGGCAGGTCCCTCCCCAGGCCCTGGCCATGACTCTGCATCAGGCAGGACACCCCCATGCCTATATCCTTGCTGCTGCCACTGGCCACCATCCTGGCCCAGGTGACACCAACTGGACTCTCAGCCGGGATGCTGCAAACCCGCCCAGCACCATCAGGCCTCTTGGGGGGGACTGCAGCTTCCTGAGCCACCCCTGCCTGGGCAATGACTGGAAACTCCTCTCTCAGGCTGCCCGGCAGACCCCCACACTGCCGGGATGGGGAGGGCTGCTCTGCCTAAGGGGCCTGCCCATCTGTCTGCCCGTGGACCCTACTCCACGCAGGCCTGGGTGGCCGGAGCGTTCAGGAAGCAGGTCAGGGCAGCAGGCCATGCCAGCCTCGGCCTCCCTCCCAGCCACCAGCAAAGCCTGAGGGTTCAGGGATGGCAGCTGATGATGGTGATGCTGATGATGGTGACAATGATGGCGGCGGCCACAGTGGCACCACAGTCTGCACCCCCAGCCGGCTCCCCCAACCACTCCAGCAGCAGGGATTTTTTTTTTTTTTTTTTTTTTTGTGACGGAGTCTCTCTCTGTCTCCCAGGCTGGAGCGCGGTGGTGCGATCTTGGCTCACTGCAAGCTCCGCCCCCCGGGTTCACGCCATTCTCCTGCCTCAGCCTCCCGAGTAGCTGGGACTACAGGCACCCCCCACCACACCCGGCTAATTTTTTGTATTTTTAGTAGAGACGGGGTTTCACTGTGTTAGCCAGGATGGTCTCGATCTCCTGACCTCGTGATCCGCCCGCCTCGGCCTCCCAAAGTGCTGGGATTCCAGGCGTGAGCCACCACGCCCGGCCAGCGGCAGGGATTTTTAAAGGAACGACATCCAGCAGGAAGGGCGAACCCTCCCCTCCTGGGCCCTTCCCTGGCCCTGGCTTCCCTGGGATGAGGGGTGGCTAGGTGTCCGCCTCGCAGGGCTGCAGGGGCCCAGGACACGGGGGAGGGGGGCTGATTCCAGCCAACCCACAGCAGGCCTCCACCCCAGGAGCCAGAGGGGATGCGCTCTCTAGCCTCTTCCACAGCCCTCCCGGGGGTGGTGGGCTGGGTTTGGCGGAGGGTCTCGGGGCTGTGTGCAGGGCTGTTACCGGCAGGTGCTGGGAGGTGGGGGGTGGCTGGGGCAGGACGGGAAGGTCACTCTAGCCTGAGGATAATTTCTACTTTATTTTACAATTCCAAAATGAAGAGTGATTTTCTTGCTTCTTGTTTGAGCTGGGCTGTGACATGTGCTTCCTCTCGAAGAGCCAGTGGATTTGATGAGAAGCACCGAGAGCACCGCCCGGCTCCCGGCATCTGCGAGGCCTCGCACAGGTCCTGTTCTGACGGCAGCGCTGATCAACGCTCTCCACAAACCCCACGAGGGTCGGAGGCGTCCGCATCACCTGCCCGCATACGGGGAAGGGCTGGGAGGCTGCAGGGCTGAGTCACCGCCGGGCACCCACTCCCTGCCAGCCCCCGGGAAGGACAGGGGCAGACGCGGCTCTTTCGCTTAGCCTCAGGGAGGTGGAATCACACAATTTTAGAGCCTTTATTTTAAGGAAAAGAGAGCTGCGTAAAAATAAATAAAAAAATAAATAAAGAGACTTTATTTTAGGGCAGT
This sequence comes from Homo sapiens, assembly GCF_000001405.40. Lineage (NCBI taxonomy): Eukaryota > Metazoa > Chordata > Mammalia > Primates > Hominidae > Homo > Homo sapiens. The sequence continues at coordinate 136,653,641 of NC_000009.12, read as the reverse complement.
TGTAGGCTTACAGCCAAATTGAGAGAAGGTACAGAGGTCCCACGCCACAGCCCCCGCCCCGACGTGCGCAGCTCCCCCTGCACCGGAGCGGTTCGTCTGTGACGTGGGTGAACCTGCACTCACATGTCGCAGTCACCCGGGGCCCACGGTGTAATTGGGGTCACTCCGTGTAGCACATTCAGGGTCTGGGCAAGTGTATGAGGGCACGTGGCTGCCAGGACAGTATCAGGCACGGACGTCTCTGCCCTAAAATCGTCCGAGAGGCACCCTCTTTACGTGGACAGTTTAATGCATTTGGGCAAATGAGCACCCCCGTGTAATCGTCACCGCCAAGGATGGATAGGATGTTTCCCACCCCTCCGAAGCCCCTCACACTCTGCCTGACCCCTGGCAGCCCCGACGTGCTCTCTGCTGCTCCTGGGAGATTTGTGTTGTGGAAGCCAAGTGGCCAGTGCCCTGTGCCCAGCACGATGGCTTTTCTTTTTTTTTTGAGACAGAGTCTTACTCTGTAGCCCAGGCTGGAGTGCAGTGGCACAATCCTAGCTCATTGCAACCTCCGCTTCCCTGGTTCAAGCGATTCTCCTGCCTCAGCCTTCTGAGTAGCTGGGATTACAGGTGTACACCACCATGCCCGGCTAATTTTAGTAGAGATGGGGTTTCACCATGTTGGTCAGGACAGTCTCGATCTCCTGACCTCAGGTGATCCGCTTGCCTTGGCCTCCCAAAGTGCTGGGATTATAGGTGTGAGCCACTGCGCGTGGCCGTGATGGGTTAGGGTTGGTCAGTGCTGTGTGTGTCTGTGACTCAGTACTGCTTCGTAGGAGTCCACAGTCTGAGTGGGCCATGGTTCATTCATTCATTCATTCATTCATTTAGAGATGGAGTCTGGCTCTGTCGCCCAGGCTGGAGTGCAGTGGCACGATCTCAGCTCACTGCAAGCTCTGCCTCCTGGGTTCACGCCATTCTCCTGCCTCAGCCTCCCACGTAGCTGGGACTACAGGCACCCGCCACCACACCTGGCTAATTTTTTAAATTTTTAGTAGAGACAGGGTTTCACTGTGTTAGCCAGGATGGTCTTGATCTCCTGACCTCGTGATCTGTCTGCCTCGGCCTCCCAAAGTGCTGGGATTACAGGTGTGAGCCACCGCACCCGGCCTATTTATTTATTTTTTGATACAGGGTCTCACTCTGTCACCCAGGCTGGAGTGCGGCGGCGCAATCTCAGCTCACTGCAACTTCCGCCTCTGTGGTTCAAGTGATTCTCTGCCTCAGCCTCTCGAGTAGCTGGGATAACAGGCACACGCCACCACGCCCAACTCCAGGGCCACAGTTTATATGAACACATTTTAATTTCAGAGAGAAGAGAGTTTGGAAAAAAATTTAAAAATAATAACAAACAAAGAAAGGGTCCCTCCACTTCTCACAAGACTCAACATAGGATTACCACAGTCTCCAAAACTCCACGCTAGGTACATTCCCCTAGAGCAGGGATTCAAACAGACGCGCAATGTACACACAGCGTTGTGCTCACAGGAGCCGAGAGGTGGATAGACCCGGATGCGCATCCACGGATGAGTGCATTGACAAGCCAAGGCCCATCCGTACAGTGAGACACTGCTGAGCCGTAAAGAGGAATGAAGCTCTGGCCAGGGGCGGTGGCTCACATCTGTAATCCCAGCACTCTGGGAGGCCAAGAATGGTGGATTGTTTGAGCTCAGGAGTTCAAAACTAGCCTGTGCAACTTGGCAAAACCCTGTCTCAAATATTTAAAAAGGGGAAAAAAAAATTAAAAAAAAAAAAAAAGGAATGAGGCCCGGGGTGGTGGCTCACGTCTGTAATCCCAGCACTTTGGGAGGCTGAGGCAGGAGGATCAGTTTAGGTCAGAAGTTTGAGACCAGCCTGGCCAACATGGTGAAACCCCGTCTTTACTAAAAATACAAAAATTAGCCGGGTGTGGTGGTGCGCGCTTTTAGTCCCAGCTACTCAGCAGGCTGAGCCAGGAGAATCGCTTGAACTCCGGAGGCAGAGGTTGCAGTGAGCTGAGATTGCGCCACTACACTCCAGCCTGGGCGACAGAGCGAGACTCCGTCTCAAAAAAAAAAAATTAACACTAGGCCAGGCGCGGTGGCTCACACCTGTAATCCCAGCACTTTGGGAGGCCGAGGCGGGCGGATCTCCTGAGGTCAGCAGTTCAAGACCAGCCTGACCTACATGGTGAAACCCTGTCTTTACTAAAAATACAAAAATTAGCTGGGCATGGTGGCTCGCACCTGTAATCCCAGCTACCTGGGAGGCTGAGGCATGAGAATTGCTTGAACCCGGGAGGTGGAGGTTGCAGTGAGCCGAGATCACGCCACTGTGCTCCAGCCTGGGCGACAGAGCAAGACTCCATCTCAAAAAAAAAAAAAAAAAAAAAAAATGGAATGACACCCTGGCAGGAGCTGCGGCATGGACGAGCCCTGAGTGATTCCATTGACAAGAGATGTCCACAGCGGGCAGGGCCATAGAGACAGGAAGCAGCTTAGTGGTTACCAAGGACCGCAGGAGGAGAGAACGGGGACACACACCTGAGGTGCGTGGAGTTTCACTCTGGGAGCATGAACAAGTTTTGGACATAGATAGTGGTGGTGATCGCACCCTATTGTGAATAGAATTCCCCTGAGGGACACCTAAAAATGGCTAAAGTGGCACAGCAGTGTGGAGGTTCCTCAAAACATTAAACATTGCATGTAACCCAGCAATCCCTCTTCTGGGTATAGACCTAACGGAAATGAAATCGATGTGTCTAAGAGATAGCTGCAGGCCACGGGCGTCGCACGCTGTTCATAATAGCCAAGAAACAAAGTTAGTGCATGCATGGATGAATAAGTGTGGCGGATACACACAGCGGGGCACTGTTCACCCTTCAGCAAGGAGACCTGTCACTTGTGATCACATGTGTGAACTTGGAGGTCACAATCTTTTTTTTTTGAGCCAGAGTCTCACTCTGTCGCCCAGGCTGGAGTGCAGTGGTACAATCTCGGCTCACTGCAGCCTCTGCCTCCCGGTTCAAGCAATTCTCCTGCCTCAGCCTCCTGAGCAGCTGGGACTACAGGGGCCCGCCACCACACCCGGCTAATTTTTTAGTACTTTTTTAAGTACAGATGGGGTTTCACCATGTTGGCTAGGCCGGTCTCAAACTCCTGACCTTAGGTGATCCTCCTGCCTCGGCCTCCCAAAGTGCTGGGATTAAAGGCGTGAGCCACTGCGCCTGGCCTAAGGTCACAATCTTAAGTAAAATAGGCCAGGCACAGAAAGACAAATCCCACATGCTCTCACTCATATGTGGAGTGTGAAATAGTGGAGCTTAGAAGCAGAAAGTGGGGCAGTTGCTCCCAGGGGTGGGCGGGGCGGGGTGGCCAGATGTTGGCGGAAGGCCACAAAGTTTCAGTTGAGGAGTGGGTGCAATATCTATGGGACACAAAGTTTCAGTTGAGGAGTCAGTGCAAGATCTATGGGACACAAAGTTTCAGTTGAGGAGTCGGTGCCAAGATCTATGGGACACCCAGCGACTTGAGTGAATAAAGGCACTGTGCTCTTGAAAATTTCCGAGAGAGTCTTTCTCATCACCACAAAGGTAAGCACGGGAGGTGATGTAGGTATGAACTGGCTCGACGTAGCTGTTCCCGAATGTCCACATAGACCATAACGTGCCATGTACCATAAATATGTACCACGTTTGTCAATTAAAAAACAAACAGGCAGGGCGTGGTGGCTCACGCCTGTAATCCCAGCACTTTGGGAGGCCAAGGTGGGCAGATCCCTTGAGGTCAGGAGTTCAAGACCAGCCTGACCAACATGGCAAAACCCCGTCTCTACTAAAAATACAAAAATTAGCCGGGCTTGGTGGCAGGCACCTGTAATCCCAGCTGCTTGTGAGGCTGAGGCAGGAGAATTACTTGAACCTGGGAGGCAGAGGTTGCAGTGAGCCGAGATTGCCCCACTGCACTCCAGCCTGGGAAACAGAGTGGGACTCTGTCTTAAAAAACAACAACAATAACAAAAAAATAAATAAAATAAGTAGTCAGTGCACTAGGGAAAGAAAAGAATATAAAATACAATGCCTAATTGTTAAAAAAAAAAAAAAAACGTAGGCAATAAGACTTCAGAGGAGAGGCCGGGCGCAGTGGCTCACGCCTGTAATCCCAGCACTTTGGGAGGCTGAGGTGGGTGGATCACCTGAGGTCAGGAGTTCGAGACCACCCTGGCCAACATGGTGAAACCCCATCTCTACTAGAAATATAAAAATTAGCCGGGCATGGTAGCGCATGCCTGTCATTCCAGCTCCTCAGGAGGCTGAGGCACAAGAATTGCTTCAGCTCGGAAGGTGGAGGCTGCAGTGAGCCGAGATCATGCCATTCCACTCCAGCCTGGGCCAGAGTGAGATTCGGTCCAAAAAAAGACTTCAGAGGAGACCCTGCCTCCTGGTGCTCTGTACATTCTTCCCCTAAACTGGGCTCAACTTCCTTGTTTTATGTAAAAGTTGGGCAGATGGAATTAAGCCCTCAGAGCATTCAACTTACTTCATAATTTTCAGAGCCAGCCGGGAGTGCAGGAGGGAGAACTTTCCTGTGGACGTCCTGTGTTCTCCAGACGCAGAGAACCCTCATCAACCGAGGGGGAGGTCACTTCCGAATCCACAGATGGCGTGTGAGTGCATGGCGAGCGCCTCCAGGACACACTTACTGTTCCCTTGCTCTGGCCAGACGCCAGCCGGACCCTGTGTGTGCGCGCCGTGCTGCTCTTTGCAGCTGCCTGCAAGGGGTTCCTGCGAAGACCAGCACCTTGGGGAAGAGCCTGCGGCTGAACTTGAACTCGCAGCTACCTGAGTCAGACCTGTGCTTTTTCACCTCTACGGAAGATGTCAGAGCGTTTCCCTAGCAATGTTTTAGAAGTTACTTCTGTCTGGAAAAAAATGGAAAAAATGGCAAATTATGTTATGTATAATTTGATAATTTTAAAGAATTAATGATGTAATTATTACTCAAACCCACTGAATTGTACGTTTTATTATTATTATTACTATTTTCTTTTTTTTCTTTCTTTCTGTTTTTTTTCGAGACGGAGTTTCACTCTTTTCGCCCAGGCTGGAGTGAAATGGTGCAATCTCAGCTCACCACAATCTCTACCTCCCGGGTTCAAGTGATTCTCCTGCCTCAGCCTCCCGAGCAGCTGGGATTACAGGCATGCACCACCACGCCCATTCAATTTTGTATTTTTAGTAGAGATGGGGTTTCTGTATGTTGGTCAGGATGGCCTTGAACTCCCAACCTCAGGTGATTCGTCTGCCTCGGCCTCCCAAAGTGCTGGGATTACAGGCGTGAGCCACTGCGCCCGCTTATTATTATTATTTATTTTATTTTATTTTATTTATTTGAGACAGAATCTCCCTCTGTCGCCCAGCCTGGAGTGCAGTGGCGCGATCTCAACTCACTGCAACCTCTGCTTCCCAGGTTCAAGTGATTCTCCTGCCTCAGCCTCCCGAGTAGCTGGAATTACAGGTGCCCAACACCACGCCCGACTAATTTTTGTATTTTTAGTAGAGACAGGGTTTCACCATATTGGCCAGGCTGGTCTCAAACTCCTGACCTGGTGATCCACCCGCCTCAGCCTCCCAAAGTGCTGGGATTACAGGCATGAGCCACCGAGCCCGGACTGAATTGTACATTTTAAATGGGTGAATTGTATGGTATATAAATGATTTCTTAATAAAGCTGTTATTTTTATTTTATTTTCAAGGTGGAGTCTCACTCTGTCTCCCAGGCTGGAATGCAGTGGCACGATCTCAGCTCACTGCAACCTCTGCCTCCTGGGCTCAAGCAATTCTCCTGCCTCAGTCTCCCTAGTAGCTGGGATTACAGGCGCCCGCCACCACACCCAGCTAATTTTTGTATTTGTAGTAGAGACAGCATTTCACCATGTTGGCCAGGCTGGTCTCAAACTCCTGACCTCAGGTGATCTGCCCGCCTCGGCCTCCCACAGTGCTGGGATGACAGGCATGAGCCACCGTGGCCAGCCATAAAGGTGTTATTCAAGAAAAAGAAGAAATGCCTCAGACCTGAACGCTTCCCACCATCTTGGCTGAGCGTTTGACCACATCGGTGGATGCCCCACTGGGTTGCATTCTAGTCCGTGCCGATGGCCTCTGCGGGGGCTCCTTCCAATCCCTTGAGACGTGGGCCATGTTGTAGGGGATGCTGGCAGTTAGTGGGAAGTGTGAGCACTGAGGGGCCCCCAGTCCTGGAGAGGAAGCCTTCTGGGCTGCGGGTCTCTCTCCTGCCAGGCATCCCGGGCACCATGCAGCCCCTGCCACCCTGGGCTCAGCCTGCCCCGTGCCCTCTGCAGTCCTTCCTCAGCCAAGGGCAGCTCCTGGAGTTTAGGGGATGGGAGTGGACTCCTTCTGGGGTGGGTGGAACCTCTCCTCCACCCAGCTCAGCAGACCGGTTGTGAGGTTGCCGCGTAGGCACCATGGGCAGTCGGGGGTAAGGATGGATACCTCTCGGTAGCTGATGCGGGGCTCACGCTGGGCTGGCACTTTAAGACAGATGCCGGAGGAGCAGCCAGGGGTGTTTGTGGGGCACATGGGCCGGGCCAGGCCAGCGCCTCTCTGGGACCTCAAGCAGGAGAGTGGTCGGTCCAGCCCGGGAGGGAGCCTGTGGCTAGGCCTGTGCAGGAGTCGGGGGGGACTCTCGGTGGGGACCCTCCCGGCAGCCGAAACTGGGGGAGGGAGAGCAGAACATCTGGCCCTGCTGGGTTGGGGCTGATGCTTCTGTTTAGCCGTAGCAGCCTCCCTGGGGTTGATTTCCTAGAGCTCCTACACCCCCAGTTTGTCCGGGGCCCCAGCCGTAGCTGCTACTGGGGGCCTCAAACTCCCCCAGGGCAGCCAGGACCCCAGGGGCTGTGGAGCCAGGGGCAGAGTGGAGGTGGGGGTCGGGGGAGGGCTGCAGCCGGGCCCATAGTCCCCACCCTGCAGGCCGGAGCAGGAAGGGCTGGCGGGAGCCAGGGACAAAAGGCGGACGTGCAGCCGGCCATGTGTGTCCTTATCACAGGCTGCACTCCCAGCACAGCAGCCTGCGCGGAAACGCTCCTCTCCGCCGCCTTCCTGCCTGGAAGCCCGGAGGCGGAGGCGGAGGCGCTGGAGGCCCCCACCCAGCGGGACGGGAGGCTGAGGGGAGCAAGGGGAGCGAGCGGAGCCAGGTGGGGGCAGATGTGCAGGATGGGTCAGGGGCAGCGGGGTGGGAGGCCCAGCCTCCGGGGTCTGGAGGGTTAGCTGAGTACTTCACGCTGCACTGATCTGTGGGGCCGCCGTGATGTGGGTGCTAACGCTCTCCCCACCTGTTGGATGGGGAAACTGAGGCCCAGGGCAACAGTGACCTCTCGAGGTCAGGCCCCAGCTAGGTGAGGCACAAACTCAGTCCAGAGGCGGCCCCGGGGGCTCTGCCGTCCACCCAGGCTCTGGCTGACAAGGGGCCCTCCTGCTGTGCTGGCTCCCGAAGGGGATGGCCCGGACTGGGCCCAGCTGCCCTCTGGTGGATATGGGGCCACCCCAGTCAGGGTGGGGCTGACAGGGTCCATGCTCCCTCCCGCCCTCGGACGTGCAGACTTGAAGAACGCTGGCGGGCGGGCTTGGGGGCCTAGCACCGGCCAGGTCACCAGTGCTACCTTCCTCTGAGTGAATCTGCCGGAGGACTGAGCTGGGGTCCGGGAACGGCTTCCCAGCAGGCCCTGCAGCCTATTCTGCCCCAGGCGTAAGTCATGCTCCCTCCCTGGGAGGACATGGCTGCTGGTGGGGTGCTGGGGCCACATCCAGTCCTCTTGGCTTCTTGAGGTTGGGGTGATGACTGCCCCCAGCACGTGAAACCCATGGGTAGGCGGTGGGGACTGTGTTCCTGCCCTGATGACACCTGCTGTGGGAAGGCACCAGAGCCCCTGCAGGCCCCCACTTCTGCAGAAGCACGGGGGGTGGGGGGTGGGGGGCGTGGGAGAGGCCCACAGAGGCTTGTGCCCCTCTAACCTGTTCCGTGGTGACAGGGCTCTCGCTTGCCTCCCGGGGAGGCATCCTGAGCCCAGTGGCTAGATTCAGGTCGTGGCCCTGCTGTGAGAGGGACCTTTGCGTCCCTGACTGACAGTGGGTGAGCCAGGCCGTGAGAGTCTTTTTCTGTTGGCCGTGGCTGGAGCCTGTGACCTGCAGGCCAGAGAGCGCAGGGCCACCTGCAGTCGCCGACCGGGCCCATTGTCATCTGTGGATCTGGCTGTGCCTCAGTTTCCCACCCATCAACTGGGGCTGGGGCTGTAGCTGAGTGGCGCTTCCTTGGGGGGTGGGAGAGGAGAGGCTGCCATATCCAGAGCACGTCCGCCCTAGGCCCTGGCCCGGCCCGGGGCCCTGCCTCCGCTAATTTGAGAGGATAGAGGAAGTCCCCTGTGGCCTCTCCCCTTCTCAGCTGACCTCACCCATCTGGGGCTGCACAGGAAATGCCCGGGTGTGCTGGGGCCTGACCCTTCTGCAGAGCCGGGGCCCCAGCGCCAGCCGCCCGCCATCTGCTGACCTCTGGCCAGGCTCAACGCCACACTCTCCAAGGCTGACTCAGAGCCCTGGGAAAGGGTCAGGGGCTCCCACCTCCGTGCTGAGCTCATCAGGGAGGGGCTCAGCACCTGGTCACCTCTGTGTCCTCACACCCCAGGCTCTGCCTGGCTGCTGCCTGCCTGGTGGTCAGTGCCTGTCACCCCCACTGTCCCCTCCAGGCCACAGGAAGAGTCTGAGCAGGGAGAACCCTGGTCTCACGGGCTCCCAGGGCCCTGGCACCGAGGGTGTGAGGAGCCTCTCCTGGGACAAAGGCCGAGGGGTTCCGGGGGTCCTTGGCCTCCGTGGCCGTTGGCATGGGGCCCCCCCAACGACCCGCAGCCGGCAGATGGGGCGGCGGCTGCAGTTCCCCCAATGCTCACAGCGCGGCGGTGTTTCCCCGCGGAAGCTGCCCCGGACCAGTGGCCTCTACCCTGCTGCTGCCAGCCTTGGGCGGGGCTCCCTGCACGTGGGACACGCACCCCTCCCACCCTGACAGCCTGTGCGTCCCGCCCTGCGTGGCTTCTCTCCAAAGGCTCTTAAGATTCGAGGAGAGGGGCGGAGAGAGGACCTGGCTTGGTTGGGAAGTGGGGCCTGGGACCCTGGGACCCTGTGCTCCGACCCCACCTGCAAGGCTGCGCCCTCCGCAGGGGGCCGTCCGGGGGGGCCCTGCCCGCGGGTCACTGCCAGGATCCTGCAAGCAGCCAGCGGGCACCGCTGTCACCACATTTCACACTCTGAGGAGCTCTGGGCACAGCCTCCAGGGAAAGCCTGGCTGCCGACTCTGGCCCCCTGACTCCTGAATCCTGCGAGTCACACGGCGGCACGGCCTGCATATCGGGGAGGATGGCAGGCTGGGCTGTCCTGAGGTGACCAGGGAATGCCAGACGCTTTGGGGTGAGGGTTTGCTTGCCGGCTTTGGGGCAGGCCAAGGGATTCTGCAGGGGCAGTAGGTCCCCGCGATCTTCTGGGGAGGGGCCGGCTGCCGAATCTCTGGGATTCAAATGTGGAAAACCCACAGGGGGCATTCCCGTGATGACTGAAAGAAGAAGTGGCAGCGTCACAGCTGAAGGGAGGCTGTCAGAGTGACCAGAGTGGCCAGTCCAGAGGAGACGGGTGGGGCAAAGTCTCCAGGAGGCCAGGAGATGCCTTCAAGAAAAGAAATGGAAAGGAGTGATGACCTGATGCGTGTGAGAACACGGGGACGAGCCTTGCGGCTCCGTGGGAGAGCTTGGGTGAGGACCACCCGTGCCGCGGCGACCTCTGATCGTCACCCAAGCTGTGCCCTCCCATTTCACGGTAAAAGGGGTTTCACCGGGCTCAAGGCTGTCCAGCTAAAGACCACGTCTCCCAGCCTCCTTGCAGACTCTAACTTAGCCTGTGACCAAGTTCTGGTCAATGGGACCAGAGCAGGAGTGGGAGGTGTCACTTCCGGATCTTCCCATTAAAAGAAAGGGTCATTCTCCAGGAGAACCCACCCGAGGTGTCCTGGCCGTAGCCACCTTCAAAATGCCCTCTGTGTGTATGGGAGATACTATACCCTAGAATCTCAGAACACGCCAGAACGCTGAAATGCCCTTCTACCTTTGGATTTACAGCCCCCTCCAGATAAATTAAGAAATTCAGTATTTCTCCACTCTTAGCTGGATTCTAAAGTTCTGTATATCTCATGATGATGTGTATTTTTATAGCAGCCTTTTAACAGAACTAGTTAATTTGGTGTATATGAATTTTTCTCGAAGATCTGGTCCAAACTATATTCAGTTTTCTGCCCAGAATTATCAGATTGAAGGTGGTTGGTTTTTATTTACTTTTTCTTTTATTCCTTTTTTTTTTTTTTGAGACAGAGTTTCACTCTGGTTGCCCAGGCTGGAGTGCAATGGTGTGATCTCAGCTCACTGCAAGGTCTACCTCCCAAGTTCAGGTGATTCTCTTGCCTCAGCCTCCCAAGTAGCTGGGACTACAGGTGCCCGCCCCCACACCTAGCTAATTTTTGTATTTTTAGTAGAGTTGGGGTTTCACCATATTGGCCAGGCTGGTCTCGAACACCTGACCTTGTGATCCACCTGCCTCGGCCTCCCAAAGTGCTGGGATTACAGGTGTGAGCTACCGTGCCTGGCCAGGGTCACTCTCTTGTTGACCCTTCCCTCCCTCCTGCAGGCAGGGAGATGGTGAGAGGTGGAGCAGCCCCTTTGGTCCTGAGCCAGCCACGTGTTGAGAGCGGCAGGGAAGCCCATCAGCCTCGGGACTTTCATGTGAGGGAGAAACCAACTCTATCATGTTTAGATTCCTGTTGTTTTGGTTCTTTGCCTCAGTAACTTAACCAATATTCTAACTAAGCAAGTGAAAAAGGAAGCAACTTTGAATTCCAGGAAAAACAAAAAGTTATAAAAAGGAAATGCATTTATCATATAGTACTTGGCTCAAGAGTGAACAATTACAGAGTTATATTAATGCAAGTGCTGACTATCCGTGTGAAGAATTCAGGATCCGTCGTCTGTTTGAAGGTGGGAGGGGAGAAGGGCATGCACTGGCCAGGAGAGACGGGAAAGTGAGATCCTCATCTTCTGGTAGGAAGTCAACAGGAAGCTTCAAGGACCTGCATGATGAGCATATTATTTCAAAATAGGGAGTAATGCCGGCTAGAAGAGCTAAGTTGGCTAAAAGAATTTTAAGTGGGCCAGGCGCGGTGGCTCACGCCTGTAATCCCAGCACTTTGGGGAGCCGAGGCGGGTGGATCACAAGGTCAGGAGATGGAGACCATCCTGGCTAACACGGTGAAACCCCATCTTTACTAAAAAATAAAACAAATTAGCCGGACTTGGTGGCGGGTGCCTGTGGTCCCGGCTGCTTGGGGGGCTGAGGCAGGAGAATGGCGTGAACCTGGGGGGCGGAGCTTGCAGTAAGCCGGGATGGCGCCACTGCACTCCAGCCTGGGCAAGGGAGCGAGACTCTGTCTCAAAAAAAAAAAAAAAAAAGGAATTTTAAGTGATCACTTCTGGAGTTGGAGTTGCTATTTTCTCTATGTCTTGGGGAAACTTTTAAACTAAGTGCACACATTGCTTTTAAAATTTAAAAAAACACAGCCAGGTGTGGTGGCTCATGCCTGTAATCCCAGCACTTTGGGAGGCTGAGGGGGGAGACTCGCTTGAGCCCAGGAGTTTGAGACCAGCCTGGGCAACACAGCAAGACCCCATCTCCACAAAAACATTGAAACATTGGCCAATGTGCTGCCTGTAGTCCCAGCTACTTGGGAGGCTGAGGTGGGAGAATCACTTGAGCTCGGGAGGAGGCTGCAGGGAGCTGTGTTTGTGCCACTGCACTCCAGCCTGGGTGACAGAGTGAGACCTTTTCTCAACAAAAAAATAAAAATAAAAATATAAACATTAAAAATTTTTAGTTAATAGGCCCTGAACTGAGCCTTTGTGTGCAAACATTCATGGAAAACGTGGGGGAAAAGAGGAGGTCTTGTCTGGTGTGTGGGGTAGGCTTGTGCGGCACAGCAGACAGGGAGGAGCTGGTGGGTGAGTGACAGCCCCAGGTCAGGCAGGGACAGATGCTCAAGGGCACCAGGCTGAGGGGCCGGGAGGCCCAATCTTAGGCATGGGGAACCAACCAGGCCACTTCTTTCTTTTCTCCAGAAAATTATCACCTGCTGAGCCCCCTTGCTGCTGCTCTCTGGGCGTGCACTGTGAGTGCACTGTGGAGTTTACGGACACCGGCCCCCGCGACGGTGGAGTTTACGGGGACCGGCCCCCGCGATGGTGGAGTTTACAGACACTGGCTCCCGCGACGGTGGAGTTTACGGGGACCGGCCCCCGCGACGGCAGAGTTTATGGGGACCGGCTCCCCCGACGGTGGGGGCCCACGAGTCCCAGCATCTGCAGCAGAGTCGCCGGATTGCATGAGGTCAGCGAGTGTGTCCACTGCAGACCCTGCGGAGCCACCATCCAAAACCACATTGAGAATATTTCCATTACTCTAGGAAAAGCTTCTCCGTCCAGCTGAGGCGGGATGTCATAGACTTACCCTCCTACCCGAAACAGCCAAAAAGCAAAACAAAACCAGACAAAACGCAGACACATGGCTTCCAAGACACGGGACACCAGGCATTAGAGGACAGTAACCCTGAGTGATGGGAACAGCCGTGCCCTAGTCACCCGTGCTCACTGCCCTGGGAGGCAGTCCAGGCTGTGGGTGGGAAGGCGGAACCCACGCAGGTCCCAGTGGACCCCCGAGGCTGGACAGACCGAGGCGGCTCGAGTTCATGGACACAGTACCAGAGTGGAGAGGGTCGCACAGAGAGGGACCCTGAAGACCTGGATGGGACCCCTGGAGTATTTGGAAGAGCATGGCCCTGCGGATCCCCATAAGGAAACTCCCCAGGGTGGGTAAAAAGGCACCCGGAAGGATGAGAGGGAACAGGGCCCGACTCCTGCAGGGCTGAGGACAGTGTCTCTCCCCATCAGCCAAGCAGGAAATCTCGTAACTCACGGGGCCTTGGGTGAAGCCCTTGGGAAGGGCTTGCCTCGGCGGGGGACGATCAGCCTGAGCCCGAGCTGTGCTCTGAGCCCTCCTACCAAGCCATAAAAGCAAGACTAGAAAGGATCAAACTGCCTCCAGATCACTTAACCGCACGTCCAGGACAAAGCTGAAGATTTCCAGGAAGACAAAAATCCCCGGCACCCAGCCAGGTGAAATTCACAAGGACTGGCGTCCAAAGGAAGAGGACCTGCCAGGCAATGGGAAAAGCAGGAGAACGGGACCCATGATGAGAAAAATGATGTAATCAAAACCATCCCAGGGCTGGGTGCGGTGGCTAACGCCTGTCATCCTAGCACTTTGGGAAGCCGAGGTGGAGGATCACTTGAGGCCAAGAGTTCAAGACCAGATGGGGCAACATAGTAAGACCCTGTCTCTATGACAAAAAAAAAAAAAGGTAAAACCATCCCAAAGTTGACACAGATGTGAGAATGAGCAGAGGTGGGCATTGAAGCAGTCGTTTTTGCTGTATTCCCTCTGTTCAGAAGTTAAGTAGAACCACAGCTCGATGTCCCCTCAGGCTCATTAGGATGGTTACTATTCAAAAAAAGAAAGTGGCCAGGTGCGGTGGCTCACGCCTGTAATCCCAGCACTTTGGGAGGCCAAGGCGGGTGGATCACAAGGTCAGGAGTTCGAGACCAGCCTGACCAATATGATGAAACCCCATCTCTACTAAAAATACAAAAATTAGCTGGGTGTGGTGGCAGGCGCCTGTAATCCCAGCTACTCAGGAGGCTGAGACAGGAGAATTGCCTAAACCCGGGAGGTGGAGGTTGCAGTGAACCGAGATCGCGCCATTGCACTCCAGCCTGGGCAACAAGAGCGAAACTCCATCTCAAAAAAAAAAAGTAACAAGTGTTGTTCAGGGTGTGGAGAGATGGGAGCCCTTGTGTGATGTTGTGGAATGTAAAACGATGTAGCCACTGTGGGAAGCAATATAGCAGTTCCTCAAACAATAAATAAATGGCCCAGGCGGGTGGCTCACACCTGCAATCCCAGCACTTTGGGAGGCTGAGGCGGGCGGATCACCTGAGGTCAGGAGTTCAAGACCAGCCTGGCCAACGTGGTGAAACCCCGTCTCTACTAAAAATACAAAAAATTAGCTGGGAGTGATGGTGGCCACCTGTAATCCTAGCTATTCGAGAGTCTGAGGCAGAGAATTGCTTGAACCCAGACATGGAGGTTGCAGTGAGCCAAGATCATGCCACTGCACTCCAGCCTGGGTGACAGAGCGAGACTCCGCCTCAAAAAAAAAAAAAAATATATATATATATATAAAATAAATAAATAAATAAGCCCAGTGTGGTGGCTCACACCTGTAATCCTAGTGCTTTGGGAGGCTGAGGTGGGCAGATCACCTGAGGTCAGGAGTTCAAGACCAGTCTGGCCAACATGGTGAAACCCCATCTCTACTAAAAATACAAAAAATTAGCTGGGCGTGGTGGCGGGTGCCTGTAATCCCAGCTACTCGGGAGGCTGAGGCAGAAGAATCGCTTGAACCCAGAAGGCAGAGGTTGCAGTGAGCCAAGATTGCGCCACTGCATTCCGGCCTGGGAGAGAGAACGAGACTCTGTCTCAAATAAATAAATAAATAAATGGGCCCAGCACGATGGCTCACACCTGTAATCCCAGTGCTTTGGGAGGCTGAGGCGGGCAGATCACCTGAGGTCAGGAGTTCGAGACCAGCCTGGCCAACATGGTGAAACCCCGTCTCTACTAAAGATACAAAAAAATTAGCCAGGTGTGGTGGCAGGCCCCTGTAATCCCAGCTATTTGGGAGGCTGAGGCAGGAGAATTGCTTGAACCCGGGAGGTGGAGGTTGCAGTGAGCCGAGATCATGCCATTGCACTCCAGCCTGGGCGACAGGGCGAGATTTCATCTCAATAAATGAATGAATGAATCAATCAATAAAAATTTAAAAAATAAAACAGATGGAAAATTCTGTCCTGAGCACTTGGGGAAGGCAGGGCCAGGCCTTGCACTGCCGCACTCCCGGCTGGTGTTTTGACACCTGTGCTTTCAGCTCCCAGGAGCAGAGCTGGGCTTCACTCATCTTCCCCCTCCTCTGGCTTCCCCCCATGTGACTGCAGCCTACGTTTTAAAGATTTTTACATCAACTTTTAATTTCAGAATAGATTTAGACTTACATAAAGGTTTCTCTTCTTTTTTTTTTTCCTGAGATGGAGTCTTGCTCTGTTGCCCAGGCTGGAGTACAATGGCGCGATCTCAGCTCACTGCAACCTCCATCTCCTGGGTTCAAGTGATTCTCCTGCCTCAGCCTCCCGAGTAGCTGGGATTACAAGCATGTGCCACTGTGCCCGGCCTCCAGTTTTTGTACTTTTAGTAGAGACGGGGTTTCACCATGTTGGTCAGGCTAGTCTCAAACTCCTGACGTCATGATCCACCTGCCTCAGCCTCCCAAAGTGCTGGGATTACAGGCATGAGCCACCGTGCCCGGCTAAGACTTACATAAAGGTTTCAAAATGAACCCGAGAGTCCTGTTAAGTTTTCACCGAGGAGGCCTGGGGCATGAGTCCATACAGCAAACTGCAGCCTGGCATGGCCTGAAGGCCACAGAAGGCTGGCCTCTTGTCACAGGGACTGGGTCCAGGTCACCGCAGCTGCCAGCTGTCAGTTGCCAGTGGCCGCTGATTTCAAGGCAAAGTGCCCAGCGGCCACCACCAAAACTGCCTCTGCGCATCACTTCCGTTTCCATGAACGTTGTGCAGCTCCAGGTCTGAATTTGTCCTGGTTCTAAGCCAATTTCAGAATTGTGAATGAAAGCCAATTAAGATTTTTAAGTTGAATTTGTTGCAATGTTGTCTCGTGACAGTTCCATACAGCCTGCACACAGTTTCTCTGATTATTTAACGTCTTACATTCGTGAGATGTGTTTGCTACCATTGATGAACTGGTATGTACCGGCAACTCTCTGTAATTTTTCTTTTTTTTTTTTTTTTTGAGATGGAGTCTTGCTCTTTTGCCAGGCTGGGTTCAACCTGGGAACCTCCTGGGTTCAAGCGATTCTCCTGCTTCAGCCTCCCTAGTAGCTGGGACTACAAGCACGCACCACCACACCCGGCTAATTTTTGTATTTTTAGAGATGGGTTTCACCATGTTGGCCAGGATGGTCTCGATCTCTTGACCTCATGATCCGCCTGCTTCGGCCTCCCACTGCGCCCGGCTGCATCTCACTGTAATTTTAATTTGCATTTCTCTGGTTCTACAGATGTTGAGCACTTTTCTGTGTTTTTTTATTTTTATTTTTTATTTATTTAGTTTTGAGTTGGAGTCTCACTCGGTCACCCAGGCTGGAGTGCAGTGGCAAGATCTTGGCTCACTGCAACTTCTGCCTCCCTGGTTCAAGTGATTCTCCTGCCTCAGTCTCCCAAGTAGCTGGGATTACAGGTATGCACCACCACATCCAGCTAATTTTTGTATTTTCAGTAGAGACAGGGTTTTACCATGTTGGCCAGGCTGGTCTTGAACTCCTGACCTCAGGTGATCAGCCTGCCTCAGCCTCCCAAAGTGCTGGGATTACAGGTGTGAGCCACCGCACCTGACCCCCACCTTTCTATGTTTATTGGCCATTTGTGTAATATCTTTTTTTTTTTTTTTGAGGCAGGGTTTCACTCTATTGCCGAGGCTGAAGTGCAGTGGCATGATTTTGGCTTACTGCAACCTCCGTCTCCTGGGTTCAAGCGATTCTCCTGCCTCAGCCTCCCAAGTAGCTGGGATTAGAGGGCCCACTACCACACCAAGCTAATTTTTGTATTTTTAGTAGAGACGAGGTTTCACCATGTTGGCCAGGCTGGTCTTGAACTCCTGAGCCCAGCTGATCCACCCACTTCGGCCTCCGAAGCTCCTGGGATCACAGTTGTGAGCCACTGCACCCAGCCATGAATGCAAATCTTTTGTCAGAGATATCTACAATGAATATTTTTCCCAGTCTCTGGATTGCCTATTCATTTTCTTCATGGTATCTTTTGATCAGCAAAAAAAAATTGATTTTGATAAAAATCTACTTTGCTATCAATTTCTTTTCTTGTATGTCTGGTGTTTCTGTGACCTGAAAGAAGTCTTTGCCTACCCCAAATTGTGACGATTGTCCCTCGTCTTCTTCCAGAAGGTCTTGGATTTTATGTTTAAGTCTATGTGACTCATCTTGATTTCATTTTTGTGCAGAGTGAAATAAAGTTAAGGTTCAATTTTTTTCTTTCTTTCTTTCTTTTTTTTTTTTGAGACAGCCTGTTGCCCAGGCTGGAATGCAGTGGCACAATCTCGGCTCACTGCAGCCTTCACCTCCCAGGTTCATGTGATCCTCCCACCTCAGCCTTCCGCTCCCAAGTAACAGGGATTACAGGCATGTGCCGCCATGCCTGGCTAATTTTTGTATTTTTAGTAGAGACAGGATTTCGCCATGTTGCCCAGGCTGGTCTCAACCTCTCAGACTCAAGAAATCCTCCTGTCTCAGCCTCCTGAGTAGCTGGGACTATAGGTGCGTGCCACCATGCCCAGCTAATTTTCAAAAATTTTTTTATAGAGACAGGGTCTTGCTGTGTTGCCCAGGCTGGTCTCCAACTCCTGGGCTCCCAAAGTGCTGGGATTACGTGAGCCACGACACCCGGCCTTAAAAGGATTTTCTACATGTCGGATCATGTATGTCTTCCTTTCCTTTTCCTGCCCTATTGCCCCGGGACTTCCTGCACGGCGCAGAGGGAGGTGGCGAGAGAAGCCCCCGGCCCTGCTCCCCACCTCGGCCGGGGCCTTCTGTGTTTCACCATCAGCCATGGCTTCAGCGATGGGTTTGGATAGATGGTCTTGTCGGTGTAGTTGGCTCCCTTCCATTGCTGGTTTGCTGAGAGTTTGCACCACGAACGATGACGCATTTTGTCATGATTTTGCCTGAGGGGATTACATGGATTTTTTTCTTATTCTGTTAACATGAATGTGAAAGTTGTCAGAATAAATATAAGGTCACTGGTGTTAAAACAACAACAGGCTGGGCACGGTGGCTCATGCCTGTAATCCCAGCACTTTGGGAGGCTGAGGCAGGAGGATCACCGGAGGTCAGGAGTTCCAGACCAGCCTGACCGACACGGTGAAACCCCGTCTCTACTAAAAATACAAAAATTAGCCTGGTGTGGTGGCATGTGCCTGTAATTCCAGCTACTCGGGAGGCTGAGGCAGGAGAACCGCTTGAACCCGGGAGGCAGAGGCTGCAGTGAGCCGAGATCGCACCACTGCACTCCAGACTGGGCAACGAGAGCAAAACGGCATCTCAATAACCAATAAAACACCACCACCACCACCACCAAACCGTGACAAACAGAGCTGGGCGAGGTCCTGAAGAGATGTGTCATGCCTGTGCCTGAGGAAAAAGACTATGGGCACCACAGCCCTGCACGAAGGCCTTGAGACCCAAACAATGCTTCTCCAAGGACGTCTGCTCAGCCACCGCCTGTCCAACCTCTGACTGGCCTCACCCCAGCTGTTGGTATTTGTAGCCAAGGATAATTTTCAAAACAACATGATTCTCCCCATTTTCCCTTAGAAACCCTCCTCTTCCTTTCCCTACAGGAATATGCACGTAGTTTACAGAGGCCAAGCATTCCCTTTGCAGCTTGCTAGTCCCAAATAAACAGCTCTTCTTTTAGGGAGTCCCTCTCTGTCTGTTAGTTAGCTGGACATGGTAAATTATGCTGATTGACTTTAGAAAGCTGAATCCTGGCCGGGCACAGTGGCTCACGCCTGTAATCCCAGCACTTTGGGAGGCTGAGGTGGGTGGATCACGAGGTCAGGGGTTTGAGACCAGCTTGGCCAATATGGTGAAACCCTGTCTCTACTAAAAATACAAAAATTAGCCGAGCGTGGTGGCGCGCACCTGTGATCCCAGCTACTTGGCAGGCTGAGGCGGGAGAATCACTTGAACCTGGGAGGCGGAGGCTGCTGGGTTGCAGTGAGCCAGAATCGCACCACTGTACTCCAGCCTGGGTGACAGAGCAAGATTCCATCTCAAAAAAAAAAAAAAAAAAAAAGGGGCCAGGCACAGTGGCTCACACCTGTAATCTCAGCACTTTGGGAGGCCGAGGTAGGCGGACACAAAGTCAGGAGATTGAGACCATCCTGGCTAACACGGTGAAACCCTGTTTCTACTAAAAATACAAAAAAATTAGCCGGGTGTGGTGGTTGGTGCCTGTAGTCCCAGCTACTCAAGACGCTGAGGCAGGAGAATGGTGTGAACCCGGGAGGCGGAGCTTGCAGTGAGCCCAGATCCTGCCACCGCACTCCAGCCTGGGTGACAGAGCGAGAATCCATCTCAAAAAAAAAAAAAAAAAGGAAAAAGAAAGCTGGATCCCTTGCCTTCCTGGGATAAACTCCCCTTGGTGTTGATGTATTATCCTCTTTATATATTGCACAATTCGATTTACTTTGCATTTATTTCATTACAACTTTTGTGTCTATGTGTTTAAAAAAAATTATTCTATTTGCTTTTTTTTTTTTTTTTTTGAGACGAAGTCTCGCTTTATTGCCTGGGCTGTAGTGCAATGGCACGATCTCGGATCACTGCAACCTCCGCCTCCCAGGTTCAAGTGACTCTCTTGTCTCAGCCTCCCAAGTAGCTGGGATTACAGGTGCACCCCACCACCCGACTAATTTTTGTATTTTTAGTAGAGACGGGTTTTCACCATGCTGACCAAGATGGTCTCAAACTCCTGACCTCAAGAAATCCGCCCTCCTTGGCCTCCCAAAGTGCTGGGATCACGGGCGTGGGCCACCACGCCCGGCCTCTATTTGCTTTTCAGGCAAGTGTTCTAGAAACTATTTTGTGTCCATGTCTGTGAGGAAAGTTGGCCTGTAATTTCCTTTTCCCATGATATCTCTTCTGGTTTTGAGCTTGTGGTAATGGTGGCCTCGAAACTTGTATTTCTGGGAAGAGTCTGTGTAGAATGGATATTATTTGTTCCCTAAATGTTTGGTTGCATTCACCAGGGAAGACATCTGGGCCAGGAATTGTCTTTGTGGGAAGGTTTTAGTTGTATATGGAATTTCTTTACTAGATCTAGGGCCATTTTGGTGATGAAACTTCTTCTGCCAGATCCAACAATTAGTGTCTTTCAAGGAATTTTTCTATGTCATCTAAGTTGGGAAATTTGTGGTCATAAAGCTGTTAATAAACTTGAGACGTTCACTGTCTCGCTGTCTGTGGGAGGTGAGATGGCGCCTCCTCTCCTTCCTGACACTTTCACTCTGTCGGTGTCTGTGGGAGGTGAGACGACGCCTCCTCTCCTTCCTGACACGTTCACTCTCTCGCTGTCTGTGGGAGGTGAGATGGCGCCTTCTCTCGTTCCTAAACGTTCACTCTCTCGGTGTCTGTGGGAGGTGAGACAGCGCCTCCTCTCCTTCCTGACACGTTCACTCTGTCGGTGTCTGTGGGAGGTGAGATGGTGCCTCCTCTCCTTCCTGACACGTTCACTCTCTCGCTGTCTGTGGGAGGTGAGATGGCGCCTCCTGTCCTTCCTGACACGTTCACTCTCTCGGTGTCTGTGGGAGGTGAGACGACGCCTCCTCTCCTTCCTGACACGTTCACTTTCTCGCTGTCTGTGGGAGGTGAGATGGCGCCTTCTCTCGTTCCTAAACGTTCACTCTCTCGGTGTCTGTGGGAGTTGAGACGACACCTCCTCTCCTTCCTGACACGTTCACTCTCTCGGTGTCTGTGGGAGGTGAGATGGCGCCTCCTCTCCTTCCTGACACGTTCACTCTCTCGGTGTCTGTGGGAGGTGAGACGGCGCCTCCTCTCCTTCCTGACACTTTCACTCTGTCGGCGTCTGTGGGAGGTGAGACGGCGCCTCCTCTCCTTCCTGACACTTTCACTCTGTCGGCGTCTGTGGGAGGTGAGACGACACCTCCTCTCCTTCCTGACACGTTCACTCTCTCGCTGTCTGTGGGAGGTGAGATGGCGCCTTCTCTCGTTCCTAAACGTTCACTCTCTCGGTGTCTGTGGGAGGTGAGACGGCGCCTCCTCTCCTTCCTGACACGTTCACTCTGTCGGTGTCTGTGGGAGGTGAGATGGTGCCTCCTCTCCTTCCTGACACGTTCACTCTCTTGCTGTCTGTGGGAGGTGAGATGGCGCCTCCTCTCCTTCCTGACACGTTCACTCTGTCAGTGTCTGTGGGAGGTGAGACAACACCTCCTCTCCTTCCTGACACTCACTCTGTCGGTGTCTGTGGGAGGTGAGATGGCGCCTCCTCTCCTTCCTGACACGTTCACTCTCTTGCTGTCTGTGGGAGGTGAGACGGCGCCTCCTCTCCTTCCTGACACGTTCACTCTGTCAGTGTCTGTGGGAGGTGAGACAACACCTCCTCTCCTTCCTGACACTCACTCTCTCGGTGTCTGTGGGAGGTGAGATGGCGCCTCCTCTCCTTTCTGACAGTGCTGATTTGTGGTTTCTTCTTTTTGTTTCCTTTGATTCGTCCAGCTGGAAATCTGTGGGTTCTGTGGATCTTTCCGAATCACTCACTCTTGCTTTCCTTGATTTTCTCTGTTGTTTGTCCACTTTTTACTTCATTTCTGTCCACTCGTGTTTTCATTATTTCTTCTACCTTGTTTGTGCTTAATTTTCTTCCTTTAGTCCTTGATGGGGTCTGGAGCTCTGTCCTAAGGGGTCCTGGGTTCCCTGGAGGGGCAGGTTCGTTGGGGAACCCAGGGCTCTGAGTCCTGGCCCAGACTGTGATGGGGACTGAGGGGTGGAGCAAACCGGGGGCTTGGCGGCTTCTGCCCTTACCCAGGCCTCGGTGCTCCCTGGCCCCGGGTGGCTGTGTGCCTCCTCGGCCCCAGACATCCATGGTGGCCCTCCTGGGGATCCGGCAGCTGAGTGGGCTGGACATGGAGTTGTCAGCAGCCACAGGAGGGCAGCACAGCCCCAGGAACAGTCGTATGTGTGATAGAGTGTGTGAGAGCATGTATGTGTGTATGTGTGGGAGCATGCTTGTGTGGTGTGTGTGTGAGCATGGGTGCGTGTGTGCGTGTGTGAGCATGCGTGTGTGTGTGCGAGCATGGGTGTGTGTGTATGTGTGCGTGTGTGTGAGCATGTATGTGTGTGCATGTATGTGTGTGTGTGAGAGAGCATGTGTGCGTGTGTATGCGTGTGACCATGCCTGCGTGCGTATGTGTGTCAGCATGTGTGCAAGCATGGGTGCATATGTGTGCATGTGTGATCATGCATGCAGGTGTGTGTGTGATCATTTGTGCATGTGTATGTGTGAGCACGTGCGTGTGTTAGCACGTGTGTGAGCATGCGGGAGTCTGTGAGCATGCGTGCGTGTGTGTGTAAGCATGTGTGTATGTATGTGTGCGAGCATGTGTGTGAGCATGCATGCGTGTGTATATGTGTGAGCATGCATGCGTGTATGTATGTGAGCATGTGTGCATGTGTGCGTGTGCGAGCATGCGGTAGTCTGTGTGAGCATGCGTGTGTGTGTGCAGGCATGTATGTATGTGTGTGAGTATGGGTGCGTGTGTATGTGTGCACGTGTGAGCATGCATGTACGTGTATATGTGTGTGAGCATGCATGCGTATGTGTGTGTGAGCACGTGTGCTTGTGCGTGAGCATGCGGGCATCAGTTTGTGAGCATGCGTGCATGTGTATTAGTGAGCGTGGATGGGTGTGTGCAAGCATGGGCATCTGTGTGAGCATGTGTGCGTGTGTATGTACGTGTGTCTGCCAGTGTGTGCATGCACATGGAAGCATGTGTGTGTGTGTAAACCAAGTTTCTTCAAGGCATGCGTCTAACAGGGCTTCTCTGTTCCTCCCCATCTAGGGCCCCTCCCCTTCTCAGCCCCCTCCTCATCTGAGCACCCCAGGGCATTGAGGGCTACAGCCCTCCCACACGCAGCCTCCACTTGGCCCGGTGGGTGGCGCCAGGTGTCTGGGGAATGGTCGCAGGCCAGCGTGGGTGGGAGGAGACGCTTTGCTGGAAGACGCTGGAGGCCGATTCACCCCAACCAGTCCCTCTCCAGTCTCTCCTCT
Organism: Homo sapiens; assembly: GCF_000001405.40. Taxonomy (NCBI): domain Eukaryota; kingdom Metazoa; phylum Chordata; class Mammalia; order Primates; family Hominidae; genus Homo; species Homo sapiens. The sequence goes on along the minus strand of NC_000009.12, from coordinate 136,630,469 downwards.
GCTCGGGGGTCTTTGACTCCTTCCCCCACTCCCAGAGCCCCTGGCTCAGCTCCAGGAGCTGGTGGGCAGGGGGCACTGCCCAGCCTCTGCCTTGGACAGCTGAACTCAGAAGAGTTGTGTTTTCATTTCCCCTTGGTCATTTGTGAAGCCCTGGCAGGTGCAGGCTGGGAGTGGCTGTGGCCGGCAGGTGGGGGTGCAGGGGTGAGGCAGCGAGTGGTCCTACAGATATGCGGGCAGACATGGGCACAGCGGGACCCAGCCCAGCCTGGGAGGAGTGGGGAAGGGGAGACAGGAGTCTGGGGTCTAGGGGGTGAGAGCTGCTGAGGGGCAGCCTGGGGCTGGGCAGGACAGGCCCATGGGAGCCAGGTTGGGGGTCCAGTGTGAGATTCCCAGCACCAGACCCCAGTCCAGGATGGGTCTTGGGCACCGCAGTAAGGAGACCAGTGGGGGCTGTGAGGAGGAGACGGTGCCTGAGGGAGTGGAGCTGGGGACAGGGTGGTGTCGTCGCCCCCCTCCCCTCCCCCCTGCAACAGGCAGGGCTGGGGCCTTCACTGTGACACGCCTCGGTTGGGCAGCTGGGGTGATGGTGACCCAGCTGTGGGGAGCAGCTTAGTTTGAGAGGTTATGGGGTGCAGAGAGGAACTGTGCAGGCTAAGAAGCATTTGTGCTGTGCCAGGGTGGGTGGGGTGAGGTGTGCCCAATGCCCCAGGTCCCCCGCCCAACAAATCAGAGTCGCAGCATATGGCTGGCAGGGCCTTTGTTTGCCAAGAAGGGAGAAGGGGCTGGGAAGCCCTGACCGGGCCCAGGCTCAGGGGCCTTGGGCAGCCACCAGGCCTGGGTGTCCTAGCTGGATAGCCCTCGGCTGGCCCAGAGTGATGGGTCCTGATGCCACCAGGAAACCAAAGTGCAGAGTGGTGGGCACAGGGCCCAGGCGAGGACCCCAGTCTCCAGGGACCCCCCAGCAAGACAGGCACAGGTGCAGCCGCCTCCACCCTGCCCAGCCCTCTCAAGCCTTGTTCAGTGGCCCCGTGGCTGTTCCCACGATCCATCCCGGGGCCCCACTCCCCAGCTGGACACAGGACAGAGGCGGGGGAATCCCGGACACACAGGTTGCTGGGGAGAGGAGCCGAGGGCCCCAGGGGCAAACCCAGGGCAGGGAGCCTGTGGAGTTCCCGCTTGCTCACCTGTGCCATCAGCTGCAGCTTCTTCCTCGAGGTGCACAGGGCGGTGTCCGAAGCCAGGATTCTGAGTGGCTCTCCCAGTGTTCACAGGACAGGCAGGTCCATGAGGCAGGGTTGCTACCACCAGGCCCGGGGGGCCTGCCCTGCGTCCTTGAGGGGCTGCTGGGGGCCAAGGAGGGTGGGCGGGCCATGCCCAGGCTGGGGGTCAAGGGCAGAGGCCGTGGGAACCTGCGCAGTGACAGGAAACGCTGGGGCCTGATTGATGGCAGCTTCCCTGAGGGAGCAAGAAGGCAGGGGGAGGCGCTCGCCCACAGGTAGGGGGACAGAGGGCCGGCTGGCAGCTGGCCCGGCGTCTGTCCCTGGGCAGGCAGACCCCAGGAGGAGTCCCGGGAGAGAGGGCTGAGCTCTAGCTGGAAGACACAGTGATTGTGGGGCCGGGGGGAGCTGCCTCACCCCATCGCCTTTCTGGAATACTGGGTGAAGACCCCTTGACCGAGATGACACTCCCCTTTCCGCCAGCACCACAATTTCTTCCTTTGGCTTTTAGGAACCTCTCTGGAGACCCTCTTATCCAACCCTCCCTTGTACAGGTGGGGAAACTGAGGCCTGGGGCTCGGGCCAGCCACTTGATCTCCCCGGCAGCCAGCTTGGGCCTCAGCACCCCTGCTCACTGAGTCCCCAGAAAGCTGGACCCAGGCCCCACCGTAGCCGACCCCAGCAGCAGTACTTTCCCCGGAGCCCCAGCCCCCACCTTCCACGCGCCCCGCCCGCAGCCCCCAACTTCCACGCGCCCCGCCCGCAGCCTCCAGGATGTTGCGGGATCTCGTCCAGCTGCTGCCACCTCCGGCCGCTGTGGCCACAGGCACGGCTGCTGGGACCAGCTGGCCTCCACAACCGTCTCTGCGACCCCCCTTTCTTCCTGCCTCTTCTCTCCCGGCCCGATGGCTCTGAGACGCTTTTCTAACCCCTCTCTCGGTCCCCATCTCTGAGCTCTGGCATCCCCTGCGGGCCGACTCCGGCTTTAGGCCCGAACACCAGCACCTGGGAGGCTTGCAGGGCCTCACAGAAATATTTTAATTTCTTTTAAAATCAGGAGAAAAAAACTGAACTTTTAGGGCCAAGAAAATGCTTTAATACATAATATGAATATATTTGTCTTTATGCCAGCACAGACATAAAATATGATGTTGTTTACTACTTTTATTTTTGTGGAGGGGTGCTCAGGAAGATGCCCCGGCCCCATCCATGTGGCGCCGCAGCCCTGGCCCGAGCTGGCCCACCCCCGAGATGGCCACTGTGTTATCACCGCCTTGGCCGGGCCCACCCTGCCTGGCCTTGCAGCCCTGGGGGTGGAGCGAGTCTGTGTCTGTGCCGGGCAGATACAGTGATGGCACCTGCCGGTCTGGTGGCCCCGTCGAGGCGCCTCAAGGGCACCAAGCCCACCCATCATCTCCCTGCCCCATTCTCCAGGTCCTTTGGGCCCAAAGCCTGTGGGGTGGCCCCGTGGCTCCATGAACCTGGGGATCTTCCAGCCAACATCCGTCTCCCGGGGGCAGGGAGGGCTCCCCACGCTGCTGGTGCCAGGAGAGCTTTGAAGCACCCCAGAGGCACTGTAAACCAGGTAATGAGGGTGATTAAATCTCATTCAACTCAGAAAGGAAAAGGATCTTCTTCGGGGTGCCAGGAGCCGGCACCAGCCTGTGTCCTCCACCAGGCGGGGATGACCGTGAGAAGCACGCTAGGACAGGCAGGGCCTCGGCTTGGAGGCTGTGGAGCAGTGCTGATGCCTGCATTGCAATGAGCTTTGCATCCATCTCTGCCACACCTCAGGACGTAGGAACCATGAGTACCCGTCTTTGCAGCTGGGGAAACAGGCTCCACAGTTCCGCGGCTGCACCAGGTCATGGAACCCTTCAGGTGCCGCCACCACCAGGCAATGCTGCCTTCTAGGGGCAGAGCACGGGGCTCCCTGGATGGGCTCAGACTCGGCACTGGGCCTGCCTCTCCCTGGGGCTTCACTACCCCAGCCCCAGCCAGTCCTGGCAGCAGCAGGGAGCTGGGAGCCAGCCTCCAGCCCCTCCCCGTGCTCCAGCTGGGCTTCCTGGGTCCCCCCTGCCCCCAGTCCAGGTGTGGGCTGGGATGGTGTGGGGGGCGGCGAGGTGGGCAGGGCAGGGGGCTGGACACCACTTCTCTGGGCTTTTCTTGAGAAAGGGCCCCTCCAGCCACGCCCTCCTGGGCCGCTATCAGAAGCCAAACACAGAGCCGGGGAGTGTCAATACCTCAGGCCTCCACCTGGCAGCTGGTGCCCGTGAGCCAGGGGCCAGGCGGGAACTCCGTAGACCCCTCTGAGCCCAGAGCTCTGTGCTATTTTTAACACCACTGGGAGAAGTCAGGCAAATAGTGTGGGCCCCTCCCCACAGCCCTGTGACCTCCACCCCTGTGTTTGCACTCTCACTGGGCAAACAGGCGGCGATAAGGCAGAGATTAGAGGATCGCTCAGCTCCCAATAAACAGCTTCTTCTCCCCCAGCATGGGATTCCCAGCACCAGACCCCAGGCTGGCAGCTGCAAGGGCTGAGAGTGCAGGTGCCCCCGCCCTGCCCCCACCCCTGCCCCCGCCCTGCCCCCACCCCTGCCCCCGCCCTGCCCCCACCCCTGCCCCGCCCTGCCCCGACCCCTGCCCCGACCCGTCGTGGCTCTGGCTTCCCGGTCCGAGGCATCTCCGGCACCCCGGGGCACACCACCAACCCAGGAGCCCCTGCCACCCCCGCAGTCCCACCCTGCAGGTGGGCATCTGCCGGACGGGGTTGGGGTTTGTCTCCAGCAAGGGCCAACCAGGTTGGGTTTGGATGGACATGGTTGGAGCTCGGCCACCATGCACCTGCTGTCTGCTTTGCCGTTGCTGCCCCGTCCAGCCTGGCTCTCCACCTTTTGGTGCTGGCTAGGAAGAGTTGAGGTGGTGGAGGGGACGTGCTGACACACAGCAGGCACTTGGCAAGCCGGCGACCTGGCCTCCCAGCCCCACACTGGCCTGCCTGGCTCCCTCAGCTGCCCTCCGGCCTGCGCCTGGCCTCCCTCCTGCACCCGCTCCAGCTGGCCCGAGTTCCCTTGAAAGTGCAGGGCCAGGAGGGGACATGGCAGCCAGGGAGGCATGATGGGGCCCAGCAGAGTCGACAGTCACTTCCAGAGTGGCGGGAGGCGCTCGCCCTCGGCAAATGCCACTCGGGATGGACTCAGTCTGGGGTTTGGGCAGAGTTTGAGTTGGAGATCCGCAGAGCTGAGGCTAAGGTTGGTTTGGAGCCAGGGTCAGTCTGTGCCTGGGATCAGAAGCCAGGCTCTGATTGAGGTCAGAGGTCACCCCGTGGCTGGGATGGGAACTCATTCTGTGCCTGGGTCAGGGCTCAGGCTATGGCTGGGAGCAGAGTTTAGTTTGTAGCTGGGATCAGGGGTCAGTCTATGCTTTTGACCAGGGCTCAGCTTAGTCTGGGATCAAGGGTCAATTTGGGCTGGTGATGGGGGCTCAGTCTGTGACCAGGGTGAGGGGTCGACCTATAGGTGGCCTCAGGGGTTAGTCTGCGGCTGGGGTAAGGACTTGGTGTATGGCTGGGATGAGGGTTCAGTGTGTGACTGGGATCAGAGGCCAGCCTGTAGCTGGGATTAGGGATGAGTCCATAGCTGGAGTAGACACGCAGACTGTGTCTGTCAAGACTTAATCTGTAGCTCGGATCAGGGCTCAGACTGTAGCTGAGATTAAGGATCAGACCAGGGCAGGGGCTGGAGTTCAACCTGGTCTGGACAGTCTCTGCCCCTGCCCCGGCCGCCCATTTTTCCCCAGCTGTCCTGGGTCAAGTTGCTGCAGCTGAACTTTGCTTCCTCTTTGGATCAGAGCGTTCTTGGCCAGCACCCAGCAGCTGATTCCCCAGGGGAGAGGCCCCGTTCCCGCCAGCCACATTCCCACGCCGGCCTGGGAGGCTGCCAGAGAGTGGCTGGGTGTCGGGGGCTGCCTCCCAGGGGACCTGCCTCTCACCCTGCCCAGCTCTGAGGACAGCACGAGATTCCTGCAGATGGAGCTCCTAACCTGTGAGTTCCCTTCCCCAGAGCCCAGTGTCCCCGTTCCCGCCTTCCTGCCCAGGGCGAGGGGCCGGGGAGATGGAGGGCTTTGCAGGCCTGCAGACCAAGGTGGGAGAGGCCGGGCGCTTCCCCCAGGTTCTGTGACTCAGGAAGCCAGCCATGGGTCTGTATCTCCCTGGGCCTCGGTTTCCCCAGGAACAGAGTGGGCAGGGGTGATGGCTGGACGGGAGCCATCCAAGGCCCCTCTGGCCTGTCTCTCATCCCAGTGTGACAAATCTGACTGGCCAAGGATGCACGGGGGCCTTGGCTGCTCCTGGGGGCTGACAACAGCCTGGGTCCCTATAGACCCATTGAGGCAGGTGGGTCCCAGGAGGAGCCAGTTTGTCCTTAGAACCAGAGGCCCATCCCAGGAGTCTGCGGGTGAGACCTCCAGGTGAGGCATCACCTCCAGCGGGTTCGTGCAGGGGTCGAGGCCTGTGTGGCCAGAGGGGCCCGGCTGGCTCTGAGAGACTGGCTGGCGGCTGGAGCAGGTCTGGGGCAGGTGCACCGTCTGAGGGTGACTCCGCCCAGCTCCCAGCTCCAGGGGGCTGAGGAGCCCCAGCAGTTCTGGGTGGACAGCTCTGAGGTCAAAGCCTGGGGCTGGGTGAGGCTGAGAGCCAGGGGCCACAGGGCTCCATCCCCAGTCCTCAGGCTCAGGGGCCCTTAGGAATTCCTGACTGCACGTCCTGAAGGCACAGCCACCACACAGCTGGGCAAGAGTCCCTAGTGTGCGGCTTCCTCCTGGGAGCCTCCCAGCAGCTGACGTGGCCCCGTCATCCCACTCTCCAGAGAGTAGCGCTGAGGCTGAGATGCTGCTGACCATCCCAGGCCCTGACAAGGCGTGGTGTGTGCTGTGCGCACAAGATCCCACATGGGTGCTCTGACCAGGTTCCCCAAATTCAAAGGGAGAACATGGAGGACCAGGGAGGGACAGGGCCTTGGCCCAGGTCTCTAGGTCCAAGTTTTGGGAGCTGCCTCTCTCTGATGCCCCCTGTCCTCTCTGGGGACCGAGCAGGCTGGGACATGTGCAGTGGGGGCTGGGCCTCCTGCAGCCCCACGAGATCCTGCAGCTGCTCAGCCGGTGTTGCAACCGGGCTCCCCCACTCCAGACGTGTCCCAACCTGCAGCGGCCCCTGCCCCTGGGCCCAGAGGAAAGCCTCGCCCGCCTTCCCAGGGCCAGGACAAGCCCCAGCGAGGCCTGGCCCCCGTGCCAGCTCTGAGCGTGAGAAAGTGCTGAGCCGGGGAGGAGGGTGTGGAGTGGCTCCAGGTGAGTGCCCACCTTCTTGAGCCCAGCCCCCAGCTTCTGCCCTTCCTGGCCGCTGACCCTGGCCCTGTCCTGGAGCTGGGGCAGAGAGTACCAACCTCCAGCCCCTCGGGGGCTGGCCCCTGGCTGCAGCTCCCACGCCTGCCCCTCAGCTCTGCCCCTGAAGCAGTGCGTGGCTGCACACAGCTGGCGCTAAATAGCTGTCTCCATCAGGACAGGAGGCAGAGCTGGGTGTCTGGCCATGTGGCCAGCAGGGGTCTGTAGGGGTGGAGGAGGCTCGCCAGAGCAGTTCCTTCCTTGTTGGAGTCACTGATCTGGGCTGTGGTGGGCCCTGGGTCAGGTGTGGGGCCTGGGCCACCCCAGAGATCCCTGCTGTCCTGCTGTCCCAAGAGCCAGACACAGAGCCCAGAGTCTTTGGGCCTCCTTGGCAGCCCTGGGGTTCCCAGGATAGGGAGCCCCACATTCCCAGCATTCACCCAGGGCCCCGGGAGCACCGAGGCCTGGTCTCTGGGTCCCAGGAGTGGCCCCGGGTCCTTCGTGGGCCACTGGAGAGAAGGAAGGAGAAAGGAGGAGGGGCCCAGAGCCAGGAGTGCACGGGGCCTCCCTGAACCCTGACCCTGAGGGGCATGAGCCCACGGTGGGTGTGGGGCAGGCGCCCCGTCCTCTGAGCAGCCAGCTGTGGAGGATGCTGCCCGGGCATGTGCCCGCTCTCCACACCAGGAGCTGCCTGGTGGGAACCGGCCGGGGCTGCCCTGAGAGCCCAGCAGCATCAGAGGCGGGTCCCCCATCACGGGGCTCTGGCTGGAGCCTCCTAGGCCCACTGGCTTCAGACATATTGTCTGCTTCACACATGGGGAAACTGAGGCACCCAGCAAGGATGCAGCTGACCTAGGCCACCCAGTCTCTGCACCACAAAGGGGCTTCCAACGGCCCCAGAGCCCACCAGGCCCATGAAGGCCCCTCAGGACTCCCTGTAGGGGGCTCAGCCTTGGCCCCAGCAAGACTGGGGAGACACCAGCTTTGCCCAGGAGCTCCGGGGAGGCTCCCGGGAAGAGGCGTTTCATGCCCCAGGCGGCTGCAGACCGACCGATGTGCCTGAGAGACAGCAGGGGCGGCACCGTGGCTAGGGAGAGCGGTGCCCGGGCAAAGCCCCTGCACAGAAGAGAAGATCCAGGCTGCTCCCCACGTGTCTGTGTGATGAGGCAGAAGAGGCAGGGCGCAGGTCCTGGGGGCTACAGGACTCAGGAGCCTGAGGCATGGGGCTGGGCCTGGCGTCCCGCCCGTGCCCTCCCTGGTGGGCCGCAGGTCTGTCCTCACCTGCCTTGGGCTGTGCTGGGCCCTGACCAGAGGATCCCCTGGGCCTGTCTGCCCCCCAGCCCTCGGCTCACTCAGCACTCTAGTCCTGGACCCTTCACCAGCAAAACCTGGCTTCCACAAGCCTCAGTGTGAGGGGCTCCTGTCGGACCCTGGAGATTCCAAAGTGGTTTTATTTAGGCCACTCCAGGCGTGGCAGCACCCAACGACCAGGGGAGAAGATGTCCCAGGGACCACACAGCGATGGCACGTGTGACCGGGCACTGATGGGGACAGCAGGGTGGCTCGCTGGCCTGGCTCTCGGAGGAGTCACTCGGGATGAGGTGGGGGGTTGGGGGACAGGCAGGGGCCAAGGACTCGAACTTCATCCCTCGGGCAGGGGTGGGTTTCGCTGGTGCACGAAGACGTCCAATTCACACCTTAGAAAGATGCCCCGGGTCCTGTGAGCAGTGCTCAACCTGCACAACCACACGCTACCAGGTTCAGCCTGGAGGATGGCAGGGGCCTGGTCCTGGGGTAGAGAGGAGGTTGCCCACCTTCAGGAGCCTCCTGATCCCATGGCCAGCCCCTCCACCACTGAGCCCACCTCGAGCATCCTGCCCCGGCAGCTTCCCCCACAGGGAGGGGCCACCCTTGTTTATGGCCAGGTCACCACGGCTCCTTCACCATCTGCTGCAGAGGAAGGAAGGCCCCCGTTACCCACCCCACCTGCGGCGGCCGGCGCTGGGAATGGGAAGCCGAGGGGACCAGGCCACCTGTTCCCAGCCTAGGAGGAGCAGGGGGAAGGTGAGGCTGGGCTCAGCTAGACATGAGCCTGTGGGCCTCCAGCCAGGTTACCCCCACCCAGCCCCACGAGCCCACCCAGCCCTGCCTCTTCACCCTGGCTCTGATCGTGTCCTGGAGAGGCGTCCTGAGCCCCATACGTGCCTGGGCAGAACGCACCATCTCCCCCGACACCCAGGGTCCCTGGGGTGAGGGCAAGACTCCACACCCAAGGGTCCCTCCCCTTCCCCCATGAGCCGAGAGGGGCTGTGCTGGGGAGGTCAGCCTGGGGACAACGTGGGCCCTGGGAGACGTGGTTGTTCACAGCCTTCCCTGCCTGTGAGAGGTGGGATGGCTCAGACTCTAGCAGCCGTGGGCCAGGCTGGGGCTGCCACAGCCCACGCATCTGGTGAGGGTCCCGGCAGAGCATCCTGTTCAGAGGCGGGAAAGCCACAGTACGGGGGCCTTGGTGGACCTCACTGCCGAGGGTCTGTGTACAGAGCACCTTTTCCCAAGGAGCCGTGGCAGGGCAGGACCCCCGCCGCCTCCCAGAACCAGCAGGTCTCCACGGGGTCCTTGTGCCCGGTGCGCCCTCCCCGTGGGAGAGGAGCCTGCGGAGAGGGCGGCCGGCAGGTTGGGGCCTGAGCCGGGGAGTCAGATTTCTGCCTCAGCACTCAGGCGGGTGTCGCAAGAGCAGAGAAAGGTTGGCCGCAGGCGCTGGGTGGGCCTTAGGGGGGCCTGAAAGGACTTTCGTGTGGGAAGAGGGGGCTTTCTGGAATCCCAGGACCCCCCACACGGGCGAGGCAGCCGCACTCTGCCCGGGGGGCCCCAGGTGGCGGTGGGGTGGGCATCTCCTCCCCGTCCCCAGAAATCGCACGCTGGGCCCGGCGCGGAGGGAGGCACTGGCTCCTCCCGGCAGAGGCCTGCGGGCTGGGGATGCCGCAGGGGTGGCCCCATGGGCACAGGGGGCTGCGGCCTCCGTCCTGAGGTCCCCTCTCAGGAGGAGAGCCCCTGGGGGCCTGCAGGGGTGCAGCCGCATGCAGAGGCCACTGCGAGGGTCTGGGAGGAGGAGCCCCCTGGGAAGCGGAGCTCAGTGTGGGCCCAAACGCTCCTGTGACCCCAGCAGCTCGCCCCCTTCTCTGGGCCTTGGCGTGCTTCCTCCAGGGGCTGCCCAGGCTGCCAGGCTCTGCCGAGCTGTGTGGAGCCCCCGGGCGTCCCCTCCAGGTGCCCTGGGCAGACATGGAGCGGCTCTCCAGCCCAAGCCGGCCCTGCACTCAGGTCTCAGCGTCCATCTCTGCTGTGGGCGACTATCTCGGGTGGGACCAGGCCACTCCAGATAGCAGGCGCTGGTTGTGGGGGGCTGGAAATGCCCCACACCCCTCTCCGGCCTCCGGCCTGGGTCTGGCAGGGGCCCAATAACTGGCCTGGCTGGGCCTTTGGGGTCTGTGGCCCGAGCTCTGTCAGGGGAGCTGAGACAGACACGGTCCAAGCGGCACCCCCAACCCCAGGTCAGCCTGGCGGAGGCCCGGGAGTCCTGAGGGAGGGTCTGCAGCCCCCTCCCCACTTCCTCTCCCCTGCACACTCCAGGCTGTCCTCTGCAAGGCCGTCACTCCGGGAGACACGGGCCTCCTGCCTCTCTTCTTCCCTCACCATGCAGGGGCAGAGACTGGGGAGGGTCCTGCGGGGCCAGGAGAGATGTTCAGTTTTCACTGTTCTTGGACTGTGACCCCAGCTGGGTGGGTTCGACCTGGTGGGACTGGCCCAGGCCACCCTGGCTCTTGGGCAGCCTCCTGGGTGGCCCCTCGGCCTGCCCCTTGCGTGTGGCCATGGGCAGCCAGCCTTCCGGGCCCCAGTTCGTTGCACAAGTTCCTGGGTCAACACAAACAACCGCGGTGCACCACAGAGTTCCCGGCCCGGCTTCCTCTCCACTCTGTGCGCAACCTCTGGACGGTGAGCGCCGCTGGCCCAGGCCCTGGTCAGGTGCCGGCCTCTGACTGCTCTGTGGTCACAAGTCACTGAAGCAGCTGGGCTCTGTGGGTCGGGGCCAAGCACCGCAGCCTCCTCTGGGGGTGCCAGTAGTGCAAGGCGGCTCCCTGTGCCTGCCAGGGCTCAGTCCCCAGACCACCGGCCTCACCAGTGAACACAGGGACATGACGCTTACACCCATCTGGAAAGTGGGGAAATGCACACGGGGGCTCCAGTGCTTCCTGGCCATAAGCTCATCTGTTTCTGGTGAAAAGAACCCAACCAAACCCACGTGGCAGGACTGGCGTCTTCTCCCTAGCTCAGAGAAACTGAGACCCAGAGACATGCCTAGCCTCCAAGGGTCCCTAAAATTCCTCCCCCTCTTCCTCCCGTGGCAGGACTGGCCTCTTCTCCCTACCTCAGAGAAAATGAGATCCAGAGAGGTGCCTAGCCTCCAAGGGTCCCTAAGGCTCCTCCCCCTCTTCCTCCTCCTCCTTCAGGAAGTCCTCCTGGACTGCCTCACCCAGAAGGGGTCTCGGCCTCCCTGGGCAATGGGGCACCCCCTACTGATGCCCTTTTCTGGCTATTTGAGGACAGTTGGTGCATCCAGTTCTTCCCTGTCTCCCCCCACTGGATTTGGCATACATTAGGCGCTCCATAAATGTTTGCCCATTGCTTGGCCCAACTCACATGCCTCTCTAGGTGGAAGGTGTGCTCATCTCCACCCGGACAGCGTATGTGTGCCAGCGAGGGCTCTGGTCTCCTGGCCTCCCCACCTTTGCTCCCAACGTGCCGTCAGCCAGAAAGCCAGGAAGCTGTTCCCGCAGGAAAGTGGCAGCCGGGAGAGCAGGGGCAGGCCAAGGACCTCAGGCACCCCAGGCCTCCGCCTCCTCTCCTGGGACCCGCCTCCCTCACACTCCCTCCTTGGCCCCAGGGGACATCTGAGGTGGGGGCTGCAGTGTCCTGGCGCCCAGGCTGAGTCTCCACTGCCCAGACTGCCCCGTGCTCCTGCGTCCAGAGCCGGCATGTCCTGGCCCAGCTGCGGCTGTTGGGCTGTGGCTCAGAGCCTGGCCTCGGGGCCGGTGTGACTTGGGTGGGGTTCTGCCACTTGCTGGTGGTGTGACCCAGCCAGCAGCCTCGGCTTCTTCACCACTTCCCTCACAGGATAAGGAAGTGAAAGATGGCAGGTGCTTACGGAGCAGTGGGCGCCCACGGAGACTGGCCACGGCCACGCAGGGGTGCAGGGGGATGGCCAGGGTCCCGTCCACGTGGGACTTAGGTCTCACTTAGTTCCAAGGAGAGCTGTGCCCCGGGAACCGGCCTCCATGCTGCCTGCACCACCAGCTCCTGCGCCTCGAGGGGCCGCACCCGGCAGAAGTGCCTGGTGTGGGGCCTTCGTCGAGGCAGGTCTTGGCTGGCAGCACCTGCCACAGGCCTGCGCTGGGTTCAGCACGTGCTTCACAAAACAGCAAGTAATGCCTGCACTACAGAGGAAAATTGGCCAGTGCGGAGGTGGGAGGAGAGGAAAAAACAGGGCTGGGCTGGCTGGAGATCCCCGCTGGGGCTGGTGGCCCCCCAGGCCTCCCCCAGGTGGTTCTCACACAGGCAGAGCGGCCGGGCAGGACTTCCCAGCACCTGTGCCTTTCCCCCAGGTGACAGCAGGCCAGACACCACGTGCTGACAGTGACTCTGAGTTTGTGTCGCCTTTTCCTTTAAAAGAATGACCTCTCCTTCAGCCCAAACCCTCTTCCATACACCTCGGCAAGCCCACCTCTTCCCTAGCTTCTCCTAGGCTGGCTGTGGCTGGTGTGGGTGCCCGGCTGACAGCCCCACCTAGGGCCCTCTCATGTCCTTCTGGTTTTGGCTGCTGGGGAGTTTACTGCCCTGGAAGGCAGTTTCCACACTAGCTCTCTGCCAGCCGCTCTCTGCACCTGCCTGGGAGGCCTCCAGGCACGCCCCTGCCCAGCCTCTTCATGTGGGAGTCCCAGGGGCAGCAGCCGCCGGGGCCAGGCCTTCCGGCCAAGCTCAGATGCCTGCTCTTTCCAGAGCCTCCCGATCGCCCCAAGTAGAGGAGCCTACAGAGCTGCCCCCAGCAAGGAGCCTCTTCTCACCCACGATCTCTTTCATTTTGCAGCGGCTCAGGGTGCCGCCATTCTCTCCAACTCACAGGGGAGAGGACAGGACAGAGACACTCACCGGAGGGCACCTGGTCTGGAGGGGCCGCCTCCTTCAGCTCCAACCAGCCCCAGGCCCTGCAAAGCCCCTGAGGGCCAGGCCCACCCGATGCTGCTCGACTCAGTAGCCTGGCCCAGCGTGGCGGCACAGCTTGCAGGAGGCACGAACCTGTTCCCAGCACACGGGCCCCACCACTTCCCGCCATACCGTTTGGGGCTCGCGTCTCCTGTGTGGGTGCTGGTCCCAGACCTGGGGCCTGCCAGTCCCCACACCAGTGCCATCGAACTCCAAGGGCCCTGTCCTCCCCACTCCGCCACACCCCGTGGGCGGCCCACATCTCCTGCACGGCTCTCAGCCCCTCCCCCTGCAGTCCTGAGGGTCTCCCCATAATGGCCCTCTTTGGCACTTCCTAAACCCAAAGAGGCAACAGATCAGAGACAGGCAGGGCTGGCCGAGGCTCCTGCAGGGAAGTGGGCAAGGCCCTCCCTCAGGCCTGTGCCCCCAGCCCCCAATCCCACACCCCCATCACCCCCAGGTCGCCCTGCAGGCACTGTGTGTTTGGACAGCTGGAAGCAGAGCTCGGCCTGTGACCTGCCTGGTCCAGCAACTGGACCTTCTGGAGGTGAGCCTGGGAGTGGCCGAGCAGAGGAAATCACCCCCATGGGGAGGTAGGGGAGGGGTGAGGCCCCCCCCACCAGGTTCTGGAATGTTCCGTGGGCTGGATCCTGGAGAACCCACTTCTCTGGGCTCCAGAAAGGCAAGGGCAATGTTTCTTTGACCTGAGAAAGCAAAGCAGCCCCCCGACATCCTTCCACACACTCATCCCCTCTGGTGGGGAGCCGGGGGGACACATATGAGATGGACAGGGTGGGGGCCCACACCCCAGGCTACTCGGACAGCAGGGGTCAATCCCGACGGGCTGGAGAAACCTCAGGCCCCAAGTGCACCAATGGCCCAGATGGCTGGAGACCTCTTCCTTTGTCTCCTCTGTCTCCAAGATCCAGGAGCCCAGGCTCAGCCTGCGAACCACCTGGCCCTGGCCCTGGAGGGGGATGGGGAGGGTCTGTGACCATCCTGGGGGGTATCTGCGCCCCCTTCTTCTACCTGGGGACAAGGGCGCGAAGTCCCATGCAGCCCCCATGCAGCCTCACGTGCCTGACGATGGGAGCCAGGCCAGCCCCTCACACGGGTGCTCCTGGGCAGCCTCTCTGGTAGCCTGGACGAGTCACCCCAGGGGCACATGCTCCAGGCAGCCCCCTCACCTCAGGGGGCATGGGAGGCGCTGGGGGTCTTCAGCTGGTGATGGGGTGACTGACGAGGATCAGCCCCAACCCCGGGGTCCTCTGGCCGCTGGCAACCGGAGCACTCCCCCAGTTGGAGCTGAACCATGACTCCAGTCCTTCCCAAGAGATGGTGGGGAATCGTCACCATGGCTGGAGTCCCGCAGACTGGGCAGGCCAGACAGGCCCTTGGAGGAGGCTGGTGGGATCCGAGTGGGCAGAGGGGAGACGGAGGAGGGAAAGGCAGCCCCAGCCTGCGGTGGTGCTTGTCCTGGGCGGGAGGGGCCCTGCTGTCACTGACGTGGGAACCACCGAGTCACCGGAGGGGCAGGGGCAGAGGGGTCTCGGTGGAAAGGGGGTCCCCAGAGGCCTTGGGAGACGGGGGAGGTGCCTAGGGCTCTCTGGCCTTGGTCTCTACCAGCTCAACGAGGGCTTTGTTCCAGGGGCCCCTGGGTCCCTCTGCCTCCAACAATCTGGGCTGCGTTTTCTGAGCACCTACTGTGTGCTGGGTGTGGGCGTCCGGGCAGGCACTGACTAAGCCTTGTCCCTCCCCAGAGTCACAGTGAGACACACAGCCACATCCTGTAAATGAAGACCTCGTGGCTCAGAGAGGTCAGGTAACTTCCCCAAAGCCTGTCTGGCCTCCCAGCACCATCCCTAGTCCCAGAGGGGAGGTGGAATGAAGGCAGGGCTAAGGCCAGGCTGCATGGAGGCAGAGGCACCTGCCGGCCTGCAGGACCAAAGGTTCTATTGGAGGCAGTGCCTGGGCAGACAAAGGCCCTCAGATTCACAAGCTGAAGCCCTAGCACCCAGGGCCCCAGTGTGCTACTGTGTTTGGAGACAGGTAAAGGTTGTCAAGGTAAGACAGGGTGGCCCTGATCCAATATGACTGGCGTCCTTGTAAGAAGAGGAGATTGGGACAGACACGCCCCGAGGGATGGCCATGTGAGGGCGCCTCAGGAAGACGGTGTGCAAGAGCGGGAAGCGGGGCCTCGGAAGAGCCAGCCCTTGGATCTCGGGCTTCCAGGAGAATCAGTTCCTGCAGTTGAAGCCACCAGGGTCTGTGCAACTTTGTCACAGCTGCCCGAGCTGACAAATTCACCTGACTTAAGCCCCCCGCCCCACCCGACCACAGTGTCACCCAGATGCTTGGCAGGTGCTGTGGCAGGGGCTGGGTCCCTGCTCGACCTTCGGGTGCCGGGGTGTCCCGTATAAGAGCAGCACAGCCACCGCCACGGCCACTCGCAGTTCCAGGCTCCGGGCAGCATCTGGGACCCCAGTTCCTGTTGTGAGAGGCTCCCCACTGCCATCCCACCCCCTGCAAGGTGCCTCGGAGAGCGGCTGGAGGCTGACGGGTCGAGGCCTGGGTTTTACGGTCCTGCCTGGGTTTCTGTGTGGCCTGGGGCTGCCTACCATCTTTCCCTCTCTGGTCCCCCCTACTCTCATATACCAGGCTGGGTGACTGGGGCCCAGGAGCGGCCCCCCCCTCCTCTGGGCTTCCTGGTGGCACCCCTGGCCTGACAGCCCCTGGGAAGGCCTCCCCTCTCCATCTCGGGGCCCAGCCCGGCCCCACCTGCTGAGCTGCAGCCTCCAAGGCCTCCTTCGCACGCGTGTCAGCTCTGACCTCAGGGCTCCCCACGCGTGTTCCCCTCTAGGAAGGCCCCCCCAGGGGCTCCCCAAAATCCTGTCCTCCCTGAAGCACCTGTTCTTCGTGCTCCTCCATGAGGGCCCGCACGGGGCCGCTGACCGCAGTCTCAGTCACAGCCTGGGAGCGCCTGGAGGTTGGGGGGCAGCAGGCGCTCAGTCAGTCCTCGGGTCACCATGGATGGCCTTGCTGTGTGATCCACACTGAGGCCCAGTGGTCAGCTGGGGGGCTGG
Source organism: Homo sapiens (assembly GCF_000001405.40). NCBI lineage: Eukaryota > Metazoa > Chordata > Mammalia > Primates > Hominidae > Homo > Homo sapiens. The sequence continues at coordinate 136,614,541 of NC_000009.12, read as the reverse complement.
ACAGGAGGCAGCCACTTCCTGGCCTGGCTGGTGACTCACAGGCCCGTTTCTGGGAAAACTCCCACCCACCCCCACTCAATCCGGATGGCGCAGAGCTCGCTGTGGGGACCAGCTGTGGGAAGTGCATTGTGATTAGGGGCCGGGTCTGGGGGTGGGGAAGGCGGGAGCCGGGGCGGAGGGTGGGGTGGGGTGTGGGACGTCTCCACCAGAGGCCTGCCTGGGCTGCTGAGCTGTGCATCCCGTGTGCCCTGACGCTCCACATGCTCCCTCACCGGGCAGGGGTCGGGGGCCCCGAATATCATCACAGGGAGACCACACGAGGCTCCTGCCTGAACCCCTCCTCAGGTCCCTCACGCTCAGGGGTGCCTGGCCCAGCCTCGCCTTGCCCAGCCTTGCCAAGGCCAGCACAGCCCAGGAGGTGCACCCCCTGGGGTCCCACAGCTCCGAGGGGCAGCGGGTGGCCGAGAATGAATCCGCAGGGCTCTGGCTGGATGCTGGAGGAAACAGGCTGCTTCCAAACGGGGCTAGGACGTGGGGACTGTCCCCCCAGGCTTCCCCGGCCAGAATCCAAATGCCATTTGCCCAGCCGGGCCCTGGAAAAACATCCTCTGGGAAGACTCCGGGGAGGGGAGGAGGCCTCTGGCTGGGTGGGGAGCAGGGCCCAGGCCTGCTGAATAAACACCCAGGGACCCTGCAGAGTGAAAACAGAGCCACAGCCGGCCAGCCCCTCCCAAGCCCATTTGGCTTCTGCAGCCCTGACCCTGCTCAGGGAGTCTGGGCAAGTCTTTTTTGTCTTAACAGCTTTATTGAGATACACAATTGGCCCTTGATCAATGGGGGACTCGGGCGCCAACCCCACACAAAGTTGAAAATCCTTCTATTTATATATATTATAAGGTCTCAAACTCTTGACCTCAAAAAAAATATATACATATATTTTTAGACAGTCTTGCTCTGTTGCCCAGGCTGGAGTGCAGTGGTGCAATCTCGGCTCACTGCAAGCTCCACCTCCTGGTTTCAAGTGATTCTCCTGCCTCAGCCTCCCAAGTAGCTGGGATTACAGGTGCACGCCACCATGCCTGGCTAATTTTTGTATTTTTAGTAGAGATGGGGTTTCACCATGTGGCCAGGCTGGTCTCGAACTCCTGACTTCAGGTGATCCGCCTGCCTTGGCCTCCCAAAGTGCTGGGGTTTCTATATTTATTTATTTATTTATTTTTTGAGATGGAGTCTCGCTCTGTCGCCCAGGCTGGAGTGCAGTGGTGGGATCTTGGCTCACTGCAAGCTCCGCCTCCTGGGTTCACACCATTCTCCTGCCTCAGTCTCCTGAGTTGCTGGGACTACAGGCGCCCGCCACCATGCCCGGCTAATTTTTTGTATTTTTAGTAGAGATGGGGTTTCACCGTGTTAGCCAGGATGGTCTCGATCTCCTGACCTCGAGATCCGCCCGCCTCGGCCTCCCCAAGTGATGGGATTACAGTTGTGAACCACTGCGCCAGACCCAAGTATAACTCTTGATTGCCCCGAAACTTAACTACTCATAGGCTACTATTGACCAGAAGCTTTACCAATAACATAAACAGTCGATGCACGTTTTTGTATCGTGAATGTGTGATATAGTGTGTTCTTACAATACAGTAAGCCAGAGAAAAGAAAATGCCATTCGGAAAATCCTAAGGAAGAGAGGATGCATTTCCTCGTCTCCACGTGGAAGCGGATCACCCTAAAGGTCTTCATCCTGGTCTTTTTCATGCTGAGGAGGCTGGGGAGGAGAAGGAAGAGGAGGGGCTGGTCTTGCTGACCCAGGAGCAGCAGAGAAAGGAGAAAATCCACGTGCAGGTGAGCCCAAAGTTCAAACCCGCGTTTTTCCGGGGTCGGCCGTAATTCACGCTCCATGAATTTCTCCACCGACAGTGGCGATTCCACCATCTCCAGCACGTTCAGCTACGTGCGGCCGTCACCACCGTCCATTCAGGACATTTTCTTTTTTCTTTTTCGGACGGAGTCTCGTTCTGTCGCCCAGGCTGGAGTGCAGTGGCGCGATCTCGGTTCAGTGCAATCTCTGCCTCCCGGGTTCAAGCAATTCTCCTGCCTCAGCCTCCCGAGTAGCCGGGATTACAGGCACGTGCTACCACCACGCCCAGCTAATTTTTGTATTTCTAGTGGAGATGGGGTTTCACCATGTTGGCCAGGCTGATCTTGAACTTCTGACCTCAGGTGATCCGCCCGCCTCGGCCTCCCAAAGTGCTGGGATCACAGTTGTGAGCCACCACAAAGCCTGGCCCAGAACATTTTCATCAAAAATAAACGTCATCAGCCCAGCCCCAGCCCCCCAGCCATAAAGACCCACTCAGCCACCTTCTGTTCCCAGGGGCTGGCCAGCGCTGGGCTTCTCGGGAATGGAATCACACACGGACTGTGGCGTACACATCACAACTTTAAACCCCGTCCGTACTGAAGCCTGCGTCCGAATTTCTTCTGTTTTTGTGGCGGAAGGATAAATATTCCATTGTACAGACGGTCTACCCGGTTCATCCGTCACCCACCCATGGGCACCCGGGCCGTTTCCACCCTTAGTGAAGGAAGCCGCACGGGTGTTTGTGCGGACAGGAGCTTCCGTTTATCTTGGGCGCACACCTAGGGGTGGAGTTGCTGGGTCTCGTGGTGACTGGTTGTTTCGGGAGCTGCCGGCAGGTGACCCAGCAGCTGGGCCGGTCCACATTCCGTCCAGCAGCGTGCGAGTCTCTGATCTTGGCGCCCACACCCCTGGCTGGCTCTCTCCTCCCTCCGACTTCGCAGCCACACCGGAGGCAGGTGGCAATGTGAGTGGGGACCGGGCACGCGCAGGGGCTGACTCCACACCTCGCAGGGCTGGTCTGCAGATCTCCCTGGGAGGCAGGAACATCACGCCCCCATTTCAGAAGAGGATGCTGGGCTCAGAGAGGCCCACCAGCAAGTTGGGCCCTCACTGGCCACTTCCTCCATTCTCTGGACTCGGCAGGAACTCAAGGTGTGCGGTCCCTCCCTCGGCGCCCAAGCCCCACACTGGGCCTGCCCTGGGCATGAGTTGGCCATTGGACCTGAGGCTGGAGAACCTGCCTGGGACAGAACAAAATTCAAGTGTGAAGTTCTGGAAGGTTCTGGAGGGTTCCAGAGGCCTCCTGGAGCTCCCTGGGTCCCCTGGACTCCACATGAGTGGCCACCCAGCCTGTGGTCTACGGCTGCCTAGGTTCACCCCCTTGGTCCCCCAGACACACACAGGGCAGCCCTTGTGTTCCTGGGGCCGCTGGTCCTGCAGCGTGAGCTGCCACCTGTAGGGATCCCTCCCTGCCTGCCCACACCTGCCCCCCACGGCCGCCCCCCCTGCCTGGCCGCACCTGCCCCCCACGGCCGCCCCCCCTGCCTGGCCGCACCTGCCCCCCCACGGCCGCCCCCCCTGCCTGGCTGCACCTGCCCCCCATGGCCGCCCCCCTGCCTGGCCGCCCCTGCCCCCCATGGCCGCCCCCCCTGCCTGGCCGCACCTGCCCCCCATGGCCGCCCCCCCTGCCTGGCCGCACCTGCCCCCCATGGCCGCCCCCCCTGCCTGGCCGCACCTGCCCCCCATGGCCGCCCTCCCTGCCTGGCCGCACCTGCCCCCCATGGCCGCCCTCCCTGCCTGGCCGCACCTGCCCCCCATGGCCGCTTCCCCTGCCTGGCCGCACCTGCCCCCCATGGCCGCCTTCCCAGCTCAGGCTACAGGGAGAGGCCAGAACCTTTTCTGCTCCCGGAACCCACCGTCCACTGCTGAGCGCTGAGTTCCCAGCTCTGCGGCTCTGACCTGACCTCCCCCTCATGCCCATATCTACTGCTGAGCGCTGAGCCTCGGGCCACACAGCCTGGGGCAGAGGTCAATGGCTCAGTGCCTCATGGAGCAGCTCATTGGCAGGGGCCACACCCCGAGGCCTCCTACCAGCAGGGTGGACGTGGGGGCGCAGGCTTGGAGTCCAGGGAGCCTGGTCCCGAGGGTGGGTGCCCTCCAGCGAGTCCCGTCACAGGGCTCCTGACTGGCCTGAGGGTCAGCTCCCCTCCAGCGCCCGTGGGGTGGGCTGCCATCTCCATTTACAGAGGAAACAGGCCTGGGGGCTGTGGCCACTAGAATAATGCTGGAAAACACCGAAGTCGCCCTCCCCTCCGCCCCCCCACCCCCCTCCCCCGCCCCATGCAAGTCCTGGGCCTTGTTGCTGTGAAGCCGACACCTGGCCCTGGGAGCCCCAGAGGACGGTAGGTTCTGGAGCGCAGGGCGGCGGGCTGTGCAGGGGCTCTCCAGTGCTGCAGTCACATCGCCTCCCCAGGCCTGGCTGAGCTGCAGCCCCACTCCACACAGCAGCCCTCGGTAACCCTTTGGGCAGGACCACCCTGCCAGCTGGCTTCCTAGAAACTGCCGCCCTTCCCTGCAGGTGCCTTAGGGAGGTGGCAGCTGGCCAAACCTGCCCGACTCCCTGGTCCCTCTGTCCCCTGAAGCCCATGAGGGCTGGGGAGCCTTCTGATAGCTCTGCCCTCCACTGCCCGGCCCGGTGGGAGGGGCAATTCCACTGGCAAGCACTTCTGGCAGGGAGGCAGCATCGCAGGGAGGGGCGGGGGGAGATTGGATACCCCAATGCCACCCGCTCGTTCCAAGGCGCATGCCAGGGCCATCTAGTACCCCAGGGCGCAGGGGCGGCAGCCTTCCAGGCAGCGCAGACCTCTGGGTCACCCTCCAAGCCCCAGGCCTGAGCGCTTGAAGGCCTGTGGCTGCTGCCACCACCCCACAGATGGGCTCTGGGGGACAGAGAGTGCCCAGTCTCCTCCGCACCTCAACTGACTTGCTCCAGGCCTGGCAGAGCAGGTGCTCGGAAAAGATTTGCCGAGGGAAAGGCAGAGAAGCCGCGGTCCTCTGGCCCGGCTACAGCGGTGCTTCCCAAGGAGCTGCTCACCCTCAGAGCCACTGTTCCTCCAGGGGCCTCCCCTCCGAGCCTGACCTGCCCCCAGCCCGACCTGTCCCTAGCGGTGATGGTGGAAAGTGGGTCCCCAAAAAGTGCGGGGGGTTGGAGAGGGGGCTCAGGAAAAGTCTGGGGCCCGGGGCCAGTCAGTGGGTGCTGGGAGGGTTATCTGCCAAGAAATGTGACCTTGGGGCAGCTGGCTGGGGGTGCAGCAGGCACTGGGAATGTCCTGTGGACACCCTGGAGGGGCAGCTGCAGGGAGGGGCCGCGCAACACTGACCGGGAGTTGCCTGGAGCCCCTATTTGGCCATGGCCGCCCACCCGCCTGGCCCTGCCCTGGGGGCCTCAGGTTCCTGAGATAGGGGTCTGGGCCATATTCCAGGGGAGAAGACCCCCACTCTCCCTGGGATGCCCTCCTCAGAGCAGGGGCATGCCATGCCTTCCCTTCCCCCAGCCACCAGGTACCCCGCCTGCCCGCAACAGACCCGGGGGAAACACACTCAGTAACTCTTTACAGCCTCTCCAGGAAGAGCCCCGCAGAGGGCAGGGGCGGGGAAGGCCCCATCGTCAGGGCCATTTGCTGGAGCTTTGGGCCAGTTTTCCAGGGCCCCTGAGCAGATGGCCCCGGCCCGTTTGGCATTTGTCCCTCAACAAGGAGACCCCGCAGCTCCTGTTTTCCCAGGAAGTGGGGCCAGTGCCCAGAGGACAAAGAGACAGAAAGAGACAGACAGTGAGACAGAGAGACAGTGGGAGACTGACTGAAGGAGAGAGACCCAGTCAGGAGAGAGTCACAGAAGCATCCAGAGAAGATGGGGAGGAGAGATACAGACCCGGCCGAGAGCGATGCGGAGGGGCTTCTGCAGGAGGACCAGGGAGGCCAGGCTGGGCCCCACCCGGCGCCCCGGGCACAGGGACAGGGGAGGCACAGGCTGGATCAAAGATCTTTGAAATTGGGATCAAATGCTCAGGTTTTATTGGTGCTCTTACTGTGTAACTGTGTAATTGGGGCAGGGACAGTGAGGCTGTCCCCCTGGGAGCCACTTCAAAGGCTAAAGGATTCCTGAGCTCTTTTCTCCCTCCTTCCCTCCTTCCCTCTCCCCTCCTTCCCTCCCTCCCTCCTCCTTCCCTCCTTCCCTCCTTCCTTCCCTCCCTCCTCCCTCCCTCTCACCTCCTTACCTCTCTCCCTCTTTCCCTCTCCCTCCTTCCCTCCCTTCCTCCTCTCTCCCTCCTTCCCTCTCCCCTCCTTCCCTCCCTCCCTCCCTCCTACCTCCCTCCTTCCCCCTTCCTCCCTCCCTTCCTCTCCCCTCCTTCCCCCTTCTCCTCTCCTTCCTTTCCCCTTCCCTCTCTCTTCCCTTCTTCCCTCTCTCCCTCTTTCCCTCCCTCCTCCTTCTCTCCTTCCCTCCCTCCTCCCTCCCTCCTTCCCTCCCTCCTCCTTCTCTCCTTCCCTCCCTCCTCCCTCCCTCCTTCCCTCTCTTCTTCCCTCCCTCCTCCCCTCCTTTATTCTTCCTCCCTTCTTTGAGGACAAAGCCATGAGGGAGGGAATATGTTTCCACCAAGCTGATGCTGACTGTGTACCTCCTCTAGGTGTCCTCAGGCTGGGCTGAGGACGCAGAAGGGAACTGCCAGTCCCTGGCTGGCACCAGGCTAGCTGGGGGGCGGCAGCTCTAAAAGGACCATGTGGGCAGAAAGGTGTTGGGAGCAGCAACTCAGCAGTCAGGGGTGAGGGAGGCCTCCTGGGCCAGTGAGTTGGCCTTGGACTGTTGAGGAGAGAGAAAATCACCTCCCTCCTCCTGGACGTTGGGCCTCTGCTAACGTCACCAGCAGGCTCCACACCCTGGTATCCTCACGCAGGTGGCTCTGTTTGGTGTCTCAGCCCAGGTGCTCTGACCCGGCCTTCATTCCCTCCTGGCCTTGTGGGAACCATCCAGCCGCTGGATCTGTGCGGAGCTGTCCAGCTGCTGGGGGCCAAGGCAGGGCGGGGCGACTCCATGCTACAGCCGTGGGGGCGTCACTGTCCGGGCCCTCCCCGCACAGCCTCCCTGGTGCATGTTGGCTCCATCTGGAATTAGCCACTGGGCCCACCCCCTTGGGTCCCTGGCCTGGGAACCCTCTGCTCCGCCTCCCCAAACACCTGTCCAGACCAGCTGCCCCTGGGCGTCCGCGGGCCACTCTGCCCGTCAGCTCCCCTCCTGCCCCAGCTCTGGTCTTTGGGACCCCACCCCTATGCAGGGTAGACTGTGGTCTTTGGGTGTGGTTCTGTGTGTCTCTGGCTGGGACCCCCTGAGGACAGGACCAGGGCCAAGGTTGCAGCTCAGGGCAGCCAGTTGGCAAACTCAGGATGGACCCAACTTAAAAGTGCCACGAGCAGGTGGGGGCATCACAGGCCAGGGCACTGCCCACACTGCCAGCTGGCAGCCCCACCGCACCCCAGGCCCGGGAGAAAGGGCCCGGCTGCCACCTCAGCCTGGATGGAGCCCACGCTTCTGCCTCAAGGAGGCAGGGTACTCACAGGCACCCAGAAACTTTCCCTCCCTGCCAGGGGCCAGAGGCCTTTGAAGTTGGAAGGGCTGGGGGCGGATGAGAAGGTCCAGGGGTGTAATTAGAGGAGGCGGCTTCACTCTCACACGTACAGTAAAGGTGGCTGCTGACTCCCAGGGCGGAGCCGGCCTTGCTTGCAGGACAGGTCCCTGTGCAGGGCCTCTCAGCTTCACGGCCACGTGGCTTCTCCCTCAAGAGGGCGGCTGGCTGGACGGGCTCCCCTCGAGGGCCATCCACTCCTCATGACTCCACACAGAGGGAGGCCAGGCAGAAGGGGGATTCCCAGAGGCCGTCCCTTCCCACTGCCTGGGCCTCCCAGGGGCCTTCGGGGTAACGTCAGGGCTTGTGGGTGCCCCCGTCTCCCAGCAGCCTGACACAGGTGTCCAGCTCCCGTTTAGAGAGCAAAGTGGGGTGTGGGACCCCAGCAGTGCCAGCCTTGTTGGGAAGGTTTGGGGGTTACATCTCAGCTGGACCTAAAGAGAGACAGACACTCGCTGGGTGATCCAGGGCAGGGGTGAGGGGCACTCCAGGCAGAGGGAAAGCCTGGACAGAGGCCCAGCAGCCTCATGAGTTTGGGGGCCTTCAGGCAGCTCAGTGTGAGGGCCTGGATATGGGACGAGGCTGCAGAGCTGGGCGTCTGCAGGGCGGAGGGAGCTGGAGGCCTGCTGCAGGCTCCCCTGGCCCACAGAGCACGGCTGCACCCCTGAGGCTGGAGCAAAGCTCTGTCCCTGTGCCTGGCTCTTGAAAGTGCCTCTGTAGCCACCCAGGCAGCTGGCGTCACCCAGGTCTCTCAGGCAAACAGCCGGCCCCGGGGCCTTGCCTCTGGCGGGTTGGAAATAGCCTCAGGTCCTGCCTGGGGCCCAGCCAAGAGCTGCCGTCCAGGGGAGGGGCTTGGAACGGGATTCCCCCTCTACATCCCACGTGGCCCGGATCCTATGGTGCCAGCCACACTGGTGTCCAGACAGACCTCAAACCCCCAGAACACGCCTCCTGGGTTTCCTTCTGCCCAGCGCTGGCTCTCTGCCCTCCTCCCGGCCTGGGCACAGGCCTTGCCTGAGGCCCCAGCACTGAACCCACTGCTGTCTCCACCGATCCCGATTGGCTTGTTTGGTTGGAGGATCAGAGCCTGCACACACTAGGGGCCTGGTAAAGACTTGTTAAATGGGCCAGGTGCGGTGGCTCATGCCTGGAATCCCAGCACTTTGGGAGGTCCGGGCGGGGAAGATCACTTGAGTCCAGGAGTTCGAGACCAGCCTGAACAATATAGGGAGATCTCATCTCTACAAAAAAAAAATTAAAAATTAGCTAGCATGGTGGCACGCACCTGTAGTCCCAGCTACTCGGGAGGCTGAGGCAGGAGGCTCTCTTGAGCCTGGGAGGTCAAGGCTGCAGTGAGCCAATATTGTGCCACTTATGAAATGAATGAGTTACTGTAGAACTAAACGTGGAGATGACGAGAAGAACGTGGATTTGAGCAGTTGCAGCTCAGGCGGCCTGGACTCCTTTCCTCTCACATGGAGCAGACGGGCGGCCTGGGCAAGCCCTCAGGGGTGCTGAGAATTGTGGCCACAGCTATGAGGCACAGGGCGCCTCCAGGCCCGAGAATCTGCTGGCCGTAGCCCTGCTGACCCTCGGCTGCCCAGCACTGAGTGGCCTCTCCTGACCCAGGCCCCGGTGCCCCTGTGAGCCCCAAGAACAGGAAGCCGGGCTCATGTTCCCCGTGACCCCAGGAGGCCGAGTTCACTTTCGCCGTGATCTCAGGAGGGCCACAGGCTCTTAGAACAACCCGGGAGGCAGGAGGGCCCTGAGCTCACCTAGCTTCCCTGTGGGAACCCAGCACCCAGTCCTGGGGTGCCATGGCCTCTGGTTCCCACCTTCAGGCACCCTTGGCCAGCGGAGCAGTGAGTACATGGAGAGCCTCCAGCCTCCTGCCGCCCTCCCCTGCCCCAGCGCTGCTTGCTGTCCCCTCCAGCCTGGACGTGCAGTGTGCTGGCAGCGCCTGAAGAGGCAGGGCCCTGGGCCTGGGCAGGCCCCCAGGCGGGCGGTGGGAGGGGAAGGAGCTGATAAGCCAGTCAGCATGGCCCTAACAGCTTGGGCAGGCGGAAGCCCGGAGATGGAACCTCGGGCACCCTCGTGGAAAGGGTGGCCTGGGTGGGGCTGGGGGAGGGCAGGGGATTCTGGGCTGAAATTCGCAGACAGTGGTGGAGGCCCAGGCCCCCGGTCCGATGCCTCTCTGAGCCTGTGTGGGGCAGCCCCAAGGCATGGGGCTCAGCCTGTGGCGGCTTCCAGCTTCCCCACTGACTTGCTGGGAGACCCCAGGAAACCCCCTCCTCTTGAAAATGGGGGTGATGTGCCTGGCCATGGCCATCCGTCAGAGAAGCAAGTGGAGCCCAGCAGGTGGGCTATCACGGCAGGCTTCCTGGAGGAGGGGGCTTTCCCCCAGCCCTTTATGGATGGTGTCCCAGCTGAGGCGATGGGGAAGGCAGTTCTCGATGCGGAGCTGGGAGGACCTGCATGTGTTCAGGGTGCGGTGGAGGGACACCTCGTGCTCATAGGCAGAGGGGTTTGGGATGAAGCTGGACTTCGGGGAGCCCAGATTTGGGGGCTGACTTTTGGGCAGGGGAGATTGGATCTTGGCACGGGGGCGCCATAGAGGGCTCCTGATGGGAGGGCCTGGAGTCCCAGGCGATAAACCTTCCCCGCCCTGCGGGCAGTGCTCTCCCTTCCTTCCTCCCTTCCCAGGCCCCGCCTAAGCGCTGATTTGGGGGATGGGAGAGTGCAGGCGGTGGGACCGGGGATATCCTGTCCAGGAGCCACCCCGCCGAGGGCCAGGACGTTGCCCACCCCGGCCTCCAACCAGCCGCTCGGACACACAGTCCGTCAGGAAGTCCCAGCCCTGCCTGGGGCGTCTCTGAGCTCAGCGAGGTGGCAGCTCCTGCCGGAGCCGTCCCATCCAGCACCTCCACCCACCATGGCCCTCGGCCCCACCCACGAGTCACCCCCTCCACCTGCCGGCCCCCATGGCCCTGCATCTCCCAGCACCCAGACCTCCCTCCTCCTCTCCTCATCCCCAGCCAGCACCTGCCCCACCCTCCACACCTCTAACCCCGACTTCTCCAGCTACTTCCTCATCTCTGCAATGGCCATTTGGGTTTCTTTTGGGGACAGCAGACACCTTAGCTGTGACACACAGCATGGGCCGTCTCCCTGGAAAAACGCACAACATTTCACACCCAATTTTCAGAGTCTCAAGGAGTTCCAGACCCCAGGAGGCTCACCTGTGGGCCACCTTGGGAGGAGTCCCTGGGCCTCAGGCTAAGCTCTCACTGGAAAGGAGGTGTCTCTGCCTTCTGACTGGTGGGGAAACTGAGGCCTAGGGGAATGGAGAATGCAGGGTGTCACAGGGTCACCCAGAGTAGCCTGGAGGCACCTGGGCCAGAGGAGAGCCCCACACTGGCTGGTCTTCCCACAAGCACCGGCGCCTCCCAGCCCCAGCCAGGCCCTGGACCCCACCAGGACCCCTGGCATGTGGGCTCAAATCCCAGCCACACCCTCATTGGTTGTGGAGCCTGGGAGCATATTTGGTTCCCGGCGGCCTGTTTCCCCAACTCACAACTCGCAGCCCCAAGTACCTGACAGAGCCCGAAGTCCAGGGCTCTTTTACTGGGGACAATAAAAGCCATGACTAGAAGCGCAGACGTTAGAGGCAGGCACACCCGGGCGCAAGCCCCACCTCCAACCTCCCTCTGCCCCCCAGGTGGAGGCCTGGCAGCTAGCTTAGCCTCGCCAGGCCTCAGTTTCCTCTGGTGTAAGACGGGGAGAAAATGCAGGCCCCAAAATGTTGCATGAATATCGTAGGAATTGCTGTAGAGTCTACAGTGTACACAAAGTGGCCAGTAAGTCCCTGGCACAGGGTCCAGGCCCTCCCGGGAGGGGTGCCATCCCCACGCTCTCCAGGGCCTGTGGCTCTGAGACAGAAAAGCCAAGGCTTGGTGGGGGTGGAGGTCACAGTAGGGAGGAGTCACAGATGATAAGTGGTTCTGGGCACTTTGTCAGCGCCAGGCATTTAGAAGGGGTCTGAGGAGGCCCCTGGCAGAGGATGGAAGCAAACCGTTCTTGCTGGAGTGTGAGTGACTGCTACCCACACTTCATAAGCTCGGAGGCACTGGCTGAACCAAAGCAACAGAACCTTGGTGTAGGAATGGTGGGATGCTGGGGAAAAGGCCGGGTCGGGCCCTGGGGCCACCCTCTCTGAAGAGGCTGGGTCCATGGCTCCTGCCCTTTTCCCAGGACAGAAATTGGGTGGGGGGTGGTCAGCTGAGAATGTGTAAGCCAGTGCCCGAACCGGGGTTGGGGGGCCTGCAGGGGGTCAGCTGAAGCCCACCTGGGAGCCTGGGAGACCCGACCCCACACGTTCCTCCCTCCCCCGACCAACCATGGGGCGGGGGTCGCTTCCTCCTCTATGCTCTGCACGTTCAGAAACGCTTCTCCAGTAGTGACCTATAGAAACGATCCCTCAAAGTACAGTCTCGCTTCCCCTTCCTGGGTCCCAGATGTTTGTGGTGCCCCAGGCCGAGCGCTCGCTGCTCCACGTTCCCAGGCAGATGTCCTTTCCACCTGCACCCGCCTCCTGTCCGCCTTCCCCCTGTCCCCGCCCCAGCTGCAAAACTCACTGCTGACAGACACTGGAACCATGAGATGAGGCAGGCCAGGTCCCATCCCCGCTGGCCCCGCAGCCACCTGCCAGCACTGGGGCGGGTGGACCCGGGATGAGGATGAGGTACTCTGCAGCTAGGGAGGCTGTGCCCCCGGCCGCAGGAGTCCCGTGGCCCTTCGAGCTCCCTCCTCTGGGAGCCCGACCAACCCCGCCCAACCCCGCCCGCCCACCTGCCCCCTCGGCCGCTGACTCCATTCGACCCTGGCTTTGGGGCCTTCCCTTTCTCGTCTCTCGCCCACTCCCGCTCTGAGGGGTGGGCTCCATCCAGATTCCCTCAGTACCCAACTCAGGGTTGTCCCTAGGGCATCACCGAGGTGCCCTGAGGCCCCAGCCTGGCAAACTTGGGCAGGAGTCCTCTCTACCTTTCGCCCACCCTGGCCCTCGGCTGGGGGGCTGCCCACAGCTTCTAGGAGTCCAGGGAGGGGGGTGCTGGCCCTCCCCCCACCCAGTGCCAGTAGAGCTCAGTGTCCAGACATGACCTGCATCCCCAAGGGGCCAGGGCCCCGGCGGAGAGGGGAAGGAACCTGCCCGGGCAGCACACCACGCACGCCGGGGATGCCAAGATGCTGTCAACTGCTGGCAGGATGCAGGCACACATGCGGACGTGCAGGCGGGCATCTGCGCTAAGGCACACAGGGTCCTGCGGCATGCGTGTGCACACACTCCTCAGTGCATGCACTCAGTGCACACACTCCTCGGTGCACACACGCCTCCTCAGTGCACACACGCCTCCTCAGTGCACACACTCCTCAGTGCACGCACTCCTCAGTGCACACACTCCTCGGTGCACACACGCCTCCTCAGTGCACACACTCCTCAGTGCACACACTCCTCGGTGCACACACTGCTCAGTGCACACACGCCTCCTCAGTGCACACACTCCTCGGTGCACACACGCCTCAGTGCACACACTCCTCAGTGCACACACGCCTCCTCAGTGCACACACTCCTCAGTGCACGCACTCCTCAGTGCACACACTCCTCGGTGCACACACGCCTCCTCAGTGCACACACTCCTCAGTGCACACATTCCTCGGTGCACACACTGCTCAGTGCACACACTCCTCGGTGCACACACGCCTCAGTGCACACACTCCTCAGTGCACACACGCCTCCTCAGTGCACACACTCCTCGGTGCACACACTCCTTAGTGCACACACGCCTCCTCAGTGCACACACTCCTCAGTGCACACACGCCTCCTCAGTGCACACACTCCTCAGTGCACCCACTTAGTGCACGCACTCCTCAGTGCACCCACTTCTCAGTGCACAAACTCCTTAGTGCACGCACTCCTCGGTGCACACACTCCTCAATGTGCACACTCCTCCTTGGTGCACACACTCCTCAGTGCATACACTCCTTGGTTCCTCAGTGCACACACTTCTCAGTGCACACACTCCTCCTCAGTGCACACACTTCTCCCCAGTGCACACACTCAGTGCACACACTCCTTGGTTCCTCAGTGCACACACTCCTCAGTACACGCACTCCTCGGTGCACACACTCCTCAGTGCACACATTCCTTGGTGCACACACTCCTTAGTGCACACATTCCTCAGTGCACGTACTCCTCAGTGCATACACTCCTCAGTGCACACACTCCTCCTCGGTGCACACACTCCCCAGTGCACACACTCCTCCTCAGTGCACAACTCCTCAGTGCACACACTCCTTAGTGCACACACTCCTCAGTGCACGCAGGCGTGTGCTGATGCCCTCTCTCGCACATGCACACACACCAAGGTGTGATGCCTACCCACCAACACGGGTTGCTGCTGCATTTTACACACACAGCCCCACCTGGCTGGGTGCTCCAGGCCCGGAGCTCCGGACCCGGCAGGGCCCCATGGCTGTTCCCTCCACCACCACCTGAGCCCGCAGCCAGCCCGAGGCCCTGAGAAAGCTTTTTCCTTCCCTGGCAGAAGCACAGGCCACACACGCCCCTGTGTGAGCAGAGAGCAGGGAGCTGGAATTAGTGGCAGGACGAGAGCCCCCGGCCCTCCCTGCCCCCAGCCAGAGGCCCCTGTGCTCTGCGGCTCTGAGGCTTCCTGTTCGCCCTCGGGGGGCTTTGCATGCTCTCAGAGCAGACAGAGGCTGGGAGGCTGGGAGACCCTGAGCTGCCTCAATGGCACAGCCCTGTGCCGCTGGCCCGGAGTCCTGCTCTGCACATGGACGGGAGGCCCTGGGGACCGGCTGCCGGGACAAAGTTTTCTTTGTGTTACTGCGGCTGGCCCCCCTGCCAGAGTGAAGGCGGCTGAATGGGGCCCTGGGAGGCAGCCCCCACCCTCTGCACACCAAAGAGCAGGGCCTGAGACAACAGCCGATAGCACAGCCCCTGTTCCCGGGCCCGCCAGTTGGTGGTTGGCAAGAGGGGGGCGGCGGATGCTGAGCCCCAGAGCCCCTCCCCACTACCCACTCCCCTCCGGCTTCCCAGGCCTTGGGCACCCGCCTGCCTTCCAGGGCCACCTGGCTCTCCCTCCCCACCTCCTGCTCTGGGGGCCAGACCCCACTGTCTGCTGAATCCCTCCCTGCCCAGCCGTGGGTCTCAGGAGGCTAAGTGCCAGAGGAGGGGTCACGCGGGGGCAGGGCCATGACCCCAGGCCACCTCTGACTCCTGCCCCCCTCTTGGGGCTTCCCACAGGATCCTGGTACAGGAGCAGAGTTGGGGTGGGGGCTCCTTCAAGCACAATTCCACTCCCACCAACATTGATGGTGACGCTGGGAGCCTACCCCTTCAGCCCAGCAGACCCCACGGGAGACAAGGGGACAAGGGGAGGGGAGAGGCCACAAGGGAGGGCACGGGAACGGCCCGTCATGCCTGGGAGGCCCTGCACCCCCGTCAGCATGTCCTGAGGCCACCCGGTGAGTCTCTGGGGTCCCCTGGGCTGGACCTAGGGCTCTGGGAAGCCTGAGGTCCTAGGGGAGCCCTTCCTCCTGGGACCTCCCCTGTGGGTCTCCCAGGGCTCCTGCTGGCATCAGCGTGAAGGGGAGGCAGGGAGGGTGCCTCCCTGAAAGGAGGCGATGAAGACGCCCTGAAAGGAGGCGATGAAGACGGGGTGGTGCTGAGGAGCTCCGTGGGTACTGCAACCACAGGGAGAGAGGATCCTACCACGCCCTGGGCTCAGGCACAGGTCCTACCTGGTGCAGGCGGGGACAGAGACTGGGCTTTTCCTCTCAGCCGGGCGACTCCACCGGGCTTCCAGGAATGCTGCCCTGCGGCCTGGCTGGCCGCTAAGCCTTGTGAGCCCCACCCCAACATGAGGGCAGGCCCGGGACACTCCTGGGGGTCTTGTGAGGAGGGCTGGGGGCCTCTGGCTGGGACGGGAAGGGGTGGTGGCCCCCGCTCTTCATCAGGCACTCCCGCCAGGAGGCTGGGCCCAGATTGCCAGTGGCCACGCAAACCTACAGTGGCCAAAGGCAGTGAGGGCCTGGGGACTGGGAGGGGGCTGAGCAGCCCAACAGGCCCAGGGATGGCCCCAGCTGCCCCGCTGCCCACACTGCCCCGGGCGCTCCTGCCCACACTGCCCCGGGCGCTCCTGCCCACACTGCCCTGCTGCCCTCCTGCCCACACTGCCCCAGGTGCTCCTGCCCACACTGCCCTGCTGCCCTCCTGCCCACACTGCCCCAGGCGCTCCTGCCCACACTGCCCTGCTGCCCTCCTGCCCACACTCCCCCAGGTGCTCCTGCCCACACTGCCCTGCTGCCCTCATGCCCACACTGCCCTGCTGCCCTCATGCCCACACTGCCCCAGGCGCTCCTGCCCACACTGCCCTGCTGCCCTCATGCCCACACTCCCCCAGGTGCTCCTGCCCACACTGCCCTGCTGCCCTCATGCCCACACTCCCCCAGGTGCTCCTGCCCACACTGCCCTGCTGCCCTCATGCCCACACTGCCCCAGGCGCTCCTGCCCACACTGCCCTGCTGCCCTCCTGCCCACACTCCCCCAGGTGCTCCTGCCCACACTGCCCTGCTGCCCTCATGCCCACACTGCCCCAGGTGCTCCTGGTGTTCCCCTGGGCACCCATGTGTCCCACACGCTCATGGCCTTCACATCACCTGCTGGGCCGTCTCTGCCCTGGGCCCCCAGCGCAATGGCGGGCCCATCGCTGGCCCATGTGGGCATGTGAGCCCTACTCCGGGCTCTGCAGGCAGTAGCCTGGACTGGCTCGAGGGCCAGGCCATGCACCGCCTGGTGGTCACTGAAGTGTCAGAGACAGGCCTGTGTCCATTTTTTTAGCAGCAGGAAGCTGGGTGGAGAGGGAGGGCAGCTTCTGGGGCCTTCTCCACTGTGCTAGCTGCTGGGTTCAGACTGGAGGTGGCCAATGGGAGCCGCCTTTGCTCCTGCCCATCCCCCCCACCCCACCCAGCCTTGACTTTCCCCTGTCAATGGGGCAGCAGCTGGACCCCGCACTCAGGGGCTTCCCCAGCTCCCACGGCTGCAGTTCTGCTGTGGAGTTTCTGGGCCTGGAGGTGAGGCTAGTGGGTGGGTAACGTAGGACAGAGGAGGTGCCAGGTGACCCAAGGAAGTCCTGGTGGGTGCAGCCCAGCCCAGCCCCCCACATCTGGGGCATTTTGGACCCCAATCTCCTGCCACCTGGGCCCTCCACCCTTCCCTCCCCCTGGGACAGCCTTGCCCTCTGAGCCCCACCCTCCTTGGCTCTAGGCCCCACCCTCCCTGTCTCCTCCGTCTTGTAAAGATGCAGATGGCCTCAGTTTCCCAGTGCAGGGCCCTCCACAGAGTGGCCAGAGGTTCCTCCACAGGCAGACCTTGCTCTTGCTCCCATGTGGGCTGCGGAGGCCCCACTGGCACCAGCCTGGAGACTCGAGGGTGGCCCTGACCTGTCCAGACTCGCCCTGCTCCTAGTGACTCCAGTGCCCCAGCCCCGCAAGGCCTGCCCCACCCAGTGGGGCCCGGCCAGGCACCCCTTCCTCAGGAGTGGGAGGGGCTTTCTCAGGAGCGATGATGGGGGCAGGGGCTGGGGTTTGCTGGCAGAAGGAGGAGCCCCCAGCCTCGGACACAGTGAAGACTGAAACCAGGAGTTTCGGGTGCCAGGCTGGGCTGGGGCCAGGTGGGCAGGTGAGAGCGGCAGGCTGGTTTTTCAGCCCCGCTGGGGGTTAATACTCAAACACACCGACATCCCCTGATGCCAGGCTGGGTGGCCAGAGCCCCTCCCACTGATAACATCCCTCTCCCAAGGCAGGGAGGGCCTGTCCTGCCCAGGGATGCCAGATCGAGCCTTCTGCAGAGGCCTGGGCAGCAGCCTGCCTGCCTCCACTTCCTCAACTGTAACTTGGGGCAATGGCATCCTATCGCCAGGGCTGTGCCCAGTGTGCCCCTGTGCCGAGCGGCGCCCTGTCCACTCCAGTCCCCTCCTCCACCCCAGCTGCTGCCGCCTCCTCCTGGGGGCCCACTGGGACCTGGGGCAGGAGAGGGCACCAGGATGGGCGGCCCCAGAGAGGGGTCTCCCCTCAGCCGCATGGAAATGAGCCAGCCTGGGCTTGGAAGCCCGCTTAATCTTTTGCTGAAAAGATAATTTCTCTCTGTGCCGTTGTCGGGCGCTGGGGGTGAACAAAGGGGCTTTTGTGCAAGCCCGGCTGGTCCCACCCAGCAAGGCCTGGCATTTTCCCTGCGAACGTAAAATGCTGTAACGGGGAGTGTTTCTCATAACCGTCTCCTTTCCTCAAGTACACAATCACTTTTGTTACCCAGGGCCCGCACACGGCAGCCGGGAGGACCTTTCTTTTTCCTTCTCATCCCTTGCAAAATGCCGTGTGCCGAGGGTAGGGTGTGGAAGGAGGGGAGGGACATGGCCCACGCTGGGCCTTGCCACCTGTGCCCACTGGGGCCTCTGGTGCCCAATGTCCTTTGGGTTAAGAATTTCCCTGTTCCCATCCAGCCTTGCAGAAGGGCCAGGGAGCAGGGCGTGTGAATCCTGCACCTACACCCACCTCGACAAGGGCTATTAAACATTCACCAATGGTGACCTTTTATGTGAATGCAAAAGTCCCACACATTCCCTGCAGCACTTTGGAAATGAAAAAAAAAAAAAAAAAAAAACCCAAACAAACAAAAAACACAAAAGCAAAATAGAATGTCACACAAAAAGGAAGATAAAAAATCGCCAGTAATTCCAGCCTGTTGGTATCAGGGGGAGCATCTCCCCAGTGTGTTTTTTCATCTTGTTCACAAAACTGGGGCCAGTCTTCATTGATTCATTCATTCATCCCCTTCATTCAGCCCCCCCAAGCAAGTATCGGGGGCTTAGGGCCTGGCTCTGGGCCCATTCCAGGGGTGCTGTTGAAGGTGAGCTGGCCGAGGTGCTGCCTCACCCTTTGGAATGCCGGGTAGGAATCAGGGAAGCTCACGGGAATGTCATTTAATCATTCTTTGCAAACTGCTTTTTTCATCGAACAATACATCACAAGCGGCTAACAACACATCACGAGCTGCCAACAATACATCACGAGAGGCTAACAAGACATCGCGAACGGACCACTAAACACATTCCTTTAACTTACGTTTCATCGCCACGCTGGATCTTCTCCGAGGCCCTCTCCCATGGTTTACCGAGTGCTGTGAGCATGATTTCGCAGCGTGACTCCTGTGGGCGGGCGCTACCATTGTCCCATTGCACAGATGAGGAGGCTGAGGGTCCTGCCATGCCCACTGGTGAGAACTCATGGTCTGTTTGACTTTGCAGCTGATACTCCCCCCAGCTTCCCCTCGGGGGACCTCTGTCCCTCCACCGAATCGGCCTTATCTGAGAGGCCTTTCCTGCCATCCTCTTTGGGGCCTAATTAGGGGTTACATCAGTGGACTATCACGTCATCATCCACGAGCCCCCCGCGCCTGCAGACGGCTGTGCCAGACTAGGGTGCATTCCTCCAGGGGCTGCTGGGCGAGGGGCTCCTGACTCCCCCTCGCCCTGGCGCACCCTGGCACCCCATTCTCAACTTGCTCCCATAAAGGGTGGCACTCGGTGCTGAATCGCCTCTGCTTCATTCCCACAGCAAGGGCCTCCCAGTGGAGGCTGAAGTCACTTTTGCAGGAGGCAGGCAGCAGAATGCCAGCTCAGAGAGTCACCCTGCCCATCTCTGCTGGCATCCAAACTCCCCGAAATGCCTCTGCAATGCCCCATGAGCAGCAGCTGCTTCTTCTTCTTCTTCTTCTCCTTCTCCTTCTTCCTCTTCCTCCTCCTCCTTCTTCCTCTTCCTCCTCCTCCTCTCCTTCTCTTTCTCCTCCTTCTCCTCCTTTCTCCTCCTCCTCCTCCTTCTTGTTCTTCTTTAAATTGTGGTAAAACAGACGTAACATAAAATTGACCACCTTCACTATTTAAGTGAACAGTTCAGTGGCACTAGGCACATTCGAATTGTGTGACCTTCACCACCCTCCATCTCCAGAACTCTCCATCTTCCCAAAGTGAACTCTGTCCCCATGAAACACTCACTTCCCGTCCCCTCCCCAGCCTGGCACCCACCTTTCTACTTCCTGTCTCTATGAACCTGACAATACTGGGGACCGTCCATGAGTGGAACCATAGGACACGTTCTTTCGTGGCTGACTCATTTCATTTCTCATAATGTCCTCAAGGCTCATCCGGTTTTAGCGTGGGTCAGAATTTCCTTCCTTTTCATGGCTGCGTAGTATTCCACTGCGTAACGGGTGGCATTTTGTTTCTCCATCGCTCGTCCCCGGATGCTCTGCTGCATCCACCTTTGGCTGCTGGGACTGATGCTGCCATGAACATGGGTGTGCAAGTTTGAGTCTGAGTCCCCGCTTTCACTTGGACTGAGTTTGTGCAGGGCCATTCGGTAGGAGCTGTTGACACTTAAAGACGCCCAGGGACGCTGCTGCTGAGGGCTGGCCTTGGAGGGATCATGGTGGGGCCAAGGTGCCAACAGGGAGTCCACAGCATCGTCATCTGCCCCGTGACACTGGGGGCAAGCTCAGTGTCCCTCAGTGGGGCTAGTTAAATCCCAACAAATACCTGTTGAAGTTCCTGTTTTCAATCTTCTTGGGCATAAACTGAAAGTCAGAATTGTGGGATCACGTGGTGATTCTACGTTTAAGTTTTTGGGGAACCGCCAAATGGTTTTCCAGGAGCTGCACGGTTTCACGTTCCCGCACGGTGTCCTGATTTCTCCACCTCTGCACCAACACTTACTTTCTGTTTTTTAAAATAATACTATGATAACGGGTGTAAAGTGGTGTCTCTTGATTTGTATCTCCCTGCTAACTAATGATGGCAAGCATCTTTTCATGGGCTTAGCGGCCACTTGTGTATCTTCTCTGGAGAAATGTCTATTGCAGTCTTTCACCTGTTTTTAATTGGGTTGTTTGGTTTTCTTCTTGTGGAGTTGTGGGAGTTTTTAAAATATATTCTGGATATGAACCTCTTACCCGACATATAACTTCCAAGTGTGTCCTCCCATTCTTGGGTTGCCTTTTCACTCTTGACAGTGTCCTATGATGCAGAGAAGTTTAGTGCAAATTTATTTTTTAATTTTCTTGCCTGTGTTCCTCTAAGCTTCTTTGTCCATCCACAGTTGGGGCCTCATTTCCTCTGGGGGCAGGGTTCAGTGTCATTCATTCAACATCCGAGGTCGGCCATTCATTCAACAAACCCTCCCTGGGGACCCACTGGTTGCCAGCTCTGCACTGGGCTCCAGGATGAGACATCAGGACAGACGGACCCCAGGATGCGACATCAGGACAGACGGACCCCAGGATGCGACGTCAGGACAGACGGACCCCAGGATGCGACGTCAGGACAGACGGACCCCAGGATGCGACGTCAGGACAGACGGACCCCCGGGTGCGACGTCAGGACAGACGGACCCCAGGATGCCATGTCAGGACAGACGGACCCCAGGCTGTGATGGTGGGACAGATGAACCCCTACCTCTACAGGGCTCATGGTCCTGTGGAAGCCAGAGACAAGGGAACAGAAGGTTAAGAGACTGAGAGCCAGGGTATACTGGGGCTGGGGACCAAAGAGAAGAGGCTGTCAGAGACAGTGAGGACAAAGCCAAGGATTCAAGGATGAGGGAGCGAGGCTGGCTGGAGCCTGGGATTCTCCAGAGGCAGGTGCGGCTGGGGTCTTCACTGGGGTTTTCCAGAGGCAGCCCTGGGACCGCAGCTCATGGGGAGGGGCAGGAGGAGTGGGGACGGGATCGATGAGAGAGGAGGAGAAGGTGGCCGCTAAAGGGTGCCATACGCTCCCCTGCAACCCAAACCGGGGGCTGGAGCCTCACCCCATGGGCCTCAGTGGTGGAGGTGGAGCTGGGACTGTCTACGCTGCCAAGCACTCCATGTGTTCCCTCCCATGGTCCCACCCCCATCCTTCTCCCAAGAAGCCTCGCTACAGATGGGGTAGCCAGGCAGGCAAGGTGAGCTGGCCCAGCAGCTCTGAGGCTGGCTCGGGCCTGTCGCTGGTTAAGGGCTGCCCAGGGTCACCCACACCCAGCACACTCTTGCCTGGACTCATGACTTAGTGACAGACGCTGGCAGCCCGGACACGGTCATTCCAGCGACGGATGCGGGTGGCTCTGACAGGGTCATTCCAGGACCCAAGGTCAGATGCTCTCCGTGTCTGGGGGCTGCTGTAACGAAGGGCCACAGATTGGGGGGCATAAAGCACCCAAAATGTGCTCTCCCCGCTCTGGAGGCCAGAAGTCAGAGACCCGGGTGTCCCAGGGCCACGCTCCCTCCAGAGGCTCCAGGGGAGGGTCCTTTCTGCCTCCTCCAGCTTCTGATGCTGCAGGCATTCCTGGCTTGTGGGCGCCTGGCTCCAGTCTCTGCCTCCGTTTTTATGTGGCTTCTCCCCTGTGTCTCTGCGTCCTCTCCTCTTCTTATAAAGA
Organism: Homo sapiens; assembly: GCF_000001405.40. NCBI lineage: Eukaryota > Metazoa > Chordata > Mammalia > Primates > Hominidae > Homo > Homo sapiens. The sequence continues at coordinate 136,592,465 of NC_000009.12, read as the reverse complement.
CACCAGTCCTTTGGTTAAAGGCTCACCCTACATGCAGGACAGTCTCATCTCGAGATCTTTAATTCCATTTTCCAAACCTCTATTTCCTGGTAAGGTCACATTCTGAGGCTCTGGAGGGGGCCTCTCTGCTAGCAGACGCCATGAACTTGCCCTGGAATCCTGGAGGCCCCCTAGGCTGCAGCTGTCTGGGGGGCTCCAAGTGTCTGGATCTGCATGGACGCCTCCAGTGGCTCGGGGTCTTGACACCACTGTCTGAGCTTGATGCAGGGCCCTCTGTTGTTCTGGGCCCCACTCGAAAGTGATCGTCTTCTGGGTCATCTAACAAATGGGCAGAGCATTGCCGAAGCTGCCTGTTGAACCCAAAGAGACAGCCAAGCATTGCACTGCTTCCTTGGTGTAGGTGTGAGGAGCAATCACTCGTTCTTTGTTACAGATGCGGTCTCACTCTGCCGCCCAGAATGCATGCAATGGTGTGACCACAGCTCACTGTAGCCTCTACCTCCTGGGCCCAAGGGATCCTCCTGCCTCAGCCTCCCAAGCAGCTGGGACCACAGGCAGGAGATGGGTCTGAGTGTGTTGCCCAGGCTGAATAACTTGTTCTTTATGTGGAGGAGACCACCTGTCTCCTTGCAGTCTCCAAGGGTGCATTAGTCCCTGCCATCACATCCCAGACCACTGAACCCCTGAAAGCGGATATGGTAGCCCCAGAATCTCGGTGGGTTTACCGTCTGTCCTCTGGCACACAAGCACAAAGCATCAGAATGCGACTCCTGCTTCCCCAGAAGATTAACTCCATAGCCTTTGTGCATTGAGCTCTCACGATGTTCCAAGAAACGTCTGGATGGCCTGCGAGTCTCAGGGCTGTGTGGAGAGCAGGAACATAGTCACCGCCCTGGGCGGGGTCGTGCACGTGCACTACTGTCCTTCCCATGCCCGTGCAGACTGCTTATGATGCTCCTTCCACCCCAACAGGGACTGGGATCCGTGCGGTCTCCAGACTTGCCTCCAGGGAGCCCCAGGCCGGGTGCTCGAGCTTGTGTTGGCCTGTTCCCCAGTCCAGACATCACCTCTGGCAGAGTGGCTGTGGCCAGGACTCCCAGCTTGTTAGGTTGACCGTCACCCACCTGCCATGGTCTGTCTGACCTCCGCAGGGGCCGGACTGCTGAACTCGATGAGAATAGGTTGGGACCACTGTGTGTGTATTTGTCAAGGCTTTCTGGGTGGCACGAATCCATGCCATCTCAGAAGGCATCTGCTTTGGGTTTCCCATCTTGGTGTGTACGCATGGGGAGTCATGGTTTTGGGAGTTTCAACTTGGTTTTTTCAGCCATCCAGGCTCTTACGCCGCAGAAGGAAGTGACAGAAGGGCTTTGCCAGCTGCCACATCCAGCCCTTCCTCCAACCACACACTCAGGCCAAGGGGAGTGGCCACAGAGTGGCCCAGGGACCTAGGGGCCCACTGGATGGAGCTGGCCCAGGGCCCCATTTATCACCCAGTGTCCATCCTTTCCCGCCTTAACAGGGGCCATGCCATGAGGTCACTGTGGTCTCCTGATACTGGCGTCAGCCAGGCTGGACATCAGACAGCACTGATGGAGTGGGTGGGCCCTTTCTCCAGCGCCCAGTTCCTCTAGTAAATGGCCAGTGGTCCCTCTGGGGATGCAGTGGGGGAACTGTGCATGTGTGCTTTTGTGTTGTAGGGTCCTTCCTCAAGGGCACCTGGCCGCCCCTCCAGTTGCGGGCTCTGGATCTGAGAGCCGGCCACGTCTAGAACACTGTGAAGGATTTTTCTCTCGCTGCAGCTGACGGCAGCTTTCCTGACGCCTTCCACTAAGGGGTGTCCTCGGGACTCTATGGGGAGGCAGAGATGATGGAGGAGGAGCAGGCACTTCTGGGAGGTCATCCTCTCAAACAGACACACCCAGGTGGCCCAGGCCAGCACTCAGGCCCACTCCTTCTCGGTCAGAGCCCTGATCCCAGCCTGGGAGACTTCCAGGAGCCTCCTCTGCAATTCCCTTACTGCAATGCCCTTACTGTGTCCCATGGCCAGAGGAGAGGTCAGCTGAAACCAGCCGGGCCCCAACTGTGACACTGGCCAGTAGCCACGGCTCCCACGTCCTCATGGTCACTGTGGCCTCCATAACTCCTGAATGCTGGAGAACCGCGTGGCAGGGGCCTCCGGCTCCCACGGCCCTTCCCAGTCGCCATGGCAGAGGTCCAACACTGCACTGCACCCCAGGGCTGTCACCCTCCACTGCCCCAGCAGTGGGGCTCCTTCAGCCATCCCGAGCCCCCTCCCAGAGTCCCTTCTGGCCCCAGCTGACTTAGTGTGGCTCTTGGAAGCACCCCTGAGGACCAGGGTGCATATTGATGCCATCTATTTGGGAAGGCAGGCGGCACAGGATGGGGGTGGATGGAGGACGGGAGGTAACCAGCAGGTGTGCTGCCGGCTCCCAGCGTGGGTCAGGGCTCTGTCCCCCGGGTTGGGAAATGGTGCAGAACTTGGAGCAGCCTCGCAGGGCCCCTGGCTGCCCCAGATGGTGCCAACTCTGGCCCGAGAACCAAGTGGGTGAGGGCACAGGTATCACCAGCAGATGACACCTTGATGGAGATGGCAGAGGTCCAAGGGGACACAGTAGGGGGCATCGCACTGTGGAGGGGGGCACCGCACTGTGGAGGGGGGCATCGCGTGGTGGGGGGAGCACTGAACAGTGTGGGGGGATCACACTGGATGAGAGGGCATCGCGTGGTGGCGGGAGCACTGAACAGTGTGGGGGGATCACAGTGGATGAGAGGGCATCGCATGGTGGGTGTGTCACATGGCGGGGGGGACATCGCACGGTGGGGGCATCCACAGATTTCCTCCGCTCTTTGAGCCGCTGCTGTTTCTGTAGTGTCTCAACCTCTCGGGCTCAGTGCACTCACTCACTGTCCCCACTTGACAGAGAAGGACCCAGCACCTCGCTCCCACCAGGCCTTGCGGAGCCCACACACCCCGGGAGCTGACCACGGCCTCACCCCTTCCTTGCCTCTGATAGACTCAGGCCCCTGCCAGGTCCGGTCCTCAGACCGTGCCTCCTCCACTGCCCTCTCAGGGAGGCCTCGTCAGGTCCCACCTGCACCCCCCTACCAGGTCTAGGGTCAGCCACTTTCCCATACGCCTCTCAGACTGGACACATCCCAAACCAGACCCCCTCCCCACCACCCCTGCCTCTTCCGCTCACACTGCCTCAGCAAACGGCACCCTACCCACGTGGCATGTCCAGGCCAGGACCCCTGTTCCCACACCTCTCTCCTCCTTCAACCCCCACGCCCAACCCACAGCTGCAGTTTCTAAGGTGCAGGCAGCATCCCCTGCTCAGAGCTGCCCTGGGACTTCCCACTGTCATCACATCAAGATGCAAAATGCCTCCCAGCAGCTGGGCTCCCTCGGGATGGGCCCCACCATCCAGTGGCCTCCACTTCCCCTGTCTGTTTTGGAGGCCCGGGAGCCTGCCTGCCACAAGGCCTTGTATACGCTTTTGCTGGGGATGCCCAGGCCCCCTTCCTGTCCCTCAAGGCCCCAGAGGCCTTTCCAGACCATCCGGGGCACACACGACTTCTCCCAGCGTGGCTCTCTCCCCTCCATGGCTTTGATGGGGGCTGCGAGGGTGGGAGCGTCCTCTCTAGCCTGTGGTGCGCTCCTGGGGGCAGACTCTCATCGGCCCGGCCTCTGCAAGCCACACACAGCAGGGCCTCTAGGAACAGACGGGTGAGTGGGTGGGTGAGGACAGGCCCCAGGTTCACCCTGCTCTCAGTGGCTCTGGGTCACCTGCCATGACCCAGGCTGAGCTGAACCTTCCAAACATCTCCCTGTCTCCGGAAGCCCAAGTACCTCTGCCCACCTCAGGGTCCCCTTCCTGCCCTGCCCCTCTGGGTTTGAGGGGTCCTTGGGGGACAGTGCAGACCAGTGGGAGAGGAAATCCTTGTATTTTTCAGGGTGAATGGAAACAAAGCTCCTTGTTTATTTCCTGGTGAATGGGGGTGGGGGGGGGGCGGAGTCAGGGTTAACCCTTTCTTCCCTGGGTTTAATTGTCCCCTTTCCGGCCTGGGCTCCTCCGCTGCTCCCATCGCCCCAGAAGCTTTCCTGAGACTGACTCCAGCGGGGAGGGGGAGTGAACAAAAACACACAACAAAAGCAAAGCCGCAGCCGGAAAGAAGCCCCGGTGGGAGAAGTCTGAGAAGCAGGAAACTGCCTCCCCCGCCCCCATGGGGGTGTGCAACCTGGGACCTGGGGGGCGCACACCTGCTCAGGAGCCAGGGTCTGGCTGAGCGGCCCCTGCAGCTGGGAGGAGCCACTATTAACCCGCAGGCAGCCTTGGGGGTCCTTGTCTTGGGGGTGTCTGAGGCGGTTTTTCCCATGACCTCACCCGGAAGGGCTGAGCCGCGCGGGAGGCCTGATCCTGAGCAGGCTCCTGGAGCTGAGTACCCCCCGCCCCCGCCCCCGCCTCCCCCGCAACTGGCCCAGCACCCCCCTTGCAGCCAGGGCTGGGTTGGGGTTGGGAGTTAACCCTGCTGAGGCTGGAGATGCTGCACCAGGCCCCCGCCTTGGTGCCCACCTGCTGGGCAGTGGGCCAGCCTGGCTTTTGGGCTGACACCCTGAGACCCTGCTCCCGGGCTTCGGAGCCCAGTCTGACTCCAGGCCTGCACGGTGTCCTCCGCAGCCCTCGCTGCTGTAGGATGGATGAACCCACACAGCCGGGAGTGGGCCCGAGGGGTGAGGCCACCCCTACCACACTGGGCAGCGACCTCCGAGCCTGAGCTCCTGGAGTCCTCCCCACAGCTCATGAGGCAGGTACCGTCAGGGCCCATTTCAGAGAGGAGGGAACTGAGGCTGGGGTGAGATGACGGCAGGGGGCCCAGGAGCAAGGGCAGGCCCTCGCCCTGTGCTGCCTGGAGGCTGGGGTGGAGGCTCGGCAGCCCACAGCCCCCTCCTCCAGCAGAGCCGTGTCTGAGGGAGGCGCCCGGCCTCCGGAGTGGCTGTGACCCAGTCACCTCTCCTCCCTGGTCTCCAGCACCCCCCACCACACTGGCGGGGGCTGCACTGGGAACGCAACCATCCGGCTAGTGCTGGTTCTCACAGCCCCGCCGGAGACTCCCACACTGTCCGCAGCTGCTCTTCTGGCTCCTGCCGGCCCCGCCCCCGGCTTTGCTGGAAACGCCAACCAGATGTTGGGACTGTTGCCCGTGGGGAGGGGGGTGCGGGAGGAAGTGAGGAAGAAGAGGAAGCTGCAGAGCCCAGCGCAGACGGGATCGGGGCTATGGACACATGAGCTTGGATGGGGAGACTGAGGAGGGCCCGGGGCCGACCCACCCAGATGGGCAGCACAAGCCCCTTTTGGGTCCCAGCTTGGCTTCGGCCCAGTGCTGCACCCTCAGGTCCCGCTCGGCCTCCCTGGCTGCCTCATCACAGCACCCTGGCGATGGCTGGAGGCTCAGCCCCGCAGGCCTTGCTCAACCCATCGTCACTGTGGAGGGTTTCTGGAGGGCCAGCTTCTGCCAGGCACCGCCACTCACCAGAGCCACGCCCTCCGGGAGGCTCACCTGGGCCACAGACCCCGATGGCGTCCCCACCCTCTTGCCCTGCACACACAGAGGCACACACACGTGTGGATACATGTGTGCATACATGTGTACACTTGTTCCCACATATGCACATGCTCACACAGTGTGCATACACAGGCACACACATACACAAACTCACACAAGCATACACGTGCAATCTACACCATTGAGGTCATGCACAGATATGTTCACACACTGGCATACACGTATGTGAGTGCACACACATGCAAACAAGCACTCACGAGCACACACGCGCATGCACACGGGAGCACCCGTGTGTGGACACTCACGTGAGCAAGCACACACACGTACACACTCTCACACATGCACACACACGCACCCCTCACATGTAGAGGCACACACATGCACCCCTCTACACACACGGGCACACACTTGCACACCTGCGTGTGGACTCAGGTGAGCAAGCACTGGTGCACACGCACACGTTCTCACACGTGCACACCTGAATGTCATTCTCCCCGGGAACCCCACGCCGGCTTTGTGGGTGTGACAGTGGCCCCTGGCGCCCCTTCTGTGCGTCTCCCCACCCCCTGTCCTTTTCCTAGCCCACTTTGCCTGGGTGAGTGTTCAGAGGAGAATTTGCCACAGGCTGTAGCTGAGGAGGCAGAGCCCGAGAGAAGACCATGATGTAGTGTGGTACAGGCCTGGCCCCTGAAGCCTGCGGCTGCCACAGCCATCCTCAGGCCCTGTGTGGAGGGAGGCAGCAGCTGTCCCCTGGGATGTAGAGGGACACCCTTGCTCTCCAAGCAGACCAGGGACCTGTGCCCTGCCGAGCCTGCTCCCCACACAGAGGGACTGGGCATCCGCCACCCTGGGGACCTTGGGGACTTGTCTGGCCTCCCGCCATCTGGAAGAGCCTTTGCTCCCCACCTCATCCCCCTGGCCTAGGTGGGGAGTCTTGCAAACAGGGCCCTGGGGGCTCATGACCCTGCCCGCTGCATCCCGGGATGACCCTGCCTGATGCGTCCCAGGATGACCCTGCCCGCTGCGTCCCGGGATGAACGGCTGTGGGTATCTCCTGCAGGCGCATGCAGGTGTTGTGTGTCAGTGAGGGATGGGGATGGGTGTGGGGCCGGTCTCCCTCTTTATGCTTCAGCAGGTAGGTAGGGTGCAGGTGGGGCCTGGCCCCTCTCTATGGCCTCCAGAGCTGCTGGCTCTGTGGGCCGCCACCCTAGCCGCTCCCTGCAGCCAAAGCATCTTTGGGAAGCCCAGCTCCAGCCACCCTCTGCCCTCCCCTTGACTGCAGGGCTCAGTTCCTGCAGCCCCGCCTGGAAGAGCCTGCCCCCTGCCCTCGCCCTCCAGCCACCCCAGGGTTCTGGTCTGTTTGTCTGGGGCACCTCGCTGTCCCCTCTGGTGGCTTACGTGACCCCATCCATCCTACTGGCCTTGGCTGGAACCCTGGGGGGCCCTCGCCACGGCAGGGGTAGGTGCCTCATCCTCGCTGGGTGAGCCCCTCCCATGCAGGGTCTTGGGGGAGGGAGGGCACTGCTACACCCCGACAGAGCCTGACTCTCAAGAGGCTCAGCAGATCTTCGAGCAGAGAATGAATGAAGAAATCAATCCATGCTGAGCTGAGAGAGCGCCAGTAGCCGGGAAAGGGATGCAGGGCCCAGGTGGAAAACTGCCCAGCAAGCTCCCTGCTCCTCCCCACGGCTCCTCCCAGAGAGGCCTTCCCTGCCCACGTGCTCACCCTGGGCTGCCCGTCTCCACCCACTGGCCCCATCTCCCTGTCCCGCTCAGAGATTTGGAGGTGTTGGCCCAAAGTCCTATGGGGATCTGCCTCAAACCTTTAACTGCTGGGGCGGGGGCCATGCTGTTGCCTCATTCAGACACTTCTGTTTGCTGGTCCCTGGATGACAGCTTCAGGGGGCAGCCAGCACTGACGGAGGGAGGAGCAGAGGCAACCGACACGTGAGAGTCAGGTGCCCAGAGCCCAGGCCTCACCCTGCGCTGGCTGTGTGATCTTATACAGGTTGCTTGCCGTCTCTGGGCCTGCCTGATTTCCCTCCTGTGAACGAGGTTGTGGCACGGGGCAGGGTGACTGCAACTCCCTGGTCGCTCCTGCTGCCCTTGACCTCGTGACCCGAGCGTGCCGGCTGCCTTGCGAGCAGCTTACCCGTGGGAAGCGGAGGGCGAGGTGGAAGGAAGGCCGGCTCCAGCCTGCCCGGGGAGGGTGGCTGCAGCGCCGGCCCCTGGGAGCTCCTCATTGTGACAGGACCTTAGGGGAAGAGGAGAGGAAGTGGGAGGGCCTCAGACCCCCAGCAGTGGGGTAGAGAGAGATGGGGCCAAGGCCAGCCTCCCCCAGCTGTCAAGGATACCCTGGGAGGCTGGCAACCCCTGGCTGAGCCGGGCCCCACGGGGATGTGGGTGCCTGATGGGACGGTGGCTGTGTGTGTGTGACAGTGGGTGCTGTGGTCCCATGGAGCAGGGGACACGGCCGTCTCGGTGCAGGGGGCTCCTGCTGGGAGCCCTGACTAGCCTGGGAGGGTCCCAGGAACTTGGCGGGCCCCAAGGAAGCCCCTGGCCACGCTGTGGGGGTGGGAGTCCTGAGGCCATCGGGCCTTGGTCCTTCACCCTGCTTTTGTCACTTTCCCTTGAAAGCCTGTCCTCCAGTTCCCGTAACGAAGTACCACAGACTGGGTGGCTTAAAGCAGAAATGCATCCCCTCCCGTTTCTGGAGGCCAACAGCCTAGGACGCAGGTGTCAGGAGGGCTGCGCTCCCTCGGGAGGCCCTTCCCGCCCTTCCCGCCCCTCCCAGCTCCGGTGGCCAGTACGGCCTCTGCCTCCCTCACTCCAGCGTCCCTGGCCTCTGTGCCTTTCCCGCTGGCATGAGGACGCTTGACACTGTGTTTAGAACCCACCCGAGGCCAGGGAGGTCTCACCCCGAGATCCCAACCTTAATTCCATCTGCAAAGAGTAAGTTCACACTCTGAGGTTCCGGGTGGATGCATCCTGGGGGGCCACATTTCAACCCACTCCCAATGCCAGGGCCCTCAGCCGGGGCTGCCCCTCTGCCCCGGCACTGCCCCTGCCTCCCCAGGGGTTGCATCCAGCCCCCAGTGGCCTCAAGTCAGTTTCCCGGGGAAGCTGTGGGGAAAGTGCACCTGCAGAGGGGACACCCTGGGCAAAGGCCAGGGGGCAGGGCTGGGTATTCAGGGTCCTGGCTGTGCACCTGCTCCACTCTGCACGGGTGGCCTTCCTTGCCATGGATGTGAAGGCTCCAGGCCTCAAAGGCAGGGGCTGGGCAATGGGCGGCACTGGCCACAGGCAGGGCCCAACCCAGGCCGGGCATAGAAAGGAGACACCGCCTGTGGACCTGAGGGCCTGGGAAGCCTATGGAGGGAGCGTCCCCAGCCCCTGAGGCACAACCAGGGCCAGGCTAGGGTTTCTCGAGCTGGTGCCTGCACTGGGCCCGGGCCTCCCCAGCCTGGGCCAGCCCGGGCCAGCCCATGGCCCAGCTCCCAGGGTGCTGCAGAAATGTCCTTTTGTTGGCTGAACAAAGCAGCTTTGAGCTGGGCCCTTATCTCAGGCCACACTGAGATGGGCTGGAGCCGGCTAGCCAGCCTGGAGGGGTGCCCCCAAGCAAGGAGAGGCAGAGAGAGGCTCTCCAGGGATGCAGCAGGCCCATCAGATAAGGCCCTAGGCAGGCACAATGGGCATGGGTAGGCACAGGTGAGTACAGGTGGGCACAGGCAGACACAGGTTGGCACAGTTGGGCACAGGCAGGCACAGGTGGATGCAGACACACTCCATCTCTGCCCCACCCTGCCAAGCACTGTCTTGGCTATCGAAGGCCCCAGGTGGCTCAGCGTGGCTGGGAACCCAAGGAGGCATAGGTGGGCTTCCCTGAGCTGGGCCAGGATAGTGGGGGGTGGCCCTCCCTCAGTGACAGGTGCCCAGTGGGTCAGGGGCAGCTCATGCTTGGCCCATCCCTGGGTCTCTCTGGAGACGAAGCACCTGACTCCAGGCACCTTAAGGGCAAGGCCAGGAAGGTGTGGCTGGCAGTGTCCCCTTTGCCCACCTATGTCTCAGGGAGCTGAGAGGCCTCAGAAACACACGCTGCCCTGTCCTGCTGTCCCAGGACCCGTTTCAGGCTTCCACGGTGCATGGTGCCTACCAGGAGAGACTCAAGTGCAGAAGAACAGCCACAGGGGCCAGTGGGCCACACGGCAGGCCTGGCCCCACCTGTGACACGGGTGGCAACCTTCCCCAGGAACATCCAGTGCCTCCTGCCTGCAACAGCCCACAGGGCACTGGATACAGAGGCGGTCAGTTGGTTCCTATGCCATGAGGCTCCCTCCTTCCTCCCTTTTTCCTGTCTCCCTACCTCCCTTATCTCTGTGTCTGGTGTACAGCTGGGCTCAGACAACATCTGTTGAATAAATGGATGGACGAATGAGTGAATGAATGAGTGAGCAAATGAGTGAGTGACTGAATGAGTAAGTGAATGGGTGAGTGATTCAGTGAGTAAATGAGCAAGTGAGTGAGTGAATGAGTGAGTGGGTGAGTGAGCAACTGAATAAGTGAGAGTGAATGAGTGAGTGTATGAGTGAATGAGTTTGTGAATGAGTGGGTGAGTTAGTGAATGAATGAGTGAGCAAATGAATGAATGAGTGAGTGAATGAGTGAGTGACTGACTGAGAGTCAATGAGCGAGTGAATGAGTGATTGAGTGAATGAGTGGGTGAGTGAGTGGGTGAGTGTGTGGGTGAGTGAGTGACTGAAGGAGTGAGCAAATGAATGAGTGAGTGAATGAAAGAGTGAATGAGTGAGTGAATGAGTGAATGAGTGAATAAGTGAGTGAGTGACTGAATGACTGAGTGAGTGAGTGAAGGACTGAATGAGTGAGTGAGTAAATGAGTGAGTGAGTGAATGAGCGAGTGAATGAGTGAGTGAGTGAATGAGCGAGTGAATGAGTGAGTGAGTGAATGAGTGAGTGAGCGAATGAGTGAGTGAATGAGTGAGTGAATGAATGCGTGAATGAGTGAGTGATTGAAGAGTGAGAGAGTGGGTGAGTGAGGGAGTGAATGAGCAAGGGAGTGAGTGAGTGAGTGAATGAGTAAGTTAGCGAGTGAGTGAGGGAGCGAGGGAGTGAATGAGCGAGGGAGTGAGTGAGTGAACGAGTAAGTGAGCGAGTGAGTGAGCAAGTGAATGAGTAAGTGAGCGAGTGAGTGAGTAAGCGAGTGAATGAGTGAGTGAATGAGTGAGTGAATGAGTGAGTGAATGAGTGAGTGAGTGAGTGAATGAGTGAATGAATGAGGGAATGAGTGAGTGAATGAGTGAGTGAGTGAGTGAATGAGTGAGTGAGTGAGTGAGTGAATGGGTGAGTGAGGGAATGAGTGAGTGAGTGAATGAGTGAGTGAATGAGTGAGTGAATGAGTGGGTGAGTGAATGAGTGAGTGAATGAGTGAGTGAGTGAACAAGTGAATGAGTGAATGAGTGAGTGAGTGAACGAGTGAGTGAGTGAGTGAACGAGTGAATGAGTGAGTGAATGAGTGAGTGAATGAATGAGGGAATGAGTGAATGAATGAGTGAGTGAGCAAATGAGTGAGTGAGTGAATGAGCAAATGAGTGAGTGAGTGAACGAGCGAATGAGTGAGTGAGGGAATGAGTGAGTGAGGGAATGAGTGAGTGAGTGAATGAGTGAGTGAATGAGTGAGTGAGTGAATGAGTGAGTGAATGAGTGAGTGAGTGAATGAGTGAGTGAGTGAGCAAATGAGTGAGTGAGTGAACGAGCAAATGAGTGAGTGAGTGAACGAGCGAATGAGTGAGTGAGTGAGTGAATGAGTGAGTGAGGGAATGAGTGAATGAATGAGGGAATGAGTGAATGAGTGAGTGAGTGAATGAGTGAGCGAATAAGTGAGTGAGTGAACGAGTGAGTGAGGGAATGAGTGAGTGAGTGAACGAGTGAGTGAGTGAGTGAATGAGGGAATGAGTGAATGAGTGAGTGAGTGAATGAGTGAGCAAATAAGTGAGTGAGTGAACGAGTGAGTGAGGGAATGAGTGAGTGAGTGAACGAGTGAGTGAGTGAGTGAATGAGTGAGTGAACGAGTGAGTGAGTGAATGAGTGAGTGAACGAGTGAGTGAGTGAATGAGTGAGTGAATGAGTGAGTGAGTGAGTGAACGAGTGAGTGAGTGAGTGAGTGAACGAGTGAGTGAGTGAGTGAATGAGTGAACGAGTGAGTGAATGAGTGAGTGAGTGAATGAGTGAGTGAATGAGTGAGTGAGTGAATGAGTGAGTGAATGAGTGAGTGAGTGAATGAGTGAGTGAGTGAGCAAATGAGTGAGTGAGTGAACGAGCAAATGAGTGAGTGAGTGAACGAGCGAATGAGTGAGTGAGTGAGTGAATGAGTGAGTGAGGGAATGAGTGAATGAATGAGGGAATGAGTGAATGAGTGAGTGAGTGAATGAGTGAGCGAATAAGTGAGTGAGTGAACGAGTGAGTGAGGGAATGAGTGAGTGAGTGAACGAGTGAGTGAGTGAGTGAATGAGGGAATGAGTGAATGAGTGAGTGAGTGAATGAGTGAGCAAATAAGTGAGTGAGTGAACGAGTGAGTGAGGGAATGAGTGAGTGAGTGAACGAGTGAGTGAGTGAGTGAATGAGTGAGTGAACGAGTGAGTGAGTGAATGAGTGAGTGAACGAGTGAGTGAGTGAATGAGTGAGTGAATGAGTGAGTGAGTGAGTGAACGAGTGAGTGAGTGAGTGAGTGAACGAGTGAGTGAGTGAGTGAATGAGTGAACGAGTGAGTGAGTGAGTGAATGAGTGAGTGAACGAGTGAGTGAGTGAGTAAGTGAACGAGTGAATGAGTGAATGAGTGAGTGAATGAGTGAATGAATGAGGGAATAAGTGAGTGAATGAGTGAGTGAGTGAATGAGTCAGGGAGTGAGTGAGAGAATGAGTGAGGGAATGAGTGAGGGAATGAGTGAGTGAGGGAATGAGTGAGTGAGTGAATGAGTCAGGGAGTGAGAGAGAATGAGTGAGGGAATGAGTGAGTGAGTGAATGAGCAAGTGAGTGAATGAGTGGGTGAGTGAATGAATGAGTGAGTAAATGAGTGAGTGAATGAATGAGCGAAGGAGTGAATGAGTGAGTGAATGAGTGAATGAGTGAGTGAATGAGTGAGTGAGTGAGTGATTGAGTGAAGGAGTGAGTGAATGAGTGAGCGAGCGAGTGACTGAGTGAAGGAGAGGTAGGGGTGAGGGAGGGGAGGCCCAGGCAGGGGCGGGTATTCCCAGCAGGATGTGCTACCTTCTAAGCGGGTCTTGGGTTGGGCCCCAGAGGCTGCAGGTGAGCGCAGGGGAAGAGCACTGCCTGCAGGAGGCTCACCCTGCTGGAGGTCCCGGTTTGAGGCTGAAGCCTCAAACGGTCTGGGGGCCTGGCCGAAGGCAGAGCTGGGCAGACACCATCCCTGCCCTGCCAGGGCTGCCCTGGGCCCCAGGTGGCTCAACACAGCTGGGAACTGAAGGAGGCACCTGGATTTTGAGGGAGACAAACTGCGTGGGTCCTGTCTGAACAGGCTCATTTCAGCACCCAGTGTGTGGGGCAGGGCCCCCATCCCCGGCCATGCTCAGTGGCCAGAATGAGCCCTGAATCGGAGCTAAAGGCAGAGGTGAGGGTCCCAGAGACCCCACATCTCCTTCGGAGGCCAGGCGCCTGGCCCCAGTGTGGAGCTCCAAGCCCCTCCCCCAGCGCCCAGCCACATCCCCTGGGAGGACCAGGGGCCCTGTGATGTGGGGCCACCACCCTCCCCCTGACCCCTGGCATTCAGCCAGGTGGGAGAAGGCCAGCTTGTTCCTCCTGTGGTGCCCCGCCCACATGTCCCTCCCCAGGCTGGGGTGGGCGCAGCCTCATTGGAGCAAACAGTTCCTTCCTTCTTGCCCGTGACTGGGGTCTCAATGTTTCCCTTGCCTCCCATGGGTCCCCCTCACTTTCCCACAAGCACTTATGGCATAAAAATAACTTCTTTGGGAATGGCAGTCCCTGCTGGGCTCATGTGGGCCCCCAGCCTCGGGGACCTCTGACTACAGGCCCCGCCCCAGGCCAGGCCCCTGAACGTTGCTGGGTGGGGAGAGTGCTCCCCAACAGAGCTTCCCGGCTGGGCTTCCTGAGAAGCTGCCTGGTCCAGGCTGCAAACTTGCAGGTGAAGGTCTGCCCCACGGACCCCGGGGAGTGGGATGGGAGGGCGGCCCCTTCCAGCCTCTTCCTTGTCACATTTTACACTCCAGGTTGATGGTGTTCTCAGGGGACATGGCTTGGGACTGACAGCCTCACCCTGTCACTTTGAATCTTCCCGCTATTGTGAATCAGAGTCCCACAGACACAGCCTCCCGCCAGGAAATCAGGGTTCCCCAGCGCAGGGCTCCTGGGCCACAGCGGTGGGGGCGCCCGGCGGCTCGACTGCTGCACCACAGCGGGCTCAGGTTGTATCTGGCTTTTCAGAGAACGTCCCTGCCTCGAAGTTCTCATCACTCAGGAAGAGAAATAGCTAGCCAGCTAGCCCCGGTGTGGGGAGGGGCCCAGAGCCTGGCTCATGCCCCGAGGCCACCCCCACACCCCACCCTCTGGGCCTCAGTGTCCCCCGGCCGTGTTTGTGGGGATTTCAGCAGGAGGTGCTGTCTGGGTGTTTGGTATCCGGGAGGTGCCAGGCCAGCAGCGCAGCGCGATGACTGCATGGTCACGATAGGGATGCCTACGTGCCACACACTCCCATGCTGGAACCGTCAGAGCTGGCTGGTTTCCACCTGTCCAAAACCATCTTAACCAAAGCCCGCGTTCTTGCGCAGATTTACCTCCAGTTTATGGGATTACTTCTTTAGATGCAATCAGCATTTTCTGGAAGACTGGGAACACTTACGGGTCTTTTTTTTTTTTTTTTTTTTTTTTTGAAATGGAGTCTCGCTCTGTCGCCCAGGCTGGAGTGCAGTGGCGCGATCTCGGCTCACTGCAAGCTCCGCCTCCCGGGCTCATGCCATTCTCCTGCCTCAGCCTCCTGAGTAGCTGGGACTACAGGCACCCGCAACCACGCCCGGCTAATTTTTTTGTATTTTTAGTAGAGACGGGGTTTCACCGTGTTAGTCAGGATGGTCTCGATCTCCTGACCTCGTGATCCACCCACCTCAGCCTCCCAAAGTGCTGGGATTACAGGCGTGAGCCACCGCACCCGGCCTTACACTTATGGGTCTTGAAGTCAAAGGAGCCCGCGGTGATGCCGCCAGCACCTGGGGTTTGTCCGAGCCCCGCAGCTCCTCCGGCCCTGGAGCCTGGGCGCTGCTCGCTGGGATCTCTGATCCAGTCTCGCCTCTTTTTGTGTCCATCCGCAGACAAATACCTGTTACGTTCTAGGTGCTGAGGACACAGCGTGAGAGAGAAAAGGACAGACACCTCCTTCTTCCTGGAGCCTGGATGGGGCCGACAGGCACGGGGGAAGCCTCAGCCACTGTCTACTCAGATTTCCACACGCCACTGCCAAGTGGCCTCCTGTTCTCTGTGTCTGTGCCTCCTCTTCTACCTCTTAGAAGGACACCTGTCACTGGATTTAGGGCCCTTCCAGGTACTCCAGGATAATATCATCTGCTGGAGATCCCTACCTCGATCACAACTGCGAAGACCCTAATTCCAAGTAAGTTTCCAGCTGGGCTTTGCGGCGGCTCACACCTGAAATCCCAGCACTGTGGGAGGCCGAGGCGGGCGGATCACTTGAGGTCAGGAGTTCAAGACCAGCCTGGCCAATGTGGTGAAACCCCGTCTCTACTAAAAATACCAAAATTAGCCGGGTGTGGCGGTGGATGCCTGTAATCCCAGCTACTCAGGAAGCTGAGGCATGAGAATCGCTTGAACCCGGGAGGCGGAGGTTGCAGTGAGCCGAGATCGTGCCACTGCACTGCAGCTTGGGGGATAGAGTGAGAGTCTGTCTCCAAAAACAAACAAACAAACAAACAAAAAAACAAGTTTCCATCTGCACATCTGCAGGTTCCGGGACTTGGGAGGTGGACATGGCTCTTGGGGGCCACCATTCACCATTTGGCTCACTGCTCTGGGGAACAAAGGCCCCCAGTTACTCAAGGGGAGTGAGGGGAGTTCCCAGCAGAGCGCTGTGAGCCAAGGGTGGGAGGCCAAGAGGCAGGGACCACTGTGTCCTCTGGAGTGGACGAGGGGGCACTGAGGAGTGGATGAGGGTGTGGCCCTCCTGACAGCCCAGCCTCCGCTGGAAGTGGGGACCCGAGTCCCGGGCTCTGCCCTCTCCTGCCACCCCACAGGGCCTAGGCCAGCCTTGCCACGACCCTAAATCTTCTCGCTACTCCTGCCCTCACCTCAGCCTCTCCGGAGACAGCCTCCTCACCACTACCCTGGCCCAAGTGGGGAAAGCCCCACCACCCTGGGCTCCCAGGATGAGTCAGTTCCCCTCTCCTTGCCAGGCCCAGCTGGCAGTGAGGTCCTTGGCCTGGCACAGCACCTCATGTGCAAACACGGCTTGATGAACGGGCAGGAATGAAGCTTTGGGAGGGAGACTGAACGAGGAGAGAGAGAAGCATGTGGTGGTGAAAATGGAGGGAAGGCAGGGGGCTGGCAGGGGGCTGGCAGGGGGCTGGCAGGGGGCTGGGTGCAGCCCCAGATCTTGTGGAGTCCGGGCCCCAGGCTGGGCAGGCTGGGCAGGCTGGGCCCGCGGCACCTGTTTTTGCACACAAGGCCTGCCCTGACAAGGTGTCCTCTGCCGGATCCCGGGTGACTGTGCCTGTTGGGGGTCCTGCCAGGCCACCCGGTCACCTCCACACCCTGTTATGTCTCTGCAAGCATCGGTGTGTGACAGCGACTGGCAGAGCTGGGCAGGCAGGAGGCCTCTGTCTGGACCCTCAGCCTCTGCCTCGGCTCCTCTTCCAGGTGGCTGGACTTGCTCCCTGATACCCCCAACCTGCAGACACGCGGCCTTGGATTCAAGTGGGGCTGGGCTCCTCGGCCTCTGCCAGGCCACCCCACCCTCCCCCAGCTCCCAGCAGAGGCCAGCAGCCAAAACACTGCAGGCCAGCAGAGCTGGAGATCAGCAGACCCCAGAGGTGTAGACCTCCCGGCTCCAGACCTGGTCCTCCCCGCCCCGCTGGTGGTGCGGCCTCAGGCCAGTCCACTGCCTCTCCGCGCCTTGCCCTTCTCGCCAGGACTCAGGCCCAGCCTTACGAGAGAGGGTAAAACCAGACAACAACGGCAGGTCCTCCACCTGCACCTGGCCCCTCGGACTCCACCTACACCCGGCCCCTCGGAGGTGCCCAATAAACTCCGGTGCTGACGGTTGTGCCTGACACCCCCTGTCTCCTTTTGTGATCTTCCACAGATCACGCTGCTGCTTTGTGCCTCAGTTTCCCCATCTGTACCACAGGGGGCTGGATCAGACATCGCTGAGATCTTTGTAGAGCAGCACAGCTCCGTTGCTGATGTTCTAAGTAACCAAATTGTGTCCCGGACGCTGAGGTGTAACAGCCTTATCAGGGCCGGGCGCGGTGGCTCAGGCCTGTAATCCCGGCACTTTGGGAGGCTGAGGTGGGTGGATCACCTGAGGTCAGGAGTTCAAGACCAGTCTGGCCAAGATGGTGAAACCCCATCTCCATTAAAAATACAAAAATTAGCCAGGCGTGGTGGTGCATGTCTGTAATCCCAGCTACTCAGGAGGCTGTGGCAGGAGAATTGCTTGAACTGAGGAGGCAGAGGTTGCAGTGAGCCGAGATCACACCACTGCACTCCAGCCTGGGTGACAGAGCGAGACTCTGTCTCAAAACAAACAAACAAACAAAACAAAACAAAACAAAAAGCTGCCTCATGAGGACAGACTCGGCCGAGCAGTGGCAGAGCGAGGCCTGTTCACAGATGGGTGTTAGGAAAGGGAGGATGTGGCCCGGCGCGGTGGCTGACGCCTGTAATCCCAGAACTTTGGGAGGCCGAGGCGGGCGGATTACCTGAAGTCAGGAGTTTAAGACCAGCCTGGCCAGCATGGTGAAACCCCGCCTCTACTCAAAAACTACAAAAATTAGCCAGGCATGGTGGTGGCGCATGGCTGTAATCCCAGCTACTTGGAAGGCTGAGGCAGGAGAATCACTTGAACCTGGGAGGCGGAGGTTACAGTGCGCTGAGATCGCGCCACTGCACTCCAGACTGGGCAACAAGAGCGAAACTCCGTCTCAAGAAAAAACAAAACAAAACAAAAAAATCCCCACAGTGGTTAAAACAGAGTGATACTGGCACAAGAATAGGCACGAAGACCAACGGCGCCGAGTCCAGAAACAGACTCAAACAGATAAGGAATGTGGCATGTGACAAAGACAGAATGTCAAATCAGTGATAAAAACAGATCATTCAAAAACCCCTCCACACCTGGGAAGCCGGGGAGCCATCCAGAAAAAATAAAGTTGAATGTCTCACACCTCATACCAAAATAAATTTCAGATGGATCTGAGATTTCAATGTAAAAAATAAAACCACAAAGTCTAGAAAGCAACAGAAGATGCATCTTTAGAAGCTTGAGGCGAGACCTTCCTAAGCATGATGCAAAATACAAAAATCCAACACATAAATTTTTAAAAATAAATTCAATTCCATAGGCTGGGCGCGATGGCTTATGCCTGTAATCCCAGAACTTTAAGAGACCGAGGCGGGTGGACGTTTGAGTTCAGGAGTTTGAGACCAGCCTGGGCAACATGGAGAAACCCTGTTTTTACAAAAAAAAAAAAAAAAGCAAAAATTAGCTGGGCGTGATGGCACATGCCTGCGGTTTCAGTTACCCAGGAGGCTGAGGTGGGAGGATCGCTTGAGCTCAGGAGGCAGAGGCTGCAGTGAGCCGTGATCACACCACTGCCCTCCAGCCTGGGGACACAGCAAGACTCGGCCTCAAATACATAAATAAATGAATTCAACTCCATAAAATAAAATTTCTGCGTAGCAACAACCACATTAAGCAAAGTCAAAGTCTGCTGTTTAGGCAAGCGGGGAAATTCCTTGTGAACTCTATCCCCCTCGAAGGGCTGAATTCTCTCATTTAGAAAGAGCTCTAACAAATCAATAATGAGGTTATAATCCAGCACAGGGAAAAAATGGAAAGCAAAGAATACGAACAGAGCATTCACACGAAAGGAAAAACAAATGCTCCATAAACATGCAAAAAGATGCTCCCCCACTCTTTTTTTTTTTTGTATGTGTGAGACAGAGTCTCGCTCTGTCCCCCAGGCTGGAGTGCAGTGGTGCGATCTCAGCTCACTGCCACCTCCAACTCTCGGGTTCAAGCGATTCTCCTGTCTCAGCCTCCCAAGTAGCTGGGATGACAGGTGTGTGGCACCGTGCCCGGCTAGTTTTTGTATTTTTAGTAGAGATGGGGCCGCGCCATGTTGGCCAGGCTGGTCTTGAACTCCTGACTTCAGGTGATCTGCCTGCCTCGGCCTCCCAAGTGCTGGGATTTCAGGCGTGAGCCGCCGCGCCTGGTCCTCCACCTCCTTCTTGGTGAGAGAAATGCAAACTAAAACGGCACTGACAGCGTGTTTCCTATCAGGTTGGCCATGGCTTTGATTACATGGTGTTGTCTGCACCGGGAGGAGGCAGGGACCAGCAAGTGTTGTAAGTGGTTGCACTCCCTACAGAGGGCAACTCGGAAAAATCTCTCAGAAGGACGAATCCTTTGACCCTGCTTCGAGGAAGTCGTGCTGCCTGTGGTGATCTTGGGGACGAGGTCATTGCAGCGCAGCTCCTTAGCTTCTCAGGAAAAACCTACATACTCATCGCTGGCCTGTGCACGCCACACAGCACAGCAGAATATTCGACGAGCAAAGAAAAGACCGAGGAAGGAGGTTTTCGGGCTGTGATAAGGGACTGTCTCTAAGTTCCACGTTGCAGGTGAGAAGGGAGCCGTGCCCACTGGTGTCCAGAGCTGGTGAGAGAGCGCAGAGCGGGGCGGAACGCAGAGACAGGTGCCCAGGGCAGGTGGAAACTCAGCATGCCTGCAGGGCCTCATGGGGAAGGGCCCACCGGTTGCTTATTCACTCATCCCACACTGCTGCACTGGGCAGACAGAGCTCAACCCTGCAAGGTAGGCCCTGTGCTCTCAAACTCAGACCTTGGCAGAGGGACAGGGTGACAAGCTGTGGGTGATGACAATTTCCTGTGACAAGGGCAATGCTGTGAGGGGCCAGACCCAGAGGAGGCTGCACTGAGCTGGAGGGAAGGGAGTGGACCACGCTGAGGCGGGAGGTCCGACAAGCCAGCCCCCTCCACCCGAAGGGAGTTCCCAGGGTCTGAGCTTCAGGTCCAGAGATGCGGGAGGGACAGGGAGGTGGGACAGCCCCTCCCTCCGGCCTGGGCTGGGGCAGCTTCCAGGGCCGCGTTTCTGGGGACGCTGGCCTCATTCATCAGTGTCTTATGTGCATGGCCCTTCATCTCTGGGTACACCCGCCCTGCAGAAAGGCACTGGCTCTGTCTCTGCCTCCTGGCTATGCTGCCCTTCCCCAGAGGGAAGGACAATGGGGGTAGAGAGGAGGTGGGAAAGTCTGGCGGGGACCATTGTGTGAGGCCCTGCATGTTTGCATAGTGAGTGCCTTGACTGCTGAATGGACACAGGCATCCCAAGAATGCTGGCAGAGCCCACCAAGGGGCCGGCCCCGCACCCCCAAGCCTCTGACGCTTGCTGTCACTCGAGCCTGTCAGCACAGAGGGTAGGGAGAGATGAGACTGGCCAGGTTTAAGCACCAAGTAGGAGTCATCAAGAGCTGCCAAGCACAGTGGTGCCGGTTGTAAACTGCACAATTCCCGGGAGTGCCATTGACCTGGGTGGCTACAACTGCCAGCAACCCTGTAGCCACTCTGTTGGCCTCAGTGGTCTCAGCAGTAAAATGGCACAGGAGACCCCGTCCTGAGAAGGTATCTGCTTTCAGCCCAAGGTGGGGAGGGCGTGGGGGAGATGGGAAGCTGAGATGGGGCAGAAGGGGACAGAGGAAGGGAGGAAATCCACTAAGGACGTGAGAAGGGCGAGGCCTCCTGACCGACAGGCCGAAGGCCATGTGGGCGGCTGCATGGGGTCCATCGTGCAGACCTTCACTCTGGGCCAGCGCTGGGGCTGTGAGCTCGGCCAGCGTGGGGAGACTGCCAGCAGCTCAGAAGTCCCTGCGGGCTCCTAGGACCTGGTTCCTGTTCCCTCCAAGGCCTTTCAGATTCCCCAGCAAACCCCACAGGACAGCAGGGAAGGGCCAGGGTGGAGGGGACTGCAGGGACTTGAGCTGTCCACACGGGGAGGAGGAACCCGGGGGAGGCTGCCCCGGCCTACATTTGAAGCCATGGCCTTCACTCCAGGAACCCCAGCTCACTCAGAAATGGGACTAGGAAGGGCTGTTCTCAGTGGGGACAGCCAGGAAGGACCAAGTGGGGAATATCCCTGAAGCCCCCACACTGCCCTTCAGCCCCCTAGAATGTTGGCTCTTTGGATCCTCACCGAGGGCGTGGCGCGGTGTGGTGGCTGAGGCCGCCTGGGACTGACCCCAGCTCTGAGTGTCGGGGCTCTGTGTCTCTGTCTCTGTGTCTGTCTCTCTGTCTGTGAAACTGGGGAGGTGGTAACGACTCCCTGTGTCTCCGTCTGTGAAACTGGGGAGGTGGTAACGACTCCCAGGGCGTGGGAGGTGAGCGGCCGATAAACGTCAGAAGGAGAGGCCGGCCCAGAGTCAGCACCACGGCTCCCGGGCTCCCAGGAGACGCACACCAGGCAGAAGGAACTGTGTGCGAAGGCCGGGAGGTGGGACCTGTCCGGGGGTGACGGCAGGCGAGGGAGGGGAGGGTTGTGGGGGCCTCAGGAGGACAAAGGAGGGAAGAGGCCAGGACCTAGGGGAAAGGAGGCCAGGGCAGCCAGGAGGCCCTGGGCACAGGGGTCTGTCCCCTGTCTGTCCCAGCCGTGGGGCGTCGTGCTGTCCTGGAAGCAGGTTTTCTGTGGAGGCTGTGGAGAGGCTGGGGAGTGGGTGAGGGCCCTACCCTTCCCTTTGTCCCTGGCCCCGGCAGCCAGGCACTGAGAACCAGCATACCGGCCGGGGCCAGGGGATTGGCCAGGGCCCCCAGAGGCCCGGGAGCTGCTCATTCCCCAGCTCGGGGTGGGCAGCTCTTCCCTTCCATCTCGGGGTGGGGCAGTGCCAGCCCACTGGCCCCCTGGGGGACAGGGCGAAGGGCTCCAGCAGGGCCACCCAGCAAGGGAAGGAGAGATGTGCAGGGGGCACCAAAAAGTCTGGGGAAAATGGGGGTCAGTCCTGGTGAGGGAGGCCAGAGGACAAAAGGGCGGGGCAGACAATGATCCCGGGCTGGGGACCGGGGCCTGACTGCCCAGCCTGGTTGATAGTTCAGGAGGTCTGCACATCTCGGGCACAGCCTAGCAAAACCTGGGGGTAGCAGCAGGGCTAGGGACTGGGGACCCGAGTCAGAGGTCCAGAGACGCTGTGTCTGTGGCAAGAACCTCTCGCTGACCTGGTGTGACCCTGGCGTGACTGTGTCAGGTGCCATGGTGACTGCACGCCCAGCCAGGGCCAAGGGTCTGCTCTAAGCTCGCTGCCTATGCCCTGTGTGGGGTGCCCTCCCCTCCTCTCTGTTCTGGGCTGCTCTGAGCCTCCCATCCCACAGGCCTGGGAAGGCAGGAGGGCGCCAGCAGCACCTGGGCAGAAGTCACCTCTCCCCTCCGCTTGCCCAAGCCAATGCCACCTGCTGTCAGGCCCAGGGATGCAGGGTCGGGCCAAGAGAGGGCTGAGAGCAAGCAGGGGACCCCCACCCAAACAATACACACACACATAGAGACACATGTACACACAAACACAGTGCACACAGACACACTTGCACACACAATGCACACATGTACACACAGACACACACACGTGCACGCATGCTCCAACAGATGCACACACCAGTACACACACAGAGACACACACATGCACACACCAGTACAGAGACACACATGCACACACCAGTACACACACAGAGACACAGACATGCACACATGCACACAGACACACGTGCACACACGTGCACACAGACACACACACATGCACACATGCTCCAACGGATGCACACACCAGTACACACAGAGACACACACATACACACACCACTACACACACAGAGACACATGCACACAGACACATGCACGCACAGATACATGCACACACCAGTACACACACAGAGACACACACATGCACACACAGATACACACAGGCACACACCAGTATACACACAGACACATGCACACACAGAGACACACAGGCACAGATGCACTCAGAGACACACACGCACACACAGATGCATGCACACACACGTACACGCAAACACACGCATGCACACACACAAACACGTGCACACACATGCGCATACAGACATATGCACACACAGATACACACGTGCATGCAGACACTTGCACACACACACGTACACACAAACACATGCACACACAAACACATGTGCACAGACACACAAGTGCACACACAGAGGCACACATACAGCCCTGGACAGTCAACAGGAACCTGGGCTTGGTGTCGAGTGGGTGAAAGCCCCCACATGCTCTGGGCTCCCCCAACCCCCCTGAGAGTTGGTCATCACCTGCGAGGTGGGGCAGGGAGGAGTCCGTGGAGGTGAGGGTAGGGCTGCCGGGGGATTTATCTTGCAGGGAGAAGGGGTGAGGGCTGGGGAGGTTCTCTGAAGAGGCGGCTGAAGTGAGAGCAGCGGCCTGGAGGAGGGAAGGGGCTTGAACATGGTGACCAAACAGTGCAGGGGCCGGCGCCAGATCTTCCTGGGCCTCCAGCAGGAGGGCCTGGGGCAACCAGGCCAGGACACAGGATGGGGGCTGTGTCACACCCTCCCAGTCCCGGCTGAGGCGGTCACCACAGGGGTCCAGGGCCTGTGCTTACCGTGTTAGACAGGGTTCAAGTGCTAGTTGGGACCTGACAGGAAGCAGAGGCCTCAGCTCAGCCCTGGCCCTGGCTCCAGACCATGCCTGGCCAGCTTCCTGGTCCCTTGCCCGCCCCAGCTCAGAGGAGGGGAACAGAGGCCTGTACCCGGGGTGAGGGGCCGCAGGGACATGGCAGGGGACAGGAGCTATTTGGGGACAGGGTCAGGCCCAGCCTCAGGCCATCAGCCGCCCCGGATGTGGGTGGAGGGCTGTCCCTCCTAAGGAGCTGTGAATGGCCCCACTCAGCCCCCACCACCACCCTCTCCCTCCCTACCCCGCCCATGACTCCTCCAGCCTGTTCCTGCTCTAAGGGTGCCCTCGGGAACACAGGCCCTTGGTCCCCAGAACAAGACCTCTATTTTGGAAGGGGAAACTGAGTCCGGGTGGCTTCTCTGCACTTTCGATTGGCCGTTAGAGACCCGGGTTTGAGCCCCACCCACAGCCTGTGGGCAGATCACCTCCCCTCCAGCTGGGGTGGGGGCTGCCGCCCAGAGAGGGCGACCTGCACCCCTTCTGTTTTTCAAATTGAGTTGAAACTCACATCCATCAAAACCGTACAGCCCCGTGGCATTCGGTGCAGCCGGAGGTCGTGTGGCGCTGCCTCTGACTCCCAAACGTTTTTTAAGGAGCTCCCTACCCGCTAAGGAGCCATCACCCCCTCCCTGGTCCCATCCGCTCTCTGCACCCGGATCCCCGGGCTGGCCTGCTCTGGGCGTCTCATGGCAATGGAATGTGACCGCGTGTGGCCTGGGTGTCTGCTGCCTCACAGAGTACAGGGTTTTCGGGGCTTCTCCGCACGTGGCCTGGGTCAGACTTCGTTCCTGGTCGTTCCCATTCATGCTCAGGGAAGTGCTCAGGTCTGAGGGCCTCTGCCGGTCCCCAGGACCGCCCGGGAGCCAGGGGCTCTTCCAGCCCCCCTGAAGGAAGGAAGCGCTGCCTGGTTTTCAGGAGAGAAGACTGAGGCGCGGCGGGCGAATGGGCTCATCAGCAGTCACAGAGCAGGGCTTCCCCGAGGGTCCTGCCACCCAGCCCCTTCTGAGAGGCGGAGACTGCACTCTCCAGCCTCAGGGGCCTGGTGTGGCCCTGAGCACAGTGAAAGGGACAGAGGCTGCAGCACCTGGGGAAGGGCCGAGGGAGCCCCTCCCACGCATAGCAGCCTGGGGGAGGCCAGCCTGGGCCCATCCCATCCGCTGTGCAGGGTGGAGAAAGACATCTCACCTCGCCTCGTTTGCATCTTATGTAGGTATGGAAATGATTAATGGTGAGAAAAATGTCTGCCGTACCCGGGGCACCTTATAGGCCCGAAATTCACAGGGGGCCGGGCAGACCCTCCCCCCACAGCCCAGGCAGACCCTCCCCCAACAGCCCGGGCAGACCCTCCCCCCCAGCCCTGGCAAAACCTTCCCCCGGGCAGACCCTCCCCACCAGCCCTGGCAAAACCTCCCCCCCCAGCCCTGGCAGACCCTCCCCCCACAGCCCGGGCAGACCCTCCCCCACCAGCCCTGGCATACCCTCCCCCACCCAGCCCGGGCAGACCCTCCCCACCAGCCCTGGCAGACCCTCCCCCCCAGCCCTGGCATACCCTCCCCCCCCCACAGCCCGGGCAGACCTTCCCCCCCCAGCCCTGGCAGACCCTCCCCGCAAGCCCAGGCAGCTCCCTGGGGCTGTAGATCATCCTCGCACTCAAGTCTTCAGTAGAAAGGACAGATTGTTTGCCGGGAGATGTACAAAGCCCAGCCACGGCCACTCCCTGGCCCGGGTCAGTTCCCAGCTGCTCTATCTGGGATGGGTGCCAGTGGCCAGTGTGGGGCATGGGGCTCAGGGCAGCCTGAGGGACAGAAGCCCTGGCCGTCCGCCTTCCCGCATATCTGCCTTTTTCCCGCGTGTCCGCCTTCCCGTGGCTCGCCAGCTTTGGGGTCTGGCAGAGGCTCAGATCCTCTCCCCAGGAGATCTCCCTGGAGTCCCGGGACCTCCTTGGGGCCTGAGTGGCTGCTGGAGTGGTCTGGGCCCCACCGGCCTCTGCCTTTTCCTCACCCGGTCTTTAACGTGGACCCACCTCACAGGGCTGTTGTGATGACGAGTCAGACAAAAGAGAAGCAGAGCCCTCGGCTGCCCAGTCGTTTGCTGTTACCCCTTGCTGCCGTGAGAGCCCACCGGGGACCACCTGTGCACCTGGGGTGCGAAGGCCTCTCCTCGGCCCGCCCTGGTTAGGGGGAGGGCAGAGTGCCGGCCGCACTGAGTCCTGAGTTGCCTTCTGGCCTGGCAGACCCGGCCGCTGCTGGCCAGAGGTGGCTGCGCCCCAGGCCTGGTGCTTCCGGGGTCGGGGTCCAGGGACTCAGCCGAAGGCAGGGGTCCCTTGTCCCCACCCCAGGGCTCTGTGCTCCTTGGGACCCGCTGGCCCTTGGGGGCTCAGGTCCTTGTCCCCCACCTTCCCCATCCAGAGGCCTAGGCCTCACTCCAGTGTCAGCACACGGTGTTGGTGGAGGGGTTCCACCCTCCCCTGATCAGACCCCTGACAACCCGCCCCATCCTGCCTCAGTCTTCATCCCTCCTTGTTCATGGGCACCTGCCACGTCCAGCCCTGTGCCTGGCCTCAAGGGCCTCGCGGGCTCGCAGCAGCCGAGCGGGTGGGAAGGGTGAGCCACATAGATTGGAGAGGGACGGAGGTTCGGGGAATGTGGAGGGAGCATCTGCGGGACTCCCCAGGAGCCACTGACTCTTCCCTCCCCTTTGGGGCTGCGACCCCCACAGCCGGTGTCATTGCTGCATCCCAAAGGCCTGGGGCCTGGAAACCATTCCCAGGACAGCTGGAGCAGGCCCCAAGGGGACTCTCTGCCCATTAGGGAGGGGGTCTGCTGGCCCCAGTGGGAACTGGCTCCTCCCCTGCCACCTACTCACCCCGCCCACTCAGAAACTCAGAGACAGACCTTGGAATCCTGACCCCTGCGGCCTCATGGGGAAAGTCTCTGAGTTGGGGTGAAGATAGAGTCCCATAAATCATATTCATTTTGGTAAGAGGGTCCCCCATAGATCACCATGTGGCCAGGACCGGGGCGGAACCTGGCAGAACCCATACCACCTCTTCCCCTGCAGGACGGCCGGGGTGGCCATGGGGCACCTCCTCCCTCCCACACGCGCAGGTCTCGAATTCACAGCCCTGGTCTGCTTTGCCGGCTGAGAGTCCTTGGCGGCCGACACATCCACGTCTCTACCTCCCATCCCATAATGAGTGTTTCCCACGTTGTTAGAACTTTCCACAGGCATTGCTTTTAACAACTGCACATCATTCAATTAGACAGACGGGATGGTTTTCCCAGCCGGGCCTCCCCTGCATCTGGGCCGGCTCCAGCTTCTCCCGGTTATAAATAACGCGGGCGGGGGCGTCTCCCACGGAAGGTTTTCTGGCTTCGTGCTATTTCCTCGGGATAAACTCCCAGAAGGAGAATCACTAGGTCAAAAATGCGAGCATTTTATGCCTCTTAGGACACACGGTCGTCAGAAGGAATCTGGACTCCATCTGGAACAGAGCGAGGACCCCTCTACAGAGCCGGGACCTTCTCCGGAAAGGAGCTGGGCCTGCATGGCCGTGCACAGATGCCGGGAGTGCGGTGCTCTGTCCACCCAGGACTCCGCTTGCAGGGCCTCACGCTGCATGGCTGACCCAACCCAGGACTGCGCTTGCGGGGCCTCACACTGCCTGGCCCACCCAATTTCAAACAGTTCTCACGCTAGAAGATGCACAAAGCCAGCTTTACATTTTGGGGAATGATTCAGAAGGGCCAGGGACCTGCCGAGACACCTGGGGCTTCTTTGTGGGGCCCCATCAATGGGAGGCGGGGACCCTTGGGTCAGCCCAGACCCTGCTGGGCCTCAGTTTCTCATGCCCAGCTCCAGCCGGGAGCCTGGGCAGGTCCAGAATCACCGCACACGCAGAAGGGCCTCACTAGGACGGGGTGAGAGGTGAGGCTGGGAGCTGGGGCTTCCTCTTGGGAGTCCAGCGGGGCGACTGCCGCCCACGTGTGGGCTCCCTTGAAATTCACAGACACACCCAGCGCGGTTGCTGGCCGCAGTGCTGGCTCAATAAGGCCAGTGGAGTCAGACAGTGAGAAGTCACCATTTCCTGCTGATCTGAAACATCTTGTGAAACCCTCTGGCCCAGCCCTTTCCTTTCTCGTGGCAGCCTCTGGTCCCCTGTGGACTTTCCTGTTTACTGCACCCCAGAGGTGGGCCCTGACCTGGTTGAGCTGGGCTTAGCTGTCAGATTCCATTTTGGGCCTCGGCCCCCAGGTCCCGGCCTGCAGGCAGCTGGGCTGGTCGGGGCCGGCTCCTTCATGCAGCCAGCGCATTAGCTCCAGGCCTGGGGTGCTGCCCGCTGTGCCCCTTCCTGGAAGCCCTCCCTGCCTCTCCAGCGGGAGACAATGCAGCCTCTGGGGCAAGGCAGGAGGCTGCGGGCAGGCTCCAGGGACCTCCTGCCAGGCGTGGCTGCAGGGCGCCCCTCCCAGGTGAGGCTGGCAGCTGCCTCCTGGTCAGGTTCACACCCACCCTCAGCGTGCAACAACCCCCCTCCTCAGCCCCTTCTGCTGTGACCTGGGCTGCTCCTCCCTGCGGTCACTATAGGAGTCCCACGGCCCTGTCCCCAATCCTGCCCTTCTGCCTAGTCCTGGGCCCCTCCCCTTGAGCACTTCCCAAGCTCTGAGCCACAAGCCCGTGGGCCTCTGGAAATCCCAGGGCCTGGGGTATGACGGGGCCAGGGAGGGGGAGATTTGTCCCGGGGCAGCTGCTTTGGGCAGTTCGCTCTCGCATGGAGGGCATGGTCCAGGCCCTGTCGGGTGGGCAGGTGGCCCCACAGCTTTCTGGGCAGGGGTCTTGCCTGCTGGCCTCATGCTGAGCGCACCTGATCAGCCACCCGCTGCGTGTCTCACCATAGCCCCACTGTACAGGTGAGAACATGGAGCTGACTGAGGGAACAGTGTGGACGCAGCAGAGTCGCCTGAGAACCCAGCTCCATGGCCCCCACGCCAGCCACCAAACCCCTCTGTGACCTGAGAAACAGAAACCAGACTCAGCCCGGCAGGTGTCAGACCCTGGTCTGGTTGGTCCGCAGCGGCTCCTGGCTCAGCGCAGGGACTGCCAGGGTCCAGGGGCCCTCAGGGGACTTGTTGAAGCCCAGCTCCTGCCAGGGAGGACAAGAACTCTCTTCTTCCAGGAGTAAACAGAAACGAGGGCCTGGCCCTGGGGTCCTAGGTGCCTCTGACCCCACCAGGAACCTCTGAGTCTCCCGAAGCACCTGCTGGCAGGGTGGGTGCAGCTCAGCATGTGGGAGGACATCGGGTCGCCATTTCCCGATAGAGCCAACAGCCTCTCCTCAATGTGCTGTGCGGCCAGCCTGCCCCAGCTGGCTCTGGACTGAGGAGGTGGGCGCAGGGACTACAGAAGGGTCCATGCTGGTGGGGGGCCCACTGCTGGGCCTAGGCAGGAGAAGGCTCCAGGCCAGAGGCCGCTAGCAGGGCAGACCCCAGCCTAGCCACGCGGGCTGGGAGGAAAGGGGAGGATGCGGCGTCTGCTGTGACAGGCTTTGGGTCAAGGGTCTGCTCTGAGCCCCGAGCTCACCGCCACAGGGGCTTTCCCAGGCTGGCTTGGCAGCGGGCGGGGGCTCAGGGGAGCTCAGGAAGCGGGTGGTTCCCACAGCAGCGGCTCAGGCAGGCGGCCCACACACCCAGCCAGCGGGCTCCCGTGGGAAGGAGACCTGGAGGCCGGGGCTCTCCTCCCGTCTGCTCTAACCTCCTGGACAACCTTCAATGCTGTCCTTCCCTCTCAGGCCTCAGTTTCCCAGTGATCTTGAGGGGTGGTCGCTGGAGGTCAAAAGGGGAAGATGACTGTTCAGTTGCCTTGTAAGCAGTGAACGCTTGCAGAATCACAGCAGCTCCTGGCGTGGCTGGATCCAGGGCTCCGGCAATGCTGCCTGGACTTTGTGTCTGTCCCTCTTTGGGCTCCCTGACCCTGATGTGGGCTCCCTCCCTGGTAATCCCTTCCCACGGTGTGGCAAAGATGGCTCATGTCCCCCAGGTCGGCAACTCCCCTGGAAGATAGGGTCTGCACAGGTCCTAGGCCCCCCTGTTCCAGGCAGCCTGGGCCCAGAAGTCCAAACACGTGGGCAGATGGTTAGGGGAACAGTGGGTCCCCAAACCACAGCTGTCCACTGAAAGTGCTGACCACAAGCCAGGCCCAGGGCCAAGCACCAAGTGCCCACTGAGCCCACCTCATCCCCTCACAGGTGCCAAAAGTGAGTCCATTCCACAGAAGGGCACCCAAGGTGCAGAGCGGAAGTGTCACCTGCCTGAGGTCACCCAGCTTCAGGCAGAGACCAGGTGGATATGAGGATCAAGGATCCCGGTTCCACGGGCTGAATTTCAACTCCTGAGCTCTCCTCGGGCTTCCCCAGTGATTCTGGAGCCCTGCAGGGCAGGAAGCGAGTCCTAATGCCCATCCCAGACCTGCCGCCTCAGTGTCCCTTCCTGCCTTGGGGGGAAAGCTGGGGTGAGGAGGATGCAACAGGGGCAACCGTTGGACCCCAGGGAGAGCCCAAGTCCTGGGCATAAAGCACAGCACATTCATTCCGGAGCTGGGCCTCACCTGGGGCAAATCATATTTTCACTCTAAAACAAATGCAAACTCAATGATTAAGATGAGCTACACACACTGGCTCTAAGGTGAACAATTCAGGAGGGTTTGGTCGCACGCGGCCAGCGTGGGCCCTCAGTAGCGCCTCTGGGTGGAGCTCTCTCGGGAGTCTTCCCTCTCGGCTGTGGGACTCGAGGCGGCCAGGAGAAGCCAGAACTGAGGGCATGCGGTCCACGCAGGAGCACGGGAGCCACGGGCCACGGGGTCCCCTCCTCACAGGAGCCACTGGTCGCGGGCAAGCACTGGGTGGTGGTGGAGTCCCAGATGAGCTCCAGCACTGTCCAGAGAAAACAAGGCTACCGTCCAGCACACGTCCTCACTCACCCCGGCCACGGTGATCTGACCACGGCCACGACCAGGCCACGGGGCCTCCCCACCACTGGGTCAAAGGCTGTTCTCAAGAGACTCAGTGACTTTTGGAGCACAGAGCATCTTGGGTTAGTCTCCTGTCCACTTGGTTCCATCAGCTGAGTTGTGCAGGGGTTCCTGGCCCACCTGGAACGCAGGGCCTTCCTGAGATGCCAAGTACCCTGGGCTACAAGGGAGAGTTCCCGTGGCTGGAGGGCATGGCCACCGGGAGGACGCCACAGAGAAAGTCCCAGGACCGATGCTCTGAAAGCTGACCCAGTGCTGCCTCGGAGGGCCCCGGCTTGACTCACCACCCATCCCCGCACTAAGTCTATGCTGACCCTGGCATGCTGCACCCACCCAACCCTTGTCCTCTGCAGGTCCCAGTCTGGTGGGGCAATGGGCACCGAGTGAAGTTTTAAGAAAATGACTGTGGTTTCCAACCATAATGACGAGCCCAGCAGTCTGGGTTGTGGGGCTTGTGGAAGGCTCCATCAGAGGGTCCTGTGAGCTGAGGAAAGGGATCGAGCTGGACCCCAGGACACACTTCTACCCCTAACTCTGCTCCTAGGGGCTCTAAAAAGTAAAGGAGTGTATTAGGCCATTCTCACACTGCTATAAAGAGCTACCTAAGGGCGGGCGCAGCAGCTCAAGCCTGTAATCCCAGCACTTTGGGAGGCCAAGGCAGGCAGATCACGAGGTCAGGAGCTCGAGACCAGCCCGACCAACATGGTGAAACCCTGTCTCTACTAAAAATACAAAAATTAGCTGGGCATGGTGGCAAGCACCTATAATCCCAGCTACTCAGGAGGCTGAGGCGGGAGAATCGCTTGAACTTGGGA
The DNA here is from genome assembly GCF_000001405.40 of Homo sapiens. NCBI lineage: Eukaryota > Metazoa > Chordata > Mammalia > Primates > Hominidae > Homo > Homo sapiens. Next base: position 136,561,037 of record NC_000009.12, on the reverse strand, counting down.
GGTGGAGTTTGCAGTGAGCCGAGATCAAGCTGCTACACTCCAGCCTGGACGACAGAGCAAGACTCTGTCTCAAAAAATAAAAACTACCTGAGACTAGGTAATTTATGAAAAAAGAAGTTTAATTGACACAGTTCTGCAGGCTGTTCAGGAGGCATGGCTGAGGAGGCCTCAGGAAACTTACAATCATGGTGGAAGGCAAAGAGGAAGCAGGCACCATTTTCATATGGCCAGAGCAGGAGAGAGTGCGAAGGGGGAAGTCCATCCCGTGCTTCAATCATGGCCCACCAGGCCACGCCTTCAACATGTGGGGATTACAATTTGACATGAAATTTGGGTGGGGACATAGAACCAAACCATATCATTCCAGCCCTGGCCCCTCCCAAATCTCATGTCCTTCTCACATTTCAAAACACAATCATGCCTTCTCAACAGACCCCCAAATCTTAACCCATTTCAGCATTAACTCAAAAGTCCAAAGTCTCATCTGAGACAAGACAAGTCCCTTCTGCCTATGAGCCTGTAAAATCAAAAACAAGTTACTTACTTCCAAGATACAATGTGGGTACAGGCACTGGGTAAATGCTCCCATTTCAAAAGGGAGAAATTGGCCAAAACAAAGGGCCTACAGGCCCCATGCATGTCCTGAACCCAGTAGGGTAGTCATTAAACGGTTTTTTGTTTTTTTTTTGAGATGAAGTCTTGCTCTTGTCCCCCAGGCTGGAGTGCAATGGCACGACCTCGGCTCACTGCAACCTCCGCCTCCTGGGTTCAAGCAATTCTCTTGCCTCAGCCTCCCGAGTAGCTGGGATTACAGGCACCTGCCACCACGCCCAGCTAATTTTTGTATTTTTAGTAGAAATGGGGTTTCACCACATTGGCCAGGCTGATCTCAAACTCCTGACTTCAAGTGATCTGAAGCAGTCATTAAATCTTAAAGCTCCAAAACAATATCCTTTGACTCCATGTCTCACATCCAGGCCACACTGACTCAAGGGGTGGGATCCCAAGGCCTTGGGCAGCTCCACCCCTCTGGCTCTGCAGGATACAGCCCCCTGTGGCTGCTTTCACAAGCTGGCATTGAGTACCTGTGGCTTTTCCAGGCACACAGTGCAAGCTGTCAGTGGATCTACCATTCTGGGGTCTGGAGGACAGTGGCCCTCTCCTCACTGCTCCACTAGGCAGTGCCCCAGCGGGGACTCTGTGTGGGGGCTCCAACCCCATATTTTCCCTCCGAACTGTTCTAGTAGAGGTTCTCCATGAGGGCTCACCCCCTGCAGCAGACTTCTGTCTGGACATCCAGGCATTTCCATACATCCTCTGAAACCTAGGTGGAGGCTCCAAAACCGTAACGCTTGCTTTCTGCACATCTGTGAGCCCAACAGCACATGGAAACTGCCAAGGCTTGGGGCTTGCACCCTCTGAAGCAATGGTCTGAGGTATACCTTTCAGCCATGGCTGGAGCTAGAGTGGCTGGGATGCAGGGTGCCATGTCCCAAGGCTGCACAAAGCAGCAGGGCCCTGGGCCTGACCCATGAAACCATTTTTCCCTCCCAGGCCTCCAGGCCTGTGATGGGAGGGGCTGCTGTGAAGGTCTCTGAAATGCCCTGGAGACATTTTCCCCATTGTCTTGGTGATTAACATTTGGCTCTTTTTTGCTTATGCAAATTTCTGCAGGCTTGAATTCCTCCCTAGAAAATGGGTTTTACTTTTCAATTGCATAGTCAGGCTGCAAAATTTTCAAACTTTTATGTTCTGCTTCACTTTTAAACATAAGTTCCGATTTTGGGTCGTTTCCTTCTTTATGCAAATAAACATAAGCTTTTAGAAGCAGCCAGACCACATCTCGAATGCTTTGCTGCCTAGACATTTCTTCCATCAGATACCCTAAATCATCTCTCTCAAGTTCAAAGTTCCACAGATCCCTAGAGCAGGGGCACAGTGCTGCCTGTCTCCTTGCTGGAGCATAGCAAGAGTGACCTTTCCTCCCTTTCCCAATAAGTTCCTCATCTCCATCTGAGATCACCTCAGCCTGGACTTCACTGTCCGTATCGCTATCAGCATTTTGGTTACAACCATTCAACAAATCTCTAGGAAGTTCCAAACTTTCCCTCACCTTCCTGTCTTCTTCTGAGCCCTTCGAACTGTCCCAGCCTCTGTCCACGACCCAGTTCCCATGCTGCTTCCACATTCTCAGGCATCTTTAGAGCAGTGCCTCTCTCCCAGTACCATTTTCTGTGTTAGTCTCTTCTCACACGGCTATAAAGAACTACCTGAGAATTAGGTAATTTATGAAGAAAAGAGGTTTAATCAGCTCACAGTCCCACAGGCTGTGCAGGAGGGATGGCTGAGGAGGCCTCAGGAAATCATGGCGAAAGGCAAAGGGGAAGTGGGTTCTGTCTTCACACGGCCAGAGCAGGAGAGGGAGACAGCGAAGGGGAAAGTCCATTCCATGATTAAATCACCTTCCACCAGGTCCCTCCTTCATGTGGGGATTACAACTTGATTGGGGGTGGGGGTACACAGAGCCAAACCATATCAAGGAGCAAAGAGGTGCATGTTTCATTTAAAACACAGCCCTCAGGCTGGGTGCAGTGACTCACGCCCGTAATCCCAGCACTTTGGGAGGCCAAGGCAGGTGGATCATGAGGTCAGGAGATTGAGACCATCCTGGCTAATACGGTGAAATCCCGTCTCTACTAAAAATACAAAAAATTAGCTGGGCGTGGTGGCGGGCACCTGTAGTCCCAGCTACTTTGGAGACTGAAGCAGGAGAATGGCGTGAACCCGGGAGGCAGAGGTTACAGTGAGCCGAGATTGCACCACTGCATTCCAGTCTGGGTGACAGAGCAAGACTCTGCCTCAAAAAAAAAACAAAAACAAAACAAAAAAAACAGCTCTCCCTGCTACAGATTGTGGCCAATGGAATTTTCTTCTCTAAAAATTTGCTTGTTTGCTTTGTTTGAATTTTTAGCATAGGGGGAAAAAAAACTACTTTCTTTTTCTTTTCTTTTTTTTTTTTTTTTTTGAGATGGAGTTTCACTCTGTCACCCAGGCTGGAGTGCAATGGCGCGATCTCGGCTCACTGCCACCTCCGCCTCCCTGGTTCATGCCACTCTCCTGCCTCAGCCTCCTGAGTAGATGGGACTACAGGCTCCCATCATCACACCCAGCTAATTTTTGTATTTTTAGTAGAGACGGGGTTTCACCATGTTGGCCAGGCTGGTCTCGAACTCCTGACCTCAGGTGATCCACCTGCCTCGGCCTCCCCAAGGGCTAGGATTACAGGCGTGAGCCACTGCGCCCAGCAAAAAAGCTGTTTTCACGTGTATAAAAAAAATGTAACTAAGTGGTGCACCTGTAGTCCTAGTAACTTGGGAGGCTGAGGCAGGAGGATTGTTTGAGCCCAGGAATTCAAGTCCAACCTGGGCAACATAGTGAGACCCCTGTCTCTAAAACAAAAAAAAAAAAAAGTGACACTGATAAATAAAACATGTTTGTTCTTCCTAATTTGGCCTTGAGGTGAAAAAAATGTTGCTCCCCATGAAGCTGGATGGAAGAGTGGAGACTGGAGAGGCCCAGGCCACCCCCAACCGGCTGACCACAGCGGTGGCCCCAGTCCTGGGGTTCTCTGCCTTGGTTTCCCCACTTAGGAAGCTTAGAGGCTGCCCTGGCTCAGCTGTGACCGAGAGGATGGCATCCCCCATCAGCAGGCTATGCCCCTGCCTGGTCTTCTCTGTGTCTGTCCCCTCAGCTGCTCTCCACCCCTACCCCGGGGTCCCTCTCCCCTTGCCCTGCAGGGCTCTCTCGGGGACGGGCCTTCTTGCAGCTGACGGGTCCCAGCAGAGGTTCCCTGCTCGGGAGGAGCCATTCCACGGGAGGGGTCAGTGGCAGAAAGGCCATTTCTTGGACTCTGGGCTCCAAGGAGCTGGGGCTCATGCTGGGGATGTGGGTGGGAAGGCTGCCCGCAAAGGCCATGTCAGCCGAGAGAGAAGCTTCTGGGTCCTGCCTTCTCCAGGGAGCCTCTTGAGGACATAGGCTGAGTCTGCCTCAACCTGGGGCCTGGCTGGGACTGCCTTGTGTGCAGCCGCGTGAGGGGCTGGTGGGTCCCTTTGAGGAGATGGACCTGGGCTCCTCCCCTCTGTCTGGTGAGGGAGCTCCACACCTGAGGTCCGTCCTTCAGGTTCTGGGGGGAGGGGTCCCGTCAGGAGGCTGTGGGCTGTGGGGGAAGAAGGGCCCAGAAATACAATCCCACCACTGCTAAGTCCTGTTGCTATCCTCCTGGGCCCACTGCAGATGGGGCCACCCTGCCACCCGCGGATCCCCCTGGCACAGCCCTGCTAGGACCTTTCTATGGGGATGAAAGGGGGTCTCAGAGGGTGTGGCCACTCACCAAGGCCCACGTGAGAGGACCCTGGATCATCCTAGCTCCTTTGAACTGGATGCTCCGGGGCCACCTCCCTGTTAGGAATGAAAATGCCGCCCTTTGCATGACACGAGGAGCCAACTGCTTCCGCCAAGGGCTCAGGCATGGCTCTTAGGGGATTCGCACGCATCTGCGTAGGGCTGGACTTCTCACAGTGGACTCCCACTTGCTGGGTTAGGAAACTGAGTCTGTGCGGGACAAGCTCTGCGGGACGGTGCCCCGGCCGGGATCCAGGCGGCTGGCTGCCCACCACCCTCCCCAACCCTCTGTCTGCCCACCGGAATGTGGCCCTTCCTGGGGGAGCCAGTGACTGCCCAGCCTGGGATCCTGGAGCCCCGGCCCTCCTGGCAGAGCTCACACTCTGGCAGGGTCCGAGGAGCTTTTTGGCGACCCGGCCACTCATCCATCCAGGTTCAAGTTAACTTCGGTGAAGATTCATTGTCATTCTGTGTCTCATTTGCAAGCTGAAGATCATGCTGCTGTCTTTGCCTCTAGTCATAACGCACTCCGAGCTGGGTGCGGTGGCTCACGCCAGAAATCCCAGCACTTCGGGAGGCCAAGGCAGGTGGATCACTTGAGGTCAGGAGTTCGAGACCAGCTTGGCCAACACCGTGAAACCTCATCTCTACTAAAAATACAAAAATTAGCCAGGCATGGTGGTGTGCACCTGTAATCCCAGCTACTCGGGAGGCTGAGACAGGAGAACTGCTTGAACCCAGGAGGTGGAGGTTGCAGTGAGCCGAGATCACACCATTGTACTCCAGCCTGGGCAACAAGAGTGAAACTCCGACTCAAAAAAAAAAAAAAAAAAAAAAAAGAAAAGAAAAAAAAAAAGCACTCCCGTAGAGAGAACCCAGCGGGTTCTGCCACTGTCCCGAGTCACGCTGAGAATGCGAGGGTGTAGGTGTCAGCCCTGGGGGACGCTGGCCCTGACACAGGCTGGCTTCCAAGGAGTCTTGTCCATGAGGATTCAAGGTGGCAGACATTGATTTCATATTCTAAGGAAAAGACAGTGCAGCTCCTTTGGGAAGCTCGGCCTCCTGGCCCGCTATGCCTCAGCCTGGCCCCAGACACAGCCAACAGGGCTGACGTCCTCGGGAAGACGCTGTGACCTCAGACAGGCCTCGGGTTTCACCTGAATCCCAGGGGCTGGGACCTACCCTTGTTTAGTTTCCACGCGGAAGCCAATTTGGGACGTTTGTGACCCAGACGAACCCTTTCAGTGGTTTTGTCCTTTCTTTGGAGAAGGGACTAGGACGAAGAAGGCTGGACTCATGGGGCGGCCCAGGGCACAGCTGGGCCCTCGTGTTTCTCCGTGCGTTTTCCAGAAAGCCTCCAGCCCTGCCTCAATCATGGGTTGGCTCTGTCGCTATTCCGAGTTTCACCGTTGTCATATTTGAGCAGAACTTTTGCCCCGACCAGGGATGAGAACGTCGTCTGCCAGTCTCCTCTGCAGCCGGAGTGGCCACAGGCAGGCAGAGGGGGAAGGCAGAGTCCTCCAGCCAGGAAGAGCGCCAGGCCAGGCAGCCTCTGCTGTGTAAATCGACAGGCTTAAGGCTGCTCATTATGTGGTTTCACCTGAAGAGCGACCTGCCGTAGCCACCGCCAGCAAGCGTGTATGGAGGCCGGTGCCTGGCGAGCGTCGGGGAAGCTGCTGAGTCCCTCACTTCCCCCAGTCAATCCCGGCAGCCTTGCGCAAAGCTTGGTTAATTCAAAAACTGTCTTTGTCTGCATTAAAACACCTTTATCCCTGGTATTAATTTCCTGGCCAGAACAAATTACCAAAAATTTGGTGGCTTCAAACCGCAGAAATGTGTGCTCTCTCAGTTCCGAAGGCCAGAAATCCAAAATCTGGGTGTCACAGGACCGGGCCCCCTCCCAAGGCTCTAGGGAGGATCCTTCCCACCTCCTCCAGCTTCTGTTGGGTGCCGGCAACCCCTGTGCTCCCAGCTTGGGGCTGCACTGTCTCCAGCCTCTGCCTGTCTTCCCAGCGCCTTCTCCCCAAACCTCCCTCTCCTGCCAAGGGCCCCAGTCGTTGGATTAGGGCAGGCCCCACTCCAGCATGGCCTTGTCTTAACTCGACGACATCTGCAAAGACCCATCTCCAAAACAGGTCCTGCTCACAAGCTCTGGGGGTATACAGCGAGTCTTTTGGGGGAATACGAGTCAACCCACAGCCCCCCATGAGTGACGAGTGACAGACCTGGAGCCCACTCCTGGGGGTGGAGGGAAGCACAGAGGAGGAGGAGAAGGGTGTGGACGGGGCTGAGCTTGCCCCATCATTGAAGGGACCAGCCCACAGGCCTGGCCCAGGCTGGAGGCACCAGCGAGCACTGGCTGTCATTAATCCTGGGCCCCAGGGTTGGTCCACAGGGCCAGGGTGGCCAGGGTCGGGGTGTGCTCAGAGCCACTTGGCTGGAATGTTCTTTCCCAGATGCCTGCATGCAGGAGGCTCACTGTTCACATCTCCCCCTTTCCACGAGGGCCTCCGTCCTGGCCACTGTCCCCCCAGAGCCTACGCTGCAGGGAAGGGGCTCCGCGAATACACTTTTGAGTCCAGGGGAGGCCCTCCTACCCCTACCAGGTGCACGTCCTGCTGCTGTTTGGATCTTCTCAAAACCTAAGTCGGTCATCTGTGCCCAGTGTGAGGGCGGCTGGCTCCACAGTCCAGGCTCAGCCAATGGGAGAGGCAGGGTCCTGGGGGCCTCTTCTTACAGCATCAGGTCTGTTCCTGCCCACCAACAGGTGGACAGATGACAGACAGAGAGGCCGGTGCGGCCTGTCCAGAGCTGCTGTGCTCGGCACACCTCAGTCAGGGTCCCTGGGCCCCGTCGGTCCTCCGCAGCGGTCTTGGAAGAACAGGGCCTCACACAGCCCTCTCCCCAGCCGTTCTCTTTCTGGCTCACAGAGCGCCCAGGCTCTAGGGGCTGCAGCCCGGGGGGGCTCCATGCAGTCGGCATCTGCGTTCCTTCACTCTTCTTCCCTTGAATGAATTCCAAGCCCCACTGTTCTAAGGAGGACCAGACGTTACCCCAACCACACTCAGGACCCCCAGCTTTGGGGAAAGGAGGACAGACCCGCCCCCCATATGAGTGAGGGCTGCCAGCAGGGCGGAGAGAGAGGGGGCTGGTGTCAGATTCATTGCAGTGGCCCCCTTCCCCCCCTACACTGAGGAACTCCCAGGCACGGAGGGACTCTCCAGCCAGCCCCATGTCACCAAGGAGAGGTGGCAGAAGGGAGCCCCCCAACATAGACCCTCGCTCTCGCCAGAAGAGTCCTGGGCTCATCACCCCTTCCCAGCCCTGACCTCAGTCGATGGGAACCCAAGAGTGAGGAAACCAAGACATTCTCTGAGGCCCTCCCAGAGACCCTTCAAGACCAAAAGGCTGGCCAGGTGCAGTGGCTCACGCCTGTAATCCCAACACTTCGGGAGGCCAAGGCAGGCAGATCACCCGAGGTTAGGAGTTCAAGACCAGCCTGACCAACATGGTGAAACCCTATCTCTATTAAAAATAGAAAAATTAGCTGGCGTGGTGGCACATACCTGTAATCCCAGCTACTCGGAGGCTGAGACAGGAGAATTGCTTGAACCCGGGAGGCGGAGGTGGTAGTGAGCGGAGATCGCCCCATGACACTCCAGCCTGGGCAACAAAGTGAGACTCCGTCTCAAAAAAAAAGACCAAAAGGCCATGAGATGCACCCGGTAGGGGGGTCCTCAGTGTCCCAGATACATTCGCCACCCCTGGGGCAGGCTCTGAATTCAGGTCCCTGAACGTGGGTCTGTGTGGCATCCCCAGCAAGGAGGGGAAGGGGCCCAGGGGTCCCCATGTCTGCTGCACCACCACAAGCCCCTGGGAACAGGCAATGCCATCCCAGGGCAGCCTCTGGCCTTCACTTGCTACAAGTGAGTTTATCCCCCTCTCCACTCTAGAGATAGTCGGTCTGATTTATGTCGTGCAAAGGCCCTCAAGTGATTAGAGTATCCCTCGGAGACAGGCTCTGGGAGGCGCTGGGAATCCATGCTTCCAGCTGGGGCCACGCAGTCACAGCCACATGAAACGCTCAGACTTTTCTTGCTGATTTTTGAAAATTATTGCACCAAATGTTTACCAGTGAAATGCTGATCGTGATGATAAGAAGGCTGGGGAGGCCAAGAGAAAAGGGAAGAGAGAGTGCAGCTGCAAACCCTTCTCCGGGCCCGAGAAGCACCGCTCTCCTGCGTGTTCAACTGGCATTTGCCACCAACATGTCTGTTTTTATTTAAATGGCCCAGAGCAAGGCTCTGACTAAACTAGCATTCCCACGCCAACACTCAGCAGCGCCTCTGGTTTTTGGCAGATTTTTTCCTTAGCTGTCAAAGCAAAACTATAGAAGCGTCCTGGTCTTACTTAAGGCTTGTTGGGGCTTTTTGCCTTCCCCCGGAGACCCGAATAGCTCGCAGATGTGCGGTACCTGCTTATGTTCGTGCTCCGTGTTACTTCACGAGCAGAATTCCCCGTGCTCTCTGTAACCCACACCCCGATTTCCAGGCCCATGTTCATTTGCAGAGGGGGTCCGTGGGGGTCCGCGGGGGGGAGTATGGGGGGACGGAAGTTCTCAGCTTGTTTAAATGTGTCTGGAGCAAATGGGGGGAAACCCCGGCCACCTGAGAAACTCTCGCCTCGGGCGGCTGCTTCTCCATCACCCCAGCGGTGAGGTCAAGGATGGCCCAGGCTCCACTTGGGGCACCAGGCACAGGTCGGGGTGGGGTGGGGGGTGTGGTCAAAGTCCTTCAGGGGCTCCTGGCTCTGCCGGTGGCTCCTCCGGGGCAAAGGACTGTGCTTTGGGACACCAACATTGTCCCTCTAAGATTAAAATAAACTTTTTTAAGGGGGTTTTCCAGCTATTTTTACCCTCAGAAAAGAAGAAAGGCAAAGACGGAGGAAGGGAAGAAGATGAAAGGAACGAAAGAAGAGAGGGAGAGAGGGAGGCAAGAAAGAGAAGTAAAGCAAAGAGAAAAAGAGGGAGACCGAGAAAGGGGGAAGGAGGAAGGAAGGAGAGGGAGGGGGAGGGGCCAGCCCATCCCGGCTTTCCCAGTGACTCAGCCCTCGGAGGAGGCTCGGGGTTTGTACCAGAGCCCAAGGGGTGGAGCCTCGAAGTTTCGTCCCCCGGGGCTCTTACTTTTTGGAGAAAGTTCTGAGGTGAGGTGGGCAGGGGCCAGGCAGGGTGGAAGATCACCCCCACCACAGGCTCTGCAGGGGTCCCTGGGACTGAGTAGTTTGGGATCATGGGGGTCTGGGGGTAGTGAGGGGGCATGGGGGGTGCAGATGGACCTGGTGGCCAAGCTCTGCCACCCCACTCAGAGCCTCTGTGCCCCCATCCAACAGCCAGGCATCGTGACAGCCTCCCTGTCTGGTCCAGCCCCCCACAGCCCCTACCTGGAGGTGCCAGCCCTGGTGCTAAGCCGCCTCTGTGCCCATCCTCCTGATGTCTCTCCTCCTGGAAGCCCCCTGATTTGGGCAGGCCTGGCCAACTTCCCAGTGCATGCACCCCTCAAACGGCACGCCAACCAGGGCCCCAGCCAGGCACTGCCTCTGCCGTCTCCCTGGGACTCCCTGGAAGCAGCAGAAATGGGCCTTTGGCTCCCAAGTGACCCAACCCCAGCCCAGGCTCCACCCACGCTCTGTGGGCTGCTGAGGGGACCTGGGGTCCTGGAAAGGTCTGAGTGGGCTCCCCACTTCTCAGGGCTGGGAGACCATACCCAGGCCTATCTACTGTCTTTCCCACTGAGGTCTGTGCTCTGAGCAGTCTAGGGGCTTCCAGGGACAGGCAGGTGGGTCTGAGCCCTGAGCCACGTGGAAAGGACGGGCAGGTGGCCTCCACCTGAGATCTGCACTGCACCAGCCACCCCCCAGGCCCAGCTCTAGAATGACAATGCCAGGTCTGCCCCATGGCCAGTCCTGCAGCTCTCGAGGCCTACACCAGCTGGGGCCTTCTCAGCTCACCTGCTCAGGAGGCCCAGTGCCTGCCCGGGGACTTGCCCGGGCAACTCACTCCCCCAGCCTCTGTGCAGAGGGGAACAGCAGGGCCTGCCTCTCGGATGCTGACCCTATCCCATGCCTCATGGGCAGCAAGGGGGGCAGTTTCTGCATGGGGACCACTGGAGACACTGAGTAGACAGGGCCCCGGGCAGAGTCCTGGCCACAGCTGGGGATCACTGTCCTGGCAACTGGGTCCAGGGAGGGTACCAGGCGCCTGGCGGGAGGGCTGGCCACAGCAGCAGGCTTGCATGGACAGCCAGTTGACTTTGCACCAAGAAAAGCCCCTGCCGGGTCTGCGCCCACATTCCTTCAGCTTCTTGCAGTCACAGGTCAGTCAGCAAACCTTCCGGAGCCTCTGGTGTGGGTCGGAATGGTAGGGATGGGCTCTGCCTCACACACAGAGAGTGGGCCAGGAAGGCTTCATGGTCAGGGGTGCTCAGACGGCCGAGAGCCTCTGGGATGGCTGAGGAGTCTCAGGGACACGTGGGAAAGAGACCCCCTCGGCAAAGGACGAGGCCTGCAACAGCAGAGCAGGGAAGTCCCCGGCACAGACCGAGGGGTGCAGGGCATGGGGAGCCCCTGTGGGGGCCAGGGTGAGATGCCCAGCACCTGCAGGCACCCCTGGGCCTGGGTGACGGTGGCTGTCTGCACACAGCAGGGGACCAGGAAGCAGATTCCAGACCCCAGCCTCCTCAGAACAAGGGCCGTTCTCTGTTCTCAGAACAAGGGCCGGCCCGAATCCATCCTAGAGCAAGGACTGCCAGGTGCGTCACAGCGGACCGCCCAGCACAGGGGACCAGGTAGCAAGCGAGACACTGAAACCACATCTGGAAAAATGCCCAACCTCGAGGAAATGTCCCAAGTTCTTTATAAGTGGAGAAAGGCAGATGGGGCTTTAAAAATCACTTGGTGCAGCAGAACCTGAGGCCCGGCGGCCAGCGAAGGCCCCACGGTGTGCCCGATGGTCAGGGGCTGCAGTGGATGGGGACGTGGAGGCTGCGTAGGAGGCACCCTGGAGGCTGGACACCCTGGAGGCCTCTGGGCTTGAGCTTTGCACACAGGTCAGATGTTTTTTACAGTCAGCTTCAAACGGTGAAGGGGCCCTACTCCTAGGTGGTCTGGAATGTTCCCACAGCTGCCTGGTGGTGGCCCCCACCCAGGACCCAGCAGGGTACCCGCCACAGGACGTCCCCGCACTCGGCCCCGCCTCAGAGCCCCCACGCCCCCTGCTTTCAGTCCCAGGGGCCACTCCAACCTGGCCACGCCAAGCCATGGTCCCTGCACCGAGTCCAGCCTGCTGCCTTGGGCGGTGAACAGACTGTGAGTGTGGGGGAGGGGAGGAGTGTCCCCCAACACCTCCTGGGGGTCCCACTTACCCTACTGGATGACAGCAGCTGAGGACCAAGGCCTGGCTGGGCCTTGAGCTGGCATCCTCATGATGTCTCTGAGCCTCAGCTTCCCTCCTGAAAAATGGGGAGCATCATGCTAGCCGCCCCCCAGCGCCACAGGGTCATGGGGGCTGCAAGAGCCAAGATGAACTCCTGCAGGAAGGAAAGGGGCCTTGGGCTCAGCACCGGGAGTCTCAGCCCTGGCTGCTCCTTAGAATCTACTGCAGAGCTTTCAACACAGGCACCCCTCAAATACACCCACCCACCAGGTCACTGCTGACCCCCCTCTACTCGGACCACATCTCTCTGGGGCCGGAGCCGGCCCTGGGGTGTTTTAAGGTCACCTGGGTCTCCATGAGCTCCGTCGCTGTCCCCGTGTGCTCACCAGCTGTGCTTACCTCTCCACGCACTTAGGGGTGTGCTCTGCTCTCGAAAGTCCCCACAGCAGCCGCAAAGGAGGGGCCTGGTTGGGCCAATGTCAGCAGGGCCTCCTTAGCTCACCCTGACAATGGTACCCCCATTTCTCTGGCAGCAAACAAGGGGGAACTGACCCAGTTCAGTCTCCTGGGGTGCAACGCCTAAGCCACTCTCCCCTCAGCACCCGCAGGGGGCCTCTGAAGAAGAGAGGGCTGCAGGACACGTCTGCCTCTCCCCTCCGCAAACCAGGCTCTGCGGCCCCATCTCATCTGCTTCCAGGCTCCCTGGCCAGCTTGGGAACAGCCCCATTCATTCGGGGTACCCCTGGAACCTTGCCCCAGCTCCCACCACAAGTTGGGACAGGAAGCCCAAAGTGACTCCTACAGGGGAGGCCTGGCGGCACTGCACCCCAATTCAGCTTCTTGGGGTCCTAGCCCCCACCCTCCCATTGGGTTTCTGGAGTGGCTGGGGTGCCCTGCACACAACCTGCTCTTGTTTCTCTTTAGTCCCCGCAATGCCCGCTGCCCAGGGCTGCCTCCCGACCTGTAGGAGAAGGTCTCCAGGCCCTAGGCCAGCAGATGTACTCCTGTTGTGTCAGGACCCCAGCCTCCCCCGACTGCCCACACCCGCTGGCCTGACAAAGAGGAATGGGGAGCCCGGACAACTTGTGAATGAAAAAGCTTCTCACCTACTTGCCAGGGGCCTACCCCCTTCCCAGGCTGGTGGGGAGGTGAGGCCCATCCCCCTCATCCCTGGCTTCTCCTCGGCCACAGCTGTCCATGGGGTACTCCCGGCTGTGGGTGGTGCAGGGGTTGGGAGCTGGGAGGCCGAGGCCTGTGCTTCCCTCGGGCCTGTGCACCCGGCCGCACCATCCGTAACGCGGGCTTATGAGCGTGCCTGGCTGCTGGGTGGCCTGACGGGTGGACACCGAATGGGCCACTCTCTTCTCTGCTGGTAGAGGATGGAGGCCCAAGGTGGAGGTGCTGTCGGCACAGCTGGGGCAGACCAGGGGAGACCCCCTATCCAGGGATCCCCTCCTCCCCTCCCAGGCCGCCCCTCCGCAAAATGCTGAGGACTGGCCCCCGGGCCTGGGCTACATGGGCCATTACTTCTGGCCTGGGGCCCACAGGCAGAGATGCCAATGGAGGCACACAGGCAGTCGCACCCGCACCCGATCAGCACCAGGCCTGAGGCCTTCGGGCCTCCCTATGCCCCACCCCACCCCCACCCACCAGGAGCAGAGGACGTCGTGGTGGGCAGAGTCCTCAGCCTGGGAGCTGCACAGCCCCGCGCTTCCTTCTATGGAAAATCTGCTCCTCCAGGCTGCCTGGCTGCTGTTACATAAACATCTCTGCTGCCTCCAGGCGCCTCCTCTCCTGGGGCGCTGACCCCAAGATGTTACCCCAGGCCTGCAGAAGTGAGGCCAGATTCTGGGAGGACGCAGGCGAGGGAGGCTCCCAGCAGCAGCTACAGGGGCGGGACAGGCCGCCTGCACTGGCTGTTTCCAGAGTGCTCAGCATTTGGCAAGAGGTGTGCCAGGAAAGGCTTGCTGGGGTCAGGTGTGAGATTTGTCCTGCTTTCTGTGCCTGCCTCTGCCACCATGCTCTGGGGTTTCTGCAGCCCTCCCCCCAGGCCCCCACAGTCCTAGGTCCCTCCCAGCCTTTCGGTCTCCCCGCAGGGCAGGCTTAGCCCTCCTACTCCAGGAGGGGCGCCGGGACACGCGCCTTCTGCCATCGCACTCACCACCCTGTGTTGGGGTGGGGAGGGGGCGCTGTCTGTCCCTGGCACGAGGCCGTGAACTTTGCGCAGGGACTATGGCAGGCATTTTGGACTCCTGGCGCTTAACCAGGCTTGGCACAGGGTGCCCGTGCCTGGCATCGTGGTGGAGAAATAAATCAGCCGGAAGGAGCACGTGGGAAGGGCTGCGCCGGCGCCAGCGGCAGATCCGCCCGACCCGTTTGTGCTTTCTGGGGCCACCTTAGGCAGGCGGCGCCCGGGCAGGAGGAGGACGGTGACCGAGGAGCGTGTCGACGCGGGTCCCCCTTGGGGGAGCGGGGCACAATCCGTCCGCGAGGCACTGGTCCCGGCTGCTCCCTCGGGGCGCCCGGAGTCCCCTGCCCAGAGGCCGCGGCGCCCCCATCCCTCGCGGTCAAGTGCTCGGGCAATCACGGCCAGGGATGTCTGGCGGCGATCGATCCTCTGGACGCCTAAAGCCGCGGCCACGGGGCCCTCGGGAGGGAGTGAAGCCGCTGGGCTAGGGGCGCACACACGGCTAGGCCACTCTCCCAGAGCCCTGCCCCGGGCCCGGGGTCCCCCAACGTGGCCTCAGCTGCTCCCCGCCCGGCCCAGCGCACGGTGCACACGGCTGTCCGCGGCCTCGCCCTCCCCATTCCGCCCCGGGCTCCTCCGCTTATTCACATGCAAATTTCAGTCGCCAGTTGTCGCCGAGCGCGGCAACCGCCAGAGCCGGATCCTTCCGCAGCCCCGGCTCAAACTTTTGGCCTCTGAAAACTTTCAAACGAGAAGTAGTCCCAGGCGCCCGCTCCCGACCCACGCCGCGCCGCCGGGTCCCTCCTCCCCGGAGAGGCTGGGCTCGGGACGCGCGGCTCAGCTCGGGGAGGCGCAAAGGCGGACGGGGCGTGCGGGAGGAGGTGGCCGCGGAGGGGGCGGGGGGACCGGCGGGGGTGGGGCCGGGCGGGGCGGGGCCGGCGGGGGCGGAGCGCACCTCGACTCTGAGCCTCACTAGTGCCTCGGCCGCGGGAGGGAGCGCAAGGGCGCGGGGCGCGGGGCGCGGGCGCGGGCGCGAGCGCAGCGAAGGAACGAGCCGGGCGCGGAGCCGGGCCCGGGGGCCTGCGAGAGCACAGCGCCGCCAGCCAGCCGGGGAAGAGAGGGCGGGACCGTCCGCCGCCGCCCCGGGACCGTACGCCGCGCGTGTGCGTCCCAGCCCCGCCGGCCAGCGCAGGAGGCCGCCGCCCGGGCGCAGAGGGCAGCCGGTGGGGAGGCATGCCGCCGCTCCTGGCGCCCCTGCTCTGCCTGGCGCTGCTGCCCGCGCTCGCCGCACGAGGTAGGCGCCCACCCACCCGCGAGCCCCCACTTTCCGCGCCCTTTGGAAACTTTGGCGGCGCCCGGCGCGCGCGCCCCACGGCTGGGAGCGGGCGGCGGGGAGGCCAGCATGGAGAGGGAAAAGCGGGCGGCCCGGGGCGTGGGGTTCTGGAGTCCCGGGATCAGGGAGGACCGACCTTCCCCCTCGATCCCCCCGTGGAGGCGGACTCGCGCCGCCCGTGCCTGGAGCCGAGTTAGGAGGCCGGTGTGGGGTGCTGGGGCCCCGGAGGCCCTACTCCGGGCCCGCCCTTCACCCGCCGCGCGTGGGGCTTGCCGCCGGTCGGCCGGGCGGGCGGGCTGCCTACTATTTTTCGATTTGAATAGAGTCGGTTTTGGTTTCCTGTTGCTTCTCCGGGCCATTTATCTTCTTTCTTCTTCGCCTCTGGCCCACGCCGGGGCGGATGTTGGGGCGCGGAGTGTGGGCTCTGCGGCGCCGCGTTCGCCTTCACTGACCCGCGCGGCCGGGCTGGGTCCCCGGGCTCCCGGTCGCCCCGCCCGCCGGTGCCCCCCAGCCCGGCTCTCAGTTTGGGGGAGGGGTTGCGTAAGAAGCCGCCGCGCCCGGGGGGACTGAACTTTCCTTTTGCTTTGCGGAGTTGAAGTTTGGAAAGCTTGGGGGCGGAGAGCGGGACGCGGGTGGGGGGCTCTTACATTTCTCCCCGCCGCACAGCGAGCGGGGTCTCTGGGGAATCGAGTGATTAATCCACTCTTTCTCCGAGAGTTGGAGGCGAGAATTATCTGTCCTCTTCCAGAAAGTGCGGCTCTGTGTCACACCCCCCTCCCCCGTTTCTCAGCCCCGGTAAGATGGGGAGGGAGGGGCTTGAGTAATTGATCCCTTCTCGAGATGGGGTCGAATTCCTTCCGAATGGGGGACCTTCATCCCCCTCCTGTGGGTGTATGGGGGCTGCCCTGGAGATGCGCGCCCGCGGAGGCAGGTATTGGGTGTCGGCGGAGGCGGGGCCGCGTCCCCAGGGTGCTGTCCCGGTGCCCCTGGAGGCGGCCCCGACTCCACAATGGGCCGCTCTGATTCTGAGGCGGAGGCCGGCGCTTTGTTGGCGGGCGGGGTAGCGGGCGAGCAGCTGTCGCATTTTCCCACGGGCGGGAGCTGAGTGTGGCCACCCCCCCTCCCCCCGTCCAGCTCTGCCCCCTTGCAGAACGGGTTTGAACAGAGGCAATCTCGGCGGCTGGATGGGGGGCCCTGCCCTGCCAGACTCCTCAGTGAGCCTCCAGGGTGGGGGGCAACGCTTTGGAGAGTAGCCCACTTTGTCTCTGCTTTTCCCCCACTGCGTCCAGGCGGCACATCAGGCCACCCCACCCTGCTTCAAGCAGGACGTGTTCCCTGCTGCTCCCCTTCCCCCCATTTCTGACTACAGAACTCTGGGCAGAATGTTGACGCCCCTTTGGTTTCATGGAGGGGCTTCCTGCGGACCCGTGCCCCAGCAACCCATGATACTGAGCAGAGTGCGTCCGGGGTAGGGGGCGGACGATGCCCCTTGGCTGGGTGCAGGTCCCCGCCCCCAGGGTAACCAGGGCCTTCGGTGGTGGTGGTGCGGGTGAGACTGACCTCTCTTCTCCTGCCCCTGCCTAGGCCCGCGATGCTCCCAGCCCGGTGAGACCTGCCTGAATGGCGGGAAGTGTGAAGCGGCCAATGGCACGGAGGCCTGCGTGTGAGTACCACCCCTGCGGGACCTGTTGCTTTGTCGAGGGCAGAGCCCCTGCCTTCTGCAGCCGCGCAGGGGACAGAACACTAGGCCATTGTCTTCTGGAGATGGCCCAGAGTCTGGGCACGGTCACGTGCTGACTTTTATTGGACAAAGTCTGGCAATTACTTAATCACCAGCAATTATGCTGCGTGTGGAGCTGGTCTGGCTGCTGAGGGCTTGGGCACTCCTCCGTGGGCCACCTCAGGCTCCGGGGTCACTAAGTGGGAGTCCCAGTACCCCAATTCTTCTTTAAGTCCCCAAGAAACAGTTGATCTGCCAGGGGAAGCTCTGGACCATTTACTGAGAGGCCCAGCCCCCACCACCCTGCCAACTTGGGGCGCCTCCTCTGGGCGGGTGATGCCTCCTGGGCACAGGTGATGCCTCCTCTCGGGGGTGATGCCTCCTAGGTGGGTGGTGATGCCTCTTGGGCTGGTAGTGATGCCTCCTCTGGCACAGGTGATGCCACCTCCTGGGCGGGTGATGCCTCCTCTGGGTGCGTGATGCCTCCTGGGCTGGCGGCAATGCCTCCTCTGGGCACAGGTGATGCCACCTCCTGGGCGGGTGATGCCTCCTCTGGGTGCGTGATGCCTCCTCTGGGCACGGGTGATGCCACCTCCTGGGTGGGTGATGCCTCCTCTGGGTGGTGATACCTCCTCTAGGTGGGTGATGCCTCCTCTGGGTGGTGATACCTCCTCTAGGCGGGTGATGCCTCCTCTAGGCACAGGTGATACTTCCTGGGCAGGTGATGCCACCTCCGGGTGGGTGATGCCTCTTCAAAGGAAATTGACTCTTCAAAATCGGACCCGCCTTTGGGCTCTCTGTTTGCCCCAGCTCCCTCTTCCCGGCCTCAGGCTGGGGCTGGGGAAGAGAAGGTGGAACTCATGTTTTGGCGTGGGGTGTGGGGTAATTATTGAGTCTGGTTTCTGTCCTGGCATCTGCAAACTCTGACCTCAAAATCCCGTGGCCCTTCTGGTCTGCCAGCCTCAGATGTAAAATGGGCACTGAGGGGGCCGGGAAGTCGTGCGGAACCGCTCCCTCCTGCCTGCCTGTGAGTGCCCATCAGCCGTGGGGAACTGTTCTGCTGTGGCCGATGCCCTTCAACTTGAGTCCATCCCTGATGAGAATAATGAGGAGGTGTTTGGTGTCTGGAAAAAGAGTTCCCTCCGCCCCCCAGGAGCTACAGATGAAGAAATGGCTCCCCAGCCAGTCTGCGCGCCCTCATTCCAACTGCAGAAGGTCCCATTCCCTTGACAACCCCAGCCCGGCTCCTGCCTGTGCCGACTGCCCAGCCTGTGGGCAGCAGGCCCCCTCCCTCCCCGGCCCCCACCCTCCCCAAACTGAAGCCAATTAAGCAGGTCTGTGAGCAGTTTAATGGACAAAGCCGATTGTGTCTTTGTCAGACACTAATGAATGCGCACTACTTTTTTTTTTTTTTTTTTTTTTGCTTTTTGGGGCCCCCTTCTCCCTCTGCAGAAGCCGCACGGACGCTTGATGCCCTAAATCTTGTTTCCTTTCATTCAGAGACCGACAGCTGGGATCCAGGGGAAGTGCAGCAGCTATTGTTGGGGGAGGCGGATTAATGCCGTGTGATTAATTATGCGTGGCTTCCCAGAATGTATAACCCCCTTCCCCGCCACTGCGCTCCCGGCTCGGACTTTGCCTCTCACCCATTCGGGGCTCTGGGAGAAGCTTCTTGCTCCTGCAGAGGACTTTGGGAGGGTGGGAGGAACACCGTGCTGGGAAAATTGGGGGCCTGTTGCTTCTTCTCAGTGGCACCAGGGAGTAGGCACAGCCTGGCCCACAGGGGTCTGGGACTGAGGTCTCCCTGGGCCAGAGCGCTGTGCTTTGGGGTACAGATTGCTGCAGCTCCCTGGTGTCTGGGTTAAAACCCTGCCACAGGGCCGCAAAACACTGGTGTCATGGGCCCACTTTCCCATTCCCCAAACCTGGGATCCCGGTGAGCTGTTTCCAGCCCAAGGCAGGCCGCCGACCATGGCTTTGGTGCCTGGCCTTGTCCCCTTTGCTGGGGCCTGGCGCCCCCTCCTTCTTGGCGGGAAGCCTGCTTCAGTTTGGCCTGACAGGCAGCCGAGCTCAGCCCACAGAGACCCCATTGTGCACACCCCACAAGTCCAACGAGAAGATGGGACGGAAGCGCGTCCTCAGGCTCCTGCTTCTGGGCCGCAGAGTTGGAGGCCAGGGCCACAGCCGAGCCCGGCTTGTGGAGGCACAGGTCAGGGCTCACACAGCAGTCTGGGGGACATTGCAGCCGCTTCGGAGAAGGCCCCGGGCTCCCTCCCTGGGCTTGAGCCCCACCCAACATACACCCCTCAGGTGCCTCTGCCTTCCCGTTCCTGCCCATCCTTCTCAGAAGGCCCAGGAGGTCTGTCCAGGAGTTAGCCAGGGCACCTGCAGGAGGCCTGGCTCCCCCAGCAAGGGGAGAAACCCACACTGTTTCTCGAAAGAGTCTGGGGTGCAGGCTCTTGGAGCCCTGCCAGCCTGAGTGGGAATCCTGGCCCCGTGGTATCCAGCTGTGACCCCGGAAAGAGCTTTGGCTTTTGGTGCCATTTGCTGCCTCCGCTGTAGAAGGGGCATGGTCATGATGGGCGTCACAGTGCCTGGCTCACTAGTACTGGGTGAATCATTTCTTTCCATCCCAAAGAGAAGGAACCTTCACCGGAAGCTGCCAATCAGGTGGTTGCAGGGCCCGGGATTGGAAAAAGTGGTTTTGTTGGTGCAAAATGCCTTCCCAGGAGGTCAGAGTGTCGCCGTGGCCTGGTCAGCCAGTGGCCAGGTAGAAAGCACCTGGCAGCACATGCTGGTGGGCGGAGGATGGTTGGTCTCTGGGCAGCTGCTGTGCGAGGTGTGGCCGTGGTGGCTGTGGTCGGAGATGGTGGCCTTCTGAGCAGGCCCAGGGGGTCACTGTGGCCCTTGGCTCTTCTCTAGCCCCCTCATCAGCTCCGTCAGTGTGAGCAAGGGGTACTGAAGAGGGCTCCACCTTTTTTCTCTTTGTTTTGAGGAGAGCTGGGAAGAGCTGCAGGGACCCTATCTGTCTGGGTGAGACTACGTCCTTGGTCTGAAACGCTCTCCCAGGGCTGCCTGCGTCTGGGCTGGGCGTTGAGGCAGGGGGCAGCTAAGATGTTGGCTGCTGACGGCAGAGTCAGAATGGCACGGGGCGTCTTCCAGGAGCTGGGAGAAATGGGGGTAGGCTGTCACACCCAGCACCTCCAGGAGGATGTCCAGCTGCCTGCTGGGTGGTGCGCTTTAGCTTTGGACAACCTCGTGTCTGAGGCCTGGCCTGGCCACTAGCTCTGTGACCTTGGGTCATCAGGTCATGCAAGCCTCAGTTTCCCCAGCATGTCAGCCGGGCTGATACACGCTGGATCTCTTGGTGGTGTGTGAGGATTGCATGAGAACCGTGTGGAGAGGGCACCTGGTCAGCGCTCCTTTCTTCCCCGCCTTCTCCCCGTTGGCTGACAGTGCTGGTTTCCAGAGCCTCCTTCCTGAATGTTTAATTGATTGACGAGTGAATTCAGAGAATCCTAAAGGTGCTGCCTGGTGGGCTGGGCCTGGCACTGCCTGGGGAGGGACTTGCCGGCTCTGGGGAAGTCCATCTCCCAGGATGGCTCCAGCTCCGGGGAAGTCCATCTCCCAGGGTGGCTCCAGTTCACAGACACGTTTGAGCGCCTGCTGTGTGCTGCGTTCTGCTCCAGGCCAGGCCCCCGGTGGGGACAGGGCAGACATGGCCCCTGCTCCTGTGGAGTTCACTTCCCAGCAAGGCGTGAGAGAGGCACCTAGCTCACATGTGGGACATGTTGGGGGTGTGCCGGCCCGGTGGTGGCCTGGCATAGCTCCCGGCAGCCCCGTAAAGCTGTCTGGATCAGGCACCGATAAGTGAGAAGAAGAGACCCAGAGAAGTCGCCATCAGCCCCAGGGTCACACAGCAGTGGCAGAATTCCTACTAGCCCTGCCCCTCTCCTTCTCCCAAGCGAATGTCCCTAAACACAGCCCCAGCCAGCCTGAGCTGCCCCGTCATTTCCCGACTACAAGCGGACTGGGGGCGTGGCTTCCCCTTAAAAGAAGAGGAAGGAGGCTCAGGCGGGAAGTGACTTGGCCCTGCAGCCGGCCTGGGAGGCTGGGGAGGGACGGGGTAGCTCCTGTCACCCGGTCTGGCTCTTTCCATTGAGTCACCTGCCTCGTCTTGGGCGTGGCCAGGGGAGGAACAGGTTGATTCTCCTCCTCATGCTGAGCTGAGCGGAAAGGCCTGTGACAGGACCTCCTGTTTATGCAGAACCTGGTCTTCAAGGGCGCCAGGGTTAGAAAAACATGTTTAAAAACATGCAGCATCCGAGGTGGGCAGATCACCTGAGGTCAGGAGTTCAAGACCAGCCTGGCCAACATGGCGAAACCCCCGTCTCTACTAAAAATACAAAAATTACCCAGGCGCAGTGGCGTGTGCCTGTAATCCCAGCTACTTGGGAAGCTGAGGCAGGAGGATCCTTTGAACCCAGGAGACGGAGGCTGCAGTGAGCTGAGATCGTGCCACTGCACTCCAGCCTGGGTGACAAAGTGAGACTCTGTCTCAAAAAAACAAAAAACAACAAAAAAAACCCCACACAGTGTCAAATAGAAAGTCTCACCTACTCAGACTGGGGAGACATCAGGAACAGGAAGGCCTGGGGCGGAGACTGGGGTGGGAGCCTGGAGTGCTCTGAAGGAAGCTGGCTCCTTGGGGCAGGCCCTGCCTCTGAACAGCAGCCAACATGTTTTCCATTGAAAAGAATAATAATAGAAAAAGAGAGAGGGAGAAAGAAAACAGCAACCCTGGCAGGAAGAGGGTAGGGCAGGGCAGACAGTGCACCAGGGGAAGTGCTTCCACAGGGCAGAGCTGGGTGCGGGGACCCCCAGATGCGGGCGGCAAACTGGAGACCCCACAGGAGCCGGGACTGGCTTCATTCCTCATTCCCTGCACCTGTGATGGGCAGCAGCGGCCACCGGTGCCCACTGGGCAGTTCCAGGCCGGGCCGAGGGACTGCACCCTTTTGCTGTGGGGAGGGGACCTTTCCTGTTTCATGTCTCGTCTATAAATAGTGAAAGGATGTGGCTTTGCAGAATCGATTGGGCGTCTAGCTTGCCTTCCTCAATAATGCAGCGATGACAGCTCCACACTCAGGACGCCGCTGTTACCCAGCCTCGTAAAAGCCCTGGCAGACGGCCGCCCACCCTCCAGGTGTGCCAGTGCAGTTTTCATCCCCAGCGCACAGGTGGGAAAGCTGTGGCTGCGAGGGCGTGGGGATCTGAGGCAGGCTGGCGTCAGCTTTCACCTTCATGTGCAGGCATATCCAGAACTTTCCGGATCTTTCCCCGGGCTGAGGAGGAAATACCAGCAGCTTTAACGAGCGGCTGGCTTTGGGGCATCACACCTGTGGGCCGGGCTGCGTTTGACGGCCTCGAGTTTCCCAGGCAGCGCTGGCGCTTTCTCCTGTGGGGCCCGGAGCTCCGAGGGGCTGTGAAGCAGGGCTGGCTCTGATTTGCTGTGCTCCCCACACTGTCCCCTCCCTGGGCCTCAGTTTCCCCATCTGTATGTGATTCCCCTTCCAACTACAGCCAGCGGGACCCTGGGGCGGGCTGAAGGCGTGGTGGTGGCTGTGGGCCCTGCGGCGAGGCCTGCGCTGGGCTCGGTGGTCGCCCCAGCTGGGGAAGGGGCAGTGGCTGCAGGGGTGGGAGGGTGGAGGGAAGCCCTTTTCCAAAGTTGCCTGGTTGGGTTCTCCTTGTGGCCCTGCCCCACCCCACCCTGCTCCCTGGGAGCAAAGGGAGCTAAGGACTGGTTTGGGGATGGATATGTATATGGAGGGATTCTGGGTGATGACTTATTCATATTACAAAATTTGCCTTTTTTTGTTTGTTTTTTGAGATGGAGTCTTGCTTTGTCACCCAGACTGGATTAGAGTGACGCAGTCTTGGCTCACTGTAACCTCTGCCTCCCAGATTCACGCGATGCTCCTGAGTAGCTGGGACTACAGGCACATACCACCACTCCCAGCTAATTTTTGTATTCTTAGTAGGGGCAGGGTTTCACCATATTGGTCAGGCTGGTCTCAAACTCCTAACCTCAGGTGATCCACCTGCCTTGGCCTCTCAAAGTGCTGGGATTACAGGCGTGAGCCACTGTGCATGGCCACTTTTTTGTTTTTTGAGATGGGGTCTCACCCTGTCACACAGGCTGGAGTGAAGTGGTGGGATCACGGCTGACTGCAGCCTCAAACTCCTGGGCTCAAGCGATCCTCCTGCCTCCGCCTCCAGAGTAGCTGGGACCACAGGTGTGCACCACCATGCCTAGCTAATTTTAAATTTTTTTGCAGAAGCGGGGTCTTGCTATGTTGTCCAGGCTGAAAATGTGACTTTTGAACTAAAGCATGCTGTTGCTTGACATCTAGTCCATTCACAAGTTCATTCAACCACTATCTAGTTCCGGGACTTTCTCACTGCACAAAACAGAAACTGTACCCAAATACTGTCACTCTGCCCTGACTGCCCCAGCCCCTGGCAACCACTAACCCGCTTTCTGCCTCTGAATTCGCCTCTTCTGGACGTTGCCTATGAATGGAATTGTGCCATAGGTGGTCTTTTGCCCCTGGCTTCTTTCACTGAGCGTGATGTGTTTAAGGTTCATCCATGTCACGCGTGGACTAGAACTGCATTCTTCTGAGGACTACATTTTAGCCTCCAGAAGCATCAGGGACTGGCCAGAGGTGGACCCCAGCATCCCAGCTCCCAGACAGTCCAGAGGAGGCAGGTGTTGGGAGGGCGTCCGGGGTGGCTTCCTGGAAGAGATGGCGCTCACTCTGGGCCGGTGCAGCCACCCGACAGCCACAGAGCCCCCTAGAGGGAGTCCTGGCATATTCCCAGGTGAACCTGTAGGATGGACTGGCGTGCCCGCGGCCCCTGTCCTGCTCAGGACTCCGAGACAGGCTCACAACCTGTCCCTGGGCCTCACTCATGCCAGCCGCCAAGCTGTTCAGCATCCCTTAGCCCCCAGGAGGCACACAGTGGGGCCGCGGTCACTGAGCGTCCACACGCCTGGTGCTGTAAGAATGCAAAGTAGAGGGTCTTTATTGAGCATCTACTACATGCTGAACCCTGGGGTATGGGTGGGCACGGCAGATGCAGGCCCCCCTGGGCAGGGGAGGAGCATGCCCCTTAAGAACCAGGCCACAGGATGGACGGGCTTGGCCACAAGCTAGGGGTAGTCACTGCAGCCTTCATGGCCTCCTGTGTGCAAAGTCAGTGCTGTGGGACCCCATCTGGGTGCACCTGCTGTGGCTTTCAAGTGAGGCCCACCACGGAGCAGCTTCCACGCTGGCTGGGACAGGGTCAGCGGCAGGGAGCTCCAGACCAAAGGAGCGGCGGTGGCTGGGGCAGCGGGGGGCAGTGAGGCTTTGGACACATCCATGGGGCGGGCAGGCATCTCAGCCCCCACCCGCCCAGTCTGCCTGCTCCGGGGCCTTCCCTTCCCTGGACAGAGCTCTGTGTGATTGGCTCCAGGCTGCTTCTCCCCCTGGACCCTCAGGGTCAGCTTAGAGTGACTGGCTATGCCCTGGCCTAGATCCAGGCCCGTGTGACAGGAGAGAGCTAGGAACCTGGCCCCTCACTCTGAGACACAGATGGTGTCCTCTCCAAGTTGCCCTTGGGACGGGGAAGCGCCATGTCCCCTGCAGGGCACCAGGCCAGCCAGTGGCCCTTGACAGCGAGGCCCTGTCTGCAGGCAGCTGGGGGACTTCTCCCTGTCGGGAGGATGCGTGCGTGTTAGCATCGGGGTGCCTGGTTGCCCCAGGGGTGGTGCAGGGCGGTTATAGGCGGTCCTAGCATTTTGGGGTTGCTTTCAGTGTATCTCCGAGACCTGTGGAATTCTGGGAGGAGAAACTCCCCAGCAGTGTCCTCAGTGCGCCCCCCTACCCTGTACCCGTTGCTCCTGGGAGGGATCCTGAGTGCTCCCCCCCACCCACCATGCACCCATTGCCCCAGGAGGGATCCTGAGTGCTCCCCTCTCCACCCACCCTGCACTCATTGCCCCGGGAGGGATCCTGAGTGCTCCCCCCTCCACCCACTCCCACCCTGCACCCATTGCCCCTGGGAGGGATCCTGAGTGATCCCCCCTCCACCCACCCTGCACCCATTGCCCCTGGGAGGGATCCTGAGTGCTCCCCTCTCCACCCACCCTGCACTCATTGCCCCGGGAGGGATCCTGAGTGCTCCCCCCTCCACCCACTCCCACCCTGCACCCATTGCCCCTGGGAGGGATCCTGAGTGCTCCCCCCGACCCACCCTGCACCCATTGCCCCAGGAGGGATCCTGAGTGCTCCCCTCTCCACCCACCCTGCACCCATTGCCCCTGGGAGGGATCCTGAGTGCTCCCCCCTCCACCCACCATGCACCCATTGCCCCGGGAGGGATCCTGAGTGCTCCCCCCTCCACCCACTCCCACCCTGCACCCATTGCCCCTGGGAGGGATCCTGAGTGCTCCCCGCCTACCCTGCACCCATTGCCCCTGGGAGGGAGACTTCTGTAGAGGCCTCACCTCTGAACCCCCCACTCACAGGCTCAGGGGCCCAGGGCTGGGGGCGTCCTGCCGTCTACACTCCAGATTGAGCCCGCACGGTTAAACAGGGCCCTCTCCGCACGCCCTGCCTAATGCAAAGCGGTGGCTTCGGGTGGGTCCCCAAGGGGCCTTGTGAACCCTGGGGGCCTGGCCCCTCCCACCTGGCTGCACCCGCTGGGCGGGAGATCCCATCCTCCGAGTCCTCAGCCCCTCAGCCTCAGCTGCAGCCCAGACACCAGGGCTCTGTGGGGCGGGGGTGGGGCAGCGGTTCCCTCAGGTCTGTGGGGCTGCCCTGCTGTGGTTCCTGCAATTTCCTGGAAGGAGGTCTGGGGCCTGGTGTCCAGTGGGGCCTGTGGGGACGGACTCGGGGGCTCTGTGGGGAGGGACTGGGGGCTCTGTGGGGACGGACTTGGGGGCTCTGTGGGGAGGGACTGGGGGGCTCTGTGGGGAGGGACTGGGGGCTCTGTGGGGAGGGACTCGGGGGCTCTGT
Source organism: Homo sapiens (assembly GCF_000001405.40). Classification (NCBI taxonomy): domain Eukaryota; kingdom Metazoa; phylum Chordata; class Mammalia; order Primates; family Hominidae; genus Homo; species Homo sapiens. Next base: position 136,534,901 of record NC_000009.12, on the reverse strand, counting down.
GAGGAGGGACTGGGGGGCTCTGTGGGGAGGGACTGGGGGCTCTGTGGGGAGGGACTGGGGGCTCTGTGAGAGGGAACTGGGGGGCTCTGATGTGCTGGGCGTGCACAGGGGAGGCTTTGCCTCTGACATCCACACCTGCAGTTCCCAGGCACACACAGCGGCCCCATCGGGGTCCTCGCAATCACAGTCTGTGAGTGGCCACTACCAAGGGCGTCTCCGGATCAGGCCAGGCCCAGATGCTGCCCGGACCCAACCCCCACAGCGCCTGCCGCCACAGTAGGGACCAATGGCCACAGAACACTCACCCGGCCTCACTTGCACGGGGCTGTTCAGTCTGGTGGGCACCAGGTGGGCGCTGTTCTCGCCCAGTGGGAGGCCTGCCAGCTCCTTGGTTGCTAGTTGAGATTTTTCCCCAAGAAATAGTCGTGTTGTTCCTTCTGCTCCGCCTGGCACTGAGGTTGGTGACACGCCCCGACCTTGCTCTAATTGGCAGATGAGAATTTGTCATCAGATGTCGACCCTGTCTACGCAGTCCCCTGGCCTCGGAGTCCATTGTGCATCTCTGAAGGGCTTGAATTGGTTGTTTAAAGCTGGGTAAATGCCCCCTTGACATTCTGTTGACACTGTCAATTTGCTGAACAAACTCTTCCACAGGTAGCACAGGAGGCCAGTCTCGCCCCAGCCTGAGCCAAGGCCCAGGGAGGCAGGTCCTGTGTGGAGTCAGCCTTTTTGTGAGTGCAGCGGCCCTGCAGGATGCACCGGGTTTGAGAAGTGGACTCCCCCGTCTCCCGCCACATCCCAAAAGCCCTCAGCCATGAGGGCAGGACGAAGCCGACGGTCGCCCTCGTGCCGAGATGACAACCGGGCACAGAGGCGGTGGCTCCCAGCTTCCTGCCCTCTTCCCCGTAGTGGGGTTACCCAGCGTGACTCATGGCCCGAGCCACAGGCACCCGCCCAGGGAGCCACGGCGGGGAGACCTGGCTTTATTAGAGATGCGTTCGTGCCTCATCAAGTCCAAAGGAGGAAACTGGCGCGTCCCTCACTTTCCCTGAAACAGGCTCCCCCACAGCCCAAGCGGTCAGGTTAAGGTGCATTTGCAGACAGATGCCCTAGTAGGAGGCTGGAGCTTTTGGCCCAGAATTTTCCCTGCTGTAGGCCCATGGTCACCGAGCCTGCCCGGGGGCTGAGGCCCTGAGGAGGTGCCATTGCCCCACCCAAGCCTCAGACAAGTGTCCTGCCCTCGACCCTGCGGGAGGCAGCAGCTCAGGCCCTGACCCTGGCCAGAGAGGGCAGCTCTCTGAGGCTGCTGTGGCCGTGGCAGGCAGGGGCTGGGCTTGCCGGGCCGTCGAGTGGGCACAGAGACTATCTGGGAAGGAGGTGGGCGGTGAGAGCTGACTCCCCGCAGCCGGGGGACAGATGAGCCCCGTGCCGCACAGCAGGGCCGCGTGGTGGGGCCCCCCAAGTTCCGCTCGGTTTCAGCTGTTGACGAGCGGAAACACACAGTTACTGGAAATGAGAGGTTTGGGGGAGCCGCCAGGGGTTGAACATGTGTGGTTTCCCTGACGGCTTTTCAGTAAGAGATGCTTGAGCTCAGGCTGGGCACTGGCTGGTGCGCGGAGGGGGCTGGGCCAGAGTCCCCCCCTTGGGCCTCCACTCTCCATCCTTATAGAGGGACCTGGGTTGGTCCCAGCTCCCGGGGTGCAGCCCCTGGGTGGCCCCTCCTACTTCCCCTTCAGTGGTCAGAAGGAGGCTGGCCTCATTCCTGTCTGACGGAGAGCCAGGTGGGGAGGCCGGGCGGGGCTGAGTGTCCAGGGTCCACATGGTGGCGGGGCTCAGGCCGTGGCGAGGTCCTGTCCTGGGCCTCCAGGGTCTGGCCCAGCACAGAGCTCTGCAGCTCTCTGGTGGACGGGCCTGGCTGGGCTGTCGGCAGCCCTGGGGCCAGGTGGGCAGTGGGAATGGAGGTGGAGGCAGGTGGGTGGCTGCAGGTGACTGGAAGGCTTGGCTCCAGCCTGCAGGGGCTGCAGTCCAGGCCGGCCACCCCCACGAGACCTTCCCCCTTCCAGGTGTGGGGTGGCACTGGGTCAACAACACAGGCCACGGACTTCTTTCCCCCACGTGGGCCGTGCGACCCCGGGCCGCCACCACCTCTCTGAGCTCCCCTCCTCCTTAGGAGATGGGAAGCGGCTGGGGCCATGAAGTGTCCCCCAGGGCTCCTGACAGCCCCAGCTGCCGTCCTCGTGGCTGGGCGACTGCCGCGAATTGTTGCGCCTTCTTTTGAGTTGGCTACGGAGTCATGGCGGCTGTGGGAGGTGTAGCTGGGTCTCGGGCGGCACGCCCGGCTCCCCCGGGGATGTGTCATCTGTGTCATCCACCCTGGAGCCCCTTCCTGGTGCTGTGGGGGCCCCTCCAGGAAGGTCTCTCCCAGAGGCCAGCCACAGGCTCTGGGGAGACTGTGTGGGATTTGCATGCAGTTGTGTGCTATTTGATCGAGGTCATGTGTGGGATTTGGGCGAGGTCCTGCGGGATTGGGTGAGGTAGTGCGAGATCTTTGGGCGAGGCCGCGAGGCACTGGGCGAGGCTGGGCATTATTCAGTGCCTTGGAGGGGCAGAAGTTTTAGGACCTGCCAAGTCCAGCCCAAGAATCCCCAACTTTCCCCACAGGGAAAGGTACCCCAGACAGTCCCCAGCCTGTGCCAGCTGTCTTGGGACACCCTGGTGTCCCCCAGGTTGTGGCACTGCAGGCCCCTCCCCCAGGTGCCCCTCCTTATGGGCCCCTCCCAGGGCTGCAGGCACCTGCCTGGATCCCACTTCCCAAGTGTGGGGTAATCCCAGGCGCCCGGTGATCACGCTGGGCCCGGGCAGAGTGAGGCTCTGAGGGGGTGCCAGGGGCACAGTGGGCCAGTATGTGAGCCGGGCTGGGCGCTGGGACTGGGCCGGCAGGCGAGCGGTGTTCCGAGAGGAGGATTCCTGGGCTCGGAGGCCCCTCTGTGCCTCGTGTGGTCAGAGAGCAGGGAGCCGGCGGGTGTGATGGGGATGAGGTGACCTCTGGGGCCACCACTGAAGCCGCCGTCCATCTGCGGCCGAATCGGGAGGCACACAGAGGTGTCCTGGTGGTTTCCCGGGACAGGCGGGAGGAGGCGCAGGAGGGCGGCGTCTGCCCCCGGGATGCCAGGAGTGCTCCTCCGGCAGCGTGGGCTTCGGCTTCGTCCCTCTTTCACCAGTGCCGACGCCCCGCGGGTGCTGTGGGTGAAGGGGCATCGGTGCCCTCCTGCTGGGCGGGAGGAAGGAAGGGGAGCGGGAGGCTGGGTCTCTCTCGCCCAGGGCTCTGCCCCCACCACCCTAGGGTTTTGTGTTTCGGTGGAGCTGTAAGAATGCTTTGTCTGCTCCAGACTTCCCGGTCCTGGGAGATCAGGTGGTCAGGCAAAACATCCAGACCGTCTGGGTGGGGCTGGGGGTGCGGGGGACACGCGCCTTCCTCCTCTTTCCCAGGGAGCTTCTGCCACTCCTGTGCCACCCTGGGGAGCTGCCTTGCCCTGCCCCGCTCTGGTCCCCATCAGCAGGTGTGGTTCTGAGCTGCCTTCAGATCCGGGTGGTGTGCTGGGCATAGCTGCCCCGTTTTCTCACCTGTGAAATGGGCCCATTACACGCCCCCAGGGCGGTTGTGGGGGTCCCATGAGACAGAGCTTGGAAAGCCCGAGTGTAGGTCAGGCCAGGAGGGTTGTGGGCTCAGTTTCTTCACTGCTGGGCTGGTGTGTGCCGGACAGATGTCTCGGGATCCCTTCCCTCCCTGCAGCATTCTTAACAAGGACGCTGGACATGGAGTCAGCACCTCCGGGCGACTGCCCTGCTGGCTGTGGGGCTCACTCCAGAGGAGAACAGGAGCCCCTCCGGGGAGCCCCTTCCTGCCACCCCCAGCGACAGGATCTGTTCAGGAGCAGTGGTGGGAGGTTGCCAGAAGCATGTCTGGCGCTGGCCCGGAGCGCAGCCTGTGATGCCCGACTTCATTCATGGAGTGTGGTTTGAGCCCTCCAGCAGCGCTGCTGTGGGCCTGTCCATTGCCTTCCCTGCCTCTGAGCCATCGTGGGGTGCAGGGCTGGGCTGGGTCTTCTTGGGAGCAGAGCCCCGGCGTGTCATGACCATCTTGGCCTCTCCAACTCAAGAGGTTTGTCCACATGGGTCCCTAGGGGCCGTTGGGGTGACCCAGGGCAGGAGACACATGCCTGCTTTTGGGGGATCCGCGTGGGAAATTCCCGCAGTGGAGCAGCAGGTGGGGCTCCAGCAGGCGTTTTTCACACTCCAAACAGCCTGCGGGGGCACTTTGGTGACACCTAGTTCCTGGGGTCTCAGAGCCTGCTGGGCTGTGTCTTGGCATTTTGGGGAGGGGCTGGCCACATGCCCCCAGAGTGGCCACCCCAGCTCCGCCATCTCCACGGGCCTTCTGTCGGTCAGATGCAGACAGCCGTTCCCATGTCGGGTGAGGGCATTGTTTTCCCGGCTGCGGGAAAGGTAGCTTCCCGGGAGGACAGGTTCTGTCCCCATCCCGCCTCCCACACAAAGGGTTTCCCCGGAGCCAGAGGAGGAAACCTGGCCTTCCTGCACTTCCTCCTTCGCACATTTTAAACCATCCGAGGATGCAACTGGGGGAAAAGATTTGCAGACAAAAGAGCTGGGGGTGCCGGCAACAGCTGTTTGGGCCGGAAAGCCTGGCCCCGGCTCAGACCCCGGCTGGGTCCCTGCGCTGTGGCGGGCCGGCCGCGACCCCCGCCCCACCCAACTCCGCCCCCTGCTGCCCGCTGTCTCCGGAGCGGCGGCTGTTTGGGGCTGGCTCCTTTTCTGGGCCCCCACCTCCCTGAAGCCCCCACTGCCCCTTTCCTCCTTCCTGGGGCCCTGGGAGCCAGGGCAGGGCCCCCGTGCAGCTTTCAGCAGCTCCAGCCCAACGGCTGCAGGCGCTGGGGAAGACCACAGCTCAGGTGGGACCGCAGGTGGTGGCTGGAGGCAGCCATCCCACATCGCAGCCCCCAATCTCGTGGTTTTGTGCTCCAACGGTGAACAGGCCTGGTGGTGCTGGGCTGTCGTGGGCCCCTTGGCCCCCTCGGTGCCTGCATCCCTCTCTCCTGTCCAAGATGGGGAAGGAAGCCGGGAGCAGAAAGGGAAGAAAGACCCAGCGGCTGCAGGGCGCCTTTCAGGGCCTCCTAGCCACCGCAGAGGCTCCAGCCAGCTGTTTGAACAGGGGTTGGGACACAGGGTCCTGGCAGGTTTGAGGAGCCCGGGGCCTTCCTTGCTATAGCTCTTTGTTCTGGGGGATTTGGGGAGGCCAGGGAAGGGGCTGTGAGCAACGAGGTTCCAGCATCTTCCCAAGCCTCCTCCATCCCCCAGGGCTGGGCTGCTTGGCCGTTCCAGTGGGAGAGGACCCGAGGTGGGACCCCGAGCCCCCTGCCCAGCTCATTTCTTAGCAGCCGGTGCCTCCTGGAAGGTGGGTGGTGCCCACTGGGATTGGGGAAACTTGGTCTAGCCTCTACCCAAGGGAGGGGCTGAGGTCCCAGGACTCCCCCTGCCCCAGAAGCCTTGGTCCGGGCTAGAGCTGGGCTCGTTGGCCTCATGGAAGCCTGCCTTGGGAAGCATCCCCACCCAGGTCTGGCCTTGTCTCCCCGTCTCCAGTAGGGGGTCACAGTGTCCCCCCAGCCAGTCCACATATGGCCCCATTTGCTTGGGCAGGCCGATGGGTGGGCCTGTCTGTGTGGCCCAGGTCACCTGGTGGGGCCCACTGTCAGTGGCGTAGGTAGAAGGTGGTCAGCCTTGCTGGGTCTTAGCAGAGCACGGCAGGATCTGGGTCTGGGGAGGGCGTGGGGGTGCCCCTGCCATCACAGGAGCAGGCAGAGTGGGAGCCCTAGACTCCCCTCTGGGCAGAAAGCCCCTTGAGGCTGGGGGCAGGTCCTGCTGGTGAGGGAGGGGTCCCAGGGGCAGGGGCACCCTCAGGCTGGCCGCCTAGCGATTGGCTCCTGCAGGACGTGGCCACGGGCTCCCTGGGAGCAGCAGCTGTTGGGGGTGTCTGGGGAGAAGACCCCCATTTATTGCCCTGTGAGGGACCACACTGCTGCCAGGGGACCCTTGGGCTTCTGTGGCAGGACAGTGGGCCGGGATTGGCAGTGAGGCCCAAGGAGGGCAGGTGGGGCTGGACCTGTGGCTCTGCTGGGGAGCAGGTGGGATGTGTTAAGATGCTGATTTCAGCCGGGCAGCTCCTCCCCTTCCCTTCCCAGGGAGCCGGGGTGTGCAGGGCCGTTCCTTCCCCTCTGGGAAGTGCAGCTCCTGTGCACCGGAGAGGCCCCCGCACTGTCCCTGCCCGTCCCACCAACTGTCCCTGCCCGTCCCTCCACTGTCCCTGCCCATCCCCCTCACTGTCCCTGCCCATTCCCCGCACTGTCCCTGCTCATCCCCAACACTGTCCCTGCCCATCCCCCCCTCACCGTCCCTGCCCATCCCCCCCGCACTGTCCCTGCCCATCCCCCCCCACTGTCCCTGCCCATCCTTGCCTTGGGAGGTGCTGTCACCTGGTGGAGCCATGGGAAGCACCTCTCCCACCCAGGGTCTCTGGTTCCTGTGGCGGGTGCAGAGCCAGCCACATCACTGACACCCCAGCTGGGTTGGGTCCAGCTGACCCCACACCCCCACCCCTCTGCTCGGCCTCTGCCTGTGCCCCCATCCCTGGCCCTGCATGACCATAAACTCCTTGAGGGCAGGAAGTGAGTGAGTCCTACCCGCACTGAGTCCCTCTCACCCCTCCTTCTCATTTTGGGGCGGAGGGAACTGTCTTCTGTCCCCTGGGGGTGGCAGATGGCCGCTTAGCTTAGAAAGGAAAACAGCACAATTTAGAATTCGTCCTGGGTGAAAGGTCTCGGCAGCATCTGCCTCCTGCTGCTTTCTGGAGTCGCATTTCCATGGAGCGGCCCTGGCAGGGAGGGTGGGAGTGGCACAGTGGAAATACTGAGGCGGGAACAAAGTGGTGGCGGTAGAGGTGGCGGGAGCGGCACAGCAGGCGCCGGGGCCACTTGGCACCCTCCCCCCGCAGCCCTCCTGGAGTCCCCGCCCGCCGCTCACCTGCGGGGGGCCCAGATAGGACAGGTTACCCCAGCGCCGCCAGGCCACTGAGCGTGGGGGATGGGACAGGCAGGTGCCGGGTGACCCTAAGAGGGACGCACGGAAGGGGAGTCCACGGGGGCACACCTGGCGTGGGTTGGGTCTCCTCCGTGGGAGCCCGAGAGCTGGGTGGCTTGGTGGACAGGGCAGCTCTCTCGTCCAGTCGGGGGAGACTGGCGTTCCCTATCTCAAGCCTCACTTTTTAGCCCCAGAGGGGTCTCCCCACCGCCCCTGATAGGAGGAGATGCGGGGACGGTGGAAGGTGGGGTGCGGGTCACTCATGGAAGCCCTGAGGATCCCCGTGGGCGCGGCAGCTGTTGGGTGCCACCTCACTCGGCCAAGCCCTGGCGCCCACCTCGCGGCCCACACCCACCTGGCCGCCGGGACAGCATTGAAGACAGAGTGGCCCGGGTACCGGGGGTGTGGCCAGCGCCAAAGCTGTGAAGGATTTGCTCACAGGCTGGTGGTCCTGGCCATGGCCATGCTGCAGGCCTGAGGTCCCTCCCACCTTCTCAGGGACGTCTGGGTGCTGTGCGGAGGGCAGGTGTTCGCCGTCTGTAGGGTGCTCCAGCTCTGTGGCCATGTGGGAGAGAGGTACAGACTGGGGCGGGCACAGGCTGGAGGCTGCCCACAGCAGCAGCGGGAGACTGGGCCCAAAGCTGCCCCCCACACACAGACCCCCACACCTGGCTCAAAACTTTCTCCAGGCTCGGCCCGGTTCCCCCCAGCTAGCGCGTCTCACGGAACCTCCAAGCCGTGGCTGTGGGGCCGTGGCAGGGGCCTTCCCTGTGGTGTCCGATGCCCAGGCTGGGAGTGGGGGCGGACAATGGGCCCTCTCAGCCTGCATTCCCCCACGGGAGCCTCCTCAGGCCTCCGGCTGGGGCTCCTGCCCCACCCGCTGGGAGCAGCTGCCGCCACGTCTGACACCTGCTCCCAGCCGCCCTTTGTCCGAGCACCGACGCCTGATTTATGGGGCGTGTTTTCCTCTTGCTGGCCCGGCGTGATACAGCCTCGTTAACTGGGATGCGTCCGGTTGGGCAGATTCTCCCACAGTCCTCCACGTTGGGGTCCGCGCTCAGGGTGGGGAGTGGGGCCCGGTGTCCGGGCAGAGTGTCGTGGTCCATTCAGGGACAGCCAATGTCCTGTGACCTCAGGGCACTTGGTGGGAGACTGCTCTAGGGGCTCGGACCTCCAGCGTCTCCCCTCTGGGGTCCCCTAAAGCTGTGGGATGGGCCTCCCCTGCCCCTCCTCCCCGTCTTGCCCAGCAGGTGAGCTTTTCCCGCTCCTTGGAGCCTCGAGGGGCCGGGAGGCAGGGGACCAGCTTGCATGGGCCAGGCTGAGGAGCCTCCAGCCCCGGCTTTGATGACCGAGCGCCCTCTGTCCTGTACCCACCCCCTGCCGACTTCAGCGGCTGGGAAAGCAAAAAGGGCCTTTTCTCCAAGCGGGAGCTGTGGCCAACTCCCGCCTGACAATGGGGCATTTATGTGGAGGGAGGGCGCCCCTCCTGTGGCCACAGCCCAGCCCAGCCCAGCCTGTGCACTCCACGGGTTCCCAGCGGCCGCTCCACCTCGGGGACCGGCCAGCCTGTAACTGGATCTGCATGCAGTGGGAACCACGTCTGCCCTCCCAACAGGTGCCCGCAGAGGCAGGTCTGTCGCTGCAGCCCCGGAGTGACCGGCCACATGGGATGGAGGAGGGGGAGCCTCATTCCGGGGCTGTGCCCGTCGCTCACTGGGCTGGCAGGAGCCGTAGCAAGGCCTGAGTGAATTCCCCAGAGCCCCTTTGGAAGGGGTGACATGTGTTTTCTTTAAGCCAGTTGGTTTGGGACTTTTGGCTTCTGGCAACAGATGGTCGGCCAGAGTGGCCCTTTTGCGTTCTCTCTACCCAAGCCGTGGTCACGGGTAAAAGCCTTCGGGGAAGACAGATGCCTCCCGGGCCTTTGGGACAGGGGCGTGGCTGGCTGCTGAGAAACGCACAGGAACCCCCACCCCCAGCCTCCACAAGCCCCTCGGGGTAAGGCCCCCCCAGGCCACTGCCACACATAGCACAGGTTTGATTGGAGACACTGGGGTGGGAATAAGCGGGAGAGGAGGCGAGGACTTGGGGGGCCGGTGGGGGTCCTGTGGGAAGCCGGCAGCTTCAGGGCCGGTCCTGGGGCAGGCGGCCGCCGCAGCCCCGCACCCAGGTGGGCTCCGGAAGGCGGGACGGTTCCCTCTGTACATCCCATCTGGAGGAGGCCATGCCCACCCAGGGCCTGAGCCGTGAGGCTGCTGCCTTCCCGGGCCGCTGGGGCCGCTGAGGCTGGTGGCATGTTCTGCTTCAGAGGCTTCACCACTGGGAAGAGCGGCGCCCGGCGGGTCCCAGACCTTTTCCCGGAGCGCAAGGCCAGGAGGTGACTGGGGCCGGAGATTTATGACCACAGCAGGTGGCTGGGGGGGGCAGGCTCTGCGCCTGTTGCCGCAGGGAACAGGTGAGACCAGGCCTGGGTGGAGATGCAGGACCCCTCCCCTGGCTCCCCTTGTTCTCTCTGAGCCCAGACTGTGTGTCCGGGGTGAGGGGCAGCCTTTCACCCACCTTGACGGGGTTGCAGAGACCTGGCAGAGGGACCTCCTCCTGGCACCTTGGTTTCCCCGGCTGTAATGTGGGTGCTTCTGCTCCTGGCTGATGTGCCTGGATGTGAGTTATGAAGACTCAATGCCGAAAGGGAAACGTGTCTGGGGGCTGAGCGTGGGCAGGGAACGGGCCAGCCTTCATCCCCAGTGCGATCTTGACATGAGATGTCCCATCCCCATTGCAGTCTCAGCCTGAGGTGTCCCATCAGAAAGGCTTCCTGGCCGGGCGCGGTGGCTTACGCCTGTAATCCCAGCACTTTGGGAGGCCGAGGCGGGCAGATCACGAGGTCAAGAGATCAAGACCAGCCTGGCCAACATGGTGAAACCCTGTCTCTACTAAAAATACAAAAATTAGCTGGGCATGGTGTCAGGTGCCTGTAGTCCCAGCTACTCGGGAGGCTGAGGCAGGAGAATCGCTTGAACCTGGGAGGCAGAGGTTGCAGTGAGCCTAGATCGCGCCCCTGCACTCCAGCCTGGGCAACAGAGCAAGACTCAAAAAAAAAAAAAAAAAAAAAAGAAAAGAAAAAGAAAGGCTTCCACGTAGGAAGGGGCTGATCCACACTTTCCGTGGCTGCCATCATGTTGACACCTGAAGGTTGGAAAAACCACGGCCTTTGTTACTGCCCAAGCAATGCCTGTTCGCTTTAGCAAAGCTGGGAAGAAAAGCAGATAGGCCTGCAGACCCGGAGGCTCTACGGAGCTAATGCACCCGGCTCCTCTCCATGGCTCTCCGCGGGTGTAGACCCAGACCCCTGCCCGGGCTGTGGAGTCCAAGCTGGGTTCTGCTGGAACATCCTAGTCTCTAGCTTGTTCCCCAAGTTAGCAGTCATTTGTCTTCTTCTTTCTTTCTTTTTTTGAGTCTTGCTCTGTCACCCAGGCTGGAGTGCAGTGGCGTGATCTCGGCTCACTGCAACCTCTGCCTCCTGGGTTCAAGTGATTCTCCTGCTTCAGCCTCATTCAGTGGCATTCAGTACATTCCCAAAGTTGTGCAATCGCGGCATGTGTCTGGTTCCAGAACATTTTATCAGCCCTAAGGGAACCCCGCTAAGCAGCCGTTGTGCCCGTGCCCGGGGTGTGGGGGGAGGCGGCTGTGCCCATGACAGGTTCCCGGTGCTGAGTGGCGGGGGCGCTGGGGAAGCAGGTGGGAACTAACTGCCCTGGCACATCTGCCAACAGCTGTGGCGGGGCCTTCGTGGGCCCGCGATGCCAGGACCCCAACCCGTGCCTCAGCACCCCCTGCAAGAACGCCGGGACATGCCACGTGGTGGACCGCAGAGGCGTGGCAGACTATGCCTGCAGCTGTGCCCTGGGCTTCTCTGGGCCCCTCTGCCTGACACCCCTGGACAATGCCTGCCTCACCAACCCCTGCCGCAACGGGGGCACCTGCGACCTGCTCACGCTGACGGAGTACAAGTGCCGCTGCCCGCCCGGCTGGTCAGGTGAGGGAGGACCCACAGCCTGAGGGGTGGGCAGACCCAGGCCCGCCGCCAGCTGCCCAGGCAACTTGAGGTACTTGGCGGGATCCAGGCCCGGGTCTCTGACCCGGAAGTAATTGGGAGCCCCTGCCCCAGGGTCCCTGCCCCCCTCCCAGACCTGGAATCGCCTCGTTTTCAGCTGCTTGCTCTGGCCCAACTCTTGCTGTCCCCGCTTCTGCGAGACAAGGGGAGCCTCTGTGTCCAGGCCGCCCCTGCCCCCTTCCTCCTGCCGTGCACTGGCCCTCACCTGTTAGGGTGAAGGGTGTCTGGAGGTGTCAGCTCTGGGAAGAGACGGCCCAGGCTCAGGCCTCTTGGGAGCTGTGGTCCTTCATCTGCCAAAGGCGACCGGTCTCACGGCAGGTCCTGAGGATCAAATGTGATAGCACCTAAGGTGGAGCCCAGGCTGGCACCTCCAGGTGGCCTGAAGGGAGGGAAGGCCCGGCCTCGGGGAGCAGTGAGGCCAGCACGACCCTCTTGTCCCCTTGTCTCCAGGGAAATCGTGCCAGCAGGCTGACCCGTGCGCCTCCAACCCCTGCGCCAACGGTGGCCAGTGCCTGCCCTTCGAGGCCTCCTACATCTGCCACTGCCCACCCAGCTTCCATGGCCCCACCTGCCGGCAGGATGTCAACGAGTGTGGCCAGAAGCCCGGGCTTTGCCGCCACGGAGGCACCTGCCACAACGAGGTCGGCTCCTACCGCTGCGTCTGCCGCGCCACCCACACTGGCCCCAACTGCGAGCGGCCCTACGTGCCCTGCAGCCCCTCGCCCTGCCAGAACGGGGGCACCTGCCGCCCCACGGGCGACGTCACCCACGAGTGTGCCTGCCTGCCAGGTAGTGCTGCCCGCTGGCCGGGGTGCACGAGCCCCTCCCCGGCTGCCAGGCCCAGGGGGTGGGAACGGGGCGCCTGGTGTAGGGGCAGCCCTGGGAGGGCCCATGGCGGGGAGTTGGGAAGGCGGGATGGCGAGTTCCCCAGACTGCGTGTGGTGTCGGGGGGACGCGTCTGGAGCGGGGTGTGCGCTGGGAGGAGGCTTGCACAGGGTCCAGGTGCCAGCCCGTGTCTCTGGAGTTTCCCGGAACTCACATTCGAGCTGTAGGACGCCCTGCCTCCCCCCAGTGCAGGCACCCTGACTTGCGCAACCCCCAGGGTTTCCCCTGCAGTGGGGCTGGGGCCGGAGAGGGCGTGGGAGCTGCGGGGGCACCATCACTTCCCAAGCCATGGCCCTTCCTGCCATCCTGCTGGTCTCCTGCGGGTGTGGGTGACAGGTAGGCGCAGCCGCCTGCCCGTGTCCCCAGTGCTCCCCGATCCCCGTGTTGTACGTAGGAGCCTCTCTGCTGTAGTTCTTGTTTGAGTAAATTTTGCAGCAGCTCTAAAAATAAGGAAGAGTTTTGAAAACCTCCAGTCTCGGCCGCGCGTGGTGGCTCACGCCTGTACTCCCAGCACTTTGGGAGGCCGAGGTGGGCAGATCACAAGGTCAGGAGATGGAGACCATCCTGGCTAACACGGCGAAACCCCGTCTCTACTAAAAATACAAAAAATTAGCCAGGCATGGTGGCACGCGCCTGTAGTCCCAGCTACTCAGGAGGCTGAGGGAGGAGAATCACTTGAACCCGGGAGGCGGAGGTTGCAGTGAGCCGAGATCCCGCCACTGCACTCCAGCCTGGGCGACAGAGCGAGACTCCGTCTCAAAAAAAAAAAAAAAAAAGTGAAGAGAAAAAAGAAAACCTCCAATCTCAGCTGCACAGAATGGCTGTTAGGTGGGAATGGGGAGAGGGCATTCAGGCAGGGGTGGGGCTGGAGGGTGCACAGGGTCCTGGCTGACCCACGGGTGGCCCAAGGGCTGCCCCACCCCCTTGGAAGCCCCAAGCTGGCCTGGCCCCTGCAAAGGGGAAGCTCCCTGGCTGCCCAGTCAGCTGAGCCCAGCCACCTCTGCGTGCAGACACCAGACGTGTGCGTTTCCTGCAAGTCACTGGGCGAGCGTGGGGTGGGGACAGACACTCCCTGGCCAGCTTGGATCTCTGCAGGGTGGGGCGCAGAGCCCTTCTGCTGGTGGGGGCTCAGATGCCTTCCTAGCAGCACGGGACCCTACCTCCAGTCACACGGATTGAGGGGCCAAGCTCTTGGGGGGCCGTGGTTCAGGCTAGGGCAGGTGGGGTGTGTGCGGCCTTGTCCAAGGCCACCTGTGTGCAGAGCTGATGCCCACCCGCCTTGGGCAGGGTGGGTGAGGACCTCCTGGTGAGGCCCAGCGGCAGAGATGCCAGGGGTGCTGGGCCGGCTCAGAGCCACTGCCCGTGCAGGGGCAGCTCAGGGCCCTGGGGAGTGGGCAGGGAGGGAAGGGGAGGGGCTGGTGGGGTTCACTCACTTGAGTGTGGGTAGATCTCAGAGGCTGGGGTGCTGGGGGCTGGGTCACCCGTCCGGTGAGGGGTGTGCTCACTGCCTGCTGTGGAGTCTGGCCGTTTCAGGGTGAGATGACCATCCGGGGGCCTCCCCAAATGACTCAGGCCTGCCAGACCCCAGCTTCAGACTGTCCCCGGCGGCCCCTGCACCCAGGCCCCCTGAAGGGCCCTCAGCCACCTCTGGGTGGTCAGGAGCCCAGGAGACAGCTGTGTGTGGAGTCACGGGGAACCGAGATGGGGGCGGCCCTGAGCTCTGCAGGCCCGGGAACTGGCTGGGATTTGGGGTCGCACAGCCTGCCTGGCACGTCAGCACTGTCTCCTCGTGGGGTCGCTGGCCGAGGCTACGTCGCAGAGGGTCCAGCTGGGGTCCACGGGGCTCTCGCTGGCTTCCCGCCCTCTCCCCCACTGTGTGCCTCAGCCAGTGCTTTGCAGGGCAGCCCTGGGGTCGCAGGCCCAGCCAGGGGCCCCATCTGCCTCGGAGCCGGGGTGCAGGGCCCCACACATGAGTGGGACCGGGACTCAGGCTCCAGGCTCTGAATTTTTTTTTTTTTTTTGAGACAGGTCTCTGTCACTCAGGCTGGAGTACAGTGACGTGCCCTCAGCTCACTGCAGCCTTGACCTCCCAGGCTAAAGCGATCCTTCTGCCTCAGCCCCTCAAGTAGCTTGGGACCACAGGCCGGCGCCACCACGCTTTGCTACTTCTTGTATTTTTTTTTGTAGAGACGGGGTTTCGCCATGTTGTCCAGGCTGGTCTTGAACTCCTGGGCGCAAGCGATCCACCCACTTCAGCCTCCCAAAGTGCCGGGATTCCAGGCGTGAGCCACCGCGCCAGGGCTGGGGTCTGGTTTTGGGTGCTCCCCAAGCTGATTTGCATTTTGGATTTTGGTTGTCTCTGGCTGCCTGCTTTTGCTCCGGTCCAGCAGACAGACAGAACGGACGGGGTGGTGGCGGTGGGGCAATGTCTCAGAGGGAGGGGCCGAGCAGGTGGGAGCTCCAAGGGCAACGGGGGTTCAAAGGCATCTCGGGAGGGCGGCAATTAGTAACCGGCTGCAGGTTTGGCTGTTGCCGAACGCGCCTTTCTGGGTTGATCATTGAACCAGCGGGAGTTGAGTGGATTAATAGCTAACTGGCTGCCTTGGAGGCCTGGGTGGGGCCATACCTCGGGGGAGGGGGCCCTGGCAGCCTGTGGAGGAGGAGGGGGAGGAGGAGGTGGGCACCAGAGCTCTGCCCCAGGGAGGATGGGCCATCTGAATCTCTGCAGCTTCCCTGGGGCTGCGAGGGGCCCACCCTGCCCCAGCCAGCAGCCTGCTGGCCCCATGTCCCCCTGCTGCTCAGAGCCCAGGCCCCAGTGTCAGCCCCTGAAGATGGGGTGTGCGGCCCCCCTGTGGAGACATTGTAGGGAGCTCTGAGCATGCAGGCGGCACCCAGGTGCAGGAGCTGCCGGAACCTCTTAAAAGAGACCCAAGGGTTTTTGTGACAGAATCTTCTGGAACCCTGTGTTCCTGAGTCCCTGTTTAGCCAGTCCTGTCCAAAATGATTCTTTCAAGCAGGGCGTGTCCCTCTGGGCACTGGAGTGAGGCAGGGGACGGGCACAGACCCCGGGGGCCCCAGGGCAGGGCCGTGGAGGCCAGGCTCTTGTGTCCAGAGCAGTGTGTCGGGGGTCCAGGCAGGAGCCGGACTGGACCTCAGGGAAGAGGCTGACCCGGCCCCTCTTGCGGCAGGCTTCACCGGCCAGAACTGTGAGGAAAATATCGACGATTGTCCAGGAAACAACTGCAAGAACGGGGGTGCCTGTGTGGACGGCGTGAACACCTACAACTGCCGCTGCCCGCCAGAGTGGACAGGCGCGTATACGGGTCGCCGCAGGGCGGGGTAGCCGGGGCGGGGCTGCTACCCACTTACTAAACTGCACTCACAGGCATAGCGGGGAGCAGCCGAGACCCTGTCCCAGGCCAGGCAGACTAGGGTTGGCCGAGAAGGACAACATGATGGGGGCCCCACTTCCCGTGGCCAGGGTCTGGTGCCCCTCACCTCGGGGGTCAGCACAGACAGGGCCCTGGTTGGTCTGTGTGGGCCGTTTGCAACCTGGCTCCAGGCAGCCCCTGTGCCCAGTGGGGTGTCCTGGCATTGAGGGCCTTCAGCACCCCACTCAGGCCACGCTTCCTGGGCCAGTCACAGGGATGCCTGGATGAACAGACAGGCCCTGTGTTCGGGAATTACCCTCTGGTGGGGTGACGGGCAAAGGTGCACCCCGACGCAGCAGTGTCCACAGAGCACAAAGAGGAGGCAAGACTCCATGGTGCTGGGCCTGCAGAGGAAGGAGTGATTTAGGCTGGCGGTGGGTGGAGGAGTCAGCCCAGGAAGGCTTCCTGGAGGGGGCGGCATTGCCACCCTGCGTCTTAGGGGACAGGGAGCTCAGGGAGTGGCAGCTGCCCGGGGCCGACAGCTCCTGTTCCCTGCAGGTCAGTACTGTACCGAGGATGTGGACGAGTGCCAGCTGATGCCAAATGCCTGCCAGAACGGCGGGACCTGCCACAACACCCACGGTGGCTACAACTGCGTGTGTGTCAACGGCTGGACTGGTGAGGACTGCAGCGAGAACATTGATGACTGTGCCAGCGCCGCCTGCTTCCACGGCGCCACCTGCCATGACCGTGTGGCCTCCTTCTACTGCGAGTGTCCCCATGGCCGCACAGGTGAGTGCCTTGAGGCCCAGGTGGGCGCAGGGGGCTCACATGGGCCAGGCCTGAGCTGTGTGACCTCACCCAGGGACTGTGGCCCTCCTGCACCCAGGATAACCTGAAAGGGCCTTTCTGGTCAGGGAGGCCGGTGGTCGCTGTGAGTCCCCCGGAACGTCCCAAGTGTCACGGGATGCCCGACGGGGTCACGGCGGGCAGCTCCTCCTGGGGTGTCAGTGGGGTTGGACCCCAGCCGTGGGTGGTGTGCCATGCCTGGCCCAGGGGCCGTGCCCACTGACCGCCGCTGCCTGCCCAGGTCTGCTGTGCCACCTCAACGACGCATGCATCAGCAACCCCTGTAACGAGGGCTCCAACTGCGACACCAACCCTGTCAATGGCAAGGCCATCTGCACCTGCCCCTCGGGGTACACGGGCCCGGCCTGCAGCCAGGACGTGGATGAGTGCTCGCTGGGTAGGTGCCAGCACAGGGGGTGCGGCCAGGTGGGGGTGGCAGCCTGGCCCCAGAACCGATGAGAAGTCGATTCTGGCTTCAGGGGGTGCCCAGTTAGATGGGGGATGGGACCCTGCCAGTCCGATGGGGGTGGTGTGCAGTGAGGTGTTGCAGGGGCCAGGGTGCCTGGAGCAGCCTCTCACCCGTGTGCCCTCGCCAGGTGCCAACCCCTGCGAGCATGCGGGCAAGTGCATCAACACGCTGGGCTCCTTCGAGTGCCAGTGTCTGCAGGGCTACACGGGCCCCCGATGCGAGATCGACGTCAACGAGTGCGTCTCGAACCCGTGCCAGAACGACGCCACCTGCCTGGACCAGATTGGGGAGTTCCAGTGCATCTGCATGCCCGGTGCGTCGGCCGGGGCCAGGGCGGGAAACCGAGTCGAGGCTGGGCAGCCTTGGAGGGGCAGCCCCGGGAACATCTGTGGGTTGCTTCCGCTTTCCCCAGCCTCCATGCCTTCTGGGCCCACAGCCTGCACAGGGCATGGGGAAACTGAGGCCAGGCCACAGGGCCAGCAGAGCACGGGGGCAGTGCTAGGCAGATGAGGGTGCCGGGCCAGGGGCCACGGGCTGCAGGGGAGCGGGTGCGCAGGGGGCCCGTGGTGGCTGGGACACTGGGCTGGAGGCAGGGTTCGTTTCTGTCCCAAGTCCACAGCTGTGCCCAGTGGGGCACTGGGGCCGCGCGTGCCCCCCTCACTGTTGCCCCACCCCACAGGCTACGAGGGTGTGCACTGCGAGGTCAACACAGACGAGTGTGCCAGCAGCCCCTGCCTGCACAATGGCCGCTGCCTGGACAAGATCAATGAGTTCCAGTGCGAGTGCCCCACGGGTGAGGGCCACCCCCGCCCCCTGCCCCCGGGTCGTCTGCACCCTGGCCTCCTGAGGGGTGCCTGGGCGTGGGTTGTGTCCCCTGCCCCCGGGCCATCTGCACCCCGGCCTCCTGAGGGGTGAGGGCCGCCCCCACCCCCTGCCCTCGGGCCGTCCGCACCCCGGCCTCCTGAGGGGTGAGGGCCGTGGGTTGTGTCCCCTGCTCCTGGGCCGTCTGCACCCCGGCCTCCTGAGGGGGGCCTGGCCGTGGATTGTGTCCCCTGCCCCTGGGCCGTCTGCACCCCGGCCTCCTGAGGGGTGCCTGGCCGTAGGTTGTGTCCCCTGCCCCTGGGCCGTCTGCACCCCGGCCTTCTGAGGGGGGCCTGGCCATTGGTTGTGTTCAGATTCCCAGGAGAGCGAGGGTTTTGCCTCATGAGTGGATGGGAGTGTTTTCAGACTTCCCCGAAGGAAGGGCAGGGCCCAGTGGGGAGTGGGAGCTTGCCCAGGGGTCGCGGTGGAGCCCAGGGCCAGGAGATCCTCCTTGATCTGGGTGCAGCCCCTTCTGCCTGGAGAGAAGGGTATACCAGGAGCTGCAGTGCCCAGACAGGGAGGAGGCTCCAGCCTGGCTTTCTGAGGGCTCGATGCTGGGAGGGAGGCCAGCCTGCCCTGTCCTGCCATGTCCCCTGCCCAACGGCACGCCAGCGACAAGGGTATGCAGAGAACCACGTGGGGCAGGTTGGCCTGCAATGGAGATGATGGCTGCCCGGGGCGGACTTGGAGGAACTCTCAGGGGCCTGGGTGAAAGGTGTTTCCATCTGTCCCAGAGCTGGGGGCCGGGGCGCAGAGCCCAGGGAGGCGTTGCCAGCCCAAGCCTAGGCTCCCAAGACATAGATTACCCGTCCCAGACACTGGAGCGAGGGGAGCCCCATTCTCAGCCCGGCTCCACTGTAGCCATAGCAACCCAGTCGGTTTGGGAAAAAGGCCCCTTCTGTGGGAGCGAGGGCGTGTGGTGCTGGGGGAGGGGCTTTGATCCGGGGAGCGGGCAGCGGGAGGCAGGGAGAGCTGGAGCTGGCTGAGCTCAGGCTGAGTGTGCCCTGGGGAGCCCAGCCAGGCGCTCACTGCTGGGGTCTGGCCAGGGGTCCCTGAAGGGCCATAGTGCTGTTGCACATGACTCCCTCCCCTCCCCTCCCCGGCCCCAGGCTTCACTGGGCATCTGTGCCAGTACGATGTGGACGAGTGTGCCAGCACCCCCTGCAAGAATGGTGCCAAGTGCCTGGACGGACCCAACACTTACACCTGTGTGTGCACGGAAGGTGCGGGCTGGCGCCCACCAGCGGGGAGGGACTGGGGACGGGACAGGGCACTCAGGGCAGTGAAACTGACAAGGTCATGGACACCTTGGTCTGGGCCACCTGGTCCAGAGGCCGAGAGCACAGCTCAGCCCCAATCCTGAGTAGGTGGGAATGCCACGCTCGGAGCCCTCCTCAGGTTGGCACAGGTGACCCCAGGTCTGGTCATGGGTGTCCCGGGGGCCGCCAGTCCTAAGTCTTCCTGTGCCCGCCCCTCCCACGGTCCAGGGTACACGGGGACGCACTGCGAGGTGGACATCGATGAGTGCGACCCCGACCCCTGCCACTACGGCTCCTGCAAGGACGGCGTCGCCACCTTCACCTGCCTCTGCCGCCCAGGCTACACGGGCCACCACTGCGAGACCAACATCAACGAGTGCTCCAGCCAGCCCTGCCGCCACGGGGGCACCTGCCAGGACCGCGACAACGCCTACCTCTGCTTCTGCCTGAAGGGGACCACAGGTGGCCGGCCAGGCGGGTGGCCGGCGGGGGGCCAGTGGGCAGGGCGGGCCTGAGGACTGACCGACACGTGCCACCCCTTCAGGACCCAACTGCGAGATCAACCTGGATGACTGTGCCAGCAGCCCCTGCGACTCGGGCACCTGTCTGGACAAGATCGATGGCTACGAGTGTGCCTGTGAGCCGGGCTACACAGGTGAGCGGCCCTGCACGTGGGGGCTGACTGCACTGTGCTCAGAGGTCAAGGTCAGCCACTCTGCCCTGGGGCTGCTGAGGGGTTGGGTGAGGGCTTTGGTGCTGCCCACCTGGGCAGACCGTGGTCTGCAGCAGAGATTGCAGCGGGACCAGGGCTATAACTGGCAGCACGATGGGTCCCCCCGACCCCTCTTGTCTCCGGTCAGAGCTGTCCCAGGCCGTGTTGGCAGAGTGGCCCAGCAGGCCAAGAGGGAGCAGCCAGCCCTGAGGCCAGGCTTAAGTACCTTCTGCCTCTGTGGCTCACCAGCACCTTTGAGCAGGTCCCTCTGCCTCTCTGGGCCTCAGATTCTCATCAGTCAGGGCTGCAGTAGCCCCTGCCCCTGGGGCCCCTGGGAGGATGACTTGAGTGGGCACTGGTGCCCGGGGAGGCTGGCACATGGCACATTGTGATCCAAGATGGTTTCTGACACCTGGAAGGATGTGGCCAGAAGGGTGATCGCCCCGGCTCAACAGACAGGGAAATCGAGGTTGACGTGGGTGGGACCCCCTGGGCGCTGGGCCTCGGAGTCTGACCCGCCCTGCCCTTAGGGAGCATGTGTAACATCAACATCGATGAGTGTGCGGGCAACCCCTGCCACAACGGGGGCACCTGCGAGGACGGCATCAATGGCTTCACCTGCCGCTGCCCCGAGGGCTACCACGACCCCACCTGCCTGTCTGAGGTCAATGAGTGCAACAGCAACCCCTGCGTCCACGGGGCCTGCCGGGACAGCCTCAACGGGTATGCGGCGGGGCCGATCATGGGGACACATCAGTCCTAAACCCTGGGAGCTCTGCTGCCAGGAGGGTGGCACCTGCACAGAGCTTGAGATGGGCCAGAAACGGGCCTCGGACGGGGCTGGGTGGCAGGGAGCTCCCCTCGGGGACGCACATGCCTCTGGGTCCTCAGTCAGACTACAGTCCACACCCAGCAGCTGTGTGCTGCGTGTCCTTGTGGGCTGCATGGTGTGCTCAGGACACAGGCCCACAGTGACCCTGGAACACGTTTCCATGGTAACAGCCGCAAGTGTTTCTGATGCCCATGATGTGCCTGGCAGCACTCTGCCTGGATGGGACCATTTAAATCAGCAGGGACCCCATTGCCCTCATTTGGCGCAGAGAAGGCACGTGCTTTGTTCGGGGCCACACAGCGGGCAAGTGGTGGGGGGCTTTTCGCAGCACCCTACTGCCCTGCACTTGGCATGGTCCCCTCGCTAATGAACCAAACCCCTGCCGCAGTCTTGGGTATGGGAAGCGCTGCGGCCCCCACTTTTTTCTTTATTTTGAGACAGAGCCTTGCTCTGTTGTCCAGGCTGGAGTGCAATGGCATGATCTCAGCTCACTGCAACCTCCACCCCTCAGGTTCAAGTGATTCCCCTGCCTCAGCCTCCCGAGTAGCTGAGATTACAGGCATGTGCCACCACACCTGGCTAATTTTTGTATTTTTAGTATATATGGGGTGGGGGAGTTTCGCCATGTTGGCCAGGCTGATCTTGAACTCCTGGCCTCAAGTGACTCAGCCACCCCCGCCTCCCAAAGTGCTGGGATTACAGGTGTGAGCCACAGCGCCCAGCCTGCCCCCACTAAAGGACTCTGCGAGTCTGAGTGGATGGGCACCTCCGCCAGCCCATAGGGCATTGCAGACCCGGGAGTGCCCAGGCCCCGGCCGTGCTGCTCGGGCCTCCCTCGACCTGCAGTGTGGTCCCCCTTGCAGGTACAAGTGCGACTGTGACCCTGGGTGGAGTGGGACCAACTGTGACATCAACAACAATGAGTGTGAATCCAACCCTTGTGTCAACGGCGGCACCTGCAAAGACATGACCAGTGGCTACGTGTGCACCTGCCGGGAGGGCTTCAGCGGTGAGTGGGCTGCGCGTTTCTCAGTGCAGAGGGCCGCCCTCGAGTCTGGGGAGCTGGAGACACAGGATCGGGACCCAGGTCCAGCCAGCACCATGCATGGTGTCTCCCTCCCGTGGCAAAGCCTTAGCTCCAGGCCTCTGGCTCTTGGAGATGAGGAGGGGCCTGGGGTGGGGAGCAGGCCCAGGGCTGCTGTTGTGGGGCCCTGCCAAGGTGCCTGGGAGTGCTGGACATGCCGAGTGCTGTCCCCTTCCCTCCAGGTCCCAACTGCCAGACCAACATCAACGAGTGTGCGTCCAACCCATGTCTGAACCAGGGCACGTGTATTGACGACGTTGCCGGGTACAAGTGCAACTGCCTGCTGCCCTACACAGGTGAGGGGTGGGTGGGGCCTGTGCTGGAGGGGGCGGGGCCTATGTGGGAGGGGCGGGACCTGTGCTGGAGAGGGCGGAGCCTGTGCTGGAGAGGGTGGGGCCAGGGGTGGGGGCGGCCTGGGAAGCCGTGACTGGAGGGTAAAGTGGTGGCTTTCTTGGGGCGGGGCCTTCCAGAAGGTTCTGCGCCTCACTGAGTGCCTTAGGCCCCTGCAGTATGTGGGCCTTCTCCCGGGGGTGGGGTTGGCAGATTAGCAAAGATACAGGATGCCTGGGAGAAAATTTTCATGCAAGCATGTGTTTTACCTGGCAAGCCTGCCGCAAGACACAGGTAAGATGCAGGTGAATCCTTAGCAGGGCCGGGCCTGGGTCACTGGGCTCCGTGCTCCCGGCGCCCACCCTGCTGGGGTCTCTGGGGGCCGGGCTTCCCCACCCCCGCCAGCCGGACCTGAGGGATTCCTTTGATGGCGGGCTCTCTTTGTGTGAGCGGAACAAGGAGCCCTCTGTTTGGGCTGAGCGGGGAGGGGGATGTTCCCCCAACTGTCCAGCCCCTGCTATGAACCCAGCCAAGGGGATCACAGGAAATGATCTCCTCTAGAAAAGACAAAGAAGAGTCCACAAGCACCGGGGTCCTGGCGCTCCCCAGGAGCGGGCAGAGGGTGCTGCCACGGGGCCTGGTCAGGGAGGGCCTGCCTGGGCCAGGCAGCCGGGCTGGAGGTCCCACGCCTGCGGTTCCCATGACATCCAGCAGCCTGTGGCCAGAACGCTGTTTTCTTTGACCGAAGTTAAGGACCTGGGTTTTCTCTCCTGTGTCAGTCAGTGAGGACCCTCCCTCCACGGCTGGGCGCCCCTGTCCCTTTCAGACACGTCGATCGGGCCGGCAGGAGGAGCGGCGGTGCTGACCCGCTTCCTATCTGCCCGCTTCCTGCTTCCTTTCGCACAATTGTCGGAAACTCTGGCGCAGTTCCTGCCTGCCCGGGTCACCGTGGAAACCAATAGGAAGAGAGGCCCTGGAAAGTCGCCCCAGCAGGCCAGGGAGATAATGGGGGACAGGGAAGATAACGCAGTCCCCACGGCTATAAACAGGAAGCTCGGCCATGGGCTTGTGCAGAAAAAGGCCCTCGGCTGTGCACGTGGTTCCCACATAGCCTTTGCCAGACACCCTGCGTGGCCCTGGAGGTCTCCAGGCCGTGCCCCGTGCCCCGACACGCAGGATGTGCTGGGGGCCTGGGCCTGTCCCCTCCATCGCAGCCCTTGTTTGTTGGCCTCCCGTGATGGGCGTTTGCTGCCTGTGACACGGAGCCCCAGGATTAGTTTCAGGCCTCGGTCTCAGGCCAGGGCCTTTCCTCGTCACCCAGAGATGAGGGGGCTTGCGTCCGGGGTGGGCCCAGGTCCCTGCAGTGTCGTGGAGCCCACCCGACTGAGGCCGCCTCTCCTGGTGCAGTCCTTGTTCCTGGGCACGCCTGGTGGGGTGAGGCCTAGGCTGTGCCCCGCTGCCAACCGGGAATGAGGGGTGGCTTCTGAGCGTGACATTTGTGCAGCTTGTCTTCAGCGTCCCCCCATCTGTGCTCCACTCCTCCCTGGGTCAGGGTCCTGGCACAGCCGGGAGCGCTCAGGGGTCTCGGTGCACATTTGCCTCCCGGCGGGACCAGCAGACGGCACTCTGATGGCGGAAAGACCAGCAGGCGGTGGCCGATTTGGGAGATCCCTCTGGGTGAGGCTCCCGGGGTCACGTGTGTCTCCTTCCCGCAGGTGCCACGTGTGAGGTGGTGCTGGCCCCGTGTGCCCCCAGCCCCTGCAGAAACGGCGGGGAGTGCAGGCAATCCGAGGACTATGAGAGCTTCTCCTGTGTCTGCCCCACGGGCTGGCAAGGTGAGGCTGGCCAGGGCCCGGTGAGGGCTGGGATGGGAGGTCAGGATGTCTGCGGGACACAGGCAGCTCCCAGGCAGGCTAGATGAGTCTTTGAAGAGGAGCTGGTGGGTGCTGAGGAGGCCCTGGTCGGAGAAGTTCTGGAATCAGGAATTGACCTGGGAGCACCGTTCCCAACTCCAGTTCCTGTGACCTTCTTAGGCCAAAATTAGGGGAGAGGGGATGGTCCTGGGGTCACGGAAGCCTACTCCTGGGTCGGGAGAGGCACTGTAGGTGGGTGGGCCAGCCTGGGAAGGGCCTGGAGGGCCAGGGGCCGCTGGTGACCAACCGGCCTCCTCCTGCCCCGCAGGGCAGACCTGTGAGGTCGACATCAACGAGTGCGTTCTGAGCCCGTGCCGGCACGGCGCATCCTGCCAGAACACCCACGGCGGCTACCGCTGCCACTGCCAGGCCGGCTACAGTGGGCGCAACTGCGAGACCGACATCGACGACTGCCGGCCCAGTGAGTAGCCCCGCGGCTCTGGCCTCCTCCAGGAAGCTCTCAGGCCTCAGTTCCCCCGGGCAGGGTTGGTGCGCATGGTGCTGGCCATAAGCACCCAGGGAGGCCGGAGTGTGGCCGGGGAGGGTTGGGTCAGGTGTGGGGGATGTGCTGAGGGATGGCCAGGGTGGTTCAGGAGGGCCCCAGAGCCGGCTTGCTCCTCCCTGCACTTCGCGGAAGAGTCACGAGAGCCCCTCCCACGGCTCTTCACTGAGCCGAGGATGGCTCGGGCCCGGCCTGCACTCCCGCCTGGCTCATCGGGCCCCGCTGCAGGCCAGGGCTCTCAGGCCTCCCAGCCCTGCTTCACAGAGGTTGAGGTTGGCAGAAGCCGGGGGTCTTGCTGGCATCACCTGGCAGGCAGAGGCAAGAACTGTCTCTCCTCCCCTGCTCGGTCTGTGAAGCCTGCAAAGCTGCCCCCTGCCCTGGAGCTTGAGGACAGGAGCAGGTGGGGAGAGAGACCCCAAGCACAGGAGACGGGTGTGACGCAGCCTGTGGGTGCTGGGGCTCCCCACCAGACACCTTTGTCACAGGGCTGCTTGCCGCAGCCTCGGCAACGAAAGGCTGGGCTGTCCCCAGCCATGCAGCCTTCCCGGCCCCCTCCCGCAGGTGTGGGTTTGTGCCTGCCCCTCACACTCACCCTTCCGTCCTCTCCCAGACCCGTGTCACAACGGGGGCTCCTGCACAGACGGCATCAACACGGCCTTCTGCGACTGCCTGCCCGGCTTCCGGGGCACTTTCTGTGAGGAGGACATCAACGAGTGTGCCAGTGACCCCTGCCGCAACGGGGCCAACTGCACGGACTGCGTGGACAGCTACACGTGCACCTGCCCCGCAGGCTTCAGCGGGATCCACTGTGAGAACAACACGCCTGACTGCACAGAGAGGTGTGCGGGGCTCGAGTGAGGCCGTGGAAGGGAACGGGCGGTGCGGGCCACACGCAGTAGCTGGCAGCCTGGCACACCATGCAGGCGTCCGCCTAGGCCGGCTGGGCACTTAGCGCTGGCTGCATTGAGTCCAGACATTGTTCATTGTACCGACCTGTCCCTCCTGAGAGGGCCATTGTGACCTCCTCCTGTGTCCCGCACCAGGAGCGCCGGTAGTCTGTCCTGAAGAACTGGTGCGCTTCCTTCTATTAGACAACGAGAACTCTGTCCGTTCTTGTTTCCTTTTTGCCGTGTTTGCCAGGAAGCTCATTTGGTAAACGTCAGTCTCGTCCCTGGTTTCTGACGTAATTACCTCCCGTGTTACCAGGACGGTTTCTGGTTTCTCCCTCATTTACTTTAACCACCCTATGCCCACGCGTTTGGTAAAACCACTCTCGACCTGACTTATAAAGAAAGCAGGGGAGGGAGGTGTGACGTGGTGTGAGAGCCGGGCCCCGGGTTCCCACTGGCCTCCCTGGGTCAGCCAGGCTGCCCTGGGCCTGTCCTGGCCATCAGGCCCCTAGGGTTGAGCAGAAGGGGAGGTGCTGGCGAGGCAGAATCTGCTGGAGCGGGGACCCACCAATGCCCTCCACTCAGCCCCCGCCTGCCCACCCCCTTGCAGCTCCTGCTTCAACGGTGGCACCTGCGTGGACGGCATCAACTCGTTCACCTGCCTGTGTCCACCCGGCTTCACGGGCAGCTACTGCCAGCACGATGTCAATGAGTGCGACTCACAGCCCTGCCTGCATGGCGGCACCTGTCAGGACGGCTGCGGCTCCTACAGGTGCACCTGCCCCCAGGGCTACACTGGCCCCAACTGCCAGGTGAGTGCGCCGGCCACAGAGGTGCCCGAAGGAGGGGCCCTGGGTGGGTGCCTACCTGCGGGAGGTGGGAACGGTCACCCCAGGTCCCACTGTGTCGGCTCGGGGTCACCCCCACACCCCCGGGCAGAGGGTTTCTGGGGATCTGAGCAGCCGGTGAAGGAACCTGATGCGGAAGCAGCAGGCACCTTCGTTTCAATCCCAGGTTTCTGGAGCCGGGGCAGGAGCTCAGGAATTGGGGAATTGAGGAAAAGTGTTCCTTCTAGCAAAGGCCGAGGGTGGTCTGGACCTGCTGAGGGCCCTGAGGGAGACCCAGCCCAGGCTGTTCCTGGTGTGGGGGTGGTGGGGAGTCCAGGGGCGGCAGTTTCCACTTCTGTAGAATGGGTTGCAGCCTGGGTTGGAGTAGGCCCCTTGGCAGATGTGCGTTCTGAGCTACCGGGGAAATGGCCGGGGCGCGGGCACCCAGCTGACCCCAATCTGTCCCCAGAACCTTGTGCACTGGTGTGACTCCTCGCCCTGCAAGAACGGCGGCAAATGCTGGCAGACCCACACCCAGTACCGCTGCGAGTGCCCCAGCGGCTGGACCGGCCTTTACTGCGACGTGCCCAGCGTGTCCTGTGAGGTGGCTGCGCAGCGACAAGGTAACCTGCTGTGCCCACCCAGCTCGGGTCCCAGCCCATCAAGGTCCTCTGTGGGCCTGGGCCTCACCTGTCTACCACCCCATCCCCCGCAGGTGTTGACGTTGCCCGCCTGTGCCAGCATGGAGGGCTCTGTGTGGACGCGGGCAACACGCACCACTGCCGCTGCCAGGCGGGCTACACAGGCAGCTACTGTGAGGACCTGGTGGACGAGTGCTCACCCAGCCCCTGCCAGAACGGGGCCACCTGCACGGACTACCTGGGCGGCTACTCCTGCAAGGTGGGGGTCCCTCCTAGGGTAAGGGTTGTGGCCGGCACGAGTGTTGCCACACACCAGGCCCTGGCTGGGAGCTGGCCCAGTGGAGAAAACTGAACCTGATAGGCCCATGCACTGTTCAGTCTCATTAGGGGAGGGCTGGGGTAATCAGGGTAGACTGCCTGGAAGAGGTGGCCTGTGGAAAGCCTGAAGGAGGGTACCTATACTGAGAAGTGGGATGGGGTTTTCCCTTCCCCTAGATTGTGTCTGGGCTTGGCCAACACCTACCCTGAGGCCCTCACCTCTATCCTATGGGACGGGGTCCACCCACCCCCAACAGGCAGTGACTCCGGTCACCGAGGCCCCGCCAGGGTCTGTTGGGCTGGGTCTCTCTCCAGGTCTGACAGGAGCGAGGGGCCCGTGGCTTCGCTGGACCTGAGGGCAGCTCATGTGGCCCTGTCAGCCCTCACAGTGGGGTGTGGGAGCACTGCATCCTGGCGCCGGCTGAGCCGAAGGGCCCCTCGTTCTGTCGCCTGCACAGTGCGTGGCCGGCTACCACGGGGTGAACTGCTCTGAGGAGATCGACGAGTGCCTCTCCCACCCCTGCCAGAACGGGGGCACCTGCCTCGACCTCCCCAACACCTACAAGTGCTCCTGCCCACGGGGCACTCAGGGTAAGGGCCGCTGCACGGAGGGCTGGTGTTGGCCATCCATGGCCAGGGCAGGGGCAGGGCAGGCACCCCGGGACCGGCCAGAGGCATCCAGGAACCAGCCAGAAACTCCCATTTTCCTGTGTGAGGCCAAGGCCGACTCACAGCTGCCCAGGGAAAGGGCCCAGAGCGGGGGTCCCAGTGGGAAGGGCGTCTCCACGGCACCCTTGACACCTGCCTCTCCCGAGTGTCCGTGCAGCCCCAGACCTGAGCGCTCGTCTTCCGGGACGGACACGCGGCACGGCAGGGCCGGGGTGTGGCGGGCTTGGGCCACTGACGAAACCTGGCCCCGCAGGTGTGCACTGTGAGATCAACGTGGACGACTGCAATCCCCCCGTTGACCCCGTGTCCCGGAGCCCCAAGTGCTTTAACAACGGCACCTGCGTGGACCAGGTGGGCGGCTACAGCTGCACCTGCCCGCCGGGCTTCGTGGGTGAGCGCTGTGAGGGGGATGTCAACGAGTGCCTGTCCAATCCCTGCGACGCCCGTGGCACCCAGAACTGCGTGCAGCGCGTCAATGACTTCCACTGCGAGTGCCGTGCTGGTCACACCGGTGGGTGCCGCGCCCAGGCGGGTGGGGCGTGTGGGGCAGCAGGGTGAGCCTCTCACTGCCCTGCTCTTACCCCTAGGGCGCCGCTGCGAGTCCGTCATCAATGGCTGCAAAGGCAAGCCCTGCAAGAATGGGGGCACCTGCGCCGTGGCCTCCAACACCGCCCGCGGGTTCATCTGCAAGTGCCCTGCGGTAGGTGCAGGGGTGCAGGGAGGCAGGGGCCCGCCAGGGGAGACACCTGGAGAGGTCCACGTGGGGGCCTCGGGGCGCAGACCGGGCAGTGATCCTCCCGGCCTTCATCCTCCTCCTCACCCTGATGTCTTTTTTTTTTTTTTAGTTTCAATAAATGATTTTAGAGACATTTTAGATTTATAGAAAAATGGAGCAGGAAGTAGACTCCCTGGGGTGGCTGTCCCCTGCACGCAGTTCCCCTGGTTAGCAGCTTGCATCAATTTCACTCTGGATTTCAGTGATACATTGTTACCAACAGCAGCCCTTCCTGTACCTGGGGCTTGCCCTTGGCTTTGTGGTTGTGGGTTTGGGCTGAGGTATGACATGCCTGCCCACCCTCGCAGGATCACGGCAGAGAGTCCCTGCCCTAAAGTCCTCAGCACTCCACCAGTTTACCCCTTCCTCCATCTCCCGACCCCCTGGCACCCCCGATCTTTCTCTGTTGGTAGAATGTGTGTAAAGGGTTTTGCTGCTGGGGGCAAGGTTGCAGGCCGCCTCCCAGGTTAGAGGAGAGCGGTGGCACTGCTGGCCGAGGGCTGGGTGTGAGGTGGCGGGGGGGCGGGGGGTGGCCCACCCCGACACCGTCCTGTCTTCCCTCTCGGGCAGGGCTTCGAGGGCGCCACGTGTGAGAATGACGCTCGTACCTGCGGCAGCCTGCGCTGCCTCAACGGCGGCACATGCATCTCCGGCCCGCGCAGCCCCACCTGCCTGTGCCTGGGCCCCTTCACGGGCCCCGAATGCCAGTTCCCGGCCAGCAGCCCCTGCCTGGGCGGCAACCCCTGCTACAACCAGGGGACCTGTGAGCCCACATCCGAGAGCCCCTTCTACCGTTGCCTGTGCCCCGCCAAATTCAACGGGCTCTTGTGCCACATCCTGGACTACAGCTTCGGGGGTGGGGCCGGGCGCGACATCCCCCCGCCGCTGATCGAGGAGGCGTGCGAGCTGCCCGAGTGCCAGGAGGACGCGGGCAACAAGGTCTGCAGCCTGCAGTGCAACAACCACGCGTGCGGCTGGGACGGCGGTGACTGCTCCCTCAACTTCAATGACCCCTGGAAGAACTGCACGCAGTCTCTGCAGTGCTGGAAGTACTTCAGTGACGGCCACTGTGACAGCCAGTGCAACTCAGCCGGCTGCCTCTTCGACGGCTTTGACTGCCAGCGTGCGGAAGGCCAGTGCAAGTAAGGCTGCGGGGCTCATGGGGCTGAGGGAGGACCTGAACTTGGATGTGGCCTGGCTTGGGCCCGGAGGCCAGCATGCAGTTCTAAGGCTCTGCTCAGGGGGTGCAGGGACGTCCCCCGCGGCTGGCCAGTGGGCTGGAGGCACCGGACGGCGGGTGCGAGGCCCCCCGAGGAAGGCGGCCTGAGCGTGTCCCGCCCCCCACAGCCCCCTGTACGACCAGTACTGCAAGGACCACTTCAGCGACGGGCACTGCGACCAGGGCTGCAACAGCGCGGAGTGCGAGTGGGACGGGCTGGACTGTGCGGAGCATGTACCCGAGAGGCTGGCGGCCGGCACGCTGGTGGTGGTGGTGCTGATGCCGCCGGAGCAGCTGCGCAACAGCTCCTTCCACTTCCTGCGGGAGCTCAGCCGCGTGCTGCACACCAACGTGGTCTTCAAGCGTGACGCACACGGCCAGCAGATGATCTTCCCCTACTACGGCCGCGAGGAGGAGCTGCGCAAGCACCCCATCAAGCGTGCCGCCGAGGGCTGGGCCGCACCTGACGCCCTGCTGGGCCAGGTGAAGGCCTCGCTGCTCCCTGGTGGCAGCGAGGGTGGGCGGCGGCGGAGGGAGCTGGACCCCATGGACGTCCGCGGGTGAGTGAGACCCGGCGCCCACGGTCAATCCCCGCAACTCTCCTGGGCCCTCCCCGACGGCCTCCCTGCCCCTCACGGCCGGCGCCATGGCAAGCAGTACTCTCCCCACTTTATGGTAAAAGAGACGGAGGTTCCGAGAGGACCTGGGACTTCAGGGCCTGCGCAGGCAAGGAGTAGAGGCAGCATTCCAGCTCAGGGCCCTGACCCCACAGCCACACCCTTTTCCTGGGCCACTGCCTTCCCCTGGACAGGCGGCACTCCTGTGCCCAGTAGGTGATTTTGAGATTGAGCTGTGCCTTAGGCACTGGATACTACACTGATTAAAACTCAGCCCTCTGCCAGGCGAGGAGGCTCACACCTGTAATCCCAGCACTTTGGGAGGCTGAGGCAGGCGGAGCCCTTGAGCCCAGGAGTTCGAGACCAGTCTGGGCAACATAGGGAGACCTTGTCTCTGTTTTTTTTAAAAAAGTATTAAAAGAAGTAAAAAACAAAACACTCAGCTCTCCAGGGGTTCCCACAGGGCTGAACAGCCCCACCCCAGACAAGAATGCCGCTTGGTCATGGCGTCTGCCTGGCTTGGGCTGGAGAGGAGGCAGGTGGAGGTCCTGGGAGGGGGCATTGCTGGGCCTTGCAGTTGGAGGAGGAGCTGGTGGGGGTGGGGGGTCCCACGGTGGGAGAACACAGGCAGGAGCAGCTTGAGTGCAGGGGGCACCCCACAAGGCTCCCGCCCATGCCTACTCGATCTGGGGCAGCTGGACCCAGGAGCCAGGTTGGTTGTGCCCTTCGTGTGCCTGACCCTGGTGGGTTTGCCTGTCAGTTCTGCTGGCTTGGAGCAATCCTGGAGGTCAGAAGCATCATCTCACAGGCTGGATGGGATCCTGCTCACGGGAACCCAGTCCTGGGGAGCAGAGCTCACCCCCAGCCAGCCTCACCACACAGCCCACCACCGCTGCACCCACCCCCACCTCACGCCTGTGCTTCCTGCAGGGCCTGGGGATGGCTCCTGGGGGAGGACTGGGCTCCTGGCACATACTCTGTCCTGAGATGAGGAAACGTGTCTGTGGCACCAGCAGGAGCCAGAGAGGGTGTCAGGGCGGGCCAGGGAGAGCGCGTTGGTGGGTATCTGGGATGAGCCGTGATCAGCACTGGCCGGAGTCGGGGGGCTGGCACCAGTCCCCTGCAGGGTAGCTGCTGTCAGACCTGGCTTCCCACCACCCCAGGCTGCCTCACCATGTCCTGACTGTGGCGTCATGGGCCTCAGTGTCCTGCGGCAGCATCCCTGGCCGGTGGGCGGGGGAGGAGGAAGCCTCGGGTCCCAGCCCCTCTCTGATTGTCCGCCCAGCTCCATCGTCTACCTGGAGATTGACAACCGGCAGTGTGTGCAGGCCTCCTCGCAGTGCTTCCAGAGTGCCACCGACGTGGCCGCATTCCTGGGAGCGCTCGCCTCGCTGGGCAGCCTCAACATCCCCTACAAGATCGAGGCCGTGCAGAGTAAGTGTGGCCCCATCCCGGGAACAGGCTCTGCCTGCAGGGGGTGCCATCCCCCCGTGCCCCAGACACGCTGGCTGTTTGTGCCAGTTGCTACCCACGGGTGTGAGCGTTGCCGTCCGAGTTGGGGTAGGGCTTTTCTGGAATTTTCTGAATGGCACTCCGCCCCCACCTGCGGCGGTC
This sequence comes from Homo sapiens, assembly GCF_000001405.40. Taxonomy (NCBI): domain Eukaryota; kingdom Metazoa; phylum Chordata; class Mammalia; order Primates; family Hominidae; genus Homo; species Homo sapiens. The sequence continues at coordinate 136,503,001 of NC_000009.12, read as the reverse complement.
ACAGCTGCCGGTGGAGCCACCTGGGAACGAGTCCAGCCACGGGAAAGTGGGTGCCTGCTTCTCTCCCCACCCTTTCCTCCTGAATTTTCTTTGTTGGGTATTATTTCAAAATCATTACGGCTTTTTTTAAAGAAAAAAAAAGAGAGAGAGAGAAGAATTGATCGGTGTCATGTGAAGTGTTGAAGTTTGTATCTTGAAAATCCCTCTAAATCCTTTGTCTTAACAGCTCAGTGCGAGTGCAGCGATTTGAAGTTGACTAATCCTCCTTCCTTAAAGGAGAAAAAAGTAAAAGCCGTCTCCAGATAGAGTCGGCTGGTGCAGGAGAGAATTTAGCGATAGTTTGCAATTCTGATTAATCGCGTAGAAAATGACCTTATTTTGGAGGGCGGGATGGAGGAGAGTGGGTGAGGAGGCGCCCGGACGCGGAGCCAGTCCGCCGCCCCCCGGCCACCAGCCTGCTGCGTAGCCGCTGCCTGATGTCCGGGCACCTGCCCCTGGCCCCCGTGCCCGCAGGTGAGACCGTGGAGCCGCCCCCGCCGGCGCAGCTGCACTTCATGTACGTGGCGGCGGCCGCCTTTGTGCTTCTGTTCTTCGTGGGCTGCGGGGTGCTGCTGTCCCGCAAGCGCCGGCGGCAGCATGGCCAGCTCTGGTTCCCTGAGGGCTTCAAAGTGTCTGAGGCCAGCAAGAAGAAGCGGCGGGAGCCCCTCGGCGAGGACTCCGTGGGCCTCAAGTGAGCGGACGCCGCCCCTGCTTCTGGGTCCCCGGTGGGAGGTGGGACCTGGCCGAGCATCCTCACCGGGAGTCTGCCCCTCCCGACCCAGGGCCCACCTCCCACGCCAGGCCCGGGCCAGGGGTCTCTGGGGGCTTCCTAGGGAGCTCGCTCAGCCTCACTTCTCGACCCCTCACCCCCCAGGCCCCTGAAGAACGCTTCAGACGGTGCCCTCATGGACGACAACCAGAATGAGTGGGGGGACGAGGACCTGGAGACCAAGAAGTTCCGGGTGAGTCGCGAGGCTCCCGGGCTCCTGGGCTCCCGGGCACCTGCTGCCGGGCTGCCCTGACAGGCTCTGCTCACTCCCTCTATGTAGTTCGAGGAGCCCGTGGTTCTGCCTGACCTGGACGACCAGACAGACCACCGGCAGTGGACTCAGCAGCACCTGGATGCCGCTGACCTGCGCATGTCTGCCATGGCCCCCACACCGCCCCAGGGTGAGGTTGACGCCGACTGCATGGACGTCAATGTCCGCGGGCCTGGTAAGGGTGCCAGCAGCCAGGGCTTCCCTAGCCCCGTGGCCCACCTGCCTCTCTCCCCTAAGCCCCGAGGCTGGGGTACAGTTGATACTCTGGAAACTTAGAATTGGGGGTGAGAGCTTTCATCCTTGGGGTGTTTCCCATTCAGAGTAGACGTGGGGGGGTCCTGGAGTCCTCCTGTTCTTCCACCAACCCCTTCCTGGGGTGATACCGCAGGGCCACTCTGTCCCTGTAAATTACTCTTTTCTGAAACCTTCTTGAGACATGGAAAGCGTTGATTTTCTTTTTCTTTTTTTTTTTCTTTTTTTTTTGTTTTTGAGATGGAGTCTCGCTCCGTCACCCAGGCTGGAGTGCAGTGGCACGATCTCGGCTCCCTGCAACCTCCACCTCTCGGGTTCAAGCAATTCTCCTGCCTCAGCCTCCCCAGTAGCTGGGACTACAGGCGCCTGCCACCACACCTGGCTAATTTTTGTATTTTTAGCAGCGATGGGGTTTCACCATGTTGGCCAGGCTGGTCTCGAACTCCTGACCTCAGGTGATCCGCCCACCTCGGCCTCCCCCAGTGCTAGGATGACAGCGTGAGCCTCCGCATCCTGCTGAAGCATTAATTTTCTAACTGCATGCTTCTGGGGTCCTCTTTTTCCTGGGTGGATTTTGGGTGCCAGGTCTTGGGCAGGTCAGGAAGCAGTTGCCCGCCAGGAGTTTAAGCTGGATTCGGCTCTGTCCACTGAGCAGCCCAGGCGGACTTCAGCTGCCCCTTGGTGGCTGTGTGCACGGGGCCACCAAGTGCTGGGTGGTGCATCCACACCGTGGCCCCTTGAGCTTGGGGCTGCTGCCCCCCTCCCCCTGGGCTGCAGCTGGGGACCGGCCCTCCAGACTGAGCACCCGTCTCTGCCTCTGCAGATGGCTTCACCCCGCTCATGATCGCCTCCTGCAGCGGGGGCGGCCTGGAGACGGGCAACAGCGAGGAAGAGGAGGACGCGCCGGCCGTCATCTCCGACTTCATCTACCAGGGCGCCAGCCTGCACAACCAGACAGACCGCACGGGCGAGACCGCCTTGCACCTGGCCGCCCGCTACTCACGCTCTGATGCCGCCAAGCGCCTGCTGGAGGCCAGCGCAGATGCCAACATCCAGGACAACATGGGCCGCACCCCGCTGCATGCGGCTGTGTCTGCCGACGCACAAGGTGTCTTCCAGGTAGGCAGTGGCTGCCTGTGTGCCCACCTGCCCTCCTCAGGGCCGCCTGGTGGTCTGGGGCAGTGGCCAGGCTTACGTGGCCCTGGGAGCCTGACCCCGAGCACAGCTGAGTCCGGGACAACTGGTGCCTCCACCTGGGACCTTCGCAGTCAGCGAGGTGCGAGGGGGAGGGCGTCGGGCCCATCTGTGTTCTCCAGGGAAGTCAGGCAGAGGCGGGTCTGGCAGGAGGCCTGGGGGATCTGCTGAGTGAGGCAGCACCTCCCCACCCCCAGCAAAACAGGCTCCATCAGGGTTGTGGGCCTTGCTCAAGGTCCAGGTTCCACTGCTGCAGCCCCTCGCAGCCCCGCCCCTCCCTCAACCTTGGCTGCCGGCGTAGCCTGTGGCAGTGAGAAGCAGGGTTTAGAGGCTGCCGCTCGGTGCCTGCAGACCTAGGGCTCAGCTTGCCGGTGAGCTCGTGGCAAGAATGGATTTAGGGATTTGGATGCCTGGGTCTCCAGGGAGTGTCCCTGGCAGGGGCTGCCTTTGCAGTCACCCCTGCTGCGAGTCCCCAGGCTCCAGGCGGCCCTGGAGCAAGCAGGTTCAGATGGGCACAGCCCGGGGAGTTACCACAGAGCTTCTCATTTCCTGATTTCTTAGCTCAGGTGACACATTGTCATCTCGCAGAAATAAATGTAGGTGAGCAGAAAGAGCGTGGAAGGGAGCCCCGTGCGGGTTTGGTGTGTGCCTCTCTCAGCTGCCTTCTTTGCACAGATGTGGAAGTTCCCAGGTGCTTTGCAGGAATCAGGCCAAGTTGCCTTTTGCACCCGCCAGTGAGCAGGGGCCATTCCTCCTGCCAGATGCCAAGACCCGGCTGCATTACAAGGGCTGCCCACCCCCTCTCTGGGCAGAGCCGGACACTAGCTCGGCGGTTCTGAGACGGCTGTAGGGCCGTGAGCCCGGCTTCCTGAGTGCCAGCTGTAACCGCCGTTGGGGGCAGGGACTTGACCTCTCTGTTTTGTAGGTGGTCATGGCAGCTAGGACCACAGTGAGGATTAAATGAGGCCACACGTGGTCACGATGGATCCCACTGTCACCAAGGGGCCTGTCTGTGGGCAGCACAGCCCCTGCCCCCATCCGGGCCCCTCCTCAGGGGCAGCCCCATGGCGTTTCGTCTTGCCCGGCCGTGCCGATCTCAGGAGGGTCTCGTCTGTGTCCGGAAGACAGTGGGGCTTCCCGTCCAGGCGTTCGTTCTGGGCAGGAGGCATCGGTGTACGTCTGCCCAGCACCCGCCTGAGCCTCTCCCTGTTGCCCAGATCCTGATCCGGAACCGAGCCACAGACCTGGATGCCCGCATGCATGATGGCACGACGCCACTGATCCTGGCTGCCCGCCTGGCCGTGGAGGGCATGCTGGAGGACCTCATCAACTCACACGCCGACGTCAACGCCGTAGATGACCTGGGTGAGCCCACGGGGGCACGGCTGCTCTGTCGTGGGGCGGGACCGCCACAGGGACGGGTGGGACTGGGTTGCCTCCAGCTGGTCTCCAACCTACCCCATCTGCTTCTTTCACGCAGGCAAGTCCGCCCTGCACTGGGCCGCCGCCGTGAACAATGTGGATGCCGCAGTTGTGCTCCTGAAGAACGGGGCTAACAAAGATATGCAGAACAACAGGGTGAGCGCGAGGCTGGGATGCCAGGGGAGACGTGAGGGCTGAATCCACAGAGAAGTGAGGGCCAAACCCACGGGGCGCAGGGACACAAGGGCCTGACCCACAGGGTCTCGAGGGTCGCTGGGCCCGCATGTGGGCCCCACCCGCATGATGCGGGCACCTCGTTAGTGCTCCTGCCTTCCTTCAGCCCCCGTTTATGGAGCCCTTCCAAGTGCAGGTCCAGCTGTCAGGACACGGCGGCTCGCCCCTCAGACCCAGCCCTACCCTCCTGGGCGGCAGTCATGGCGGGGCACACAGCCTGGCGTGGGGAACGCTGCTGCTGCCACTGCTGTGTCACCGTCACCTGGACCTCACCTTCTGTCCCCAGCTGTCACCAGGCGGGGGTGGGGATGGGAATGTGGTGACGCAGGTGGTGCAGATTGAGCCAGAACACGCGTGGCGGCAGCTCCCTGCGGGGCGGGGCCTCTTGGTGTGTTCACCAAGGCCAAGGACCTCAAGGCTCAGAGGAAGAAGTCTCAGGACTATATCCAAGGGGAGCCACCCCCAGCCCTCATCCTGGCCCTGCAGCTCCTGGCCCTGCAGCTGCTGTTGGTTTCCCCTGGGTGCTCAGGGCACAGGTGCAGACACCCCCACCTCCCTGCCGCCAGAACCCCCACCCCCGCCCCCAACTCCTGCTGCCCCCTTGGCATGTCAGGCTCAGGCGTCTCTCCCTCCTGGGTGAGGGCACACAGCGGGCCTGGGCACCGGGGCATGTTGGCCCAGGCGCTCCCCAGTCCGTGGCAGCATGGCCCCACAGAGACTGGGCCCCAGAGGGCATCAAGGCCTGGGAAGCCCCTTCCCACTCCCACACAGCAGCCTCACCCAGACCTGTGACGTGTCCACCGCACAGAGGAGACCCCAGGAAGGAGCTTGGTGGCCACCAGGGTGGCTTGATGGCCGTCCAGATGACGAGCTCCCTCCCTGGTGCCCTCGCCGGTGCCTCTGAACCGCTCCAGGAATTTCCTTTTGTGCCTTATTGGGGGCAGGGAAGAGGGCCTGCAGTTGGTTAGATTTTCAGTGGGGTCTGTGACCCCCCCATAGAGGTGGAGCCCCGCTGATCTAGGGTAGAGGACTGCACAGATCCCCTCTCTGGGTGGGTTTCAGAAGATGTATCAAAGCCTTAACATTTAACAAGAGTCAGGCTAGGTGGTTGCAGGACGCTGGGGTGGGGTCCTGAGGAGCAGCCTGCCTGCCCCCACCCCGCGGAGGAGGTTGTACTGCTGCTTCCTCTGGTGATGGAACCTTGGGGAGGGTCCCCACGCCTGGCCTGGCCCCCCTCACCGGCCCCCGCCCTCATCCCCCAGGAGGAGACACCCCTGTTTCTGGCCGCCCGGGAGGGCAGCTACGAGACCGCCAAGGTGCTGCTGGACCACTTTGCCAACCGGGACATCACGGATCATATGGACCGCCTGCCGCGCGACATCGCACAGGAGCGCATGCATCACGACATCGTGAGGCTGCTGGACGAGTACAACCTGGTGCGCAGCCCGCAGCTGCACGGAGCCCCGCTGGGGGGCACGCCCACCCTGTCGCCCCCGCTCTGCTCGCCCAACGGCTACCTGGGCAGCCTCAAGCCCGGCGTGCAGGGCAAGAAGGTCCGCAAGCCCAGCAGCAAAGGCCTGGCCTGTGGAAGCAAGGAGGCCAAGGACCTCAAGGCACGGAGGAAGAAGTCCCAGGACGGCAAGGGCTGCCTGCTGGACAGCTCCGGCATGCTCTCGCCCGTGGACTCCCTGGAGTCACCCCATGGCTACCTGTCAGACGTGGCCTCGCCGCCACTGCTGCCCTCCCCGTTCCAGCAGTCTCCGTCCGTGCCCCTCAACCACCTGCCTGGGATGCCCGACACCCACCTGGGCATCGGGCACCTGAACGTGGCGGCCAAGCCCGAGATGGCGGCGCTGGGTGGGGGCGGCCGGCTGGCCTTTGAGACTGGCCCACCTCGTCTCTCCCACCTGCCTGTGGCCTCTGGCACCAGCACCGTCCTGGGCTCCAGCAGCGGAGGGGCCCTGAATTTCACTGTGGGCGGGTCCACCAGTTTGAATGGTCAATGCGAGTGGCTGTCCCGGCTGCAGAGCGGCATGGTGCCGAACCAATACAACCCTCTGCGGGGGAGTGTGGCACCAGGCCCCCTGAGCACACAGGCCCCCTCCCTGCAGCATGGCATGGTAGGCCCGCTGCACAGTAGCCTTGCTGCCAGCGCCCTGTCCCAGATGATGAGCTACCAGGGCCTGCCCAGCACCCGGCTGGCCACCCAGCCTCACCTGGTGCAGACCCAGCAGGTGCAGCCACAAAACTTACAGATGCAGCAGCAGAACCTGCAGCCAGCAAACATCCAGCAGCAGCAAAGCCTGCAGCCGCCACCACCACCACCACAGCCGCACCTTGGCGTGAGCTCAGCAGCCAGCGGCCACCTGGGCCGGAGCTTCCTGAGTGGAGAGCCGAGCCAGGCAGACGTGCAGCCACTGGGCCCCAGCAGCCTGGCGGTGCACACTATTCTGCCCCAGGAGAGCCCCGCCCTGCCCACGTCGCTGCCATCCTCGCTGGTCCCACCCGTGACCGCAGCCCAGTTCCTGACGCCCCCCTCGCAGCACAGCTACTCCTCGCCTGTGGACAACACCCCCAGCCACCAGCTACAGGTGCCTGAGCACCCCTTCCTCACCCCGTCCCCTGAGTCCCCTGACCAGTGGTCCAGCTCGTCCCCGCATTCCAACGTCTCCGACTGGTCCGAGGGCGTCTCCAGCCCTCCCACCAGCATGCAGTCCCAGATCGCCCGCATTCCGGAGGCCTTCAAGTAAACGGCGCGCCCCACGAGACCCCGGCTTCCTTTCCCAAGCCTTCGGGCGTCTGTGTGCGCTCTGTGGATGCCAGGGCCGACCAGAGGAGCCTTTTTAAAACACATGTTTTTATACAAAATAAGAACGAGGATTTTAATTTTTTTTAGTATTTATTTATGTACTTTTATTTTACACAGAAACACTGCCTTTTTATTTATATGTACTGTTTTATCTGGCCCCAGGTAGAAACTTTTATCTATTCTGAGAAAACAAGCAAGTTCTGAGAGCCAGGGTTTTCCTACGTAGGATGAAAAGATTCTTCTGTGTTTATAAAATATAAACAAAGATTCATGATTTATAAATGCCATTTATTTATTGATTCCTTTTTTCAAAATCCAAAAAGAAATGATGTTGGAGAAGGGAAGTTGAACGAGCATAGTCCAAAAAGCTCCTGGGGCGTCCAGGCCGCGCCCTTTCCCCGACGCCCACCCAACCCCAAGCCAGCCCGGCCGCTCCACCAGCATCACCTGCCTGTTAGGAGAAGCTGCATCCAGAGGCAAACGGAGGCAAAGCTGGCTCACCTTCCGCACGCGGATTAATTTGCATCTGAAATAGGAAACAAGTGAAAGCATATGGGTTAGATGTTGCCATGTGTTTTAGATGGTTTCTTGCAAGCATGCTTGTGAAAATGTGTTCTCGGAGTGTGTATGCCAAGAGTGCACCCATGGTACCAATCATGAATCTTTGTTTCAGGTTCAGTATTATGTAGTTGTTCGTTGGTTATACAAGTTCTTGGTCCCTCCAGAACCACCCCGGCCCCCTGCCCGTTCTTGAAATGTAGGCATCATGCATGTCAAACATGAGATGTGTGGACTGTGGCACTTGCCTGGGTCACACACGGAGGCATCCTACCCTTTTCTGGGGAAAGACACTGCCTGGGCTGACCCCGGTGGCGGCCCCAGCACCTCAGCCTGCACAGTGTCCCCCAGGTTCCGAAGAAGATGCTCCAGCAACACAGCCTGGGCCCCAGCTCGCGGGACCCGACCCCCCGTGGGCTCCCGTGTTTTGTAGGAGACTTGCCAGAGCCGGGCACATTGAGCTGTGCAACGCCGTGGGCTGCGTCCTTTGGTCCTGTCCCCGCAGCCCTGGCAGGGGGCATGCGGTCGGGCAGGGGCTGGAGGGAGGCGGGGGCTGCCCTTGGGCCACCCCTCCTAGTTTGGGAGGAGCAGATTTTTGCAATACCAAGTATAGCCTATGGCAGAAAAAATGTCTGTAAATATGTTTTTAAAGGTGGATTTTGTTTAAAAAATCTTAATGAATGAGTCTGTTGTGTGTCATGCCAGTGAGGGACGTCAGACTTGGCTCAGCTCGGGGAGCCTTAGCCGCCCATGCACTGGGGACGCTCCGCTGCCGTGCCGCCTGCACTCCTCAGGGCAGCCTCCCCCGGCTCTACGGGGGCCGCGTGGTGCCATCCCCAGGGGGCATGACCAGATGCGTCCCAAGATGTTGATTTTTACTGTGTTTTATAAAATAGAGTGTAGTTTACAGAAAAAGACTTTAAAAGTGATCTACATGAGGAACTGTAGATGATGTATTTTTTTCATCTTTTTTGTTAACTGATTTGCAATAAAAATGATACTGATGGTGATCTGGCTTCCACTCCCCTCTGCTCTGGCCTTTGGCTCCCTTTCTGGGAGGGAGGCAGGGCTGCTATGCTCTGAGGGAGCCAGGAGTCGAGGGCCCCTTCTGCTGGGAGAGTGACGGTGAGGCTGCCTAGTCCTGGCCCACGGGGGTGTGGGGACCACGCTGCCTCCAGGGACTCCATGGTGTCTGCAGCCTGCCTGGTCCAGGCCCTTTGTAGGGAGATGGACACACAGCAGCAAGGGGGTTGCAGCCCTATGGGAGGTGGGGCTCGTGCCTGGGGTGACACGGCTCCCAGGACACCATGCGTGAGTCTGGCCCTCCTGGCAGCTCGGGGCTCTTCTCCTCTCAGCCTCGGAGGGATGAAGGTCCCACCCAGCCATCCTGGGGACAGCCCCTCAGGGAGCTCTGCAGCAGGCAGGGGGCTGCATAGGGAGGGCCTTGAGGCAGTGGCATGACCCCTCTACGGGCTGGAGACCACAGGGAGGACTCTGGCCCCTATAGGAGGGCAAAGGGAGCTGTCGAAGCCTATGAGCAGGGCAGCATGGGTCGTGGCAGAGTCTGGAAAGTTGTGTGATCCTAAGGAACTGGCTGAGCGAGGCAGAGGCGGCCTGGTCCTGGGGCCCTGCCCCTGAATAGAGCTGCCAGCCTCACACAAGGGTGGGCCCCTTCTCTCCCCACTGCCTGGGCCTCTGCCCAGCCCCAGACCTTCAGGGCAGGCCAGTGGCTTCAAACCAGAGCGGTGGGGAGTCTGAGATCCCTCTTTGGATTGCAAAGCACTGCCTGCCCTGGGCCCAGTCTCTCCAAGGAGGGATGTGAGCCCGAGGCCTCTACTATGGCTGGGGGCTGCGTCTGCCAGCCAGCGCTGGGCACCAGGACCAGGAGGGGCCACCGTGGAACTGCAGTGAGTGGCCTGACTCTTGTCTTCAAAGGGGGTGACCCAGCCGGAGTCCTGCCCATAAAACTCCCAGCACCCTGAAATTCCACTCCTGGGGGTCTGTCCGAAAGAAGTGAAAACAGGGACTCAAACAAACGCACGTGGCCACTTGCTGTCCCGGCATCACTCAGTACAGCCACAGACAGCCTGAGCGTCCACTGCCAACGACGGGTCAGCAAAACCGTCTGCTGTGACGGTGAACCTTAGTGTCAGCTTGGCCGGGCCATTTCGCCAAACGGAGTGTGTCTCTGAGGTGTTCTGGATGAGGTTCGCATTTGCATCCACAGCCCGGGTAAGGCAGTCCGCCCTCCCCAGTGTGGGTGGGCCCCGTGCGGTCCGCTGAGGCCTGGGGAGAACAATAGGCCGAGTGCCAGGGGTCCTCCCACCCAACCGCTTGCACTGGACATTGGTCTTTTCCTGCCTTCAGACTTGGACTGAAAACGTGGGCTCTTCCTGGGCCTGGAGCCCACCGGCCTTCGGACTCGCAACGCCATCAGGCCTCCTGCCTGCAACTGCAGACCCTGGGAACTGCAGGCCTCGAGGTCGTGTGGCCAATTCCCTGCAATAACCTCTCCAGTGGCACGTCTTATGGGCTCCGCTTGCCGGAAGAACCCTGACGAATGCGCACGAGGGAATATGATTCCACCGTAGAAAAGGAGGCGCTGACACCCACCATGCGGACAAGCCTTGGAAGCACGGTGCTCAGTGAAGGGTGCCGGCCGCAAAGGGCCGCAGGTGCAGTGACTCCATTTCTATGGGGTGCCTGTGGTCACCGAACCCATGGAGACAGAAAGTAGATTGATGGTTCCCAGAGCCGGGGGGAGGAGGAAAGGGGAGTGGCTGCTAAACGGCCCGGGGTTTTTTTTTGTTTTGTTTTGTTTTTATACTTTAAGTTTTAGTTTATTGTGGCACTGTTCACAATAGCAAAGACTTGGAACCAACCCAAATGTCCAACAATGATAGACTAGATTAAGAAAATGTGGCACATATATACCATGGAATACTATGCAGCCATAAAAAATGATGAGTTCATGTCCTTTGTAGGGACGTGGATGAAGACGGCCCGGGGTTTTACTTTGGAGTGACGCAAATGTTCTGGGCCCAGGGAGAGGTGGTGCGTGCACAGCCCTTCGAGTGCACTAAATGCCAATAACGCGGACACTTTTTTTTTTTTTTTTTGAGACGGAGTCTCGCTCTGTCACCCAGGCTGGAATGTGGTGGCGTGATCTTGGCTCACTGCAACCTCCGCCTCTGTGTTCAAGTGATTCTCCTGCCTCAGCCTCCAAAGTAACTGGGATTACAGGCCCCTACCACCACACCCGGCTAATTTTTTTGTATTTTTAGTAGAGATTGGGTTTCACCATGTTGGCCAGGCTGGTTTCAAACTCCTGATCTCAAGTGATCCACCCGCCTCGGCCTCTTAAAGTGCTGAGGTTACAGGCGTGAGCCACTGCACCTGGCCTAACTCGTACACTTTAAAGTGGTTAATTTTAGGTTCTGTGAGTCTCACCTCAATATGTTATTTTTTTTTTTTAATTAAAAAAAGTTTTTGAGACAGGGTCTTGCTCTGTCACCCAGGCTGGAGTGCAGTGGTGCCATGATAGCTTATTGCAGCCTCAACCTCCTGGGCCCAGGTGATCCTCCCACCTTGGTCTCTCTAGCAGCTGGGATTACAGGTGCACACCACCTCACCCACCCAATTTTTTTGTTATTTTTTGCAGAGATGGGGTCTCACTTTGTTGCCCAGGTTGGTCTCGAACTCCTGAGCTCATGCAGTCCTCTCCTCACCTTGGCCTCCCAGAGTGCTGGGATTACAGGTGTGGGCCACTGCGCCTGGCCACATATGCAACTTTAAATATTTCAGTAGCCACATTAAAAAGGTAAAAAGAAACAGGCAAAGTGTATATTAATACTACAGCTTAGTTAATCCAATATATCAAAAATATTATTTTAACACAACATAAAAAGTGAATGAGTTTTTTTTTGTTGTTTTTTGTTTTTTGAGACAGAGTCTCCCTCTGTCACCCAGGCTGGAGTGCAGTGGTGCGATCTCAGCTCACTGCAACTTCCGCCTCCCGGGTTCAAGCGATTCTCCTGCCTCAGCCTCCCGAGTAGCTGGGATTACAGGCACCTGCCACCACGCCCAGCTAATTTTTGTATTTTTAGTAGAGAGGGGGTTTCACCATGTTGGCCAGGCTGGTCTTGATCTCTTGACCTCGTGATCGGCCCACCTCGGCCTCCCAAAGTGCTGGGATTATAGGCGTAAGCCACCACGCCCGGCCGTGAATGAGATGTTTTATATTCTTTTTGTTTGTTTGTTTTTGGTACTGTGTCTTTGAAACCCAGGATGTACAGTACACTCACAGCACCCTAGATTGGGCCTGGCCACACTTTAAAAGGTGTTCAGTATCTCCAGGAGGCTCACGTCCAGATTCGGACTCTTCAGCAGGATGCCAAGGGGGCTCCAGACAGTTCCACCCAGCGCAGGAAAACACCAAGTGTATCTTCAGCCTGGTGACTCACTCCACGCCGCTGCCGGCGTGAACCCCGAGTGTGGCGCTGCGTCCCTCTGGATAGAGCAAAGGAGGGTCCCAAGAGCCCGGAGGCACCAACTCATCAGGGCCCACAAATCAGGCCCCCGGCAGGCAGGGCTGCCTCCATCCAAGAGGGAAGCACGGTGCCGTAGCCCCCGGGCTGCTCCAGGGATCGACAGGCCTGTGCTGCCTTCATCCCAAAAGTCTCACTTGCAAAGGGTGTCCGTGGGGCTCAACTGCGTGCTCAGCGGTGGACTGATTTCGTTCTGTGTGGCTCCTTATCTCATCGTGGACCCAAATCCACGAACCACACATGAGGAGCTCTGCTGGAGGGGGCAGCACTGGGCAGAGGCAGACAAGGGGGAGCGTCACGCGGCTGTTTCCCGTGGTGAGCATCCACCAGCAGCGGTTCCTGGTGGGACACCGACGTATTCGTCTGCAAAAGTAAAAGTGTTTCAAAACAAAACCGGGTCCAGCTTGGTCCCGGTGCGTTGAAAGTGCTGGCGTTGGCCAGGCGTGGTGGCTCACGCCTGTAATCCCAGCACTTTGGGAGGCTGAGGCGGGTGGATCACAAGGTCAGGAGATTGAGACCATCCTGGCTAACACGGTGAAACCCCGTCTCTACTAAAAAATACAAAAAATTAGCCGGGCGTGGTGGCAGGCGCCTGTAGTCCTAGCTACTTGGGAGGCTGAGGCAGGAGAATGGCGTGAACCTGGGAGGCGGAGCTTGCAGTGAGCAGAGATCATGCCTCTGCACTCCAGCCTGGGCGACAGAGCAAGACACTCTCACAAAAAAAAAAAAAAAAAAAAAAAAAAAAAAAAAAAGTGCTGGCGTTAGTGGAGGTCTCTCAGAGGGGGCGTTGCAGGGCCTCCCACGTTACTCAGGCTTTGCAGACGAAGACGCAGGGTCAGTGAGTGAGCGAGCTTTGGGAAAGGCTGTTCTTCAATCTGCATCTTGAAGGTGGCTGGGTGGCGCCTCAGTCGCCTGCCCCGACGTGACTCCCGATCTGGCTGCTTTGTGTCTTTGCTTTCCACCTGGCGGCTGCTGTCCTGGCTGTTGCTGTACCTCAGTGTCCTCGTGGGTCAAGTGGGGACCTGGGTGCTGGCCCTGGGCCTGCGATGGTGAGCTGCTGGTGCACGCTGGGCATGGGGTGAGGGCTCAGAAAGGGAACAGCTCTTGTTATCGTTAGGAGGTTTTCAATCGCATTCTTTGTTCTCCACCTGCATGCCGTGTTGGCACAGTTAAGCCTGGCGGCCCCTTCAGCAGGTGTCCTAACCGTCTACATTTTAAGATGGACAAGTCTAGGCTCATGGAGATTGCAGGACTGAGCTGCGAAGCTTTATTCATGCCCAACACGACAGGTGCCAGGTGCCCAGGGCCTCAGAGGTGGGTTTCCGTTGTTCTTCACACAACCTTGAACTTGTGGCCCATCCCTGGACCTTACAGCACAGGACACACTCTCAGTGTTTGTTAGGAATCTATAATTTTCTGCGGAGTCACGCGTGATATTTGCTGTGGCTTTTGGTATATCTTCCACTCTATCGCACGGGATTTTCTGGTGAAAATGTGCCCTGGGTCCACACAAACGTGCACATTCTACCACAGCCTTTGTCGTTCTGTTTGGCATTTTTCCATTTAATAAAATGAACCTTAGAAAAGTTATAACTACGGCCAGGCGTGGTGGCTCACACCTGTCATCCCAGCACTTCGGGAGGCCGAGGCGAGAGGATCACCTGTGGTCAGGAGTTCCACACCAGCCTGGTCAACTGGTGAAACCCCCCTCTCCACTAAAAATACAAAAATTAGCTGGGCACCATGGTGGGCACCTAGAATCTCAGCTACTTGGGGGGGCTGAGGCAGGAGAATTGCTTGAATTCGGAAGGAGGAGGTTGCAGTGAGCTGAGATTGCACCACTGCACTCCAGCCTGGGGGATACAGTGAGACTCGGTCTCAAAAAAAAAAAAGAAAAGTGTATAACTTTACTTTTTTTTCTTTTTGTGGAGATGGAATCTTGCTATGTTGCCCAGGCTGGTCTCAAACCCCTAGGTTCAAGTGATCCTCCCACTTTGGCCTCCCAAAATGCTGAGACGACAGATGGGAGCAACCTCACCTGGCAAGCGTGCACCTGTTACTTTGGCCGACTCAGAGGCGGCTCTCTGCCTCCCCCTGGTGGCACTGCTCTGCCAGCGCCCCACAGGTCCTCCCGAGTGACCACAGGGCAGAAATGGCCCTCACCCCACGCCCAGGGCCATCCCCCGCGACACTGCTATTATCCTGTTTTACACATGAGGAAGCTGGGGCTCAAAGAGGTTAGGCGACTTAGCCAAGTTCGCCCATTCACTGAGCCAGGGCTATGTGATTCCCGGTCCGTGTCAAACCACGAGGAGTCACCTGCCCTCAGAGGAGCAGGAAGGCCTGTAGAGTTGATGCCATCCAGCCTGGTGACTTTTCAGACAGGGAGACGGCTGCTCAGAGGGGAGAAGGGGGTTGTTGGGCCACTTTGCCAGGAGTCAATACCATGGCCAGCCTGGCATCGGATACTTTGCCAGGAGTTAATGCCACGACTGGCCTGGCATCGAATACTGGAGCTCTTCCCAGCTCCACCCGGGCCCTTTTCTCTTCCCTATCTACAGTCCCCAGGCCACCAAGTCCATGTCCACCACTTAAATCATCACTCAATGCTCAGGACTGTCTCCTGCCTGCTGTGTGTGAACCCCGTGCTGTGCTGGGGTTGTGCCCTCGGGGACTCTCCCGGGTTCTTGGGGACTCTCCTGGGTTCAGCGCCTCTTTCTCCTAGGCCACCCAAGGCTGCCTCCTGGGCCCTGGCTCTCCCTAGCCCCTAGCTCGAACCCTAACCTGGAGAGCCTTTGGGGCCCAAACTGGTTGCATCGCTCCTGGCTGAAAAGCCTCTGGAAGCTTCCTATACTTCCAGACACCACCTGCGGGTCTCTTAGCAAGCCTACAGAGTCCACACTAGCCTACGCCCACTGGCCGCTCACCCCGCAGAAGCCTCATGTGGACTGTTCACTTCAGCCAGAAATGCTCCTTCTCCTCCTGCCTGTCCCCAGCAGACACTGCATGGTGCCCTCTGTATGGGCACCTCTGTGGCCAGCCAGCATCCATGTTCCCCGGAGGCAGAGTCTGGGCTTGTCTGTCTCACGGCCACAGCCCAGCTCCTAGCAGTGCCTGGGGTACAGCAGGGACTCAGCAGACATCTGTGCATGGTTTGGGGATAGAGGACTCGTGAGCTTACCAAGACCCTGCCTCAGCTCAAGGACAGCCAGCAGTTCCTCCTGTGGCCCTGGGGGCCTGCGGTCCCAGGTTACTGTGACATCGACATCAGCCTTGAGCTTTCTGCTTCATTCCTAGTGCTTTTTAGCACCTTACATGGTAAGTACTTGGCTCAATGATTCCAGAAAAATGTTCTCTGAGACCTGCTATGTGCCCAACATGCTTGAAGATGCTGGAGATGAGGAGCATGACGCTCCTGCAGTAACGAGGCTGCTGGCAATGCCGTCAATGTGCCCTGTGCCTCCGGGGAGGCCTGGTGTGGAGGATACGCTTGCCACCCTGTGAGGTCAGGTCCAGGAAGTCCTTGCAGGAGGCCGGGAAAGGGCAAGGCTGTCACCTTCTTTTACAGGGGAGGAGGCAGAGGCTTGGAAAGGCCAGGTAGCTTGCCCAAGGCTGAACACCTGGGTAGTGGCTGAGGGTCTCTGACTTCTGGAAGCTTGCAGTACAGCTGGACACACGGTAGTTAGCCCACCATTGCTGGAGCCATCTTACCTGTGCTCTGCTAGCCAGGTGGGCGCCCAAAAGGAGATGCCTTTGCCTGTGCTGGGAGGAGGCGCTGTGGGACCCATTCCCCAGCAGCCGAGAGCAAGGGCACATGTGCCAGGGCGGGGATGCACCTTCAGCCTCATGTCAGCCCTGGGAAGGCCTAGAAAGTGGACAGTGCTGTCTCGCTGCACACCCCTGGCGAGCACACCGGGCGAGCACTCCAGGTTAGGGTGGGGCTCAGAGGTGAGTAGAACACGGGAAGGGGGTGGCAGCGTGGTGAGCATGTTTGCGGACCCTATGCTGTGTGCTTGGCAGGCCTTGTGCATGGAAGTGAGTGGGACTGAAGCTCCCTCCACACTGCCCACCATGGCCCTGGGGGTCTGGCCTTCCCCTCACAGAGGTGACTTCCTCTCCTCTATGAGGGTAAGAAGAGGAAGCCTGGCCCACCCTCTGGCCAGCCTGGTGGCATGCTGACAGGGAACCCCTGCAGGGGCCTGATGAACAAACGCCACAGAACAAACTCTACGGACCCTGCCTCCAGATCTGCTTCCTCTCCCCTGATTCCAGCTTCCCAGCCCTATTCCCTCCTCCTCCAGGAAGAGCTCCGTGTCAGTGCTCTCCACCTTGGAGGCCTTCATATGTTTTTTTGCCTGGACCACCCAGCTAACCGTCTCACAGAGACTGCCCCTTCCTCTCTCCAGGCCAAGCCTCCAGCTTCAGCGTCCAGGACTAAGGGTCTGTGTCAGGGGCTGAGGACAGTGTCCGGCAGGGAGCAGGCCTGCCCAGTAAACCTCCACAAGCACCCAGACATACTCGCCACTGCTATTTTACACCAGGTAGGAAAGAGGAGCAGAAGCTCACAGTGAGGGGCCGTCCTGCGTTCACTGAGACTGCTGCTCTGCTGGGGGCTCCCTGGAGGACCGCCACTGGCCCGCCAGTTGTCAGCAAAGAGCCAGGTCCACCCATCAGCCTCTGGCATTTCAGGCCCCTATCATAGGAGGCTATAAGCACAGGCTAGGGGTGCTGAGTGCCTGCCTTCTAGACCAACACTGTCCAGTGGAAATGTAACACCAGCCCCATGTGGAGTTTTACATTTCCCAGCAGCTATGTCAAAAACAAAAGAAACAGGTGAAATAAAATTAAATAGTATTTTGTTTAATCTGATACATCCAAGATATTGTCATTTTAATATGCAATAAAAAATGATTGATTCGATATTTGCATCCTTCACAACCTACCATGTAGTTTACACTCAGAGCCCAGCTCAGTCTCACAGCAAGCACCAGCGGCCCCCGTGCTGGACAGCATGGCTAATGGGAGGAGCTGACCCGTCGGAGGCACCAAGGTCACGCTGTGACCAAGGCTGTGGTGACGCAAAGGCAGCGGGTTTCCTGGCACAGCCTGGAGGTGCACCAGCCTGTCCTGTGTGCTCTGCATAATGTGGTACAGCAGTGGTCACAGAGCTTTGCACCAGATGCTGATTCCAGCCCACCTAGGGGGGTTCAGGGAAGTGGTGACACTTGTGTCCAGCCTCCAGGTGTGAGCAGGGGCAGAGACTTGGAGAATGGAGAAACCAGCGGATGCTGCAGGCAAAAGCAGCAAAGCCCCACCAGGAATAGTGATGGCCACCACCGGCGGGACACCTCCCAGCACTGGGTGGAGGCCTCTGCTGGCTCGCAGTCAGTCACCTGATGTCCCCATTCGCCCCTGCCATGCTTGTTGTCCTGGCAACCCCATTTCAGCCCTGAAACGTTTAGGTGCTCATCTTGCTCTATCTTAGAGATGAAGACCTGATGCTCAGAGACTAAGGAAGTTGAAAAAGGGCACACAGCGTCTCAGGGGCAGGCTGGGCCTTCAACGGAAGGGTCTATGGCCCAGAGGCTGGATGGGCTCGGGTGTAGGGTGCAGGAACCCTCCACTCCACATCAGGCTACAAACTGCTGAGAGCTGTCTCCGTGCACTCAGGATTAGGGAGAAGAGGGGGAAGAAAGACAGCCGCGCCCCCTGCAGGTGATGTGGTGATTCACACCCCTAGGAGCCAACAGAAGCCGCTGTCTAACATCCCTGCCCTGAGGTCCAGAGACCTTGCATTTTATGCCTAGGGCAGGGTTGGTTTCTGCAGCTATGGTCTCTCCCATAGCTTAGTGCCCACCCCGGTGGGACCACAGGGTTTCGGAGGACCCTAGAGGGTCGAGCCCTGGGCTCCTGGCTCTTGGGTTCTTTGAACTCGCGAGCGGCAAAAGGCGAGCCCCACGCCTGAGAGGCAGCATCCACCTCTGCATCCCCCTCTTTGGAAAGGGCAAACAATGACACCTCCTTCCGCGGAGGGTGCAGAGCGCCTCGACCACTGGGAAGAAGCAGATGGGGGCAGCGGGGCTGGGGCTGGGCCCTACCACGTGCTCCCTAACTCTGTTCAAACAGGTCAGGAATCTGACTCCTGAAAGGCAAATGTTAGCTGAGCAGATTGGCCCTGGTGCCACGTCAGCCGGACTGAAGCTCTCCCTGCACCGCCTGCGGCCCTGCTGGCGTGGCACGGATATCACCCCCTCCCTCACCAGCCGCCGGCCCAGCTGGGGACAAGGGTGGCTCCCACCCAGGGAGGACCTCAGCCGCTGCTGGGAGCTCAGCCTCCCGCGATGCCATCGGGCGGGCACCCCCACCACGGCGCCTGCCCTCTGGAAGGAGCAGCAGAGGAAGGCCGCGGCTCTTCCCTGCCCTTGCCAGGCAGGTGTGCAGGTGAGTGGGCCCGGCATGGCTGGCCGCTTCCTCAACCGCTCAGCCTCCCTCGGCTCCTCCGAAAAATGAGGGCACAGAGGATAGTGCCCACCTGTTCCCTGCGATCTTCCGCGGGAGGGCGTGGATGCTGCCTGGCCTGGCCGTGGCAGGCACAGGAGCGCCTACCCGCCTCACCCCTCCGCTGGGTCGCTCTGGCCGCCCGAGCGCCCGGGCCCACTCGCCACCGACGTGCACTCAGCCAAGGCTGGGACCCCAGCGCCCCTGTGGGGCTGGCGGCCGGGGGAACGAACCGAGTAGGCCGCACCTCCCCGGGAGGACAGCAGGGCTGGGGCCAGGGTGGGCCTGGGAGGGCCCGGCGCAGCAAAGGCGCAGGGCGGAGCTTGGGGACGAGGAGCCCGCGCGTCCCCCTTGCGAGTCGGCGGACACCCGGCTCCGCGCGGTGGCCGGGCCGCCCCTCCCTGCCCGGGCCTCTGTGCAGAGCGAAGGGACAGTAGAGGATGCGTCGGGGAAACCCCAGGACGCTGGCCAGGGACTGGCGGCAGCCATCGACCAACTTCCGGCGCCGCTCGGTGCCCGCGGCCACGCCGTAACCAGGCAACCAGCGCGCAGGCGCAGTCGGCCCTCCGCGTCCCGCAGCTCCGGCCGCTCCCGGCGCATGCGCGGCCGCCGCCGCCTGCCCTCCAGCCTCCCAGCCCAACGGAAGAATGCGAGGAGCGCGCCCGCGTCAGGGCCCCGCGCTTCTCAGCTGGGCGGAGTAGCCGTTCTCGGTGCGTGAGCCTGCTGGCATCGGTCCTGCAGACTGATTTCCCGCTTGTGGCCTTGATTGAAGAATCCCATCTCTTCTCACATCTTAAAACGAAAAAAGACTGGGAGAAAGAGCCAGCGTAAACAGGGCGACGTACTGGGACGGCCCCGGCGCGCCTGGCCGGGCAGGTGGCGAGGGGCGGGGCCAAGCGGTGAGGCGGCAGACGGACGCCGGAGGGGGGCGGGGCCACGGGCGGGGAAGGACGGCCGAGGGGCGGGGCCAAAGGGGCGGGAACGACAGGATGAGGCGGAGAAAGACGGACGACGGGCGGGGCTAAGGGGGCGGGACGAAAGAATGAGGCGAGGAACGACGGAAGAGGGGCGGGGCCAAGGGGAGCGGGAACTACAGGATAAGGCGTGGAAGACGGGCGGGGGGCGGGACGAAAGAATGAGGCGGGGAAGAACGGACGCCGGCGAGGGGCGGGGGCAGAGGGGGCGGGACAGAGGGATGAGGCGGGGAGGACGGACGCCGGCGAGGGGCGGGGCCGAGGGATGGGCTGTGAAGGGCTGAAAGAGAACGCGTCTGGGCCGACGAGCCGAGGGGCGGGGCCAGGGGCGGGGCGCGCGCTGATGTCGTAAGCCGGACACGTCGGCGGCGCGGCGGCCGCGGAGACCCGAGCCGGATGTGCCAAGATGGCTGCGGCGGCTGAGGTGTCTGTGCTCGTCGCCAGCGTCGGGTGGGCTTTCGCCCGCGGCTCCTGAGGGATCGGTCTCAGCCGCGCGGGTGAGGGGGCGAGCGCGGGTGAGGGGGCGAGCGCGGGAGGAGGAAGGCGGAGGCCGGCCGGCGGAGCCAGGCCGTGGAGGTCGGGGCGCGGAGGAGAGGAGGCGGCTGGGCCCAGCCCCGAGCGGGCGGTGCATCTCGGGTCCCGCCGGGGCCGGTCGAGGGGACAGACGTCCGGGCCCCCGGGCCAGAGCGGAAGGCCGGACGCGGCGCGGGCCGCCGTGGGACTCGAGGGACTGACGTGGACCCGGCTGGGCTGCGGTGACGCCGGTTCCCGGGGCGGGAGGCTGGACCCCCAGGCACCCCTCGTAAGACTCTTAACTTTTCAAATGAGCGTGTCTTGTCCTCACCGGCTAGAAGGCTTCCTTAGCGATGCTGGTGAAGAGACACATTTACATTTGAACCAAAGAGCAGAGTTGTTTGTTTGTAATTTCTTGATTGGGCGATCAGGATGTTGCAACAGAGGCCGAGGGTTAGAGGAGTGTGTGTGATCCGGCTCGCCCCTTTGTGATGGAAGTGTTACAGTAGAGCCTTCAGAAACATCAGAGCCATTTAAAGTCAGTTTTTGCCGCTTAAGAACACTTTTAAATGGCTTGTAAGTTGGGTGTGGATTGTATATTAAGATTTTGTTTTACATGTGTGATGCCGATGTTAACCAAAGAGGTATTTCCCATCCCCCATGTGGCAATACGAAGCAAACGGAACCGCAGACGGTTCTTCCTAGAAGTGATACTTTTGCAAGTTTCAGCACAATGCAGCCTCCCTGCGTTTTTTCCTCATCCCCTTTCTTAAGTTTCAGGTGCTGGTATCTTGTAGACAAGAGGCAAAATAGCGTGTCTTTCTTGTTCCTTGTTCCTCGTTTACTGTTAATAGTGGTTACTACAGTGAGTCTCAAAATTGTACTTAAAGTTTTCTTTGAGGCAGTGGGCACTTTTTTTTTCTTTTTCTTTGTCTTTTTTTGCCAAATCCAGCAAGAGGTCATGGTAGTGGGTAAATGTTAATGTGATTTCTTCTTCTGTAAGCATCTTTCATGAATACCAGGGTCTTCGTCATTTTCATCAGTGTTAGGCTGCTGGCCTCCTCTGTCGCTGGCTTCCTCTTCAACATCTAACTGTATGTGGTTGCGATTCTAACTTAGAAGAGTTGGAGTTGATCATGTCTTTGTGTCAAGCATCCCACAGTCTGACAGGGCGTCACTAGCAGCCACCGTGAGGGAGACTGTAGGCAGTAGGTAAACTCAGGGGCTTCCTGGCACACTATTGTTTTCCTCACTTAAAATATGAAGCCAGTGGCAGCAAGAGGAGAGGGGTGTGCATGCATTTTAAATGCCTCAGTTCTGTAGCCAGAACTGTACTAAAAAGAGTTTTGCTTAGGTATCCACATGGTTACAAGGCAGTTTAACTGACTAGCTAGGTTTATGAATACTGCATTTTCAAGATCAGCTGGCCTCTTTGGAACAATAAAAGAATTAGATGACTTGAGGTTACAGAATAAAATTCCCTGGGCCGGGCGCGGTGGCTCATGCCTGTAATCCCAGCACTCTGGGAGGCTGAGGCGGGCGGATCACGAGGTCAGGAGATCGAGACCATCCTGGCTAACACGGTGAAACCCCGTCTCTACTGAAAATACAAAAAAAAATTAGCCGGGCGAGGTGGCGGGCGCCTGTAGTCCCAGCTACGCTGGAGGCTGAGGCAGGAGAATGGCGTGAACCCCGGGGGGCGGAGCCTGCAGTGAGCCGAGATCGCGCCACTGCACTCCAGCCTGGGTGAAAGAGCAAGACTCCGTCTCAAAAAAAAAAAAAAAAAAAAAAAGAATAAAATTCCCTGTAGTGGTGACATAGGTGATAGGCAGTTGCATTGTTTTTCTCCTGGTGAGTAGAGAAAAAGATCAAAAAAATCAGTTCAAGTCACAAGATTGTTCCAAATGAAAGTGGCATGTTGCTAAAAAGCTCTCAATTAGGGAGCATGAAGGTTGGAATGCTCCTTGTAAGTGATAATGTTTGCCATAAAAAAGCTCTTAGTCTAGGAGAGCTGCGGAATAATTTTTTTTTTTTTGAGACGGAGTCTCGCTCTGCCCAGGCGGGAGTGCAGTGGCGCGATCTCAGCTCACTGCAAGCTCCGCCTCCCAGGTTTACGCCATTCTCCTGCCTCAGCCTCCCGAGTAGCTGGGATTACAGGCGCCCGCCACCACGCCCGGCTAATTTTTTGTATTTTAGTAGAGACGGGGTTTCACCGTGTTAGCCAGGATGGTCTCGATCTTCTGACCTCTTGATCTGCCCGCCTCGGCCTCCCAAAGTGCTGGGATTACAGGTGTGAGCCACCGTGCCCGGCCACCCCTGTTAAACAGCAGGTGGGATTAGGACATCCCAGAATCCACTGTGAGTAGAATCTCATAAGATTAAACCCGGGTTTTTTAGGAAAAAATAATCACATCGATTCTCGCATTTTATAGACAAAAATACATTGCAGAAAGAGGAGTGGCTGCCTCGAGCCACTCACCTGGACACTCAGTTTTGCTCTCACAGCAGCAGCCAAGGAATAAACCTCTAGGCCCGTGCTCTGTGTTTAAAGCAAACAAAAGCTTTTGAGGATGATAAGGATCTTCCCGGGGAAGGCCATGTCTTGAGAGATGAGGTAGGACCCCAGTTCTGGCAGCAGAGTTTCAGGAGGTGCTTGGAAGTTTGCGTGTTCTGGCCGTGGTTGCAGGTGTCGCTGTGTCTGCTGTGGCTGTGCAGCTGGTAGGACCCAGTGGAAGATAATGCCAGTGCACAGATCAGAGGAAGATGCTCTGCCTGTTCTCCTTTCAGTCCATATAAAATAGAGCTGTGAACATTCTTTGTTTTCAGATGAGAGCCTAAAACCTCCATGAAGCCTTTGCTGCTGTTCCTAGTAAATAGCTTGACTTAAAATACATTGATCAGTGTTTTCTTCTTTTTTTTTTTGAGACAGTTTCACTCTGTCGCCCAGGCTGGAGTGTTGTGGCTTGAACAAGGCTCACTGCAGCCTCAACCTCCCTGGCTCAAGCGATCTTCCCACCTCAGCCTCCCGAGTAGTTGGGACTACAGGCACGCACCACCACGACCGGCATTTTTTTTTTGGTGATGGGGTATCGCTGTGTGTTGCCCAGGCTGGTCTCAAACTGCTGAACTCGAGTGGTCCTCCTACCTCCCAAAGTGCTCGGCTTACAGGTGTGAGCCACTGCACCTGGCCAGTGTTTTCTTCTTTTATCTGAATATCAGAAAGATTTCCAAGAGACCAAAATAATATACATCTGCAAAGATGTGTGGATTGGCCAGGCACGGTGGCTCACGCCTGTAATCCCAGCACTTTGGGAGGCCGAGGCGGGTGGATTATGAGGTCAGGAGATCAAGACCATCCTGGCTAACATGGTGAAACCCCATCTCTACTGAAAAGACAAAAAATTAGCCTGGCATGGTGGCAGGTGCCTGTAGTCCCAGCTGCTCAGGAGGCTGAGGCAGGAGAATGGCATGAACCTGGGAGGCGGAGCTTGCAGTGAGCCGAGATCGCACCACTGCACCCCAGTCTGGGCGACAGAGCAAGACTCCGTCTCAAAAAAAAAAATGTGTGGATTAAACTACAGAGTCCTCCCCTTTGGTTTAATTTTTCCTTTGATTGGCTAAACTTATCTGTTTGTTCATGAGGGTGGTGCTGACAAGAAGAAAGACTGATAGAAAGAAAAGAACTTTCCTAAAGATATAGTCCTTGAATTTTTGCCTTAAGAGGCCAGGTTAACTATTCAAGTTTGTATCTACTATGTTTTATTTAAAAACTGATGGAGGTTTTTGCCCCTTTCTTTTCTGTAAGAGGTTTCTTGGCAATTCTGCCTGTTGTTGAAAGTGTTGGAATCCAGTCTGTGCCTTGTAAAGCTGCTTTAAGTTTCCTGGGAGTTTCCATTCCAGGCACAGTTACGGCTCCAGTTCAAAGGTAACATCTTGCTGGTGGTCCTTTCAGACCTTAAGCCAGTCACAGTACAAAAACGGAGACCTATGAAGAGGTGTGATAAAAGGCATTTAGATGAATATATTTATTTTGCAGTGCTTTTTAAAAAAATGATTGTGTCACTTTTTATTTATTTATTTTTTTAAAATAGAGACCGTCTTGCTCTGTTGCCCAGGCTGGACCGCGGTGGTATAATCATAGCTCACTGCAGCCTCGAACTCATGGACACAAGTGATCTTCCTTCCTTAACCCCCTGAGTCCCTGGGACTACAGGTGTGTGCCACCATGTCTGGCTAACTTTCTTCTTTTGTAGAGACAAGGTCTTGCTATGTTGCCCAGGCTGGTCTCGACCTCCTGGGCTCTGGCAGTCCTTCCACCTTGACCTCCCAAAGTGCTGGGATTACAGGCATGAGCCACTGCACCCAGCCTATTTTGCAGCTTTTATAACTATACTTCATAATGCTCTTTCATCAAAGAAAATGGAAGAATGAATTTTAAACTTTTGTATCCCTTTTGAAATTTAAAATTAACATGTATGGAAAGTATGATATAAAGTTTTCCTTTTTTTTTTTTTTTTTTGAGCTAGGGACTCACTGTGTCACCCAGGCTGAAGGGTAGTGGTGCTGTCATAGCTCACGACAGCCTCAACCTCCCAGGCTGACGCAATCCTCCTGCCTCAGCCTCCTGAGTAGTTGGGACTACAGGTGTGCACCACCATGCCTGGCTGATTTTTGTATTTTTTGTAGAAACGAGATCCCCCTGTTGCTCAGGCTGGCCTCGAATTCCTGGGCTCAAGTGGTCCTCCCGCCTTGGCCTCTTAAAGTGTTGGGAGTACAGGCGTAAGCCACCATATCTGGCCAGTTTTTCTTTCTTAATAGAAGAGTTGGCTCTTCCTGGATCTAGGGATGGTTTACAGGAAAACATTGAGTATCTGTGGGTCTGGTAGCATATCACAGCAGTGGTCAGGTTCCGCACTGTCCCTGTTGTTGTGGCGCGGGTCTGCGGCAGCAATGGGCCCTGTGAGTAGAGGATCCCAGGGGAGGGAGTGGCCATCTAGACATACTCCATCAGCTCGCAGCCAGGCCATCCAGGGTTCTCACTCTGTCCCCTGCCCCCCAGAACAGTTCCTCAGGGACAGGTGTTCTCTGCTGGGGTGGGGTGTAGGGGAGAGAGAGTCCTTGGGATTTAAGTGACATAAAATCATGTTCAATGTTTCTCTTTTTCCTTAGTTTTCCTGATTGCAGCTAGGACTTTGAATATATGGATTTTATGCTGATTTTCTCTTTTTCTTTTCCAGCTCCAATTAAGGAACAGCTATATCCTGCTTCCTTCTGTAAGCAGCATCGACTTGTGCAAGGGTTCAGTCATGCAGCCACCGCCCCAGACGGTCCCGTCTGGCATGGCTGGGCCACCTCCAGCCGGGAATCCTCGGAGCGTGTTCTGGGCTAGCAGCCCTTACAGGAGACGGGCTAATAATAATGCAGCAGTGGCTCCGACAACTTGCCCGTTGCAGCCGGTCACGGATCCATTTGCTTTTAGTAGACAGGCGCTCCAAAGTACACCACTGGGCAGTTCGTCCAAAAGCAGTCCACCTGTCTTGCAAGGCCCAGCCCCCGCAGGGTTTTCTCAGCACCCCGGTTTGCTTGTTCCTCACACACATGCCAGAGATAGCTCTCAGGGACCCTGTGAGCCCCTGCCTGGACCTCTGACACAGCCCAGAGCACATGCCAGTCCGTTTTCTGGTGCATTGACACCTTCAGCACCTCCTGGGCCTGAGATGAACAGGAGTGCAGAGGTCGGTCCCAGTTCAGAGCCTGAAGTTCAGACTCTGCCATATCTTCCTCACTACATTCCAGGAGTGGATCCTGAAACGTCTCATGGGGGCCACCCTCATGGGAACATGCCTGGGCTCGACCGACCCCTGAGCAGGCAAAACCCACATGACGGTGTGGTCACCCCAGCAGCATCCCCTTCCCTCCCTCAGCCTGGTCTGCAGATGCCAGGACAGTGGGGGCCAGTGCAGGGAGGCCCACAGCCCTCGGGGCAACATCGTTCACCCTGCCCTGAAGGACCTGTTCCCAGCGGGGTGCCCTGTGCCACCAGCGTTCCTCATTTCCCCACCCCGTCCATCCTACATCAGGGCCCTGGTCATGAGCAACACAGCCCTCTGGTGGCTCCCCCAGCAGCCTTGCCCAGTGACGGAAGAGACGAGGTGAGCCACTTGCAAAGTGGAAGCCACCTGGCCAATAACTCTGATCCTGAAAGTACATTCAGGCAAAATCCCAGAATTGTGAATCACTGGGCAAGCCCAGAGCTCAGGCAGAATCCAGGAGTGAAGAATGAGCACCGGCCCGCCTCTGCTCTTGTGAACCCCCTCGCCCGGGGAGATAGCCCAGAAAACCGTACGCACCACCCACTGGGGGCTGGGGCCGGGTCTGGCTGTGCCCCGCTAGAAGCAGACTCAGGAGCTTCAGGAGCTCTGGCGATGTTTTTCCAAGGGGGAGAGACAGAAAATGAGGAGAATCTCTCATCTGAAAAAGCAGGCTTATCTGGTCAAGCGGACTTTGACGATTTCTGCTCCAGCCCTGGGCTAGGCCGTCCGCCCGCACCTACACACGTGGGGGCAGGCAGCCTCTGCCAGGCCCTTCTCCCAGGCCCCAGCAATGAGGCTGCTGGTGATGTGTGGGGTGACACAGCGAGCACAGGGGTGCCGGATGCCAGCGGCTCGCAGTATGAGAATGTTGAGAACTTAGAATTTGTTCAGAATCAAGAAGTTCTGCCAAGTGAGCCCCTCAATTTGGACCCTTCCTCCCCGAGTGACCAGTTCAGATATGGGCCCCTTCCTGGGCCAGCTGTGCCCAGGCATGGTGCTGTGTGCCACACCGGAGCCCCTGATGCCACACTGCATACAGTGCACCCTGACAGCGTGTCATCCAGCTATAGCAGCAGAAGCCACGGAAGGCTCTCAGGCTCAGCCAGGCCCCAGGAGCTGGTTGGCACATTCATTCAGCAAGAAGTTGGAAAACCCGAGGATGAAGCTTCAGGTAGTTTTTTTAAGCAAATCGATTCTTCTCCCGTAGGAGGTGAAACAGACGAGACCACTGTGAGCCAGAATTACCGTGGCAGCGTGTCCCAGCCCTCAACCCCGAGCCCCCCGAAACCTACAGGAATATTTCAGACAAGTGCAAATAGTTCTTTCGAACCGGTAAAATCTCACTTAGTTGGGGTAAAACCATTTGAGGCAGATCGCGCCAACGTGGTTGGTGAAGTAAGGGAGACCTGTGTCCGCCAGAAGCAGTGCAGACCAGCTGCCGCCCTGCCCGATGCTTCCCCTGGCAACCTGGAGCAGCCACCAGACAACATGGAGACCCTCTGTGCACCCCAGGTCTGTCCCCTGCCTCTTAACTCCACCACGGAAGCTGTGCACATGCTTCCGCACGCAGGGGCACCGCCCTTGGATACTGTGTATCCAGCACCCGAGAAGAGGCCTTCAGCCAGGACCCAGGGGCCCGTGAAGTGTGAGAGCCCAGCAACGACTCTGTGGGCGCAAAGTGAGCTGCCAGATTTTGGAGGCAACGTCCTTCTGGCCCCTGCAGCCCCGGCGCTTTATGTGTGTGCAAAACCTCAGCCACCTGTTGTTCAGCCTCCAGAAGAGGCGATGTCCGGGCAGCAGTCACGGAACCCAAGCTCGGCGGCCCCGGTGCAGAGCCGAGGTGGCATTGGTGCTTCTGAGAACCTTGAGAATCCTCCCAAAATGGGAGAGGAGGAGGCCCTTCAGTCCCAGGCGAGTTCTGGTTATGCAAGTTTATTATCCTCACCGCCCACTGAGTCTCTGCAGAATCCTCCAGTCTTGATTGCTCAGCCTGATCACAGCTATAATCTGGCTCAGCCCATTAACTTTTCTGTGTCCTTATCGAACTCTCATGAGAAGAATCAGTCCTGGAGAGAGGCTTTGGTGGGGGATAGACCTGCAGTCAGCAGTTGGGCTCTCGGTGGTGATTCTGGGGAGAACACTTCTTTGTCTGGGATTCCAACCAGCTCTGTCCTTAGCTTGTCTCTGCCTAGCAGTGTTGCCCAAAGTAATTTTCCACAAGGTTCTGGTGCTTCCGAAATGGTTTCTAATCAGCCTGCTAATTTGCTGGTTCAACCACCATCCCAGCCAGTTCCAGAGAACTTGGTTCCAGAAAGTCAAAAGGATCGTAAGGCAGGAAGTGCTCTTCCCGGATTTGCTAATAGCCCTGCTGGAAGCACAAGTGTGGTGTTAGTTCCACCTGCACACGGCACCCTGGTGCCTGATGGTAATAAGGCAAACCATTCCAGTCATCAGGAAGACACTTACGGAGCCCTAGACTTTACCTTAAGCAGGACTTTGGAAAATCCTGTAAACGTGTACAACCCGTCCCATTCTGACAGCCTCGCTTCTCAGCAAAGTGTTGCCAGTCATCCCAGACAATCTGGGCCTGGGGCGCCTAACCTTGACCGTTTTTATCAGCAGGTCACGAAAGATGCCCAGGGCCAGCCTGGCCTCGAAAGAGCCCAGCAGGAGCTGGTGCCACCCCAGCAACAGGCTTCTCCCCCACAACTACCCAAAGCCATGTTTTCGGAGCTGTCAAATCCAGAAAGTCTGCCCGCACAGGGACAGGCCCAGAACTCAGCACAGTCACCAGCAAGTCTGGTTCTGGTCGACGCGGGTCAGCAGCTGCCCCCTCGGCCTCCTCAGTCCTCTAGCGTGTCTCTGGTGTCCAGTGGCTCCGGCCAGGCAGCTGTGCCGTCAGAGCAGCCGTGGCCACAGCCAGTGCCTGCACTTGCCCCCGGCCCACCGCCTCAGGACCTGGCCGCCTACTACTACTACCGGCCTTTGTACGATGCCTACCAGCCTCAGTACTCTTTGCCGTACCCACCGGAGCCTGGCGCAGCCTCCCTCTATTACCAGGTAAGAGTCGAGTCGTATGTGTAACCCACTTTTCTGTCTGTGCTTTGACCAGTTGAGTCTCACTCACAGTGTATTCCTTAGTAGTGTTTGTTCGCTTGGTTCCGGGGTCACCCACAGTCCCGCAGGCGTGAGAACAGTATTCCAGTAACGCTTCCTGAGGACAGGGCTCCCGGCTCCAGAACCTACTCTCCCAAGCACAGGCCACCCTTAGTTCACACCACGCGTTAGCATCTTGAATTGCTTATAATACTTGCTTAGGATTTGAACCAGCCTCCCCAGCTTATGTGACAAAAAGAGCCCTCCATTTGCTGTCACCCCTGCTCCTGCTGGCTGTCTGCAGAAAAGTTCTGTCTTGCATGCCTTGGGAAGCTGGGCTAGCCTCTGGAAGCTTACGTCAGAAGCATTGGGTATAACCATAGTCCTTTAAATGCCCCTGGAGAATAAAAACATGGAGAGAAAATAGTTTTGGAGCATGAGCCACACGCATCAGCTAAGCGAGGCGGAGTCCCGCAAGCTGCTGTCAGCACGTGGTGGTGCGGGCAGCGGCTCGGGGACCGGCTGTGCTCGTGCAGAAGATTCTTCTGTGCCTCTTTTTCACAGGGACACCAGCTCATGAGTGACATTTGAGTTAGGTTCCGCATAATCCTGCAGTCGTTCGAAAAGTGTCTGTGTACACATTTGATCATTATCTGCTTTTCCTACCCTCTAACCCAGTTCAACATACACCGATTGGGTTCACCGATTCAGTGTCACCCCAGGTAGAAGGATTGTGTGATAGGGAATTGGAAAACCATGGTCTTGCGGTATGTAAGGCCAGTTGGAACCAGACTTGGGGCCACACAGGAAGGCCTTGCAGTCAGAAGGGGGCCCGCCCCGAGGAGCAAGGCTGCCGTGGCTTGCTGGGTACTGCCCCGGGGAATGGGGCTGGGCCTCCCCCATGGGCCTCGAGCATCATGGTTTGTGTGCGTGTGACCAGGTGCACACCTGACCCCTCAGACCTGTGTAGGTTCCAGAAGGAGCCCAGGCACTTTTTATTTCCATACAAGGACATTCAGCTCTGCTGGGAGCCCTGGGGTGGGGCTGGTGCAGAGCGACGGGAAGCCGTGGCCTCACTTCGGGTCCTTTGTCCGGTCCTCCTGCTGCGAGCCACCTCCCTCCGCAGGAGTGCACTCCTCCCGCCGTGCCTCTTGCTGTGGTGTCCGGGTGGCCAAGGATGAGTCTGTTTTGCTGTGATTTCACATTTCCTGCCAGGCAGCGGCAGCGTCGAGGCCTTGAGGCTTTGAGGCGCTTAAGCGTGAATTCTGGCGTGTGTCCGGGGCACTGCATGTCTTCAGATCCTCATGTGTCCACATGGGCCCCGTTGGGAACAATTCTGTGGCCACGAATTGGTTGGTGATGGGGCTGAAGCCTCCCGAGAATAAAGCACGGTCCGCTTTTAGAGGCTGCTCCTGGCTGGGGCTCTGTTCACTGGGACCCTGGTTCTCTGACTTAACTGAGGTGGCATCTGAAGCGGGACGCAGGGGTTGTTCAAATCATGGCATCTCCACACTGGACTTATCAGGAAGCAGAAACCTAACAGCCCCTTCCAGAAGTCGCCACAGCCCCCTGGGGTTGTCTGCTGACATGCTGGTGCCCTGGGTCCATCCAGAGGTCTCCTGAACAGGGCCAGGGCTGTGGGTCTTAGGACACCCTGCTGCCTGTGGGTGTGGCTGTGCTTTGGAGGTCTGTGTGGTTGTGTATGAGGGAAGGGCCACGCTCAGTCCTGCTGGAGAGCAGCCATCTGCGATGTTTCTAGCTCAGGCTGGTTGTTGGACGAGCTTGCTCTTGGTAGGTATCTAATGCTGCCCGCCCTCTGCAATGTTTCCAGCTCAGGCTGGCTGTTGGACGAGCTTGCTCTTGATTGGTGTCTAATCCTGCCCAAATGCTTCCTCCCACAGGATGTCTACAGCCTCTATGAGCCTCGATACAGGCCCTATGATGGTGCTGCGTCTGCTTACGCCCAGAACTACCGCTATCCCGAGCCCGAGCGGCCCAGCTCCCGAGCCAGCCACTCCTCGGAACGGCCACCTCCCAGGTGCGGCCGCGCCCACCCTGGCTGCCTCTCTGTCCTACTCAGACCCATGTCTGTGTTGCTTGCTATGGGGATAACTTAGTGACTCAAAAAGTTCTGTATTTCTGAAGAATTGTACAAACTTATCTAACATATGTTGACATTTTCTTGGTATGGACAAATTGTAGGGTGTGTTTTTAAATGAAATTAAACACTGCCCCAGGTGGTCATTAGCTGTGCTGGTCAGTTAGCATTTGGCGCCACCCCTACTGGGGCCAGACCCTGCTCAGGGCTGCAGAGAAGCAGCCTCTGACTTGTCTGTGAGCCCCTCTTGACGGGGCACGTCTGTTGGTCCGGCCATTTGCTAATGGGGTGTTCAGGCTCCCCAGAGACACGGCAGCTTTTCACCGGTCTCCGGAGGCCTGGGAGGACTGGTCACAGAGGTGACTTAATTCTTAGACCTGTCAGGCTGGCTACAGAAAGCAGGGCTTGAAAGCCTGTGTTTCCTCTTCTTTTTTTTTCTTTTAAGGCAGGTCTCACTCTGTTGTCCAAGCTGGAGTGCAATGGTGCCATCTTGGCTCACTGCAGCCTTGACCTCCTGAGCCCAAGCAATCTTCCCACTTCAACCTCCCGAGGAGCTGGGACTACAGACATGCCCCATCAAACCCAGCTAATTTTGTTCATTTTTTTTTTTGTAGAGACGAGGGTCTCACTATGTTGGCCAGGCTGGTCTCGAACTCCTGGCCTCAAGGGATCCTCCTGCCCTGGTCTCCCAAAGTGCTAGGATTACAGGCATTAGCCACTGCGCCCGGCCAGCCTATGTTTCTCCTTGACATTGCCGCCTCTGCTTGAAGGCCAGCCATTCCTCTGTTTGCCATTACAGAAGAGGGGTTTGGAAAGACCTGTGGCACTGTGGCTTCAGCTGAGTAGCCCTTTAAGCCAGGTCAGAGTCCTCCTGGGCCCTAGAGCAGAGGAGGCTGTTGTTGATTTTCATCTCCACTCAGGGAGGTGCGCAGAGCCCTGCGAGGGGTGGGCGTGGTCCTGGCCACCGCGCTAGGCTGCGCCTTCCAGGGCCTTAGCTGCACTTGCTCCTTGTGAGATCTGAGAGAGACTGTCTCACAGATAGAGCCTTCCTGCAAGGGGATATTGCTTCTTAAACTTGGTAATAGAGAAAAAGCTACTCATTAATGAAGACTTTGTACCTGCACTTGTTTTTGAAAGGTTCCTCGTGCTTATTAGAGGTTTTTAGGAGCTTACCTAAAGACAAAGGCTCTGTCTGTGAACCTCTGCCCACGCAGCTGGCCCTGGTGTACTCGGCTCCAAGGGCATGCACTGGGCGGTGTGCAGCTGGATGTTGGAGGTGCTTTGTGAAGCAGGCGGCACTGTGAGGCTTCACCTCTCTGGAGGCTGTAATTGTGAGAAAATTCCCAGGATTTGAGCTACTGTGTGTCACCCTGTCACCTGGGAAGCGGGGTTTGAAGTTAAGATCATATTCCGATTCAAAGCCTTCCAGCTCCGGGTGAGGGTGAGCAGACAGGTGTTTCCTAGAGGCCCTGAGAGGCGAGAGCACGGAGGAGAGACAGCCAGGGAGCATTCTCACTGTTCCGTTTTCCTTCTGCTGCTGGCCGCCCTGCCAGGCTCACCTAGGAACCGATTCTGAGAGGCCAGTGGTGGCTCGTGCTACGGAGAAGGCCTTTCACCAGAGGCAGGGTCAGGTCACCACAGGAGTGGCTTTGTCACCAGATCCGCAGGCTTACTCTTCCTTCCTGTGTTCGGATCCTGCGGCTGCCTTCAGCCCTGGCTTGCGCAGGCTCTGGGGAATCCTTTCTGCTCCTTCCCCCGCTTTGGTTGGGGAGCACACGTCTTGCATGTTTGTTCAGCCTCCGTGCTTGTGCGTGGCATGGACTCAACTCTCTGGGCCTGGTGTGGTCAGATCCCCGCAGGCACTGCCTGTCTTAGCCTTGTTGTTTTTGAGACTGTGTTGCTCCTGATGAATGACTGGGGTTGGAAAGGTCGGCTGAGGACACGGCGGCTCCTTGGAAACCCCAAGTCAGATAATTTCTCCAGAACCTGCTGTGGCCACTCAGGCTGTCGGTCAGCAGGGCTCGTTACTGTGGCTGAGCAGTTGGATGTAGGGGGACAAGTGGGCCGGGCCCCATGCCACCCAGCAGCAGCCCCGTCTCATGCAGAGGTGCTGCGCCAACCGAGCAGCCAACCTCAGCGGCGGGTGTGCAGCTCCCGTGATGTCTCCTGAAGGGGCGTGGGAAGGGTCACGTTTTAAAAATTAAATATTGTATGAAAATTATAAAATGCTCTTACATCCTTTCAAGAGTCTTTTTAGGTCTCACCCTTTTAGCCAGGCTGGAGTGCAGTGGTGCCGTCATAGCTCACTGTAGCCTTAAAACCTGCTGGGCTCAAGCCATCCTCCTGCCTCAGCCTCCTGCATAGCTGGGACTACAGGTGTGTGCCACCATGCCTGGCTAATTTTTTTACTGTTTTATGGAGACAGGGTCTCACTGTGTTTACCAGGCTGGCCTTTCAAGAATCTTGAAGGTACCAGAAGGTCTGATACTTGATCATTGTACTAACTTGTGCTTCTCCTGTAGTGAGAGTCAGGATCATGGCTTGGTCTACAAAACCAGCCTTTCTGGGGCACGTGTAGGAATCTGACACCACGTCAGCTCCAGGAGACCTGAGGGGGAGGTGGGGCCATTAGAATCCCGCTCCAGGAGCACACACACGGGCTCTGACGGGGGTACCCTGCACGGGTACAGGGAGTACCAACAGCCAGTGGTCTGGGGTCGAGGCTGTGAAACTGGCATTTTAGGTTGGTTTGAATGGCTCAGTGAGACCGGGCACTGTGGGTCACTCCTGCAATCCCAGCACTTTAGGAGGCTGAGGTGGGTGGATCGCTTGACCCCAGGTGTTCGAGACCAGCCTCGGCAACATGGTGAAACCCCATGTCTATGAAAAATATAAAAAATTAGCCAGGTGTGGTAGCGCGTGCCTGTAGTCCCAGCTACTCAGAAGCTGAGGTGGGAGGATTGCTTGAGCCTGGGAGGTGGAGGTTGTGTTAAGCTGAGATCATGTCACTGCACTCCAGCCTATGCGACAGAGTGAAACCTGTCTCAAGAAAAAAAAAGAAAGCTCAGTCCATTTTGTCCTCTACTGAGCATAATATCAAAAATTCTAGGACTTATTTTAGCATTGACTTTTATAGGCTACAGCAATGAGAACACAAAAAGGGTCAGTTCTTTTTAGCCGAACGGCTCTTAGTTATTTTACCAAGATGAATTTGAATTAGCCGTATGGTGGGAAATTCCACAGTCTCATCCTTGCTACTGTTTTGAATCTTCTAATTGGAATTTTTGTACAACCAAAGTGCTTTGATGAATGCCCATTGCTTTGGGAATGATTTGTATTGGCTGATGTCACACTTTAAGAAATAGGTAATTTGTGTTTTAACAGCACTGTGTGTTTTTTCAGGCAAGGATATCCTGAAGGATACTATAGTTCCAAAAGTGGATGGAGCAGTCAGAGCGATTACTATGCAAGCTATTACTCCAGCCAGTACGATTATGGAGGTATGTCAAGGAACTCCAAGCAGCTGGCCTTAGCAGGTGCCTTGTGCAAAAGACACTGATGACATGCAGCCCTGGCCAGCCAGCACCTGCTGGTGACTTCCAGGAAATGTCCCCTTTTATTAATCTCTTTATGTTTTTGCCCAAAAGCCAAAATAGTTGAAAATACTTTGTATTTGGAAATAATTATATTGATATTTTTCATTACTAAATTACATCTTAATCTTAGCATGAGTGCATCTTTGTCATATTGGCAGATTTCTCTGATTTTCTAGTGGAACATAACTAGCAGTTCGAGAGCTGCTGTGTCCACACGTGCCTTCGTAAACATAAACGGATGAAAAGGAAGTGAAATGAAAAACCATCTCCTCGGTCCCACCAGCCGTGTTTCCCGCACTCCTGACCACAGGAGGCTGGCAGCTGCTGCCTGGGGCGGTGTGGACATGGGCCACCCCACCGGGCAGCGACCTGGGTGCTCCCTGGCGACGTCCAGCTGCAGCCACATCTGTCCTCCATGCAGTGTGTGCGGCACAGTGGCCATGTCCCCGGGAAGAGCCTCCTCCGGTCACTCCTGCCCTGGCTGTGGCCTCTAGTGCTCTGGGCCCTGAATCCCCTTGACAAGTATCAAATATCCTCTTTGATATTTGCACCTGTTTTAAATATAAATTTAAAAAAGAAAAGACATCTTTAGAAAAGATGATAAAAGACCTTTTAAGAACTTTTTCTTAATACTTGCTAAAAACACTTGCTGAAAATGGTATATCCAGTTTGTTTAGAGCCCTTTTAAAGTAACCTTTTAATATTGAGATTATTTTTGAAAACCTTATGAGTCACATTAAGGAGAAGAAATAGTAGTAAAATTTACAGTTAGGGGATTAACTAGTCAAAAGCAGCAACCGTGAAAGAGAACTGGCTGGGCACAGTGGCTCACACCTGTGATCCCAGCACTTAGGGAGGCTGAGGTGTGGGAGAAGCACTTGAGCCCAGGAGTTCAAGAACAGCCTGCGAAACATAGTAAGACCCCATCTCTGTTTAAGAAAAGAAGAAGAAAAAGGACTTAATAAAGAAATCTTTTAGCACCTTTTCTAAAAATATTTTTTCCTTTTAATCTAAAACACTTGTATTGAGAGAAAAATCAGCCAGTTGCCTTTAGGTAGCTAGGGCCCTCCAGATCTCATGGCTTCCTGGTGTCGTGCTGGTTTCCAGGAAGAAGCTGGGTTTCTCGAGGAGTCCTTGGAGCATAAAGTCCTGGGGTGGTGTCGCTTCTTTAGTGATATCTGAGGCATTTCTTCTTTTGCATGTTACTGTATTAATCATTAATTCCTTGCTCACAGATCCAGGTCACTGGGATCGTTACCACTACAGTGCTAGAGTCAGGGACCCCCGCACCTATGACCGGAGGTATTGGTGTGATGCAGAGTATGACGCATACAGGAGAGAGCACTCTGCCTTCGGGGACAGGTTGGTGGAGCACCCCTGGGGAGGCAGAGGCTGGGGGCAGCCAGGGCGCGCTAGTGCTTCTCTGCCCTCATGTCTGGGTTTTAACAAAGAGCTGTGGTAGTTTGGGTGAGCATCTGCCTGATGTTTTGGTCCCTGTCTGAAAGGAAGGAGGGAGCAGACCCTCCCAGGGTTCCCAGCTTGGACTGTTAGAGGAGAACTGGCCTCAGCAAGAGGACTGTTCAGCACCTCTGGGAGCACCTGGGAGATTGGGCTCACTCTTTCTCATCGTCCCTTCTTACCGGTCGCGCCCTGCAGCCCAGAGAAGTGACCACACTGGAGACGCATTCGCAGTACTTCTCTAACGTTGCACGTCAGAGGGCCCTGAGTGTCGGGTGTGCTGTGTTGTGCCTCGGCCCCAGGGGTCTCGGTCTCAGCTCCTGGGCAGCTGCGTGGCACATGGGGACGGGGCCTCCGGCACTCCCATTCCTCTGCCTCTGTCCCCCGGCTTCCTCTAGGCCCGAGAAACGTGACAACAACTGGAGGTACGATCCTCGCTTCACGGGGAGTTTTGACGATGACCCCGATCCGCACAGAGACCCTTATGGGGAAGAGGTGGACCGGCGCAGCGTCCACAGCGAGCACTCGGCACGGAGCCTGCACAGCGCACACAGCCTGGCCAGCCGCCGCAGCAGCCTCAGCTCCCACTCGCACCAGGTACGCGGCGGCGCCTCACAGACACGCGGACGGTTGTGTTTAGAACCACCATCCTGTTTGCAATGTACCTAAAGTTTTACTGCTGTGCCTGGGGAATTGATTTTGCCCGTTTGCTTTGTTTTCTAAGAGTCAGATTTACAGAAGCCACAATGTGGCTGCCGGTTCCTACGAGGCCCCGCTTCCTCCAGGCTCCTTTCACGGCGATTTTGCCTACGGCACCTACCGCAGCAATTTCAGCAGTGGCCCCGGCTTCCCAGAGTATGGCTACCCTGCCGACACCGTCTGGCCTGCCATGGAGCAAGGTGTGTGCTCAGCAGGACAGAGGGATACCGGCTAACCCCACTGGGGCGGCCACCCAGCCTGGCATCTGAACACGGGAGTCAGGGCTGGGATTGGAATTGTGATGTCCTGGCCTGGCTCTGACCCAATCCGTCCTTCCGAGAAGCAGGGTGTGTCAGGACGGGCCGATGCTGTCTCTTCGATTGCAGTTTGGTTTAAGGCCTGAGAGCTGCCCTGCCTGCCCCGACATGCGTTTTAAAGTGTGACTCTGAGGACAGCTCATATCCAGGCTCTGGGCAGCCCCTGATCACATCCCCATCGCAGACCCCGTGGCTCAGCAGGCGTGCAGGAGGGAGCTGCTCATTCCCCTTGGAGACTCCGCTCCTGCAGTTGTCCCGCGTGTCAGTCAGAGTTCCCTTCCAGGATGCTCAAATGCTTTTTCTTGGCAAATTGCAGAAATATACGTAAAGATATAAAGTTACAGAATTTAATGGTAGGCTGAGTTTTTTTGTTTGTTTGTTTTTTGGTTTTTTTGAGATGGAGTCTCACTCTGTCTCCCAGGCTGGAGTGCAGTGATGTGATCTTGGCTCACTGCAACTTCTGCATCTCGGGTTCAAACGATTCTCCTGCCTCAGCCTCCTGAGTAGTTGAGATTACAGGTGTTTGCCACCATGCACAGCTAATTTTTGTATTTTTAGTAGAGATGGGGTTTTGCCATGTTGGCCAGGCTGGTCTCAAACTCCTGACCTCAAGTGATCCATCCTCCTCGGTCTCCCAAAATGCTTGGATTAGAGTGTGAGTCACTGTGCCCGGCCTTACTTTCTTAAAGTATTGTTTCAGTTAACATTTTTTCATTTCTTTTTTTTTAAGAGACAGAGTCTCACTCTGTCACCCAGGCTGGAGTGCAGTGGCACGGTCATGGTCTCTGTCTCCTGGGTTCAGGTGGCCCTCCTGCCTTGGATCCTTTCAAAGTGCTGGGATTACAGGCATGCACCACTATGCCTGGCTCCTTATTTTCTTTTTTGCTTGAGGTGTTTTGCTGTCCTTTTTGCTGGGTGCTGTGTGGTCATCGCAGTCTGAATTTGATTTTGTGAAAATGGAAGAGCTCGGGAGTGGGCCAGGCCTGGGAGGATTACGCACCGTGGCAGGAGCCTCAGGGCGGCTCATGAGGGTGTTGCGGGAGCTTTCTCAGTGTACAAGGGAACAGCTTTCATGCTTAATGATTCAGACATTTTTCTTTTCCTGACGTATGCTGAAGTTCTACTTTTAAGTATGATATTAAACAATTACCGACTTTTGAGTTGGAAGTCTGTCGTGATAAATCTAACCTGTGATTTAAGCTGTGTGAGCACATTGAAAATCTAGGCTCAGAAGCATCAGTGACAAGCTGATTGTTTCTTTTTCAATTTATTTTAAATGCAGTTTCATCAAGACCAACTTCTCCTGAAAAATTTTCAGTGCCTCATGTCTGTGCCAGGTTTGGCCCTGGCGGTCAGCTTATCAAAGTGATTCCCAATCTGCCTTCAGAAGGACAGCCGGCCTTGGTGGAGGTCCACAGCATGGAGGTAATGGCACACGCAGAAGCGTGGCGTCACTGCTCTGCTGCCCTGGGGAACTCTCTGCTTTGCAGTTTGTCATCTTCAATTGTCAGACCTTGTCTCTGGACATACGTCCTTGGAAAATGTTTATTCCTGTGAATTTTCAATTTGTAGGGTTTTTCTTCTATTTGATCATATATTTTTCCTCCTAGAAGTCAGTATTGTAAGCGTCTGCCTTGGGTGTTCAACGTGGTTTGATTGTATATGCATTTTCTGTCCTCGTTTTGGGGATGTTTGCTTTATTGGTGCTTTTCAATGATAGATGCAGTGGGTGGGCCCGGTGCTGCCCAGGTGAGGGGGGCGGGTGGGGTGGACGTGCACGGCGCTGCCGAGGTGACGGGGGCTGGCATGCGCCTCTTCCTGCAGCTTCTGCAGGCTTCTGTCACATGTATTGGGGTTCTGCCTCAGTATTTGGGGAGAGAAAATGGATTTCACTACTTAAAATAAAGTTTGAA
This sequence comes from Homo sapiens, assembly GCF_000001405.40. NCBI lineage: Eukaryota > Metazoa > Chordata > Mammalia > Primates > Hominidae > Homo > Homo sapiens. Next base: position 136,463,931 of record NC_000009.12, on the reverse strand, counting down.
ATCATGGCTGTGGTCCACACAGGCCATGTTCCATGTAACAGCCTCGACAGAGCCTTCACCTGCTGTGGGGCGGGGCAGGTGGGCCATGCCATCCTCTCCTCTCACGGGCAGCATCCGTGCCTGGGTTGGCCGGCCTGCCAGCAGGGTGGCTGCGCACTGGCTGCCACTGACCCACGGCCCTCTCCTCGTAGGCCTTGCTGCAGCACACGTCTGAGCAGGAGGAGATGCGGGCGTTCCCGGGACCCCTGGCCAAGTATGTTCCTTGTTGAGGCATTTCTTTGTGAGCCCGGCCTTGCAGACATCACTGCTCACTGTGTGTTCTTTCTGCAGAGACGACACCCATAAGGTGGATGTCATTAATTTTGCACAGAACAAAGCTATGAAATGTTTGCAGAATGAAAACTTAATTGACAAAGAGTCTGCAAGTCTTCTTTGGAATTTTATTGTTCTCTTATGCAGACAAAATGGGGTATGTTTCTTTCTACTTCTAGAGTGTTTCTTCTTGCTGGTCTTCATTTCGTCTTGGGAATGCTCAGCCTCCCGAAGGAGCAGGGCGGGATCCGCGTGGCCAGCTATGGGAGCCTCGAGGGCCCCCTTAGGAAGCACACTGTAGTGGCTGGGTAGGGAGGGAGAGGGAACGTGCGGTTGGGATGGGATGAGGTTTCAGCCCAGCCTTGCCAGCCTTTCGGGTAGTTGTGGGTCTGGCTGTGTCCAGGGTGGGGCTTTGTGCCTGTGGTGGTCCAACGCGTCCTCACCTGAGAGCCGTTGTTCTCCTTCCTGTTCCTGTTGACCCAAACAGACCGTGGTAGGGACCGACATTGCGGAGCTTCTGTTACGAGACCACAGAACAGTGTGGCTTCCTGGGAAGTCGCCCAATGAAGCAAACCTGATTGATTTCACGAATGAGGCAGTGGAGCAGGTGGAAGAGGAGGAGTCTGGTGAGGCCCAGCTCTCTTTCCTCACTGGTGGTCCGGCGGCTGCCGCCAGCTCGCTCGAGAGAGAGACCGAGAGGTTCAGGGAGCTGTTGCTGTATGGCCGTAAGAAGGTGCGCCTCCTCATCATGGCACCTGGCGCCTGCACATGTCCACTGGGTCGGGCCTGGTGCGGGGTTGCAGCCTTCAGGGAGGGACGTGGCCCCCTCTTGGGAGCATCCGCGCTGCAGTGTGGGGCTTCGGGTCTTGCTGTTTCCTGAACAATGCCTGACTCTTGTATGCCATCCTTCTGGAGGTGTTAATGTTGGTTTCCTTCTAACTGTTTCCAGTGTTGGAGACCTGCAGATTAAATTTTCAGTTATTCGATAAATGCACATGTTGAGCACAGGCCGTGCCCCTGCTGTGTGTGCCAAATCTCGGATGAAATGTGCATGACACAAGTTGTGGCATTCTCACAAAGTCAGACTCGAGTCCACAGCCCAGAAGTCATTGGGAGTTGGGAGGGCACACTGAACCTGTCAGAGGCGCAGTGCATGGAAAGGCCATGGGCAAGAGAGCAGCCAGTGCGTGTAGCGTCCAGTGACTGGGGTCACAGCAGCGTGGGGACTGGGGCAGGTGGGGGGCCTGAGACAGGAGCCTGCTCTGGGACAGTGGGGTTGGGGGGTCCATAGTGACTGCAGCAGTGACACTATGTGCACAGGAGGGGCTGTCTAGGGTGCATGATGTTTGCTTTGGATGTGCTAAGCAGGAGAGAGGCCAGTCTCAGAAGCATGTGTGGCCCTGAACAGCAGAGACATGGGATAGGCTGAGAGTTTTCTGTCCTTTTATATCATGATAAACTCAGAAAGGGCATATTTGACCAGTATTTTTATTTTTTTATTTTTAATTTTTTTTGAGACAGGGTCTCACTCTTGCCCAGGCTGGAGTGCAGTGGCGTGATCACAGCTTAATGTGGCCTCGACCTCCTGGGTTCAAGTGATCCTCCCATCTCAGCCTCCTGAGTAGCTGGGACTACAGCTGCATGCCACCACGCCTGGCTAACTTTTTTTTTTTTTTTGTAGAGACGGGGTTTCACCATGTTGCCAGGCTGGTCTCGAATTCCTGGGCTCAAGCAATCCGCCCACCTTGGCCTCCCAAAGTGCTGGGATTATAGGCATGAGCCACCGCGCCCGGCCTGATCAGTATGAGTCTATTATGGATGTTTTATAACTGATTGAAGTCATGTAACCTGTTAGCTTTTATTAACATCTTTCTCTACTGTAACGTTTTTGCCTCCCAGCCAGAAGTTCTAAATTATGCCCTGGATGATTTTGGTGAAAGGGGAGGCTGCCTTACTGGAGTCACTCTCCGTGTTGACAGGATATTCGCGGAGGCCTCCTGTTAGAACTGGGGAGTTGACTCGAGCGTGTTTCCCAGTGGATGGGGCGGCGTGGTGGGCAGCGCTGCGTGATTAGCCCTGTTTGTGATTAGCGTGCTTGTGTTTTATGCTGAAAATGGATAAAAGCAGCAAATATCTACAAATACCCACTACCACAGGGACTTTGAAACTCAGGAAAATAATGAATCGCTACGTGTCTTTAGTCTCCAAATGGTGAATAAGTGTGTTTTTGAGGCCTTTGGGTTGTTTGTGTATCTGCTGCTGCGTGAGGACACATGGCCTGTCTTGACTCATGTCACGTGAGCGCCGCCGATAACCCACCAAGGTCCCTGAAATGCCTTTTGCAGGATGCTTTGGAGTCTGCAATGAAGAATGGCCTGTGGGGTCACGCTCTGCTACTTGCAAGTAAGATGGACAGCCGGACACACGCCCGAGTCATGACCAGGTACAGTCCCACAGTGGCCTGGTCCAGTGGCGAGCCCTGCTGGCTCCCTGTAGCACGCGGCGTCCGCACCCTGGGGGCAGGCGGCAGGCGGATCTCACTTGACTGTGCTGTGCTCCCACACGAACTCGGGCTTCCTTGGCCTCGAGGCTTCCTTGGGTCGTGTTGTGGAGAGCTTAAAAAGTTTTTAATTAACTGCATGGTTTTTAGTACTTCATGTAAAATCTCAGTGAATTCCTCAGTCTTCATCTTTTATAGCTTTTTTTAAATTTTGAGTTTTGCTCTGTTGCCCAGGCTGAAGTGCAGGGGCGCGATCTCAGCTCACCGCAACCCCTGCCTCCCAGGTTCAAGTGATCCTCACGCCTTGGCCTCCCAAGTAGTTGAGACCACAGGCACCCACCACCACACCCAGCTAATTTTTTGTATTTTTAGTAGAGGTGGGTTTTGCCATGTTGGCCAGGCCGGTCTCAAAACTCCTAGCCTCAAGGGATCTGCCCGCCTTGGCCTTCTGAAAGTGCTGGGATTACAGGCGTGAGCCACCATACCTGGCCTTATCTTTTACAGCTTTTTTTTTTTTTTTAATATTGAGATAAGAAAGAAAAATAAAATATTGAGATGTGTGTACTTTGCCTAAGTGAAATATAAGTCTAATCATTACATCAGAGGGCTTAGGGCTGATTTTTTAAAAAATTTATTTTATTACTATTTTATTTATTTATTTTTTTGAGACAGAGTCTTGCTCTGTCACCCAGGCTAGAGTGCAGTGGCACGATCCCAGCTCACTGCAACCTCTGCCTCCTGGGTTCAAGCGATTCTCCTGCCTCAGTCTCCTGAGTAGCTGGGATTATAGGTGTGCACCACCACACCCGGCTAATTTTTGTATTTTTAGTAGAGATGGGGTTTCTCCATGTTAGTCTCTTAACTTCTGACCTCAGGTGATCCGCCCACTTTGGCCTCCCAAAGTGCTGGGATTACAGGCGTGAGCCATCATGTCCGGCCGGCTTTTTTCTTTTAGCTGAGCCAGCATGGGGTCTTTCTGTGTTTATGTCTGCCTAGGTTTGCTAACAGCCTCCCAATCAACGACCCTCTGCAGACAGTCTACCAGCTCATGTCCGGACGGATGCCTGCCGCGTCCACGGTGAGTGGCACTGCCTGGTGGCTTGCACAGGCTCCACTGCCTGTGTGGAGTTTGCTCGTGGGTGACGCTGTCACAGGCCGTGAGGTGCCTGGTGAGCCCAGCTGTGTGGAATTGAAATGGCGCTGGCTTCCGGGGATGAGGCTTCGTTTTGTTTTTCCTCATGTTAGTGCTGTGGAGACGAGAAATGGGGAGATTGGAGGCCGCACCTCGCCATGGTCTTGTCCAACTTGAACAACAACATGGACGTCGAGTCCAGGACGATGGCTACCATGGGCGACACTCTGGGTAGGTCAGGGGTGGAGATGGGCATTGGGTGTCGCGGATGGAGCGCCGAAGGCCCGGTTGTCTGTGGCGTTGGCAGAAATCACCAGAACCCGGCCTTCTCGGTCCGGCTGGCGTCTCTGGTGCCTTCTGTGCGCGTCCTTGACTTCTGCAAGCGCTCCCGGTCGCTGAGCCCCCGCCGTGTGTCGTGTCGTCTCTCCGCAGCTTCAAGGGGCCTCTTGGATGCGGCCCACTTCTGCTACCTCATGGCCCAGGCGGGATTTGGTGTTTACACGAAGAAAACTACAAAGCTTGTCTTAATCGGATCCAATCACAGGTAAAGAACCAAGTCAGTGTAGTCCTGTAAGTTTTCCTTTCAAAGTAAAACAAAATCCTTCTCCTTTAGTGAATTCAGAAATGGCCAGAATCATGTCTTTATTTGTCACGTGGTGGGACACACTTCTGGATGATTTGCTCCAAGGTTGACTATGCCAATAATTGGCCATTTTTTCCAAATCAAAATAATTCACTTCCTCTACAGTTTGCCATTCTTAAAGTTCGCAACCAACGAAGCAATCCAGAGGACGGAAGCCTATGAGTACGCCCAGTCCCTGGGTGCCGAGACCTGCCCCCTGCCTAGTTTCCAGGTAAGCAGGTGCTGCCAGCCTGCAGCTGTCATGGCTGGGCAGGCACTCAGTGCTAACAAGCTTTTGGCTACTTAGATTGTTTGAATTGGTATCGAAAAAAATGATGTGAGTTTTTTGGGGGAGGATCTTGAGAAGACATTTGATCTAAAATGCTAAGAAACAAGATCCCATTGAATTGAGGCTTTCCGTTTGCATTTGATTTCAATTATTTTCATGAGCTTTTTTTTTAAGGGAGACAGGGTCTCACTCTGTTGCCCAGGCTGGAGTGCACTGTTTTGATCACTCCCAGGCTCAAGTGATTCACCTCAGCCTCCAGAGTAGCTGGGACTACAAGCAGCACTACCATGCCACACTAATTTTTTTTATTTTTTGTAGAAAAAAACTGTGTTGCCCAGACTGATCCTAAACTCCTGGGCTCAAGCAGTCATCCTCTCAGCCTCCCAGAGTGTTGGGATTACAGGCGTGAGCCACCGCACCTAGCCTGTATGAGCTTTTTTTTTTTTTTTGAGACCGAGTCTCGCTCTGTCACCCAGACTAGAGTGCAGTGGCACGATCTCCGCTCACTGCAAGCTCTGCTTTCTGAGTTCACGCCATTCTCCTTCCTCAGCCTCCCGAGTAGCTGGGACTACAGGCACCCACGACCACGCCCGGCTAATTTTTTGTATTTTTAGTAGAGATGGGGTTTCACCGTGTTAGCCAGGATGGTCTTGATCTCCTGACCTTGTGATCTGCCCACCTCAGCCTCCCAAAGTGTTGGGATGACAGGCGTGAGCCACCGCGCCCAGCCGTACGAGCTATTTTTAATATTTGAGGGCGGTATTCTCTGATGCAGTGTGGGGGTGGTGTCTATAAAACATACATGAGAGGCTGAGCATGGCGGCTCATGCCTGTAATCCCAGCACTTTAGGAGGCCAAGGTGGGTGGATTACCTAAGCTCAGGAATTAGAGACCAGCCTGGGCAACATAATAACACCCTGTCTCTACAAAAAAAAAAAAAAAAAAATACAAAAATTAGCCAGGCGTGGCAGCATGCACCTGTGTTCCCAGCCACTCGGAGGCTGAGGTGGGAGGACTGCTTGAGCCCAGGAGATTGAGGCTGCAGTGAGCTGTGATTGTGCCACTGCACTCCAGACTGGGTGACAAAGTGAGACCCTGTCAAAAAAAATAAAAAAGAATGAAGTATCTAGAGAATGTCTGTGGAGCAGCTTAAGCTACACGGAAGGCAGTGGTCTCAGTGCCGTGCTCTTGGGGCGTTGTGACTGTGAGAGCCGAGTGGCCCCATGAAAGGGGTTGGGGGGAAAGCAGAGTGAGTTTGCTACCAGCTTAGTCGTTTACTTTGCTCTTGAAATCCCTTGGGGAACAGGGACTAGGACTGTGGTCAGCGGGCGTGGTGGGTGGGAGACGATGATGAGTGAAGTGTCCAGAAGAGTTCACAGCTCACAGGGCGATGCTCGGATGCAGGGGAGCCTCAGGGCAGTACAAGGCTTTGTCCATCGGCGATGCTCGGACGCGGGGGAGCCGCAGGGCAGCAAGGCTTCTGTCGTTTCAGGTGTTTAAGTTCATCTACTCCTGCCGCCTGGCGGAAATGGGGCTGGCCACGCAAGCCTTCCACTACTGTGAGGCCATCGCGAAGAGCATCCTGACGCAGCCGCACCTGTATTCCCCGGTGTTGATCAGCCAGCTTGTGCAGGTGCTGCCCCTGGCGCCTGTCCTCGGGATGCTGTGCTGACTGCAGGGAAGGAGGGCTTGCCAGAGCCCCCGGGCATGGGGGTAGCGATGGTTCAGACGCGCATTGTGGTAGGCGCTCAGAACCTGCCTCTTGGGCGGATAAAGATCTTTGAATGGCTTCGTGTTTTGCGTCTTAGCCTGGGAACTCTCAGGCACCGTGTGCCAGCACAGAGCCTTGGCAGCGAGTTTCACAATCAGAAGGAACTACCTGTAGGATACTCTTCTTTTATTGAGACGCAGTCTCACTCTGTCACCCAGGCTGGAGTGCAGTGTGGTGCAATCTCGGCTCAATGCAACCTCCGCCTCCCAGATTCAAGTGATGCTCCTGCCTCAGCCTCCCAAGTAGCTGGGATTACAGGCGCCTGCCACCACGCTTGGCCAATTTTTTGTATTTTTAGTAGAGATGGGGTTTCACCATGTTGGCCAGGCTGGTCTCGAACTCTTGACCTCAAGTGATGCATGCATCTGCCTTGGCCTCCCAAAGTGCTGGGATTACAGGCGTGAGCCACCACGCCCGGCCAGGATATTCTTATTTTGAGGCAATTTAGTCTGGTGGTTGATAGCTTAAGTGTCCAGAGTCCAGCAGCCTTTGCTTGAGTCCTGGCTGTACTGCTGCAGGCCTCAGTTTCTTCGCCTGTAAAACAGAGGCGGCATGACTGACGAGAGTATGGGAGGCGCCCGTGTTGCATCAGGATCTTCACCTCTTGTCAGTAGTTCCATTTGTGAGAACGTGCTCATGGGATACCCAAAAACTGTATTAGGGACATTTTTAGACCCATTTCAAAGTTCAGAGAGTCATTCATGCATGCGTCCTTAGGTGCTCATCCCCCACCTTAGTGGTTACGAACACAGGGCCAAACTTGTGTTCTGCCCCCTCTGTCCCGCTCTGCATCCCCCAAATTCCCGATGAAAGCATGCAGACATTCCTGGGGGAGTCCAGCTTTTGCTGAGTCAGGTCCACGTGGTCAGGTGGTAGTCTCGGGCCAGGCCTGTTCCAGGGGGGTGCCTAGCACTGCCAACCCAGTGCCCGTGGGCCAAGAGGTCGTCTACAGCAACTTCCCAGTCACCCAGCGTCCCATGTGCTGTGTATGTCACCTAAGCACATACTAGAAACATATAGGCAGCTAATTAAACTTTATTGCCAGTGAACACTGAAGCTGCATTGCCCGGCATTTTGAAGACGGCTCACTTGCCATCACCCGGTGGTGACAGGGGCCTTTGATTTTTGCCCGTGTCTAGATGGCTTCCCAGTTACGACTCTTCGATCCCCAGCTGAAAGAGAAGCCAGAAGAGGAGTCCTTGGCCGCACCCACGTGGCTGGTTCACCTGCAGCAGGTGGAGCGGCAGATTAAGGTACAGCCTTGGCTTGGGGTGGCACAGAGGCGTCTGGCAAGGTGGCTTCTGTCCCTGTCATTTCCACACTGAAAGTATGTATCTGTAAAGACAGTGTAACTGCAAACGTGTGCCTATGAGAATTCCCTAATTCCCCAGAAAGGGCTTTGAGTGCCTCCTGTCCTGAAGTAGGGACACAGCAAGCGCGGTGGTGGCAGGCGGGCAGCGCTGCAGAGCGGCCACAGGCGGCTTCCACAGGGCAGGTCTTGTTCTCCCTCAGGAGGGGGCTGGAGTATGGCATCAGGATGGAGCCCTCCCGCAGCAGTGTCCTGGCACTCCGAGTTCCGAGATGGAGCAGTTGGACAGGCCAGGACTCAGTCAGCCAGGAGCCCTGGGGATCGCCAACCCTCTGCTGGCGGTGCCTGCACCGAGCCCTGAGCACTCGAGCCCGAGCGTGCGGCTGCTGCCCTCAGGTGAGCCCAGGTGCGCGGCTGCTGCCCTCAGACAAGCCCCTGCTTCCTGTGGGCTGAGCCATGGCCTGCACCCTTGCCTCCTGGAGAACTGCTTTCAGATGTGGACTGTTGGAGGCAGTGTCTCACACCACCTCGGTGGTTGTGGGGCTCCTCGGTCTCCTCCCTCTTCCCTTCATGCTTCCTCCCCTGAGGAGCCCATGGAGGGGAGGCTCATGGCTTTCCATGTCCATAAATATCCATGTGCTGGCGACACTGCCCTGAGCGCCCGCTGCCTGCTCAGCCTCCCTGCTTGTTTCTCCGGGAGCCTCAGCCGCACCGTGTCTGGGCGGCGCCCTCGGCTGTGCCCCTCTGTAACCTGCTTCTCCCAGTCGGCCCCGTCGGTGGAAGGGCCAGCCCAGAGCTCCAGGGAGTCAAGTCCAGATGCCCCCTCCTCTCTCGCGCTTCTCGGCTTCCTTCGTCAGTGAACCTCACCAGCGCGGCCTGCACGCAGGTCCGCATGCCTGGATGAGCACGGGCTCCTTCCTGCTCGCCTCCTGCTTCTTCCCCAGACCCTCCAGACTCTCCATCTCACCTGAGGACAAGCCAGGGTCCTCACGGTGGCCACAGGCCCTCCAAGCTTGGCCCTGAGCCCTCCTGCCCTCGTGCCATGTCCACTCCCACGCTGTGGACCAGCCACACTCCTGATTTGGGCCCACTGCCCACCCTCCCTGCCTGATGTCCAGTCTGCTTCGTCCTCAGACACCGTTACCACTTCCTGGTTGATTGCTGTCCTTAGCGCTTTCTCTTACTCAGTTCATCTGTCCCGACCCCCATGAGGACCCAGCATTTCTTTTGTTGTTGAAGCATCCAGGGCCCAGCATGGTGCTGGTAGGCAGCAGCCCTCTCAGGTTTTATGTTGAGTCGGAAGAATGAAGGAATGAACGAGTGGCCTGTGTGACCCCTGGCCGTGGAGGAGGGGACTCGGGCCTAGCAGAGCTCTGTGCCAGGCGGCCGCCATGGGCTTGCGTGTGGGCCGGGCCCTGGAGCCCGCGTGCCGCTGTGACTGCTCAAGTGCCCCTCCCCTAGAAAAGGAAGCGGATACTCTGCTTTTCTGCAAACCACGGATGGTGCGGTGGGGTGGTGGCTTCAGGCTTTCTGCTCTGTTGGACCTCCCTTATAAAAGAAATGGGGCTGTACAAAATAACTTGTCATAAACACGTCGAGTGTCAGCTCCTTCCAGTAACTCAAGCTACCCTCAGTAACCCCAGACCTCTTCTCCACCGTTCCCATGCAGCTCCGCAGACGCTCCCTGACGGCCCATTGGCCAGTCCTGCCAGAGTGCCGATGTTCCCAGTGCCACTGCCCCCGGGGCCCCTGGAGCCGGGTCCTGGCTGTGTGACCCCAGGGCCTGCACTTGGCTTCCTGGAGCCCTCCGGGCCTGGCCTCCCACCTGGTGTGCCACCTCTGCAGGAAAGGAGACACTTGCTCCAGGAAGCCAGGAGCCCAGACCCAGGTGGGGCTGCAGAGATGCTGTCTCGAGAGCAGAAGCAGCATGGGGTGTGGTGTTTGTGGGGATTGGTGGAAGAGATTGAAGTTATTTGAGCTTGAAACAACTTACATTACTTGTCTTAACGTAGACCAGAAATTCTGGAAGTTACAGACTGGATGGGTTCAGAGTCTCACTACAACAGCAGTGTTAATGCCAGTTCCTTTTGTAACTTGGCTTTTTGTTGTGAAGCTTAAATGGCCATTTGGGGCAGGGCATGGTGGCCATGGGTCTCCTGGGGTCTGTCTTTAGACGGCCCTGCTGGACGCCTGGTGAGATGCACAGGGGCAGGTCATGAACTGTCTGGAACTCGATTTGGTGGATCTTGTCCCTGGTCTGTGCCTATGTCTACATGTGTGTATATGGACAAAGCAAAACATAGGCCTAGTTTTAAAAATGAAAGAGTGTGCACACATGTGGGAAGATGTTCAGCCTTGGTTTCTGCAGATCATGCTGGTGTGGCGGTAGCTGGGTGGGAAGGTGGTGTGCCTGTTGATCTGTGCGCCACACACACGTCCCGCCTTCTCGTGACTGAGATCATAGTTGCTCTCTTTCCCGTTGACAGGGATAGTGCCGCAGGAGGCGCCTGTTGGAAACTCACTTTCCGAGCTAAGCGAAGAAAATTTTGATGGAAAATTTGCTAATCTGGTACTTTGTCACATTTTCTTAAACTGTTTGTTTTCCATAAAGTTCATCGAGTGGGCACCCAGACTCCTTGTTGAGTTGTAAGATGATGGTAGTGAGGACTATGAAATTGTTTCTAAAATTGTTTCTTAAAGTGAAAGTGCTTCTAAATAGCTTTCATCCTTAAAATATGAAGAGTTGGTGAAAACACTGGCAGGGAAAGATGGGGAAGAGAGAATTCAGTAGTGTAAAAACAGTTACTTTAAGTAGAAGAAATACCCAAATATCATGAAATCCCCTTATTAATTTTAATTCTTCCAAAATGGGTACCTTCTCTGATTTCTACATCTCTTTTTCTTTTTTTTTTCTTTTTTTTTTTTTTGAGACAGATTCTTGCTCTGTCGCCCAGGCTTGAGTGCAGTGGTGCGATCTCGGCTCACTGCAACCTCCACCTCCTGGGTTCAAGCAGTTCTGTGCCTCAGCCTCACAAGTAGCTGGGACTACAGGTGTGTGCCACCATGCCCGGCTAGTTTTTGTATTTTTAGTAGAGATGGGGTTTCACCATGTTGGCCAGGCTGGTCTTAAACTCCTGACCTCATGATCTACCCGCCTCAGCCTCCCAAAGTGCTGGGATTACAGGTGTGATCCACCAAGCCTGGCCTTTTTTTTTTTTTTTTTTTTTCCCTAAGACATAGTTTCGCTCTGTCGCCTAGGCTGGAATGCAGTGGCGCCATCTTGGCCACTGCAACCTCCGCCTCCCAGGTTCAAGTGATTCTCCAGCCTCAGCCTCCCAAGTAGCTGGGACTACAGGCATGTGCCACCATGCCTGGCTAATTTTTTGTATTTTTTGGTAGAGACAGGGTTTCGCCATGTTGGCCAGGCTAGTCTCGAACTCCTGACCTCAAGTGATCTGCCTGCCTCAGCCTCCCAAAGTGCTGGGATTAAGGTGTGAACCACTGCACCTGGCCATCTCTTTTTTTTTTTTTTTTTTTTTTTTTTTTTGAGATGGAGTTTCTCTCTGTCGCCCAGCCTGGAGTGCAGTGGTGCGATCTTGGCTCACTGCATCCTCTGCCTCCCAGGTTTAAGCAATTCTCTGCCTCAGCCTCCTGAGTAGCTGGGACTACAGGCGCCCACCACCACACCCAGCTCATTTTTTTTTGTATTTTTAGTAGAGATGGGGTTTCACCATCTTGGCCAGGCTGATCTTGAACTCCTGACCTCATGATCCACCTGCCTCAGCCTCCCAAAGTGCTGGGATTACAGGCATGAGCCACCCCGCCCAGCCCGGCCGTCTCTTTTTCTACAGTAGAATTTCTTTTCTAATTTTTTGATCTCACAAGAGGATGTCCTGGAATTCAGTAGAATTTCTAACATTGTCACTGGTTTTCCTGAAAGTGAGATTTATCTCATTAGACATGTTTGGTATAAATACCTCCTCTGTTTGCTCTACTCCTAACCAGGAGGGATGGTTGCTTTTATACAGACCGCATTCTGGAACCTTCTTTACAGATACCCAGCCCTTCACGGGCATCCCATCAGTAGGCGATTGCTATAGTTTGAACTTGCATTAGGTGTTTTACCCTTTAAAATACTGTGTCCCTGGAAAAGTAAAAATGAGGGTTGAGCTATTAAAAATTGGGACTTGACCCAGGAATAAATATTTTTAAAAATCATTGTATCTTTGAGAACACCCATCGCCCCCCTCTGGCCAGTCTTCCCTCAGTGCATGCTCACACTCCGTTTCTTCCAGCCCGGAATCTCCATCGAACGCCCTCATTTGCATTCTGAGTGCTGAGTGCTCCCAGACGGAGCTGCTTATTAAGTGCGGCTGGCTCTTCTCTAGTCAGGCCAGGTAGAGGCTCTGGGAGGCCCAGTCAGGGGGCTGCTCTCCCCAGCCCCCTTCCTGCCTCCCTCTGGTCACCAGAGTCATCCGGCCTCTCAGTGATGTATTTAGGAAACACGCCTGGGGAATTGCATCCCCCTCTCTCTTTCGGTTCCTGTGAGGAGCCCCAGGAGAGCCTGTTCTGCATTTCCTTGCGACAGACCCCCTCGAGGACGGTGCCAGACTCGGAGGCCCCCCCAGGGTGGGATCGTGCCGACTCGGGTCCCACGCAGCCACCTCTGTCTCTCTCACCCGCTCCCGAAACAAAGAGACCCGGACAGGCAGCCAAGAAAGAAACGAAGGAACCTAAGAAGGTAGTACAGCCTGCCCACGGTGCGCCTGGCGGCCGGGAGGGTTTGGGCAGGAGGCACGCTTCCCAGAGCGCCATCCTCTTAATTCACCACACATGCAAATAGCCTCCTGATACAAACAGCCGAGTGTCTACAGTGCACACGGCATGATGGGTGTCTGTGTATTTGTGCCTTCAGATAATAGGATAATAGCCCACCCAGGTCAGCATGGGGACACAGCCCGGCCCCCAGAGGTCGCCTCTGGCCACTACCTGTCAGACCCACCCGCAAGGGACCAGACGGCAGCCGCTGCTTTGTCACTGTGGTGTGTGCCTGCTGCCGGCTCACAGATCCTTTCTCCCAGCCGTGGACTTTGGGACTGCTTTCAGTGTGGGGCTGGGATCCGTCAGGCCCCAGGAGCCTCCTTGCCTATCTATTGGCGAATGCGCTTGTTTTTCTTAGGTGCGTGCCAAGGAGCTGAGGGTTTAGCTCGCAGGATGAGCGTGTGTTCAGCTTTAGGAGACACTGCTGAGCAGTTGTCCTAAATGGTTGGTTGCCCCAAGTCACACATCCTGCAGCAGAGGACAAGGGCCCTGGATATCCCTCATCTTCACCAATACTGGGCAGTGCCGGTTCTTTAACTTAGCCATTGTGCTGGGGCTGATGACATCTCATTGTGTCTTCCTCTGCATCTCCACAGCGAGGTGTGACGCTGGGCACCTTCTCGTGTCCCTGTTACCATCTCACCACTCTTTTGGGGCAGTGCTTGTTCAAGTCTCTATCCGTTGTTTTTTTTTTCCCCCATAAAGATGGGGTCTCACTATTGCCCAGGCTGGTCTCAAACTCCTGGGCCCAAGTGATCCTCCTGCCTCGTAGCTGGGACTGCAGGTGTAGCCACCACACCTGGCTTTCCTTTCCATTTTTAATGGTGTTCTCTTCAGGACTTGCAGGAGTCCTTTCTGTATTATGGATATAAGTCCTCTGTTAGGTGTATTTATTGTGATATCTTCTCCCAATCTGTAGATTGCCTTTTTACTTGTAATGGTTTTTTGTTTGTTTGTTTGTTTGTTTGTTTTGAGACAGGGTCTCACTCTGTCAGCCAGGCTGGAGTGCATTGGCATGATCTTGGCTCACTGCAACCTCCGCCTCCCAGGTTCAAGCAATTCTCCTGCCTCAGCCTCTCCAGTAGCTGGGATTACAGGTGCCCACCCCACTCCCAGCTAATTTTTTGTATTTTTAGTAGAGATGGGGTTTCACCATGTTGGCCAGGCTGGTCTCAAACTCCTGACCTCAAGTGATCTGCCTGCCTTGGCCTCCCAAAGTACTGGGATTACAGGTGTGAGCCACCATGCCCGGCCTAGTAATGGTATTTTATGAAAAATATCATTCTTCATTTTAATAAAGTTCAGTGATCAGATTTTTCTTTTATGGCTGCTGTCTTGAAAATAAACACACATTTAATTCCAAATTTGTGTGAGCTCTGAGATAAAACATGATACTTGAGCAGGTTTCCAGTGCATAGGCTATCACAGGCCTCCCCGGGACAGCTTGTCTGGCCAGTAGAACTCACAGAGAAACAGAATTGAGGGTGTGTAGTAGCTGCTGAGGCTTCTCCTCTTTCTTCAGTAGAAGTGAAGTGCATCAGGCCGGGCATGGCGGCTCACACCTGTCACCCCAGCACTCTGGGAGGCCGGGCGCAGCAGCTCCTGCCTGTCACCCCAGCATTCTGGGAGTCAGGGTGCGGCGGCTCACGCCTGTCACCCCAGCACTCTGGGATGCTGAGGCGAGCAGATCATGAGGTCAGGAGTTCACGATCAGCGTGGCCAAGATGGTGAAACCCCATCTCTACTAAAAATACAAAAATTAGCCATGCATGGTGGTGGGTGCCTGTAATCCCAGCTACTCAGGAGGTTGAGGCATAGAACTACTTGAACCCGGGAGGCAGAGGTTGCAGTGCGCCGAGATCGCGCCATTGCACTCCAGCCTGGGGGACAGAGCGAGACTCTGTCTCAGAAAACTAACAAACCAAAATGAAGTGCATCATGTGAAGAATAAAGTAAAGTTTCCTAATAACCGAATTCTCCACACATGGGAAACACAGAGGGCTGTATCTGCCTCCGACACACACTGACTTGGACAGCCCGCCTTCCACTTCTCAAAGGGGAGGACGTCGGAAGCTTTGTCAGTGTTTAGACGTAAAAAGTTCCTGAAGGCACGTTACTGTTCTGACCTATTTAAATGACAGTAAAATACACAGAACAAAATGCACATTTTTACCATTTTCTGAGTGCACAGTTCTGTGGCACCAAGTACATTCACACTGTTGTGTTGCCATCACCACCATCCATCTCCAGAACTGTCTCACCTTCCCAAACAGAAACTCTGTCTCCTTGAAACGAAACAACTCCCGGTTCCCTCCCACCTCCATCCTCCTGGTGTCTCTGGATCTGCTTCCCACCTCCATCCTCCTGGTGTCTCTGTGGATCTGCTCCCCACCTCCATCCTCCTGGTGTCTCTGTGGATCTGCCCCCCACCTCCATCCTCCTGGTGTCTCTGTGGATCTGCCCCCGACCTCCATTCTCCTGGTGTCTCTGGATCTGCTCCCCACCTCCATCCTCCTGGTGTCTCTGTGGATCTGCTCCCCACCTCCATCCTCCTGGTGTGTCTGGATCTGCTCCCCACCTCCATCCTGGTGTCTCTATGGATCTGCTCCCCACCTCCATCCTCCTGGCGTCTCTGTGGATCTGCTCCCACCTCCATCCTCCTGGTGTCTCTGTGGATCTGCCCCCCACCTCCATCCTCCTGGTGTCTCTGTGGATCTGCTCCCACCTCCATCCTCCTGGTGTCTCTGTGGATCGCCCCCCACCTCCATCCTCCTGGTGTCTCTGTGGATCGCCCCCCACCTCCATCCTCCTGGTGTCTCTGTGGATCTGCTCCCCACCTCCATCCTCCTGGTGTCTCTGTGGATCTGCTCCCACCTCCATTCTCCTGGTGTCTCTGTGGATCTGGCGACTCTGGGGCCTCACAGAAGTGGGTCATGTAGAATTTGTCTTTTTGCCCTGGCTTATTTCATGGAACATAATGTTTTCAAAGTTGTTCTCGTGTTTTTTATATTTAGGGTGAATCCTGGTTCTTTCGTTGGCTACCTGGAAAGAAAAAGACAGAAGCTTATTTGCCAGATGACAAGAACAAATCGGTGAGTGCTGTCAAATACGCACGGGACGTCCGAAGAATTGTAATGATTTTTCTGTCACTTTCAGAGCAGACCTGAGTAGGTGTTTCCTGAAGTTTTGAAGTGTCATCATTAATCAGATGCTAATTCTGTTTAGGTTCAGTCTGCTGACCTTTTTTCTTTTTAAAATCTTGGCAGATTGTTTGGGATGAAAAGAAAAACCAGTGGGTGAATTTAAATGAGCCAGAAGAGGAGGTAAATTGTCATTCTAGTTCCTGTTGGGTGTGAGGTGTGAGTGGAGGGAACAGCCTCATGTGGCCCTGTGATATTTGGGTGGCTGTTGCCCCTTTTGGAGCCTCCTGACTGTGCCATCCCAGTGGGTTTCTGTGCACACAGTGGGTGTCTGAAGCTGTGTTTCCCTCTGCAGAAGAAAGCCCCGCCCCCACCTCCAACCTCGATGCCCAAGACTGTGCAAGCTGCCCCGCCTGCCCTCCCAGGGCCTCCTGGAGCCCCCGTGAACATGTACTCTAGAAGAGCAGGTAAGGGTGGCCTTGGAGTGGGAGCTTGCTTGAACGATTAACTGTCCCAGAGAGAGAGGCCAATGTGTAGCTGTTGTGCGTGGGGAGGAGGTGGCTTCCCGCACGTCCCTGCGTGCTTTTCCTCTGACGCAGTGAGCGCAGAGCATTTGGAAGCTGGAGGCCACCTGGCGCGTTCACCTCAATTTGCTTCCCTCCCCTTTGCAGCAGGAACCAGAGCTCGCTACGTTGACGTCCTGAACCCAAGCGGGACCCAGCGGAGCGAGCCGGCTCTCGCTCCTGCGGACTTTGTCGCTCCACTCGCGCCACTCCCAATTCCTTCTAACTTGTTCGTGCCAACCCCAGGTAGGTAGCACGAGCACCAGCCCCTCCAGGTCAGCCCCCAGTCTCCTGACCTTTGATCCTCTTTCTATGAGTCTCTCCTAAATCTCCCGTTAAAAGAATGACCTGGCCAGCATGCAGAGAGCCTGGGGTTGGTTTGTGGTTTTTTTTTTGATTTGCCTGTTTCTGCATGAGTGTGCCGCGTGTGCAGTGTGAAACTCTCTTCCTCTCGGAGTGTCTTCAGTGAGACCCCAGGGACGTTCGGGACGGAATGATGGCCTCCTCGCTCTCTCATCCCCAGATGCAGAAGAACCACAGCTTCCAGACGGGACTGGCAGGGAAGGGCCTGCAGCAGCTAGGGGCCTGGCCAATCCAGAGCCTGCCCCAGAGCCCAAGGTGAGCGGGTACGGTGGGAAAGGGGAAAGGTACCCAGTGAGGAGGCACCTCCCCATCCTGCCAGACAGGGCCTTGCCTTCTGCAAGTCAGTATCCAATGTGTACGTAGAGTGTTCCGCCTTAAACGCCTCACACTTATGTATGGTAGAGACGGAAGGTAGAATGCAGGGTGCCGGGCGGGACAGAGCTGTTTGGGAAGACGGAGATCTGGGGATAGTGGCGGTGATGGTTGCTCAGCACGGTGAATGTGCTTAAAACTTAAAAATGATTAAAGTGGCAAATTTTACAGTATGTATATTTTACAATTTTTAAAATTGGAAAAAGTAAAATTAATTACTCTAAGTTACAGAGAAATTACCTACCGATAATAAAAGTTAAGTATATTTTCATCCAAAAAAAAAAAACAAAAAACAAATGACTCCCATGTGAAGTAGAACAGCTCAGACCAGTCGGGAGTGGTGGATGATGCCTGTAATCCCAGCTCTTTGGGAGGCTGAGCTGGGCGGGTCACCTGAGGTCAGGAGTTCGAGACCAGCCTGGCCAACATGGTGAAACCCCATCTCTACTAAAAAAAAAACAAAATTTACCTGGGTGTGGTGGCGGGTGCCTGTAATCCCAGCTACTCAGAAGGCTGAGGCAGAAGAATCGCTTGGACCCAGGAGGCAGAGGTTGCAGTGAGCTGAGATTGCGCCATTGCACTCCATCCCGGGCAACAGAGCCAGACTCCATCTCAAAAAAAAAAAAAAAAAAACCAGCTCAGACTGCACTCTGTACGGTGGGACAGGCCTGGGCCTAATCCTGTTCTCCATTCATCAGCTGTGTAAAGCATGGGGCAGTCACTCACCTGTCTAAGCCTCAGTTTTCCCCTCTGTAAAATGGGAATAACAGTAGCCCCAGATTGCAAGCCTGTCATGGGCACACACAGGCACCTGGTAGAGAGCTGCAGGGGTCTAGAGTCAACAGGGTTGTGCGGCTGGACCCACGTGTGAGGCACTTTTCACTTCTCTCTGAGGAGCACTTTACGTGGAAGAGGGCGTTTGTAACCCAGGCCAGAACAGTTTCATATTTTTTGGCCTGGTGTGAGAGACTTAAATTCCCTGGGATTTGGTTGCTGCAATTCTTCTTTTCCTCGGCAGGTTTTAAGCTCTGCAGCGTCACTCCCTGGCTCTGAACTCCCCTCCTCCAGGCCTGAGGGTTCCCAGGGAGGAGAGGTAAGGAGTGCCGACGCCAGGGCCCCCCGCAGCCCAGGCCTCCCCAGCAGCTCACTGTCCAGGCGCCTCTTCCTTTATGGAGGGGCGGTACTGGGTAGGAAGAGGCAGTTTAGAAACAAGAGCACCTCGAAGGTGGTGTTCCTGGGGGAAAAAAAATTGCACTTGTTTTAACAAAACTGTTTGGGAGCTCCAGGAGGGGTGCAGGGGGTTTGAGTTGTCGCCTCAGTCCCGGTCCTCTCCCTTCAACAGCACGGGAATTGTCTTGAATTGTGAGGTGTCAGGAGGTGAAGCTGGCTTAGGCCGAGGCTGGACTTTTCCTCCCAGCCCTCCCCTAAGCTAATGGTTGTTTCGGGATAACAGCTTTACATTAAGACAGGAATCTTAAGCTAACACTGGCTTTTTTTTCCCTTTTGAGTTATGTTGATTCTAATGGCATCACAAAGCTTTTGAAATGGAACTGACAGCTTGGATTGGACAGTGACGTGCATGTTGACTTTCGTCCGTGTTTTATGTGTGTTCTTGCTGTTTTGTAGCTTTCGCGCTGTAGTTCAATGAGTTCATTATCACGTGAAGTGAGCCAGCATTTTAATCAGGTACCTGCGGCTGGTGGTCCTCACTAACATGAGAGCTGGCGTGTGCCGCCTGTGTTCCTGAGCACGCGGTGCCGGTTCGCCACGTGCGCTTTGCCACTAACCTCGCCCGTTGTCTCCCTCAGCGTCACGTGACCAAGGGTACAGGGTTCCTTTTTTTTTTTTTTTTTTTTTTGAGACGGAGTTTCGCTCTTGTTGCCCAGGCTGGAATGCAATGGTGTGATCTCAGCTCACCGCCACCTCCACCTCCTGGGTTCAAGCCATCCTCCTGTCTCGGCCTTCCTGAGTAGCTGGGATTACAGGCATGAGCCACCACGCCCAGCTAATTTTGTATTTTTAGTAGAGACGGGGTTTCTCCATGTTGGTCAGGCTGGTCCCAACCTCAGGTGATCCGCCCGCCTCAGCCTCCCAAAGTGCTGAGATTACAGCAGTGTTCCTTTAAATGGCCTTAAAGGGGGTTTTGCTGTTCAGTCTCCACATACATGGGGCAACTGGATCGACCCTGAGGTGTCCTAGTCAATGAGTGGGTTCTGTCATTTTGCTCTTTCCAAATTGGTTTTTCCAATGACGGGCCTGGGTCGTGGCCTCGCCGAGTGAGTGTTTCCCCGGTCAGGATGCTCTCCTTTGGAAGGAAGATTGCTCCTTTCTGATCAAGCATGAGAACGTTGGTTTGAGGCCGGGGCGGGTGCAGCAGTGACCTGCGGCCAATGTGGGAGGGAGGTGAACGAACGCTTCATCTTCTGCCTGTCCAGGCACCAGCTGCAGCCGTGGCTCAGCAGAAAGGCTTGCAGCGACCCTTCCGCCTGCAAATGAGAGCCCTGGGCCTCGTGTCATGGCTGGAGCCTTAGAGCTGCAGCCGTGGGCACCTCCTCACCACCTCGCACGCTCGGTGCCACCTCAGTGCTGTGTGCACCTTCCCATTGCATGTTCCGGTGCTTAAAACATTGGCTCTGCACGTTGCTTTGATTTTCACCATTTTTCTCTGAACCATTAAATAACTAAATCCAGTGTTGCAAGAAGTGTCTTGGATCTGCTTCTGTAGCTTATGTAAAAGTACTGTAAATCCCACCCAGAAGCGGTGTCTGTATCTGCACTTGAAGTGACAGCTGCTGTGCAGCGCAGCCCTGCTGAGGTGACTTCTCTGTGCTTCTCAGGCTCCTGGCGACCTCCCTGCTGCAGGGGGCCCTCCCAGCGGGGCCATGCCCTTCTACAACCCTGCTCAGCTGGCACAGGTGAGTGACTCCTACCTTTCCCTACGAGACCCTAACACGCCCACTGACGACCTGACCCTGCTGCTCAGTGATGGCAGCTTTCTGCCCTAGATCCTCTTTTTCTTTCTTTTTAAAAAATATATTTATTTATTTATTGAGACAGGGTCTTGCTCTGTTGCCCAGGCTGGAGTGCAGTGGTGCGATCTCTGATCTCAGCTCACTGCAGCCATAACTTCCTGGGCTGAAGCAATCCTCCTGCCTCAGCCTCCTGAGTAGCTGGGACTACAGGCATGGTCAGCACACCTGGCAAATTTTTTATGTTTTGTAGAGACGGTCTCACCTTGTTGCCTAGGCTGGTCTTGAACTACTAGGCTCAAGCGATCTTCCCACCTCGGCTTCCCAAGGCACTGGGATTACAGGCTTGAGCCACCGTGCCCAGCTTCTCTTTTCTGAATGAAAGTTGCACACCTACTGGGTGGCAGTCCACAGGGCACTGTGAGGAGCCAGGCTGGGCCCTCCCCGGCTGCCATTTCTCCCTTTGTGTGGACACCAGGCCCACCGTGCTCAGCTCTGCGTGGACACCAGGCCCGCCGTGCTCCCGTGTGGAGCTCTGTCGACACGAGGCCCTCCGTGCTCCTGTATTCGCTTTGCCTTTTCCTAGGTTGTAGTTTGTAAAATGTGCTTGGCTTTCTACTTGTGTATCCCTCATTCAGCCCCCAGCTCTGCCACGTCTGCTATTCTGTTCTCCTGGAGCCCGTGGTCTCTGAGCCGAGCGTGATCTCTCCTCCCTTGGCCCGGGCACCCGGGTCTCCCCGGAGTGGGTCCCCCAGCTTTGGAATCCTATGTTGCTGCCTTTCTTAGTTACTCTGTTTGTCTTGGTGACACACATCCTCTGGTAGCTCTTGCTTTTTTTGTATGTTTTTTATTTCTTTTTCCTAATAGCTTCTTGACAGAAAGGTCCCAGGGTGACTTGGGAGATGCCTTTCACGTCTGGAGCTGCCTTTCTCCTCCGGCCTATCTGGCTGGCTGGTAGAATTCTTGGGCCAAAGTCACTTTCTTCAGAACTGCAAGTGGCCTTAGGTTTCCTGCTGCCTGTGGTTGCTGAGACCCCAGGGCCGTTCTGCCTGCAGCCCCTTTCAGGGTCCGTTTCCCTGGGACCTGGAGGGCTTCACCCTCAGCCCCCTTGGGCCTGACTGCATGCCCTTCAGCTGGGGAGTGTTCTAGAATGTTTCCTGTGGTTTCCCTCCCTCAGCCTCGTCTCTCCTCCCCTCTCCCTTGCCTGTGGAGTATAGACTGGCTGCCAGTGTAGGGGAGCTGAGCGGGGTCCAAGGTCTGGGGCCTCTTGGGATTCAGCCCCATTGTCACCCCAGCCTGCCCTCACAGCCTCACACACTCTTGACTGCAGGCTTCCTGGGCTGGGGCCCAGCACTCCTGCCCTGGTCCTCTACAAACGAGGCCGAGGCTCCCAGGACCACTGCCCCCAAGCTGGCCCCTGGCTGTCACCTGCTTTTCAGCATCCAGACTAGTCGATTTTGGTATTGTCCTGCTCCCTTTACCATGTGGTTAGTGCCTTTACAAAAATTCCTTGGCTTTCCCCTCCATGAGGCTTTGCGAGGGAGCAAGAGTGGATGCCTGCATTGGCCAGCTGTCTGCAACTGAGGTCCCCGCGTCCCATGCAGTAGGCCAGGCCTGGCCACCACTTGTCCCTGGACTCTGGACAGCCAGGCTGGCTCTGCAGAGCAGCTCCAGGTCTCATGGCCCTGATGAAACCACGGCACCTCCTGGCCACCCTCACAGTAAACATTGATGGTTAAGGATACAGTGCTTTCAAGGGAGCCCAGGACTTGGCACTGACTTGTCGGTTTCCAGAGGCTTTTGGAAACAAAAACGAAGCCTTCAGCTTGTCAGCGCCAATGGCCCGTGTGGTTCATTATGTGGACCAGCCCCTGCCACGCTGCAGCCGAGCACTGCTCACCCTGGGGGCAGGCATGCAGAGGTCATGCTGTTGATTTCATTCCAGGCCTGCGCCACCTCCGGGAGCTCAAGGCTAGGGAGGATTGGCCAGAGGAAGCACCTGGTGCTGAACTAGGCTTGCCCTGCTGTGAACTTGCACTTGGAGCCCTGACGCTGCTGTTCTCCCCGAAGAACCCGACCGACCTCCGCGATCTCCGTCCCGCCCCCAGGGAGACACAGCAGTGACTCAGAGCTGGTCGCACACTGTGCCTCCCTCCTCACCGCCCATCGTAATGAATTATTTTGAAAATTAATTCCACCATCCTTTCAGATTCTGGATGGAAAGACTGAATCTTTGACTCAGAATTGTTTGCCGAAAAGAATGATGTGACTTTCTTAGTCATTTAGGATGATTTAAGGATATAGTATTCCTGGTCATTTAAGAATGTTCATTCATTGAAGCCGGAGCTGTCTCTGCCACAGGAGAGCCACATGGTCGGTAGTAACCAGGGCCTCTCCAAGCCCAGCTGTGAGTCACTGCCCAGTGAGTCCCGCGCTTCCTTTAAGGTGCTGGGAGCAAAGAGAGGGTGACTGAGGCAGACCCCAACCCCTGCTCTGCACCATCTGGGCCCTCGCCGTGTTTGAACCTGGCTGAATGAGTGGAGGGCGCTGTGTTCTCAATCAGCGCCTCCGAGGAGCCGTGGGGTTCCTTCGGCATTAGTTCACGGTTTTTGAGAGAGGCCTTAGTTACTGCAGTGAATTTCTTTCCTGTTGCAAAGACGCTTCCAGCCTCACTTTACTTTCTGTGGCCTGATGAGGACCATGGGTGATTTTGTGTACCCAAAGCGCTGGGGACTGCCCACCGTGTGGCCCAGTCACTGGGAAGGAGCCCCAGAGAGCCGGCTGTCTGACATGATGGCTCAGGGTGGTCATCCAGGTTGAAAACTGACCGTGTGATGTTTGATTTGGGCTTCATTTCGTGTGTAGGAGCACGGTTAGACTCACTGTTAAGGAAGCTGGATGCACTTCTCTAAAAGGCTGCACTTTCCGTGAGCACTTTTCGTGGTACAATCCACATGACCCACTTTCTCCCCTGGGGGACGTTGGTTCAGAGGTTGGTAGCACTTGGGGAGAGTATCTTAACACAGTTTCTTGACAGCAGCTCTGGAACTTAGTATTTCTGCCCCGAGTTTTGCCACACTGAGACTTTGAGTAGCTCCTGGTGGACTCAACCCTGTTCAACTCAGAGACGGGCCTCCTCTCACTGATGCAAAGCTTTAAGGCTTCTCTGACTGTTCTGAAACTCTTCGTATTCTTGTCAAGTCTAAAGAGACTGAAGAAAAGATTTAAATACTAATAAAAATCAGTAGATAATTTCTGTAGGTTCTGCTGGAGGAATACAAACTGTTTGGTGTTTTAAATTTAAGTGTAGAAATTGTAGAATGTGGAATTAGCACAGATCCTTCCTGGCTTTCTGTTTCACTTGATCATTTAGCCCAGACCACCCAGGATGTTTTCCAAAATGTTCCACAGGCGTGTCCCGCTGGATCCATTTGTCCTTGTCACTTGGAGAAAGGCCAGTCCCTGTGACGGGGCAGCCCTCTCTGTCCCTCGGTCAGCTCGTGTGAATCCTGGGACCTCTTCCGGTCGGCTCTGCCCGCTGTTCTGGGGTCGACTGCCACGACTTTTGATTCAAGAAGCTTCCTCCAGGCGGGAGCGGCTATTTTTCCTAAATGAGAATTGTTACATTGCAAATTGTTGAATAAAATATTTTGCGCTCCTTCAAGCACCTTCACCTGTGGTTCCCTTTGGTTTGCTGGAAGCGAGTGAGTGCAGGTGTCCGCAGGCCTCGGCGCTGTCCTGGACCGCACCCAGGTCCTCTCCGGGGACCTGCACCTGCCTCGCTGGGACCTGCCGGACTGCGGGGCTGCCGGGTTGGGAGGGGCGTGGGAGACCCGTCCGGGTCCGGTGCGGCGCAGTCCTCCGGCCGCCAGGGGCCGCTGTGGGCGGGGCCGGGGCGCGGGGCGGGGACCGGGCGCGGCCCCGCGGCGGCGGTTGCTGGGTCCCGGCCGGGCTGACTCCGCTTCTGGGCGGCCGGGCCTCCGCGAGTACCGGGTCGACTTCGGAGTCTGCGAGCCCAGCCAGGGGTGCCCGCTTCCCACCCCTCTCCCCGAGCGGCGTCCCCGTCGGGGTCGAACCTCCCCCGCGACAGGCGCCCAGCCGCCTGTTCCCCCAGGCCTTGCCTGCGGACCGCCCTGGGAACGGCGTCTGGGAGCCCCGAGGGGCTGGCGGGACTCGGGGCCCGGGCCATGCGGCAGCCGCCCCCGCCCCTCCGCGACCATCCCCGGCCCAAGCGGGAGCCGCAGCGGCGTTTCTGCTCCTCGCTGCGCCGGCGACCCCGGACCCGGCACCCGTGACCCCTCGCGCTGCCTGCGGCCTCGCGCCGAGGCCTGCCCCGGGAGAGACCGTCCATGCCGTCCAAGGCGGAGAATCTGCGGCCCTCCGAGCCGGCCCCGCAGCCGCCGGAAGGGAGGACGCTCCAAGGACAGCTTCCCGGCGCTCCGCCGGCCCAGCGCGCGGGGTCCCCACCCGATGCTCCGGGCTCCGAGAGCCCCGCGCTTGCCTGCAGCACTCCGGCCACGCCCAGCGGCGAGGACCCGCCAGCCCGAGCAGCACCCATCGCCCCGCGGCCCCCCGCCAGGCCTCGACTGGAGCGAGCCCTGTCCCTGGACGACAAGGGCTGGAGGAGGAGGCGTTTTCGAGGCAGCCAGGAGGACCTGGAAGCCCGGAATGGGACCAGTCCCTCCAGGGGCTCAGTGCAGAGCGAGGGCCCCGGGGCCCCCGCCCACAGCTGCTCCCCGCCCTGCCTGAGCACCTCCTTGCAGGAAATCCCCAAGTCCCGCGGGGTCCTGAGCAGTGAGAGAGGGAGCCCGTCCTCGGGGGGTAACCCTCTCTCTGGGGTGGCCAGCAGCTCCCCGAACCTCCCGCACAGAGACGCCGCCGTGGCGGGGAGCTCGCCCAGGCTGCCCAGCCTGCTGCCCCCGCGCCCACCGCCTGCCCTGAGCCTGGACATCGCCTCCGACTCCCTGAGGACAGCAAACAAGGTCGACTCGGATCTTGCAGACTACAAGCTCCGCGCGCAGCCGCTCCTGGTGCGGGCCCACAGCAGCCTGGGCCCCGGCCGGCCGCGGAGCCCCCTGGCCTGCGACGACTGTTCCCTTCGCTCGGCCAAATCCTCCTTCAGCCTCCTGGCGCCCATCCGCAGCAAGGACGTCCGCAGCAGGTAGGGAGGGCCTGGCGGGTGCAGCGCCCGCGCCGCCTTCGTTGTAGTGTTCAGGCTGCTGGAACCTCGTGAGACCGTTCCCATCAGCAGCGTTTAAGATGCCTAACCGGAAAGAACGAAGCGGGTCTCCCGCAGCCACCCCATCTCCCAGCCCCACCCCACAGCAGCGCCCTTCCCAGAACTTTTCCTGTGCGTTTCAGAACCATTCGTGGGCGTGACGTTGTGTTAAGGTAGACAGGATGGCATCCTGCATACAATTACGTATCTGGCGCTTTTTCTTGTTTAGTCTTGGGAAATGTCGTCAATGTATACGATCCGCCCCTTTGGTTGTTTTTGTTTGTTACTCTCTCTGTCGCCCAGGCTGGAGTGCAGCGGCGCGATCCCGGCTCACTGCAACCTCTGCCTCCTGGGTTCAAGGGATCCTCCTGCCGCAGCCTCCTGAGAATCTGGGATTACAGGCGCCCGCCACCACACCCAGCTAAATTTTGTATTTTTAGTAGGGGCGGGGTTTCGCCGTGTTGGCGAGGCTGGTCTCGAACTCCTGGCCTCGGCCTCCCAAAGTGCTGGGATTCCCGGCGTGGGCCACTGCGCCCGGCCTGCCCCCTTTGTTTTTTTCTGCGGCAAGAGGCCCCAGATGTGTTGAGGCTACTTTCGTTTAGCCACTTGCTCATGAGGAACATTTTGGTGGGCTCCAGCTGTTGCTGGAAGGAACTGCAGCTGAACCCATGACCTCTCCCAAGCCTGGTCTTGTCTTGGGGTCTCAGTCTGGGGGCCTGTCCTGAGATGCTCCCACTATGACTTGGCAGAGTCACCTGCACCCTTCTTTTCCTCCCCCCACCCCACTGCCATGGTGCCCAAGTCTTGTCTGTCAGCCGCGGCGGGAGGCAGGACAGGTGTGAGAAGGGAGAGGTGTGAGGTGGTTTCTGTGTTGGTGTCCTGGGGCCGTTGTAACTCATGACCACAGACTGGGAGGCTTGCAACAGCAGAGCTGGACTCTCTCCCAGTTCTAGAGGCCAGAAGTCTAAAATCAAGGTGTGGCCACGCAGCCTCTCTCCAGAGGCTCAGGGGAGGGTCCTCCCGCTGCCTCCCGCTCCTGGGGCCCCACTTGTTCCTTGGCTTGTGGCCGCATGCTCCAGTCTCTGCCTCTGTCTTTATGTGGCCTCTTCCCTGTCTCTCTGTGTTCCCCTCTCTTTTTATAAGGACACCAGTCATTGAATTTACTGCCTACCCTAAATCCAGGGTGGTCTTATCTCGAGATCCTTAATTAAACACGTTTGCAAAGACCCCGTTTCCGAATAAGGTCCCATTCCAAGGTTCTGGGGCTCTGGGAGTGGACATGGCTTTGGGGATCACTGTTCAGCTCACCACAGTCCCCGAAGGTAGCCTCACTTCCCCGCGTCTGTGGTGCACCAGCAGGCAGGTGGGCTCAGGCCTGGAGTGAGGGCCCGTGCCTGGCGCCCCCACCATACTCTCCTCCTGTCATGGATGGAGCAGGTGCGATCACATCCAGGGCAAGACTGCTGCTTTTGTTAAAATAATTCACTGCAGGGCTTCTCGTAAAGAGTGAGATTTCTTAGTGCATCTAAAGCATCACATTTTAAAATTAGATCCGGTTGACGTAGATACACCTGTTAGAGAAAAGGACAGTCGTGTCTCAAATTTGGACCCTCAAGTCATTGTTTTCAAACAACCAGGAAACGAGGGTTGACGTGGATCCTTTAACCCAGTTCTGCTGCCTAACAGCTTCCCATTTCCAGACCTCCGGTCTGTTCTAGAATAGGAGTCGGCGCACTCTTTCTGTCAAGGGGGAGACACAGACAGTGGGGACCAAAGGGCGTCTGTGTGCCAGTGAGTCTATTAGGGACATACATTGGAACCTCGCTCTTTTTTCTTTCTCTGCCGTTCCACACAGTAAAACCCATTCTGAGTTTGCGGGCCGCGTGTGCACGGGCTGGGTCCGCCCTGTTTGAGAATGGCTGCTGGCTTTTGCCAGTGCCTTGGGGCTGCCAGGGCGGGTTAGGGGGCCTTTCCCCACCCGTTCCTTTTGCTCGGAGAGCTGGCCCAGGCTGTGGCAGCCAGCCTGAGCGTCCTCATGCAGAAGCTGTGCAGTGTCCTGGCCCTGGATGGGGGTCCGAGGCAGCTCTGCCCCTGCCCGTGTCTAGACACAGGAATGGCTGTGAGGGCCGCCCCTGGCCTGCTGTTACTAACCATGCTCTGGACAGAGCTGGGCAGACTGACCACGTGGCTGCTGGTGTGGACATGATGGGCGCTGCCGGCAAAGGGGCCGTGGGCCTCCAGCCTGGTGACCGAGGAGCCCCTGCTGGGCCCGGGATCACTTGACAGGGGTGCCCACAGGAACGCTCTCTGTCCCGAATGACCACTGTGTGAACACAGCTGTCCCGACCGGGATTGTCGACAGTTTTAGGGGTGAGGTAGCGAGGTTCCTCCCTGCTGACATGATTTAACGTGTCCAGTGAAGCTTGGTGAGCCGCAGCCAGGGTTGAAGAAGTTCTCGCGGGAGGTCACAGGAATCCGGCACTATGCTCTCGTGTCCCCTTGCGGAAGGGAACCATGTCAGAAGACGGCGTATCCAGAAGGAGCCGCACAAGTGTTACTTAGAGAGGGAGCGGGGAGGACGGCTGGCAAGCCTAGCCCACGGCGTTTCTGTATAGTCGGCGAGCTGAGAACGGGTTTTACATTTCCAAATGGTTGGAAAAAGTCAAAACCATTCTAATGATGTTTCATAGTACAAGAAAATTGTAAAATTCAGATTTCAGTGTCTGTAAATCAAGCGTCTCGGGCACACGGCTGCACCCCTTGTGTCCACATCCCCTGGTGGCTCTTGCACCACCGTAGCAGAGCCCACGGCGACAGACACTGGATGTCCCACGGAGCGGCAGGCGTGTGCGGTTGCCTCTTGACGGGTTACCAGCCCTCGTGGCAGAAGGTGCTGAGTGTGGGGAGGGGCAGGGACGTTGCTGTGCCACACGGTGTTTAACCATCTGTGTGCACCGCCGTATTAAAATCTGAAAGCATCAGCCTGGACAACGTGGCGAGACCCTGTTTCTACAAAAATAAAAAATAAATAAATAACTAGCCGGGCGTGGTGGCACTGCACCTGGAGTCCCAGCTACTCGGGAGGCTGAGGCAGGAGGATCACTTGAGCCCGGGAGGTAGAGGCTGCAGGGAGCTGTGTTAGTGCCACTGCACTCCAGCCTGGGCACGGAGTGAGACCCTGTCCCCACTAGAAACCAAAACAAGCAAACCCAAAAGTGCGTCAAAGCCACGGGGTGTCGAGGAGATGGACGCGTTTCCGTGTGGCTCGTGTGGTCTCTGTATCTTAGACCGTCCTGCCTGGTGCTGGGGCCAAAGGAGAAAGGAGGAGGACCAGCCCCTCCCCGAACAGCACCCTGTGCCCACTGCCTTGGCTTATAGTTTGGGAGCTCCTCTCTGTGGCTTTTCCAGGATCCCACCACCAAAAAGCCCAAACCGTCACCCTCTCATGCCTCTTCCCGGGAGGTAGGGAGGGGGTGTGAACCCGCTCTGGGTGTTTGTGCAACCAGGTCAGGCCTTGTGTTCCTGGAGAGCAGACAGCAGTGCCGCGGGGGCCAGGAGAGTCCTTGCTTGGGGCTGGGGGCAGCTCCTGACATTCCATGGGTTTTGCTATTGTCCCTGGGGACCTGGCCCAGACCCCCAGGGATGTGTCCTGTGCCTGGCCCTGAGCTTGGGGTCCTCCCGTCACAGGAGTTACCTGGAGGGCAGCCTCCTGGCCAGCGGGGCCCTGTTGGGGGCGGATGAGCTGGCCCGCTACTTCCCAGACCGGAACGTGGCACTCTTCGTGGCCACCTGGAACATGCAGGGCCAGAAGGTGAGTGGCTGTGGGTGGTGCTGGGCGGGGAAGGGTGGGGTGGTGCTGGACAAAGGCGGGTGAGGGGGACGGGGCAGCTCTGTGCCTCATCCTGGGGCCAGGAGGGCAGAGCCCCGAGGTGCACCCCACTGCTAACCGCAGTACAGGAGGGTGAGAGTGGGTAAGGACCCCCATCCCCCAGAGCTCCCACCTGCACCTCCCTGGCCACGTGGCTGCAGAAAGTAGGGGAGGGGGTTGGGGCAACGGGCCTGGCCGAGAATCACCTGCTCAAGGTGAGCGGGAGGGCGGCCAGCGGGGCACGCGTAGGGGTGGCTCAGGGACAGGGTGGGCAGCACGGGCTGGGGTCATGGTGACGGGAGGGTCATACAGGGGTGGTCGTTGGACAGACTCGTGCTTGGAGAGGGAAACAGGCCGAGGGCCAACGTGAGGCGTGTTTGGTGTGTCAGAGGCTGCCTCGGAGACCGGGCAGCTCCCTTTTTGGCCCTGGCCTCAGTTTCCCCTCATTCGGAGGAGTCGCTGGTACTCAAGGCACCGCAGTGGGATTCACCCACAGGCGCCTGCAGGTTTCGGGAGGAGCCGGCCCACCACATGCTCCCTCCTTCCAGGAGCTCCCGCCCAGCCTGGACGAGTTCCTGCTCCCAGCCGAGGCCGACTATGCCCAGGACCTGTATGTCATCGGGGTCCAGGAGGGCTGTTCTGACAGGTAGGGCGGCTGCAGGCCCTGCAGTGCCTGCCCAGGGGCTGCCGTCTCTGAAGCAGCTGGGTGCTGAGACCTGTGGTCATGGCTGGGCACGGGTCTGCAGTGCCTGCCCGGGGGCTGCCATCTGTGAAGCTGCTGGGCGCTGATACCCGGTTCGTGGCCGGGCACAGATCTGCAGTGCCTGCCCGGGGGCTGCCGTCTCTGAAGCTGCTGGGCGCTGAGACCCGGGTGGCGGCCGGGCACGGGCAGCCTCCACGCCTGGGTGGGAGGCATGGGTCAGATTTTTTTCCAGTGGCAACTCGGAGAGTTTAAAATCAATGAGATTTGATTTTGGTAACAAACTGTTGGCGTGCGAGAGTAGAAGGGCAGCCGGAGCAGGGCCGGGCCCCAAGGCCTCCCGGGCCCCCATGTCATGGCGGGAACAGCAGGTGGCTGCCGCCCACACAGGTGCTCTGGGGGAAGGAGTTGAGGTGGGCCCCACCTCCCTGGCCCATGAGTCCCTCAGGCGGGAGGAGCTCTGCTCACTGGGGTCTCGGCGGGGGTCCAGGGGAGCCACTCAAGTGGAACTGGGGCCTGTGGCCCCCGGCAGGTCCCAACTCTGGCCCACCAGGCCTTCTGGCAATTGCTTCTCCGCGCAAGACACCAAGGCCAGGTCGTGGGGTTTCCCTGGTAGCTCCTCGAGGGGCTCTGGGCAGCAGGTCTGGGGGTGGCGGAGCTGGGAGGCCATGTCCCCCAGCCGGCCGTGCTTCCTCCTCTGCAGGCGGGAGTGGGAGACTCGTCTGCAGGAGACGCTGGGCCCGCACTATGTGCTGCTGTCCTCGGCGGCCCACGGCGTGCTCTACATGTCGCTCTTCATCCGCAGGGACCTCATCTGGTTCTGCTCAGGTGGGCGCGGCTGGAGGGGTGGGCGCGGCTGGAAGGTGGCAGCGTCCCACAGGTGAGCTGAGGGCTGCCCCTCCCACAGAGGTGGAGTGCTCCACGGTGACCACACGCATCGTGTCTCAGATCAAGACCAAGGGGGCCTTGGGCATCAGCTTCACCTTTTTTGGCACTTCCTTCCTCTTCATCACGTCCCACTTCACCTGTAAGTTGCTTGGTGCCCGCACCGCAGGTGCTGTGTGAGAACAGCTTCCTCTCCTGACCGGGACCCTGTCCAAGGCAGGGGTCCTGACCGCTGGCTTCATCTTCCACCCAGGGCCGTGGGGTGGGCACCACGCTTGCTAAGATGCACGCCAAGGACCCCCGGCAGACCCCGGCACCGAGGGCGTGCCGTGCTGGGCCCGTGCTCTGTCCTCCGAGGCGGAAATGTCACTGGCTGGGCCCGGCAGCGGATGCCCGGTGGGGTTGCGTCTGCCGGGGGTGCGCAGTCAGGGCACAGTCCAGAGGTGCGGCGCTTTAGGGAGACTCGAGCATCCGGAACCCTGTGGTCCCTACCCCATTTCTGTTCCCACAGCAGGTGACGGGAAGGTGGCGGAGCGGCTGCTGGACTACACCAGGACTGTACAAGCCCTGGTCCTGCCCAGAAATGTGCCCGACACCAACCCCTATCGCTCCAGCGCAGGTGAGGGCGTCCACGCTGCGTGTGGGTGGTGCCGCCGTGGTTCGCACACGGGCGCCCGTCGTTTTTAGGGCAGTTCTGAAGAGGCAGCGTCCTGAGCTTTGGGAAGCGAGGGCCGAAACGTCCAGTGCCCCCAGCGCATGGCCCCTCGCGGTTCTTTAGCACGGTTAGTGGGGTGGGCGGATCCTGTCCACTCGGCGTGGCCCACTAGCCTGGGTCCTGGTCCTCGCCACTGCCCGCCCCGCCGCCTCCCCTGGCTGTGTGGAGAGGAGCAGGGACGTGGCCATCGCCTGCCATGGGCATCGTCTGCTCCTGAGGCTGCTCCAGGTGCCTTCTGGAACTGTCCCAGTGCGAATCCCACCCCTGAGGGCCCGGCCCCACCGGCTGGCGCCCAAGACCCACTTCCCCTGAGAGCCACTCCCAGGCCATGTTCTGGGGAAGGGGAAGGACCTGCCGTCCCTCTGCCTGTGCCCACACATGGCCCACTGTGCCGCAGCGGACGTCACCACCCGCTTCGATGAGGTGTTCTGGTTTGGAGACTTCAACTTCCGCCTGAGTGGCGGGCGCACAGTCGTGGACGCCCTCCTGTGCCAGGGCCTGGTGGTGGACGTGCCGGCGCTGCTGCAGCACGACCAGCTCATCCGGGAGATGCGGAAAGGTGAGGGCCTGGGGGGGCGGGCATGGAGGGAGATGAGGAGAGGTGAGGGCCTGGGGGGGCGGGCGTGGAGGGAGATGAGGAGAGGTGAGGGCCTGGGGGGCGGGCGTGGAGGGAGATGAGGAAAGGTGAGGGCCTGGGGGGCGGGCGTGGAGGGAGATGAGGAGAGGTGAGGGCCTGGGGGGGCGGGCGTGGAGGGAGATGAGGAGAGGTGAGGGCCTGGGGGGGCGGGCGTGGAGGGAGATGAGGAAAGGTGAGGGCCTGGGGGGGCGGGCGTGGCGGGAGATGAGGAAAGGTGAGGGCCTGGGGGGGCGGGCGTGGAGGGAGATGAGGAAAGGTGAGGGCCTGGGGGGCGGGCGTGGAGGGAGATGAGGAGAGGTGAGGGCCTGGGGGGGCGGGCGTGGAGGGAGATGAGGAGAGGTGAGGGCCTGGGGGGGCGGGCGTGGAGGGAGATGAGGAGAGGTGAGGGCCTGGGGGGCGGGCGTGGAGGGAGATGAGGAGAGGTGAGGGCCTGGGGGGCGGGCGTGGAGGGAGATGAGGAGAGGTGAGGGCCTGGGGGGGCGGGCGTGGCGGGAGATGAGGAAAGGTGAGGGCCTGCGGCGGGTGGGGGGAGGGTGGGCGTGGTGGGAGATGAGGAGAGGTGAGGGCCTGGGGTGCGGCGGCTGGCACAAGCTGGTCTGAGCCAGTCCGAGTGCCCATCCTGTGGCAGGGTCCATCTTCAAGGGCTTCCAGGAGCCGGACATCCACTTCCTCCCATCATACAAGTTTGACATCGGGAAGGACACGTACGACAGCACCTCCAAGCAGAGGACGCCCTCATACACGGTGAGGCCTGCCCACCGCTGCGGTGCAGAGTGCTTCCAGGGCAGGCATCTCCCACAGCCGGGAACCGATGCCTGGCGTCAGGGGTCTGAGCCTGGACGGCCTGGACTTGAAACTCAGCTCTGCACCTTGGCCTTGTGGCAAGTCCCCTTTGGTGGAGAACGGCGCCCTCTCCATGGGTGTTTTCAAGGCTGGGTGAGCCGGCTGGCACACAGGGCACCAGCCATGCCCTCGCCTCCGGCCTGCAGAGCCTCTGCCCTCTGCCCGTTGCACCCTCGCTCACCCTCCTGCCAGGCCCATGGCTGCATCTCTGGGCATGTCCCGATATCTGGATATCTGCTGGAAGCCTCAAGAAGCCACTGAGGCAGGGCAGGGTAGGAGCAGCCGCTGTCCACAGGGTCTCTCCAGCGGCGAGGGACAGGCCCTGGCCCAGCTGGCCACAGACGCCAGGCAACAAAATGGGCATGAGTGTCAGGGGTCCCAGAAGGCTTCCTTGTGGGGGGCGCTTGAGAACAGCAGGGAGGTGAGCGGGCCACGCCCCACGGCTCCTCACAAGTAACTGGACCTCCTGCCTCTGCAATCTTCCCAAAGGACCGCGTCTTGTACAGAAGCCGCCACAAGGGTGACATCTGTCCTGTGAGCTACTCTTCCTGCCCCGGGATCAAGACGTCCGACCACCGCCCTGTGTATGGCCTCTTCCGGGTGAAAGTGAGGCCGGGGCGAGACAAGTCAGTGTTCTCCCGCTCACCTTCCCCCTTGGGCCTGGGGGTCGTGCCGTCGTCCCATGAGCTAAGAGGGTCCCTGTCATCGTGGGGTTCCACTTGGGGCTTTGTTCTGGGACCTTCAGGGCTGTGTTCCCCGGGATCGGTTGGACTCATCCTGGAGCAGGAGAAGGCAGGAAGGGGAGAGGCTCTGGAAAGTGAAGAGAGGCCCAGCTGGGGGGCTGGGTGTGGCCAGCTGGAGGGACGAAGGCCTTAAGCACTCAGGCATCCGCCCTGTCCTTCCTGCGGCTCTGTCCCAGGAACAGGCCTCCGTGTGCTTAGAGGCAGGGCCAATCTGGGCCAGTGCCCACCTAACAGCCCCTCATCCTGGCCCTGGGTGTCCTCTTAAATGCCCCCTCCTCCGGGGCCGGCCCCCTCCTAACGCCCCCTCCTCCTGGCCCTGGGTGCCCTCCTAACGCCCCCTCCTCCTCCACAGCATTCCGTTGGCAGCTGGCAAATTTGATAGAGAACTGTACTTACTAGGAATTAAAAGACGGATTTCGAAGGAGATTCAGAGGCAGCAAGCACTACAGAGTCAGAACTCCAGCACCATCTGCTCCGTTTCTTGAAGTTTGCTGAACGAGGACTCACAGCTGCAACGTGGGGTGATTGTATTGATCAAAACCCACTGGGAAGGACAAAGAGTTTGCCGCCTTTCGGGGATCCGAGGGACTGTGGCGACCGTGCCTCTGTGCCAGCGTCCCAGGAAGGAAGCCAACCCTGAGCGAGCCTGTCCTCTGTGGCAGGTCCACACGGTGTGGGTGGGCAGGGCTTGGACCCCCGTCTCCATGGCAGGTCCATACAGCATGGGTGGCAGGGTTTGGACCCGCCCAGCAGCACCACGGACCCCAGCCACTCTCGGGGGCAGACGTCAGAATCCGTTCCTGAGCAGCTCCTGTGCCCTGGGGGCAGTCACAGAGCCCCCCAACACCCCCGTGCTCTGCACCAGCCTCTCCCTCCACACCCGAAGCAGGCGTCCATCTGTGTCCTCCTGGCAGCCCCTCAAACACACACCACCCCATGTCACACGGGTATCCAGAGCAAGGCTGGATCTGGGCTAGGTGACCCCTGGGGCCTCAGACCTCTGAGTGGGCCCCAGAGCCCAGCTGAGGAAGCCACACAGCCTCCAGGACGTGGCACGGTTCCCCTCCACTTGGCTGCAAGTCGCCTGCCATGGGGCGAGGAGGCCTGCACCCCAGTATAAGGGCCTCCCCAGCTGAGTAAGAAGCTGCTTCCCCTCCTCTCATAGGCCAAGCCTATTGTGTGAAACCATCTCATGGTCTTGGTGACGTAGACCATTTTTGAAACCGTCTCATGGTCTTGGTGACGTAGACCGTTTGCTTCTTTAACTCCAGCCGCGGAATGACATTAGTGGAACCGGGCTAGGGAACTGCTGGAAGTTCAGGATGCCACCACCTTGAACACCTAGGCCAGGGATCCCCACCATGTCCCGGGTTTCTTTCTTCGAGAGTATAGAACCGTTCATTCTTGCTTTGTGTCCCATTCCATCTCTTGAAAAAATGTAGTCTTTGAATGTGTGAAAATCTAGGGACATTCAATCTAGTCTTTTAAATTATTTTTCCATATTTATATTTTTAAATAAATGCATATATTGAGTCTTAAAATCTCTTTCTGGCCAAAGACTGAAACCTGGAAGCAACAATATACATGCATATCCCGTTCTCACAATGTCCTTGTTTGAAAGGCTGTAAAATCCACAGGCAAAAAGTTTGGTCTCAACCCTCAACAGCTGACTATGATCTTGTCCGGTTCATCTCTGCTATCTTTAAAATCCTACATTCGGCTGGGTGCGGTGGCTCACTCCTATAATCCCAGCACTTTGGGAGGCTGAGGCAGATGGATCATCTGAGTGGTGGGCAAATCACAAGGTCAGGAGTTCGAGACCAGCCTGGCCAACATGGTGCGACCACCCCTGCATCTCTACTAAAATTACAAAAATTAGCCGGGTGTGGTGGCGGGCGCCTGTAATCCCAGCTACTGGGGAGGCTGAGGCAGGAGAATCACTTGAACCCAGGAGGCAAAGGTTGCAGTGAGCCGAGATTGCGCCACTGCACTCCAGCCTGGGCAGCAGAGCAAGACTCCATCTCAAAATAAATAAATACATAAAATCCTGCATTCCTAGTTCACTGCCCAAGAGATCAGCGTTAGATGGAAAAGAGTCTTTTGAGGAAAACACAAATACTTGAGACCTGATGAACCACGCTGGTTATCAACAATTCAGTGAATAATAGAAAACTTTTATTAGCAGCATCTTAAAAAGTAGGGAAACAAACACCCAGTCTCTTGATAAAAATGAGTCTCTTGGGCCAGGCGTGGTGGCTCATGCTTGTAATCCCAGCACTTTCGGAGGCCCAGGTGGGCAGATCACAAGGTCAGGAGTTCAAGACCAGCCTGGCCAAATGGTGAGACCACGCCCCCCCCCCCCCATCTCTACTAAAAATACAAAAATTAGCCGGGTGTCTGTTGTCCCAGCTACTTGGGAGGCTGAGGCAGGAGAATTGCTTGAACCTGGGAGGCGGAGGTTGTAGTGAGCCAAGATCCAAGATCGTGCCACTGCATCCCAGCCTGGGCGACAGAGCGAGACTCCTTAAAAAAAAAAAAAAAAAAAAAGTCGTCGATAGAAATTCCATTAATGAGAGGGCACAGCCAATCTCATCTAATTTCAGTCAACTAGTCTGATGTCCTGTATGTATAACATTTTGGGCTGGGTGTGGCGTGTGTAACATTTTGGGCTGGGTGTAATTCTAGCACTTTGAGAGGCTGAGGAGGGCAGATTGCCTGAGCTCAGGAGTTCGAGACCAGCCTGGATAACACAGTGAAACCCTGTCTGTACTAAAACACAAACAATTAGCCGGGTGTGGTGGTGTGCGCCTGTAGTCCCAGCCACTCAGGAGGCTGAGGTAGGAGAATTGCTTGAACCCGGGAGGTGGAGGTTGTAGAGAGCCAAGATTGCACAATTGCACTCCAGCCTGGGCAAGAGTGAGACTCGTCTCCAAAAAAAAAAAGACTTTGCCTGAACAAATGTGCCCTAAGTTTCAAATTAATTCATTGAAAATCTGTACCAAGATGTTTATGGTAATGGGGCTTCAAATGAGTCCGCTTTTATGGCTTCTTCCTAGGCCTCTTCTCCGACCCAAACAATTGTTAAAGAGATTCTGGTCCGACCCTGGAGTGTGTTCACGTGGCTTGACAGTAAGAGGCTCCAAGTCTTCCGGCGGCGGCGGTGGGGAGGGCAGGATATGACGTGTCTAGTAAGATCATGGATCGAAAGTCAGGTGATTCCCTTGGCACTCACCGCTAGATCTTAGATTAATGGAATTTCACTCAGAAAGGAGTTTAAATGAATGCAAATGATGTTGGCCAATCTCTGGAAAATAAAAGAATTGTTAAATACGGCCAGGCACAGTGGCTCACATCTATAATCCCAGCACTTTGGGAAGCTGAGGCAGGAGGACTGCTTGAAGCCAGGAGTTCGAGACCAGCCTGGGCAACCTAGTGAGACCACACCTCTAAAACAGCAATGAGCACGCCTATAGTCCCAGCTATTCAGGAGGCTGAGGTGGGAGGATCCGCTGAGCCCCAGTGGTTAAGGCTACCGTGAGCTGTGCTTGCATCACTGTACTCCAGGGCTAGCCTGGGCGACAGAGCCAGACCTCATCTCAAAAAAAAAAAAAAAAAAGCTGGCTCGATAGTAGTGGGTTCTTAGAACCTAATATTAGTGTCAACTTTGGTATCCTATCCTCCAGTGCTAAATTTGGCAAAAGAAAAAAAAAACGTGGCCAGGTGCGGTGGCTCACGCCTGTAATCCCAGCACTTTGGGAGGCCCAGGTGGGTGGATCACCTGAGGCCTAGGCGGCTGGTCAGGAGTTCACCACCAGCCTGATCAAAATGGTGAAACCCCGTCTCTACTAACAATACAAAAAATTAGCCAGGTGTGGTGGCGGGTGTCTGTAATCCCAGCTACTTGGGAGGCTGAAGCAAGAGAATCTGTTGAACCCAGGAGGCGGACGTTGCAGTGAGCCGAGGTCGTGCCATTGCACTCCAGCCTGGGCAACAAGAATGAAACTCCATCTCAAAAAAATAAAGAAAAGAATCTGTGAAATACGACTGTGTGAGGGTGGTTTCAAAAATACAGCTCTCGGGGCCAGGCACAGTGGCTCACGCCTGTAATCCCAGCACTTTGGGAGGCCGAGGCAGGCGGATCATCTGAAGTTGGGAGTTGGAGACCATCCTGGCTAACATGGTGAAACCTTGTCTCTACTAAAAATACAAAAATTAGCCGGGCGTGGTGGCAGTTGCCTAGAATCCCAGCTATTTGGGAGGCTGAGGCAGGAGAATGGTGTGAACCCCGGAGATGGAGCTTGCAGTGAGCCGAGACTGCACCACTGCACTCCAGCCTGCACGACAGAGCAAGACCCCATCTCAAAAAAAAAAAAAAAAAAATTCAGCTCTCATTCTCTCAAGCATGCTTTGCTTGTCTTTTGTTCAGCAAGTACTTTCCTAGCTCTGCTCCAGGCCAGACGGTCTAGCCACCAGCAGGGACACTGGAATGAGCCAAATAGCCTGCTTGGGGGAGGTGACCATCTTAAAAAGGCAGCCGACTATAAACAAATTCAAGTGCACCTTAGTTCCAAAGAAGTGAAGTGGGGCTGGGCGCAGTGACTCATGCCTGTCATCCCAGCACTTTGGGAGGCCAAGGCGGGTGCATCACCTGAGGTCAGGAGTTTGAGACCAGCCTGACCAACATGGTGAAACCCCGTCTTTACTAAGAATACAAAATGAGCTGGCGTGGTGGCCCATGCCTGTAATCCCAGCTACTCAGGAGGCTGAGGCAGGAGACTCGCTTGAACCCAGGAGGCAGAGGTTGCGGTGAGCCGAGATCGCGCCATTGCACTCCAGCCTGGGCAACAAGAGCGAAACTCCATCTCAAAAAAAGAAAGGGAAAAAAAAAAAAGCGAAGTGGGGAGGAGTGTGGCAGGGAGGGCGGGTGTGCGACCTTTGGTTAGAGAGGAGGCAGCGAGGGAGAGCCAGCTATGTGGCAGGGAATGGAGAGAACCTTTGTTGGCCTCGGCTTCCAAACCACAGACACCGAGGGCTAATTGGTAGCAGTTTCTAGAATGTCCTCGGGCTACTCGGTAGGTGGAGCAGGACTGTGCTTCACCGGAATCTTCAGAAGCTCAACCCCAGGCCTGACGCGTGTGGCGCCGGAGCTCTGCGTTCACTGTGCAGCTGAACATCAGGGGCTGCGTGCTGCCGGGAGCTTCTGTCCCAGGTGTGGTTAACACTAGGATGTTTCTAACAGGAAGTCCACTGTTAGAACAGACACCATCGTCCTCCGGCTCCGGCCCTCCAATCCCACCAGGTGGGCAGCAAGCTGACGCTTCCCACATGGGCAAATTCAAGCAGTCACCGTCGCTGGAGTGTGTGTGTTGTAAAGGCACCAGGTCTTACAGAAACTACAACAGCCAGAGGACAGTAAGAGGCTAAGAGGAGTAAAGCTTACAAGTTTAATTTCCTGAAAATATCCACTCCCTCTCCCATCGGTCCTGCAAAGAGGCTGCACCTCTCAGCTACTCAAAAGACAGGACCAGAGACGTTCTCTCCTCCTGACAAAACTGTGCCACACAGCTCTGTGCAGCCCACGGAGTCACACATGTAGGAAGCTACCCTTGGACTACAGGCAGCACCGCAGGTGGCCCATGCAGGTTCCCAGGCCCGACCTCCCCACACCCCTTGGAGCTCCCGAGGTTTCTATGGGTGTTTGAGAACCACGTTACAAGTTTTAACTTGTACACGTTTTTTGCTTGTTTTTGTTTCTTTTTTTGAGACGGAGTTTCACTCTTGTTGCCCAGGCTGGAGTGCAGTGGCGCGATCTTGGCTCACGGCAACCTCCGCCTCCCGGGTTCAAGCGATTCTCCTGCCTCAGCCTCCCAAGTAGCTGGGATTACAGGCATGCGCCACCACGCTCAGCTCATTTTGTATTTTCGATAGAGACGGGGTTTCTCCATGTTGGTCCGGCTGGTCTCAAACTCCCGACCTCAGGTGATCCGCCCGCCTCGGCCTCCCAGCGTGCTGGGATTAGAGGCGTGAGCCACCGCGCCCGGCCTCTTGTACAAGTTTTTACACCACATGAAAGGCTACCCCGTAGCCGCTATTCCCTAAGCCATGCGGCCTTTCGGATCTCTGGAAACACCCACATCTGCGGCCGTTCCTCGGCTTGGCGGTGCTCCCCACCTCTAAGGCACCTGCAGGCTTCGCTGCCGGTCACCATTACCCCCCGTCACCCCACCCCATGCATGCTGCGACACCCCTGACATCAGCACGTCGCACGAGAACAGGCTTCAAGACACGGGGTCAAACCGGACGACTGACAGGGAGGAAGGCCTCCATGTTAGAAAAGCTGCCAATTCAGACAGCCCTTAAGAACCGCCCCTCCCCAGGCGAGAAGGAAAACACCGTGCTAAGAAAGATGCCAGCTCTTTATTACCAGGGAAGCTGTGTGCACGCGCGTGGAGCGCGCTCCTTGGAGCTGACCGGGCCCTTACCTTCTCCTGCTTGTCAGAGGTGAGTCCTGGTACCCAGCACGGTGGCCTCCGGGAGGCTTTGATAGGTCAGCCTTTGCTGCCTCCCAGCTCAGGGCTCCTCCAAGGAACCTGCGGGGCCCCATGTGCCCACAGCCCGAGGAGGGAAGCACCGACCGCCCTCCTCGTGGCACGCTGCACTCCAGCGCTGGGCACTTCACCTGCTTCCTGGCTTGCGGTGGTCAGGCTCGATACTGACTCCACTGATCGGCACATTGAGTTCCAAAAGAATGCAAACCGCGTGGGTGCTGTGGCGACATTGTTTGCACCGTTTATACAACCAGACAGCTTTTTAGACTAAATTCGTGTCCAAACTAACACGCACGGGAACGGGCTCCAGCTGCAGCTCCCTGGGTCTGTCAGGCCGGGGAGCGGTTCTACC
The DNA here is from genome assembly GCF_000001405.40 of Homo sapiens. NCBI lineage: Eukaryota > Metazoa > Chordata > Mammalia > Primates > Hominidae > Homo > Homo sapiens. Next base: position 136,423,259 of record NC_000009.12, on the reverse strand, counting down.
GGAAGAGCCGGTACGTCCTGGGCAGGCGCCCGTCCTTACTCGACAGGGCGGTCTGGATGTGCTCATACGTGGGCAGGTCAGTCAGGTCACCCAGGGCGGCCACTGCCGGCTTCCCTCGGAGCATCTTAGAAGCGACTCTCTTCACATCTTCCGGCTTCACGTTGCCTAGTGCAGAGGGCAAACGCGTGTCACACGAGCGCGCCACGGCCCCCACGCTGAGGCTGCATCAGTAAACACACGGAGGGGGCGGCTGGTCTGTACCACTCACTCACGCTGTGCTGCTGATGGGGGCACCTGGGCCCAAAGGCAGCCACTGGGTGTAGCCAAGGGTGAGTCCACAAGTGACAGACGTTGAGTTCTCAGTAAATGGGGACATGGCAATGACTTAAAAATATAGGACAAAGCCACCCAAGAAGAGTTACACTTACAGAAGAGCGAGCTCCGTGTCTGATGAACTCACTTTAGGACGGCCTGCAGAAAAAACCCCCAGCCCCCGAGGGCCGCATGGACAGAAGGGTGGGGTGAGAGAAGGCCAAAGGGCTGCACCCAGGAACCCCAGGACAGGAGTGATAGGGTCCAGGTGGGTCTGTTTTCTACAGAAAACGAGGCCCGAGAGAGGCTGGACACTCGCTTGAGGATTTAAGCGGGGGCTCCTGAGGGAAGGACGAGGGCCCACACGGGACAGGGCAAGTGCCCGGGACTCCAGGCCTGGAAAGGAGATGCCCACAGGTGACACCATAAGCCCGAGCCACCCCAACGTAATAGGCAGCCTTGCCAGGTTTTAAGCCTGTCCCCCAGAAGAGTCCGATGCACATACAACTTGGCAGTTTCAGGAAATTCAGACCTCCTAAGGTCACTCATGGGGGCCCCGGAAACCTGGGGCTGAGACTCCTGCCCGAGAGCCAGCAACGGTACAGCGGCATTCCGAGCCACTGCTACTCCACGTACAATGTAGCAGTCCTCTACTGAGCCCTTCTCGCCTACTAACTTGAGTGCTCTTTAACAACTCTGGGCAGTAGTGACAGCCCCTCCCAGGGGTGCAGAGGGTGGGGTCACCTGCCAAGGAGGCAGCAGGTGCATGGTGGGGCCGGGAAGTGAGACCAGGTCTGCGACCCCACGACCCTGCCCTTGGCCGCCCCTGCTGAGGACAACTGGTGAAGGCCCCAGATTCTGGGTGTGATGGACATACCACAGGCCCACCACGGCCTGCGGGAGGGCGAGACGGCCTCCTCTGAGCCTGGCCGAGGCCTGCGGCAGCCCCTCACTACCCCTGCGGTACTCACGGATGAGCGTGCACAGCTCGTGCGGCAGCTTTCTGGAGCGAGTGGCCAGCACCTGCCTCCCCACATCCTCGAAGATCACAGGCCTGGATTCCAGGTTCATCATGAGCATTGATGTCAGCTGCGTCTTGGCTCGTTCCAGCTCCACCTGGGGCCAGGGTCCAGTCAGGTGAGCACACACCCGCCCCGTGCCACCTTCCACCCCCCACTCGAGCAATGGCAAAACGCCATCTCTGTGCCCAAAGCTGAACATAAGAAAGGGAAGGGCAGCCGGGCGCAGTGGCTCCCGCCTGTAATCCCAGCTCTTTGGGAGGCTGAGGCAGGCGGATCACGAGGTCAGGAGATTGAGACCATCCTGGCTAACAGAGTGAAACCCCTTCTCTACTAAAAATACAAAAAGAAATTAGCTGGGCGTGGTGGCGGGCGCCTGTAGTCCCAGCTGCTCAGGAAGCTGAGGCGGGAGAATGGCATGAACCCGGGAGGCGGAGCTTGCAGTGAGCCCAGATCGCACCACTGCACTCCAGCCTGGGCGACAGAGCAAGACTCTGTCTCAAAAAAAAAAAAAAAAAAAAAAACGGGAACCCAGGCCCAAGTCACAGGCAACCCTGCTGGTCTCCCCTTCAGGTTTTTTAGGGAAGGGCTGTGCTACGTGTTACCCGGCTTCTACCACACTTGAAATACAGGAGCAATGTGCCTCCCTTGAGTTCTTCATTGTCTGTGTGACATGCAGCGGGAGAAGGTAAAATAGTTAACTCCCAAATGCCAGGGCCCCAAAGTGGCCACACGGCAAAATCGGGGAAAACAAATGAAACACAGGTTCTGGGGCTTCCCCAGACGCCTCCGGCGCAGGGCCCAGGCAGCTGGTTTTAGCAAAGTCCCTGGGAGGTTCTGAGGGAGGCAGTGCGGGTCCTAGGCTGCCTTCAGACTGTCTCAGGGCACAGGCAGGGGTGCTGTGAGAAGGACATGCAGATCTAGGAGCCAGCATACTGAAAAACAAACACCAAAAACTGATGGGCCGCAGAGATGCTACACTTTTTTTTTTTTTTCTTAAATAGACACAGGGTCTTGCTATGTTGCCCAGGTCAGTCTTGAACTCCTGGGCTCAAGTGATCCTCCCACCTTGGTCTCCCAAAGTGCTGGGAAAACAGGCATAAGCCACCGGACCTGGCCTCTATACCATTTCTTTTAAGTAAAACAATTCTTAGGTCTTTTTGCAACTTTAGGCAAATACCTAAATACTTCATATTTATTTCAAGTTGACTTCACGTTAGTGGAGGACTGTTTTTCTAGCAGTGCACTAGTGGAACTGAAGCGTATTAATTTAACCACAACTTTATTTCTTGAATGCTTTTTTTCCTGGCCGGGCACGGTGGCTCACACCGGGATCCCAAAGTAATCCCAGCACTTTGGGAGGCCAAGGCAGGTGGATCACCTGAGGTCAGCAGTTCAAGACCGGTCTGGCCAACGTGGTGAAACCCTGTCTCTACTAAAAATACAAAAATTAGCCATGGGGCTGCGTGCAATGGCTCACACCTGTAATCCCAGCACTTTGGGAGGCCGAGATGGGCAGATGACTTGAGGTCAGGAGTTCAAGACCAGCCTGGCCAACATGGTGAAACCCCATCTCTACTAAAAATACAAAAAATTAGCCAGGTGTGGTGGTGGGTGCCTGTAATCCCAGCTACTCAGGAGGCTGAGGTAGGAGAATCACCTGAACCCGGGAGGCGGAGGTTGCAATGAGTTGAGATCATGCCACCGCACTCCAGCCTGGGCAACAGAGCAGGACTCCGTCTCAAAAAAAAAAAAAAAAAACAGAAAACAAAAAACAAAAAAATTAGCTAGGGTGGTGACACATGCCTGTAATCCCAGCTACTCAGGAGGCTAAGGTAGGAGAATCACCTGAACCCGGGAGGTGGAAGGATGCAGTGAGCTGAGATCATGCCACTGCACTCCAGCCTGAGCAAGACTCTGTCTAAAAAAAAAAAAAAGTGTGTGTATAAAACTTGCTTATTTGTACCACTTCTGGTCCAGGAAGTAACGAGGTTCCCAAATGTGTAAAGCATCAAAAACTAAGCTTAAAAAATTAGTAAACAGGGACGCATGGTGGCTCACACCTGTAATTGTAATCCCAGCACCTTGGGAGGCCAAGGCAACGGATCACTTGAGGTCAGGAGTTTAAGACCACCCTGGCCAACATGGCGAAACCCCGTCTCTACTAAAAATACAAAAATTAGCCAGGCATGGTGGCGCATGCCTGTAATCCCAGCTACTTGGGAGGCTGAAGCAGGAGAATCGCTTGAACCCGGGAGGTGGAGGTTGCAGTGAGCCGAATTTGAGCTACTGCACTCCAGCCTGGGTGAGACAGTGAGACTCCATCTTAAAAAGAACAAAAAAAAATTGGTAAACAAATACAGTTTCAAACATAGAATGGAGCCAGGGAAAGGCTCGAGACACCCCACGCTGCAGCCCACCTGTGCGAGCTGCTTCACCCCAGTCACCTCACAGAGGCGGCTGAGAAGGACACAAAAACTCCTGCAGCGTTTCGCCAGCAAAGCTGAGAGAGTCACATGGTCAGTCCCACGACTCACCCAGTGGCTCAGAGAAAGAAGTAGTGGACCGAGCACTGGGGGAGGGCGGTGGTCTGTTTTTCTGTTTTCGGGGTTTGGACCAGGGAAGAACAGCCTCAGCGGGCTCCCAGGTGGAGCAGCTCAGCCCCAGGCTGTGCCTCCTTGGCCGCCCTGCCCTGCCCTGCCCTGCCGGGACCTTGGCCCTGAGGCTCAGGGACCAGGCCCACAGGTGGCCACTCCTACAACGTGGCTGTCTCCTGTCAGACACCACAGGTACGCCTGGAAATGGCGCCACACTGCACTTACCGTGTCCACGGTTCCGCCCATTAAAATAAACTCCTTTGTGATGATTTCTACCATTTCTCGAACCTGCGAAGAAGGGCAAGACGATAACAGTGTGGCCTGCGCCTGCCGGCCTACTGACCCGTCTAGGCAGGGACGCCCAGGTCTGGACAGGCAACCGCACTGAGGACGGTGGCAGGCGGGGCCCTCACCTGTCTTGGGTCGGCGCTGGCATGGATGCAAAGGAGGCCAGTGTCCTCGTAGCTGTGGTGGTAGGAGGTCGCGTTATACATCCAGTGGTGCCTGGGAGGAAGCGAGAGTCATGGGAGTGAAGGGGACTCGCCAGGATCAGGCCATGGGAAACTGGAGAAAAGTCACCTGGAAGGTGGCCTCATGGTCCAAAAACACACCTGGCCTGGCCTGGTGGCCTGAGGATACAGAAAAGAGTGCAACCCACCTGTTGAGCACGTTGAGGTAGAGCCTGGAGAACATGCCCTTGCCGGGCCCACCAGCCGAGAAGGAGCCACCTCCGCCCATCATCATGTTCAACACTGCAAAGGGGATGAAGTCCTCCTCCTGCAGGGACGGAGGGCAGAGCTGGCTGAACCACCCACGCCACGTCAGGAGCACCGTCAGACGCCAGGGACGGAGGGCAGAGCTGGCTGAGTCGCCCAAGCCACGTCAGGAGCGCCGCTGGACGCCAGGGACGGAGGGCAGAGCTGGCTGAGCCACCCATGCCGCGTCAGGAGCGCCGTCGGATGCCAGGGACAAAGGGCAGAGCTAGCTGAGCCACCCACGCTGTGTCACGAGCGCCGTCAGACGCCAGGGACAGAGGGCAGAGCTGGCTGAGTCGCCCACACTGCATCAGGAGCATTGCTGGATGCCAGGGACAGAGGGCAGAGCTGGCTGAGCCGCCCACGCCCCATCAGGAGCGCTGTCGGATGCCAGGGACAGAGGGCAGGGCTGGCTGAGCCGGCCACACTGCATCAGGAACGCCATCAGACCCAGCACCAGGACTCACCAGGAAGGAGCAGCTCTCCAGTCCAACCATGATGTGCGTGAGCTCGGGGATGGGGGTCGGGCCCAGGCTGACATTGGACATGTCTCTTTCTAGCTGTAACCAAGAAAACAAGCAAGTGTCGCCATGTGAAAAACAATGAGGGCTCGCAAACCCCAGATGAGATCATCTTCAGAGTGGTTACACAGAAATCCAATGCCAGCCAGGCACAGTGGCTCATGCCTAAAATCCCAGCACTTTGGGAGGCCAAGGTGGGCAGATCACTTGAGTCCAGGAGTTCAAGACCAGCCTAGGCAATGTGGCAAAACTCCACCTCTACCAAAAAGACAAAAAAAAAAAAACATATGTATATACATATAAGCTGGGCGTGGTGGCTTACGCCTGTAATCCCAGCATTTTGGGAGGCTGAGGCAGGTAGATCATGAGGTCAGGAGTTCGAGACCAGCCTGGCCAACATAGTGAAACCCCATCTCTATACAAAATTTAGCCGGGCGTGGTGGTAATCCCAGCTACTCGGGAAGTTGAGGCAGAAGAATCACTTGAACCTGGGAGGTGGAGGTTGCAGTAAGCCGAGATTGCACCACTGCACTCCAGCCTGGGTGACAGAGCGAGGCTCCATCTCTAAAAAAAAAAAAAAAAAATGCAACACGCAGTGGCAGACCCACTCCCCTAGAGAAAGAACCGCATCCACCTTTTGTGTTGCTCTCAGGCCTAGCAGCACTCATTCTCAGCAGGGGACACAGTCCATGCCCTGCTGTGGGACTACAGCATGTGTTAAGGCAAAGCTACACATGCAGTCAACACCTATCACCCTCAGAATCAATACAAAAACAGGTCACACCACGGGCCAGGGGACGTGTTCCCCACCCGAGGCCATGAGACGTTCCCGCTACTTCACCTTGGCAATCCCCCCAGTGTACTGGGCCACAGATCTGTCAATATCCACGGCCTCTGCGCTCCCCCAGGCCGGCTGGACCCCCAGGAGGTACTTCCGGGCACAGTCCACCAGATGCTCGTGCTCCACGCCCACGCCGGCCAGCACCATGCGGTCGGGAGTGTAGTAGTTCCTCAGGTAGGAATGCAGCACCTCTCGGTTGATCTTTGCTACGTTTTCTGTGGGGCAGAAACGGTGGAGGCCAACTGTGTTCTCCCTGTAAGCCGCCTAATGGGGAAGAGCCACAGACACAGGTGACTGAAGACAGCATGACCAGGCTTCCTCCAACAAGCAGCACCAGCGCCCATCTGCAGCCAGCCCTGGGAAAATCCGACGCAAGCTGATATTTTACTTGCACTCTGGCAATAGCAGCTGCGTGCGTATTTATAAAGAGTAAAATCTGCCTCTCCAGAATACAAATTCACAAAAAGCCTAAGATTAATTGTGTTTAGTAGTAAAGACCTAGTTACTATAAAAACTGGAAAATACGAACATTGTATAAACAGCAGACTCAGAAATCAAGAATGTTCTAAGCTGAGTGCGGTGACTCACGCCTGTAATCCCAGCTACTTGGGAGGCAGAGGCAGGAGGATCACCTGAGCTGAGCCCAGGAGTGCAAGACCAGCGTAGGCAATGTGGAGAAACCTCATCTCAAAAAACAAAAAAATGTTCTGTATATATCCATAACCTGCAAGGACAACATCACGGAGGCACCCTCCCCACCACCCCTGGTGTCCCGAGGACCACTGTTCGAGATGCGGGGGCATTCTCGAGTTTGACATTTTACTTCATGAATCATCTCGGTGAGAAGTGGCTCTGGGTCAGGCCGCAGGTTCAGGTCCTCCAGCTCAAACTGGACCGCCATCCGCGTCATCTCGACTTCTTCATCTGCAAGAGAACCCAAAGGCCAGGGCTGAGTCTGCACAGGCAGAGATGAGGAACACAGCAGTGACCCACAGCTTGTGTGCTGGCCTGAGTGTCGCCTGTTGGTGGCTGTTGGCAGTCACCTCTGCCTTCATCTAGGGGCAGACTGGGTGCTTGTGTGAGTGAGGGGGACTGCTACAGGGAGCAGGAGCTAGGGGACCTGGGCCTCACATCCCGCCTCAGCCATGAAGCAGCCACGTGAGCCTGCTAAGCCCTGGCTTCCTTGCTGGTGAAAGGCACCGAAGACACTGGACCTGTCTGTCCCAAGTGCTGCTGTGAGGACACGAGACCAGACATGAAGGTGCTTAGAAACAGAGGCACACGCTGGGTGCGGTGGCTCACGCCTGTAATCCCAGCACTTTGGGAGGCCGAGGTGGGTGGATCACCTGAGGTCAGGAGTTCAAGACCAGCCTGGCCAGCACTGTGAAACCCCATCTCTACTAAAAATACAAAAATTAACTGGGCGCGGTGGCGGGCGCCTGTAATCCCAGCTACTCAGGAGGCTGAGGCAGGAGAATCACTTGAACCTGGGAGGTGGAGGTTGCAGTGAGCCGAGATCGCGCCACTGCATTCCAGCCTGGGTGACAGAGACAGACTCTATCTCCAAAAAGAAACAGAGGCACAGACAGATGTCAAGGGCGCCTTTCATCAGTTGTGACCACAAGATCTTAACGTGGGACTGTAGCCTTTGAACACCAAGCGCAAGCTGCTGTGAAACTGCACCCTTAGGGTATCTGGAAAAGCCAACGTTCCCCTCTCCTGGTCCACCCCTGACAGGGACTCAAAGTCCTGCCATCTGCAAGGCTGAGGAGGGTAATGGAAACAGTGAAATGGAAATTTCTGGCACACACCATTCCACTTGTTTAAAGACGGTCCGAGGTGCCCTTCCGAAATCAAAGAACCAATTTCGCTAAAAACATCCCACAGGGATGAGGGCACAGATGTCTCAAATACACATTCTCTCAAACACTAAGGACTTTTACAATCACCAGTGGGTTTTTTTTCCTTTTTGTGGAGAACAGAGTCTTGCTATGTTGCTCAGACTGGTCTCGAACTCCTGGGCTGAAGTGATCCTCCCATCTCTACATCCCTAAATGCCGGGATTACAGGCGTGAGCCAGCACGCCTGGCTACTAGCACTATTTCTTTTTCCTTTCTTTCTTTTTTTGAGACAAAGCCTCACTCTGTTGCCCAGGCTGGAGGGCAGTGGCACAATCATGGCTCACTGCAGCCTCAACCTCCCAGGCTCAAACGATCTTCCTACCTCAGCCTCCCGAGTAGCTAGGACTCTAAGTGTAAGCAACCACAGCCAGCTAATTCTTGTATCTTTTTTGTAGAGACAGGGTTTCACCATGTTGCCCAGGCTGGTCTCAAACTCCTGGGCTCAAGCGATTTGCCTGCCTGAGCCTCCCAAAGTCCTGGGATTCCAGGTGTGAGCCACCATGCCCAGCCCCAGCGCTATTTCTTATGAGATCTCGCTGTCACTTTGTGTTGGCCTAAAGCTCCAATTACATGGTGCTCTCCCTCATGGCTACAGGGCTTCTGCAAACCTTTCCGGTCTTCCCTATGTCCAAGCCCACCTCAAACGCCAGCGGCTGGGATCCACACCTGTTAGCCGGGGCTGCAGAACCACATCAGCCAGTAAGGCAACCACCGTGTCCAAGCCTTTGCTATCAGCAGACACAGCATACATGGTGGTGTCTCTGGAAGAAAACACAAGCCCATAATGCCAGGCCCTGAACTCACACTCTGCTTAACAGCCAGGGGACGCTCGGGCTTTGCGTGCCAGGTGGACAATGCCAGGCCCTGAGCTCACACTCTGCTCAACAGCCAGGGGACACTTGGGCTTTGCATGCCAGGGGCACCTACCTTTTGTTGGGGCCCAGCAGACATTTCAGGGACGCTTGGGCTTTGCGTGCCAGGGGACACCTCCTACCCTTCATCGGGGAACAGCAGACACTTTTCCCCTTTCTCTTTTCCTGTCTTACAGTGTGAATGCTTGGTAGGCAGGACTCACAGCTACACACAGCTTGAGTCAAAATGGAGCCACTTCTGATACAGATTTTTGTAACTATACTCTCTCTCAAAAGGTGAAGTGTTTCATCCCAGCCTCCTGTTGACTGAACGAACCCACTGGTGAGTGTGGAAACATGCCCGGCCTTGGCTGGCTTGGGGGACAGCAATGGCTGGCTCGTATGGAGCTTGTCTCACTGTAACATCTGTTCCCGGCATGAGGCACTGCACAGTCAGAAGTGCACAGAGCTGGCCCATGGGACAGGCACGAAATCATGGGGTGCTCTGAGATCAAGTGTGATCAAGGGAGACCATGCAGAGCAGACGCAACAGCCACGAAGAAGAGGGAGCTTGGGAGGCAGGACGCAGTCACCAGTGCCTCTGAAGAGGGGACTTGGCTGGACCTTCACCCTGAAGAGGAGCCATTCTCAGTGACTTTGGCTCTCCACATGGGGAGAATGGCAAGAACAAAAGCCTGAGCTGAGGGCGAGGGGGGCTGGGTCTGAGTCAGGACACCAGCCACCTGGCCAGAGAAAGGAGTTCATCTGGGATGAGTGAGATTCGAGGCAAGAGTCGGAGAATCAAACACACCAGGCAGGAACCTGGCAGGGGCAGCTGGGAGTCAGGGGGTATTAAGAGGCCTTGTTTTAGAACATGAATATGTTACCTCCAAGCTAACTTTAATTCTTAGCATTTAATGTGTCTTTTATGTGTAATTTTTTTAGCATTCAAACTTAAATCAACAATTTTAAAAATCTGTGATCTATATTCACCCATCTCACATTGCCCAGTGCTTTCTGAACAAGCTCCACACCTGGCATGCAAAGACCACTGCACTGTGCTCGAGGCAACACTGCCCCCTCCCTCCACCAAGCAGCCGGCACCTCCCTGGCTCGGTGCCTTTTGCCCCTGCTGTCTCCTGGTCTGGAATGCCTTGTGCCCCGTGTGTCTAGCAAACTCCTTCTGGAACCAGCCCAACCCTGCATTTCCTATGATTCCTTTCCCAACTCCAGACCAAGTCAGCCACTCATCCTCCTGGCTCCTACCGCCTTTGGCTACGGGGTCCATTACGTATGCAAGGCCCTCTGCTCTATCTGGGAACAGGGCCTGCTCTACATCCCTGGCATGCAGCCAACAGCCTGGAGGAACTGACGGGGGTCAACTGAGCTCCTGGGGGCTGTGCTTCTCTGTGTAAGCGCCATCCACCCAAGTCTCCATCCAGGACAGGGCTCCTTCTCCCCGTGAATCTCCACACCTCCCGCTGGGAGGGGCTCAGAGGGAATCTGAGCAACGACAAGAACGTCAGTTCCCAAGGACCCAAAGTCAGTTTGTACACAAAAGCTGGTGTACCTTGATGTCTGGCAGTCACAGATACCCCCATGCTTTTCCAACGTAAGCAGAATTTCATCTTTGCTGTCAAATCGAGCAGTAGACTAGTAAAAATAAATAAGGAAACCTAAATAAGCAATCCAGGCTATCCCTGAAACACAATTTTTTTTTAAAATCTACTTTTGCTTTTAACACACATACAAAAATTATCTTTTAACTTAAAAGTCTTTTATTAACATTAACTTAGCAACTTGATAATTTATTAAAATAACCATTATAGACAAGAAAAATCTCAAACATCCTTCAAAAGTATAGTCTAAAAAATTACAAAACTGGGTACTGACCGAAAATGCCAATTTTTCCAAAAAGTGAGCAATTCCACTAAGGTATTTCGCTTCATATCTCGATCCTGAATTGATAAGAACTAGTAGTAAAAAGAAAATTGACAGGTTACATCAGATATTCAAAATAAGATTTAATCAAGAGAAACATTTTAAGATGTCAATATGACATGATAATCAGATTTAATTACATGAGGGTGATTGTGCTGATGGTTTCACAGGTATATGTGTAGCTCAACATTTATGAAATCGTACACTTTGTTTCCACTCAGGGTACAATTCATAATTGGCATGCTAATTACAACTAACAGTCAACTAAAGCATGTGCATGTTAAAACTGCGGGACCACCCACGACAACACAACAGTACTTACTTCCTACTGTACAAAACTGTCCAAACTTATTCTGAGATGCCACGCGAAGCCCATTATCCAATGTGGTTACTTTGGTTTCAAACTTTTCCTGTCCATCAACTGTAGCAAAAACAGGCTTGGGTACTCCAGGTAAGGGAGAAGAGAGGGGGATGTTGGGATAGGCACCACCACTACTAAACCGTCTGTACGCAGGAGGTCCAAACCTAAAACAGAGAAAGCGGCCCAGTTACAACAGGCTTGAGACAACAAACCTGTGATGACCTGTTAGGTGCGGTTAGTTATGTTTTGTCTGGGTTAAAAGTGAGCATCTGCCTTTCTACAGGACTTATTTCTACAGACTTTGGAAGACAAAGCAGAGGCTGACAACAAAGGCTCAGCCACGGGACCTGGAGCAAGCTGGTTCCGTCCTTTGGGTCTTAGTTGCTATCTCTGTAAAAACAGGGCTTATTAACAGTAACTCACTCTAAGTGCAGTTTGTACACATAAAGCACTTAACAGCTCTGCCCTCCAACAGCACCACCGAAGTCTTGGATAAAAGCCATATCCCTTATTAACCTGGTCCGAAGGCGGGGTGTGACTTGGCCTCTGTCTCCCTCTCCAAACTCATCTCTTGAACCCCCACACTCCCATAGGTCCTGGTCACACTGATTCTTGTCAATTCCTGGAACACATTTGACTCATCAACCCCAAAGCTTCTTCACCGTTCCAGGGCTTGCCCTTTGCCCATGCCTACCCCTTCTTTCATTCTTCAGCTCTTCCCTTAAATGTCACCCTGATGGAGGACTATCCCTCACCAGTCTAGTCTTTCCTGCTATTTTCTATCATGAAAGGCTGCTTGTTTACTCCAAAGCATTTACGCGACTGCCGATATTTTGTTTACGCTCCAGCCTGTATCCATCTCCTGGAGGCAGCACCTCCGCACCCCTGAAACGGCGCTCGTTGTGTGGGGAGGGGCGACGCCTGTGCTGTCGGAACAAAGTTCCAGCGTGGGGAAAGGCAGGCCCGGTCACTTGGGTGGGAGGAGCGGTGGGTACGGAAAGGGTTCTTAAACGTCAGAGATCAACGGACAGACCGCAGCAACCGAGAGCCTGGACCCTGGTGTCAGAACCCTGCGGGTCTAACAGAGCTGGGCCCCCACCGGCTCAGCCTCCTGAAGGAGCACGCGGTAGGTGAAGCGCGGGGGCAAATATGAGGCATGGCCTCGGAGAAGGCCCGTCGACCCGGGAAGTGAGGGGGGGAGAGGACCCAGCAGCCGGGGAGAGGAGAGACAGATGGGACTGCGTCCCCGGGCTCGAGGCGCAAAGCAAGGCAGGGCCCCCGTCGCCTCGGGGACACCAGTGTCCCGAAGTGCGAGCCCGTCCCACGGGCGCCATGTCACCTGTAGAAACCGAAGACGGAGCGTCCAGAAAGACTCGAGCCGCCCCCGCCCCAGGCCGAAGCCTGGTTCGCCTTTGGCTCACCTCAGCCGCGAACAGCCCCAAGAACCCGAGCCCCGCAGCAACCGCGTCGCCGCCAGCACCACAGCCGCCATCTTGCGTCTCCGCCCCGCTTCAGTCGTCACTTCCGCTTCCGCCCACGGCTTCCCCTCCCCCTCGCCGACGGCCCAAGGCGTTCAGGCACGCGCTTTCGGTGCTCGGAGCGGAAGCAGCGGCGAGAGGCTCGGAGGCGCGGGGGCGGCCGAGCGGCGGGCGACGGGGGCGGGCGACGGGGGCGGGCGACGCGGGCCGCGGCACGGGCGGAGCCGGGGCCATGGAGCCGCCGCTGCCGGGCTAGGCAGGTCGTGCCCCGCCGGGCCGGCGGCGATGTCGGGCTACCAGCGCCGCCCGGGCGCCACCCCGCTGTCCCGAGCCCGGAGCCTCGCCATTCCCGACGGTGAGCGGGGCAGGGGCCGAGTCCAGCGGTCCAGGTGGGCGGCGGCCGCCCCGGCACGCAGTAAAGTCGCTGTTGTCGTTGCTTCCAGCTCCAGCGTTCTATGAGCGCCGGTCTTGTCTCCCCCAGCTAAATTGTGAGCGCCCCCATGGCAGGGACCTGGACTCCCCCTTCTTCGGCATTCGGCCGGCCTTTATGTGCTATGTGCCCAGCCCGGTGCTGGCTTCCGTGGGAGACACAGGTGAGAGACGAGGGCGCCGGCCCCGGGGACGCTTCCAGTTCCCGCGCCACGTGTGGCACCTCCGCTGCAGCACGAGCTCGTCCATTGACCCATCAATGTGCAGAGCGCTCACTGCGTGCCAGGCACTCGGAATTCAAAGGCGGAGTCCCCTGCTAGGAGCTCACAGTCTGGTTGCGGGGAGACCTCCCCCAAGACAGACAGTTCCAGTACAGGATGGTTAGTGCCCGGGGAGCACAGGAGCCCGCCCGCTTTCCTCGTGGGGCTGGAGTCGGGGTGCCTTCACCTAGTGGGCAGTGATTGGAAACCGAGCTGGAGCATTCCATCTGCCTCCACAGCCGGGCAGTGGCCAGATCTGGTTCGTCCTCGTTCTACCCAAGCAGAAGTGCTGCTGGGTGCCCGGGGTGTGCAGGAGTGTTTGTGTGGTTATGCCAGGATCTGAGGACATTCGGGGGTTGTCACAAGACAAGAGGACGCGCTTGCCCCGGCTGGGCTTCAAAATCTGCTGAGGAGCCGCTTTCAGACCACGGACACCAGGGCCAGTCTGCAAGTCAGGCCATCTCCAGGGTCACAAGTCTGGGAGCTTGTGTTTTTTTTAAAGTTTTCTCGGCTGACCGGGCGCAGTGGCTTACGCCTGTAATCCCAGCACTTTGGGAGGCCGAGGCAGGCGGATCATGAGGTCAGGAGATTGAGACCATCCTGGCTAACAGGGTGAAAACCCGTCTCTACAAAAAATACAAAAAAATTAGCCGGGCGTGGTGGCAGGTGCCTGTAGTCCCAGCTACTCGGGAGGATGAGGCAGGAGAATGGCGTGAACCCAGGAGGCGGAGCTTGCAGGGAGCCGAGATCGCACCACTGCACTCCAGCTTGGGCGACAGAGCAAGACTCCGTCTCAAAAAAAAAAAAAAAGTTCTCTAGACTGTGAGAACCACTGCAGTGGAGACTCCATGTGCAAAAGAAAAAAACCAAATGTGAGGTCATAAAGACTTCCTGCCAGCATGGTGGGTGACATTGTTTCTTTGCAGATTTTGGCTATGGAAAGGGGAAATGTTCTAAGCAGAGCCCGTCAGGAGCCCACGGGACACATTTTGGAGGTAGAGTAGTTCAGCAACCTTTTCTTCTTGTCTCCATCCAACACAGTGCCAGGCACGTGTCTGGTGGGACTGTCAATGTGACTGGCTATGTGGTGTAGCTGGAGCCCAAAAGAGCAGGTGGGGGTGGGATTTCAAGGGTTCAGTCTTGATCCTAGAGTAGCAGCGAGGTGACATCAGGGAGCGGGGAAGCCCCACCTGGGGGGCTGGGGCCACAGGAGCCAGCTTTACATGGGGCTCACAGCTGGGAGGGTCGAGTGTGGCTGCTTAAGTCCCCGGAGGGTGGGAAGGCGGTGGCAAGAGGGAGAAGGGAAAAGTGGGCGTTATTTAGGCTACCTAGGTAGGAAAGTCGGGAAGAGGGTCAGGGGGCACTGGGTCCCCAGCGTTGCAGCACCTGAGGAGCTGGTTGTTGTTGTTGTTTTTTGAGACAGAGTCTCGCTCTGTCGCCCAGGCTGGAGTACAGTGGCACGATCTCGGCTCACTGCAAGCTCCACCTCCCAGGTTCACGCCATTCTCCTGCCTCAGCCTCCCGAGTAGCTGGGACTACAGGCGCTCACCACCACGCCTGGCTAATTTTTTGTATTTTTAGTAGAGATGAGGTTTCACCGTGTTAGCCAGGATGGTCTCAGTCTCCTGACCTCGTGATCCGCCCGCCTTGACCTCCCACAGTGCTGGGGTACAGGCGTGAGCCACCACACCTGGCCACCTGAGGAGCTTTGAGAGCTCCTAGCACAGGTTGACCTCACACCAGGGAGCTGGGTGTGTGCAGTGGAGTGGCTTGGGTCGTTTTAAAGCTCCCCAGGGGAGCTTTAGTGAGCAGCACAGTGTGGGAGCAGGGGCCGAGGGGTGGAAGGAGAAGATTGCAAATGCAGACGCACGTCTGTGTCACTGCCCACCTTCAGCCACCTTCACACTTCCTAGTGCTGCCTGAGTCATGGTAGAATGACAAGCGTGGCTGCCCGATCTCACATGTGGCCATGCTCTGGAAAGACAGGTGAACAGGAAGGTTCCCTTTCAACGCTCTTCAGTAGACTTTATGCATTTGTGATGTCTGTTATTTCAGATGACAGATTTGAAGATCTGGAAGAGGCAAATCCATTCTCTTTTAGAGAGTTTCTGAAGACCAAGAACCTCGGCCTCTCGAAAGAGGATCCGGCCAGCAGAATTTATGCAAAGGTAAATCCACGGCACTGTGGGCGATGGCTCTGTGGGACGTTTCTGTTCCGGCCTCTGCAGCCTCCTTTGGAGGAATCGTGCATGAGTGTGGCAGAGCAGGCAGGCGTCAGTGCTGGGGAGCAGCTCTGGGCTCAGAAGCTGCTGGGCTCCTTCCGGTAGAGAGATTGGGCCTTTCTTCTTGTTGCGAGGCAGAACACAGAAAGGAAGATGCGCTCCGAGTCAGAAGCATGGCCTCCATTGTTTTTTTTTTTTTTTTTTTTTTAGGAAGCCTCGAGGCATTCCCTGGGACTTGACCACAACTCCCCACCCTCCCAAACCGGCGGGTATGGCCTGGAGTATCAGCAGCCATTTTTCGAGGATCCGACAGGGGCTGGTGACCTCCTGGATGAGGAGGAGGATGAGGACACCGGATGGAGTGGGGCCTACCTGCCGTCCGCCATCGAGCAGACTCACCCCGAGAGGGTCCCTGCCGGCACGTCGCCCTGCAGCACATACCTTTCCTTTTTCTCCACCCCGTCGGAGCTGGCAGGGCCTGAGTCTCTGCCCTCGTGGGCGTTGAGTGACACTGATTCTCGCGTGTCTCCGGCCTCTCCGGCAGGGAGTCCTAGCGCAGACTTTGCGGTTCATGGAGAGTCTCTGGGAGACAGGCACCTGCGGACGCTGCAGATAAGTTACGACGCAGTAAGTGAGCCTCACGGCGCCCTCTGGCACAGCGCCTGTCCGAGCGGCTTCTCCCGGGGAGAACCTGGAGCCATCCTACCTCTTGGGTGGCCTGGTTTGATTTCCAGGACAAGGCGATTTGCGTGACAGCCTGCTATCCACTTTCCCTTTGACTTTGCTTCTGGTTACACGTGGGAATAGAACCGGCTAAAGAGGACTGGTGAGCTAGAAGCTGTGAATTGGATGCAGTTGGGCACTTACAGGGCTGTACCCTCAGTAAAGGCAGGCTGCAGTCGCCAGCTTGCTAAGTATTCCAAGAGGAGGAAAATTTTTAAAAAATTATAATCACCTAAAAGGTTATAAGCTCTGAATAAAAAAAAAAATTTTTTAGCTGGGCGCCGTGGCTCACGCCTGTAATCTCAGCACTTTGGGAGGCCGAGGTGGGTGGATCACCTGAGGTCAGCAGTTTGAGACCAGCCTGGCCAACATGGTGAAACCCTGTCTCTACTGAAAATACAAAAATTAGCTGGGCGTGGCGGCAGGCGCCTGTAGTCCCAGCTACTTGGGAGGCTGAGGCAGGAGAATCGCTTGAACCCGGGAGGCGGAGGTTGCGGTGAGCCGAGGTCACGCCACTGTACTCCAGCCTAGGCGACGGGCGAAACTCTGTTTCAAAAAAAAGAAAAATTATTTTCTTCCTGAGACAGTGTCTCACTCTGTTGCTCATGCTGGAGTGGAGTGGCACGATCTCGGCTCACTGCAACCTCCGCCTCCCGAGTTCAAGTGATTCTCCTGCTTCAGCCACCCGAGTAGTTAGGACTACAGGTGCCCGCCACCACTGCTGGCTAATTTTTGTATTTTTAGTAGAGACGGGGGTTTCACCGTGTTGGCCAGGCTGGTCTCAAACTCCTGACCTTGTGATCCGCCCACCTCGGCCTCCCAAAGTGCTGGGATTACAGGCGCGAGCCACTGCCCCCGGCCTCTGAGTAAAATTAACTGGCATCTGTGACCACAGGTCTTTGAAAAGTGCCTGCCTCCGTCTGTGGTCTCCCTCTGTAGTGGCTGCAGGTGGATGCTGCACTGACCCAGCATCTCTGCTTATCAGGAGGCTCTGGAGCCACACCGCAGAAGCACACGCCCTTTTGAGCCAGACATGCTGACTTTCTAATAAGGATGTTCTCTCTCCACAGCTGAAAGATGAAAATTCTAAGCTGAGAAGAAAGCTGAATGAGGTTCAGAGCTTCTCTGAAGCTCAAACAGAAATGTATGTAAGCTTTTAGTTAGGAATGCAATCCACAACATCTAATACACAGGGAAATCCGTTTTTAAATGATAATGAAGTAATCAGAGTCAAACCAGATCTGGGTTTTATTGTATATAAATGTTCAGCATCAAACACATTTCTGTGTTCTGCCTAAAAGTTTATTTTGAGACAGTCTTGCCGTGTCACCCAGGCTCGGGTGCAGTGGCGCAATCACGGCTCACTGCAGCCTTGACCTCCTTGGCTCCAGCAATCCTCCCATCTCAGCCTCCTGAGTAGCTGGGACCACAGGCGTTTGCCACTGCACCTGGCTAATTTTTAAATCTTATTTTTGTAGAGACAGGGTCTCACTATGTTGCCCAGGCTTGTCTCAAACTCCTCGGCTCAAGGAATCCTCCTGCCTCAGGCTCCTAAAGTGTTGGGATTATAGGCATGAGCCACGGCGCCTGGCCAAGGTTTATTTTAAACTTTAGGCAAAAAGCCACCAAACACCTTGTTGGAGCAGCAGTGCTGTGAGAGCCGCTCCCTGCACGCCTGCCTGGTGGCTACAGGTCCAGGCCTGAGGCTGCCGCTGCCTCCCCTCTGTGCCTGAGACCCATTCCATCACAGGCTCTTAGCGGGTTTTATCTGGCTCATGAGGTATCTTTTTGTAGTCCTCTTAAAAGTAGCCACAGAAATTAACAACTCGGGTTTTTCTTTAACAAGGGTGAGGACGCTTGAGCGGAAGTTAGAAGCAAAAATGATCAAGGAGGAAAGCGACTACCACGACCTGGAGTCGGTGGTTCAGCAGGTGGAGCAGAACCTGGAGCTGATGACCGTATGGGTTTCTTCTCTGAATCGGACGAGCTGGGTGGGGCAGGAGCGCTCCTGAGAAAGTGCTGTTGTCCTCAGCAGCCGGTGCAGCCTGCCCTTGGGAGCGGGGCCATGTGGCTCTCTGGGACTGGTGTTCTTTGACGTCGCTGTCTCGCTGTGCCTGGGGATAGCTGGCCCACGAGGGCATCCGTGGGGAGTGGGGGGCCAGAGCACAGACACTGCACGATGAGCCCTTCCCAGGGGTGGTCTGAGAGTGGAGGCGGGACTGGGAGGGGCACAGGGGCTGTGAAGGGCCACAGCCAGGTTGGGTGCCCTCCTGCTCCCTGGGTTGGGGCCCGTGTCCGGTATGAATGTGAGGACATCAGTGATGCTTTTTGTGGTTTTTCTTTTTTGGGTAACAGAAACGGGCTGTAAAGGCAGAAAACCACGTCGTGAAACTAAAACAGGAAATCAGTTTGCTCCAGGTAATTAAAGGAAGGGACTTCAGTGTTTTTCTTTGATTTGTGGAGTCACATAATGAATTCAGTAAGAAAGAGGCGAAAGACTCTGCTGGGGTTTCCCCTGAGCCCAAGCAGAGAAAGGACTTCAAATGAGGACAGCAGCCGCTTCCTGTCAGGGCGTGAAGCAGAGGGAGGCCCTGGAGCTCTGTTGGGAGTTTGGGGTCTGGCACGGGGCATCCACTTGTAGGAGTCCCTATTGCCATAGAGCTAGGTGCTGAGCATATACTGGAGTGAAGGGGAAGCCATTAGGCCCCCAGTCCCAGAGGCGAGCCCCCAGTTAGGCCAGAGCATGCATCTTGAGTGCCAGGCCCCCACGGGTAAGCCCTCGCCTCGCCAGGTGGTGACTTTCAGCCGGGTTGCCTCGGAGCTGCTCTGTCCTTAGCCGTAACCGTCCCCCCAGGCGCAGGTCTCCAACTTCCAGCGAGAGAATGAAGCCCTGCGGTGCGGCCAGGGTGCCAGCCTGACCGTGGTGAAGCAGAACGCCGACGTGGCCCTGCAGAACCTCCGGGTGGTCATGAACAGTGCACAGGCTTCCATCAAGTGAGTGCCTGGGAGGCACCGGGAAGCCTGGCGGGGAAAGGGGTGAGATTGGAGTGGTCGTCAGTGATCCTGGGTGGGGGCCCAGGCTGATGGCACCGTGGCTGGAGGACCAGGGAGCTGCAGGGAGGGACGCGTGCTCAGTGGTCCTGTTAGCTCTCTGGGTCACTGTGTGGACAGACCACAGGCTTTCTAACCTGCCTCGCAGTGTCTGATCCCACCTGGGAGGTGCAGACAGCCACAGCACCCTGCACTGAACCTCAGCCCCACCCCATGTGGGCGCTGAAGCTCTGAATAAAGGAAATAGTGGGGGTTTCCCTCCTGCTGAAAAAGCCACTTCCCAGAAGGCCCTTACTGCTGTGCCTGGCTGGGGACACGCCAGCCACCATGACTGTGACAGTGGTGAGTGTCTGCCACCCATTGGGCTGAGCTCTGCAGGGCGGTGTTGGCCCCCAGAGCACTCCCTGTGAACAAGGGAGCCGTCTCCTGTGAAGTCAGGTGTGGGTCTCCTCCAAGAGGAGCTAGGAGTGGAAAACCTGTGGTTCTCCCCCAGCCCCTCCCTTTCTCCCAGGAACCCTGTCCCTTTCTTCCCCCGGCAAACCCCACCCCTTGCTCCCAGGAACCCTGTCCCTTTCTTCCCCGGCAAACCCCACCCCTTGCTCCCTGGGACCCTGTCCCTTTCTCCCCCGGCAAACCCCACCCCTTGCTCCCTGGAACCCTGTCCCTTTCTCCCCCCGGCAAACCCCACCCCTTGCTCCCTGGGACCCCTTCTGTTTCTCCCCCCAGAATTCTGTCCCTTTCTCCCTGGAACCCCTTACCTTTCTCCCCGCCAGAACCCTTCCCCTGTGGAATCCCTCCCCGCTCTGGAAACCCTCCCCTTCCTTCCCCACCCCCACCCCCGGAATTCCTCCCCTTTCTCCCCCTCAGAACCTCTCCCCTTTTTCTGCCTACCAACCCCTCCCCTTTCTGCCCCCCACCCCCTGTGGAAACCCTCCCCATTCTTCCCCCTGGAAACCCTCGCCTTCCTCCCACTCAGAACCTCTCCCCTTTCCCTACCCCTTGGAACCCCTCCCTTTTTCCCCCTACCAACCCCTCCCCTTTCTCCCCCCAGAACCCTGTTGCTGCTGAGTAGCTGCTGCCACCCATCCTGATATCCATGCTTGTTTTCAGGCAACTGGTTTCCGGAGCTGAGACACTGAATCTTGTTGCCGAAATCCTTAAATCTATAGACAGAATTTCTGAAGTTAAAGACGAGGAGGAAGACTCTTGAGGACCCCTGGGTGTTCTCAGCATGAAGCTCCGTGTATACCCTGAGGTCACCACCGCTCGATCTAAATGTGCAGTTGTGTCCTTAAATATGCAGTCTTCACCCAGAGTAAAGTGTTGATCGCAAGAGTCCAGTGTCGTGCCCTCAGCCAGTTCTTGGCCACCACAATGGGAGCAGCCCTGGCCGAGTTGTCTCTGTGGTTTCTATGCAGCCCTTCTTGGCGAAATTCCTGCGATCTTATAGATTCTAATGAGCTCTTGGAAGACATTGTCATAAAAGCCAGTGATTTTAAGAAAAAGAGTGGTTCTGGAATCAATGTTTTCCAGTCCCATCCCAGAACATCAGTTGTAAGATAAGTACAATTGGTTGTCCTTGATTTCATAAGTAGAACAAACACTAAATGTGCCTCTGAGATGGCCACCCCGGGCAGGGACCTGTGCCTTCCGCCGATGCTCAGGGCTCCCTCTGGCTCCCGGGTCACTCTTGTGGCCCCAGTGGGTGGTCCCTGCAGTCATGGCCTGAGTGCGCAGGGGCCACCGCGTGGCTGCTGCTGTCCTCCTCCGGGACCCACGGGGACCAAGGTCACACGTTCCGTGCTGTGAAGCTGTCCAGATGTGCCTCTTTGGCTGGGGGTTCTGGTGGACGTTTCAAGTGGCATTTTGTACAATGCAGGTTAGAATTCAGGAATTTCAAGTATGTGCCCGGGTCTGTCAGGTCCCAGTTGCCTTTCTGACGGCCCCCCTCAGAGGGACGGCGATGAGCACTAAATGCTTTTTTGACTATTTTCCTATAGATTTTTTTTAAAACTTTTTTTTCCTCCTGTTCCAATTGATAGCTTTCTTATTTAATAAATTCTGTAGTTCACCGCACTGTCTCTTCTCTGCTGACTTAGCCAGTCCTTGGAGAACGCCGTGGGCTTCCACACCTCACTTGCTCTTGCCCTAACTGGTGCCTTGTGCTGGCAGATTCTCTCCAGGTCCTCAGCCCTTGGGGTTAGGGGCAGACTCAGACCACTGCTGCCTGGGCCTGACCACTGGGACCCACACGTGATGGACGTGTGAGTCACGCAGCTGCACGTTTCAGAGCTGGACAGACTGGATTCTAGCATTGGATCATCTTTTCGGATCATGTGGTTGAATTTTTCAAACAAGGCGTCTGAATTGCTAGACCCCTAGCCTTAGCTACAGGTGAAGGCCAGAGCTTTCCAGCAGTCACTGTGGAGCGGTCCTGCTGCGTAGCCCTATGCGCCTCCTGCTCCTGCTGGTTGGTGAAAGCAGGCTCTGGATTCTGTTGGCAGAGCTGACTTGAGACAGGGTGCTGTGGTTGGGAAGTGCCGGAATGAGGTTCTGAGTGTATAGGCAGCTCTGGGAGCCCTGTAGCAGCAGGATGGGGGCATCTGGGGAGGATGCCTCAGGCCACAGGCCTTCCCTGAGGCCCTTTGGGAGAGACAGCATTTGATGGGGTGGGGGTCACAAAGGCCAGATCGCCAGGCGGGTCCCATCCACCAGATGCGTGTGAAGTGGGGTGGTCCCCTGGCCCTCATGCCAGCAGCTCATGGAGCAGGTGGGGCCCAGGGAAGCGCGGTGGGGATGGGCATGTGGGTTTTGCGCACCCCTCTCTTTTGATGTCTGTGTTTGAAGCGTTTGATAGTAAGAAGTTTAAAAATACAATTTGTGGCGCGGTATTTAGTGCCTGCCTTCTGCCTCCAGATTTCAAGCCCGATGCAGGGACTGAAACGAGGCGCTCGAGGAGCCCCCAGCCGCCTGGTTCCATCCCCTCCATCTGTTTCTTGCCAATCCCTAGCTCCCAGTTTGGCCTCACCTGGGCCTAGCCCTTTGCCACCAAAAGCCCACCTCCTAGGTAGGCAGGGCAAACCCTCTTTATAGTTCTCCAGCTGATGCCCCTAGCTCACCCCAGGCTGGAGTGGAGGCCCCCTCAACTGGCTGGGCCCAGGATGTCTTTGCAGCACCGATACTTAGAAGCTCTCAGGAGCCAGGAACTGTAGGCCCCTGCCCAGCTCCCGGCCGAGTTAGCCCTGGCACGTTCCTGAAGGAATGAATGCCCACTTAGGGGAGGGCCCCGGGGCAGCTCTCCAGGCCAGGAGACCCCAGAGGGTGTGCACAGGTGACCAGGGAAGCGAGTTTGTGTGGTGCGGGCCCCCACCCTCTGGCCTCAGTCTCCTGCACGTGCCTGGAGATCGGCCTGGCCTCGGCGATCCTGAGCATGCAGGGCAGGCTGGGGAAAAAGCCTTTCACGTAGACTTTCTCATCCGTTGCTTAACCAAACCCCAACATGTCCGTTAACAGAGGATGAAACAAGCACAGAGAGGTCCAGCGATGGCCGAAGGTCACAGCCAGTAAGGGCCGGTCTTCCGGATCGTGACCAGGTGGCCGGGTGCCTGTCCCTGTCTGTCCCCTGCCTTGAGGTCCCGCGTCCACCCGCGCCCCTCCAGAGCGCGCGGAGGCGGCCCCCAGGGCGGCCGCGCGAGGGCAGCATCGAGCCGTTCGCCTCTCTAGTCCCGGCAGGCCGCAGCGGCCGTCCCGGCGTGCCCCGCGCCTCAGGAGGCGGGACTTCCGGCGCGCGGCGCTCTTGTTCTGCAGCCGCCGGAAGCGTCGAGTCTGCAGTCGCCCGGGCGACGGCGGGGTCCGCGCGGCCAGGTAAGGTGTGCGCCCAGCAGGTGAGGCGCGGGTGGCGTCGGCAGCTTCAGGGCTCTCCCCGTGGAGGGGGCGCTGTCCCGAGGAGCGGATAGCCGAGGCCCGGGACGGGGGCGGGGCAGCGCCCAAAGTCGGGGAAACTGAGGCCCGGCGTGGCCCCCGTCCGGCCGAGCCTGGGCGCGCGGGGATTCTGGCCCTGGGAGCCCCTCGGCTGGGAGCGGGCTGCGGGCTCCGAGGAGGCTCCGGCGGGGCGGCCCCGGCTGCAGGGCGCCCGCGTGCGTCTCGGGGACTGCGCCGGCGATTCCGCGGTGGCCGAGCCTCGGAGGGGGTTTCCCCAGTTCACGCAGCGAGCAGGAGGCGGAACTGGGCCTGGGCCGGGTCTGTCTCCCAAGCCAGTGCCTAAACGCCCATCGTCCTGGCGCATCCTGGGGTTCCCTGGGCCCAGCCGAGTCTGGGTGGCGTCCCCGCAGCTGGGGCTGGAGGGACCGCCTGCTGCGCTCCGTCTTGGTGGGCAGCCCTCATGACCAGCCCTTGGGAGAGGGGTGCGGGGAGAGGGACAGCCCCTGATGTCAGTGGCTCAGCACGTGTGACTTTGACCTCCTTCCTGCTGATCATTGCTCACCTGAGCGACACGGGGAGGGGGAGGCAGCAGCCTCGTGTGAGGCTTCCAGAGGAAAGCGTCTCCGCCGGCCCGGAGGCGCTGAACCAGCCTGCGGTCGCTGCCAGCTCTGCCTCTGGCCGGCTGTTAACTGAGTTTACAGGTTCACAAGCATTTCGGGCATAAACAAGGGGCTTTGTGAAGGAGTGAGGGGACCTGGGCTGCTGATGCGGCTAACGGTGCTCGCGGGTGGATGCTTTGGTTTTGTTCCAGTTGGGCAGGGCCCCAGTCAGCCTCCAGCAGGGAGAGCCACGCCAAGGACGGGGGAGGGCGTTTCTCTTTGTTGTTGGGTGTTTTGGGCTCCCGGGTCTGTGCTAGTGATTCCTTTAGATTTTCTCTGCTAATGTTTCATTCTCCCACTCTCTCTCTAGCGTCCTTCTCCCTTCAGACTTCCTGGACCACAGTTCCTAAGAAAAAAGCTTGACAAACATTTGTTAGTGTCAGGCACTGCCACGTTCCAGGCGTTGTTCTGGATGTACAGAGAACAGCCAGCCTTCCCTTTGGGAGCTTCCTTCCCAACCATGCTGTTAGTGCCTGCCACCTGGGCAGTCTCAGTGTGTGTCTCTGTGAACGTTTCTCAAATGCCCTCTGTGGTCCGGCTCTGTGTCATGGGAGAGCAGGATGGCCAAAGTGGGTCACGGGCTGTGTCCTTGCCCTGTAGTGACTTTGCCACTGCACCCCACACCTTCTACGCTGGGTGGCCAGTTTCCATGTGGCTTGGTGTGGGAGCAGAGACGGGACAGTGGGGCCTGTCCTTGTTCATCCACTCCCTGCCTGTGCTGGTTGCAGCCTCAGAGCAGGCGGGAGATGTTCTTGGGGCTTAGGCTCCTGGCAGAGCACATAGCAGGAGTTTGTGGGGTCTGAGGTTCCTGTCCCAGGGTTCCCCGATTCTGTGCCTGGCCTATTAATCTTTCTCTGGGGAGCCCAGTGCCCACTGCCGAGCAGGCTCCTGCCATCCCCCATGGGCGGGTGTGTCTGAAGGAGAATGGGATCCCGGCACGGTCTTGGTTTCTAACATCTCGGGGTGTGTTTTGGAGGCAGGCGGGAGTCATGGATGTAGATGCTGAAAGAGAGAAGATAACACAGGAGATCAAGGAGCTGGAAAGGATTTTGGATCCCGGCTCCTCGGGCTCCCACGTGGAGATCTCAGAATCAAGTCTCGAGTCAGATTCTGAAGCAGGTAAGCCCCTTGTACCTAGCCTCCTGGGGTCCTGGTAAGAACAGCTGGTCTGCCTCCTGGGTTCCTCTCAGGCACATTAGGGAGTGATGGTAGCCGGGTGTGGTTTCTCAGGCCTGTAAACCCAGGGACTCCTGAGGCTGAGGTGAGAGCATTGTTTGATCCCAGGAGTTCATGTCCAGCCTGGACAACGCAGCAAGACCCTGTCTCTAAAAATAATAATAATAATAATAAACGATGGCTGGTGCTGCTTGGACCAGACCCAATTTTTTGCCAACACTGGTGTCTTTCTGTACTCCAGCCAGAGAGCTTCTGACAATTCCTCCTTTGCTAGCCCCTGAACCAGCTGGCTGTGTGTGTACACTGGGCTCTAGGCATCCCAGGGTCTGGGCCTGGCCTCCTTGGGCCTGTGCAGGGCTTCTGGAGTGGACCATCCTGGGAGGAGGGGGCAGGCCTGAACCTCACCAGATGGCAGTCTGGACAGTCCATGCCTGGATGGTCAACACAGCTCACACCCCTAGGATCTCTTCTTCTCACATGTGCCCCTCCCCACGTGCTCCCCACCCCAAGTGCTCTCCTCCCCACGTGCTCCCCACCCCACGTGCTCCCCACCCCACGTGCTCCCCTCCCCACGTGCTCCCCTCCCCACGTGCTCCCCTCCCCACGTGCTCCCCACCCCACGTGCTCCCCTCCCCATGTGCTCCCCACCCCATAGGCTCCCCACCCCACAGCCTCTCCTCCCAACATGCTCCCCTCCCCACATGCTCTCCTCCATGCTCCCTTTAGCTTCTGAGCCTACCCCAACCCCACCAGCTGCTGCCCTGACAGGAGACCCCCCCAGCCTTGCTTCCCACCTCTCCCAGACCCAGGGCCTGCCTCTGAGGCAACCTGCTATCTTTCTCCTGTGGTGAGGGCCTCTACATCCGTGCCTCCCATCTGACCGGCTAAGCTCCTGAAGGAGAGGTCCGTTTTCTGCTAAACTTTCCCTGTCTCTCCAGTAAAGATAGCTTGTGCCATCCAGTGAACCCTGTGTAGCTTTGTCCTGTGTGCCTGGAGGTCCCCAGTGTGTGGTCAGAGTTTTCTCTATCTGGCTAACCCGGCCTTGGTCCAGTGCCCACCCCGCTGTCAGGGAGGGAAGGTCCGCTCACCGCCAGCCTCAGCCTGAGGCGCTGTCACTACCTCACAACCCCAGGTCTGCCCAAGAAGCAGTGGTGAGCTGCGCCCCCACCCTGCCCAAGACGCTGGTTACCAACACGGTGTTGCTTGTGTTTCTGACAGATTCACTGCCTTCTGAGGACTTGGATCCTGCCGATCCCCCGATCTCGGTAACTGTTGGCCTGATCTGGCTGTGCCACTGGGTCAGGCCTGCCACCACCTTCCAAAGTAGCCTGGGAGGGGGCGTGGTTTGAACCCATATTGGTTTTTCTGCATTATAAAAATGATTCACGTTTGTTATAAAAAAATTAAAAAGCATTTGTCATTGAAATTGTCCCCAGAAATAACCACTGTTAACAGCTTGGTGATCACACCCCTTGGGTTTTTTCTGAGCTCATTGCTGTATGCCTCTGTCTCCTGTGTGGCATCTGTCACTTGCGGAAAGCTGTGAGTTGTGCACCTGCGTCCTGCCCCTCACAGCTCGCCTCTCTGTGCCTCAGATTCCTGTGGGGCAGCGGGGACGTTTACAGCACAAGTCAGTTAACACGAGCAGCTATACAGAAATTAGCTGGTGCAGTGGCACGTGGCTGTGGACGCAGCTACTTGGGTGGCTGAGGCAGGAGGATCACTTGAGCCCAGGAGGCCGAGGCTCCAGTGAGCTGTGATTGCACCACTGCACTCCAGCCTGGGTGATGGAGTGAGACCCTGTCTCAAAAAAAAGAAAAATACACAAGCACCCAAACAGCACCTGGCAACTGCTCTGTGAGGCCAGTGATTATTTTATTAGCTGCCTTTTGTTTACTTTGGAAAACGTTGGCGATTTGCTGCTTCCTTTTTCTGCAAAGTTAGTGGGTACTGAGTTTCCTCATGTTTGCGTGGCTGTGTGGTTCACCTTCTGTGAGTGAGCACCCTGCTGTAGCCTGTGGGCACCTCACCTCCCAGTGGGCATTTTCACTGCGTCCACTTCCTGGCTCTGCAGAGACTTTCCTCCCACACAGGCTTGCTCCCCGTGCTTTGCTGGTGATGCACACGACAGGGGCTCAGGACAGAGTTCAGGGTTCACAGGACGCCTGTGGTCCTGGAAAGCTGCCTGCTGCCTTGCAGCAGCCGCAGCCCTGGCGTGTTCCAGGTTGGAGGCTCTGCCTGCCGTGGATTAGGAAAGGCGCACACAGGCCGCCTTGAGAGTGACAGGCTCCACTCCCAAACTCAGACGCCCTCCCGCTGCCCACCAGGGTCACTTCCTGCTTCCACATTGGGTGTTGCTATGCCAGAGCTGCCTCGGTGTCCCAGAGGCCCAGCGATGGGCGACTGGCTGCCGAGGACAGGGGAGCATCCACGTCTCATCTCGTCACATGCCATTTCTGGCTCGTTACCAGGAAGAAGAAAGGTGGGGCGAAGCCAGCAATGACGAGGACGATCCCAAGGATAAAACCCTCCCTGAAGACCCAGAAACCTGCCTGCAGCTGAACATGGTCTACCAGGAGGTCATCCAGGAGAAGCTGGCTGAGGCCAACCTGCTGCTGGCCCAGAACCGGGAGCAGCAGGTGGGATGGGCCTCGGCCCCCCGGTGCCCACACCTCCCCACCCCCAGAGCCCCCCACAGCTGGGCCTCCCAGGTCCAGGGCTCCCCAGCTCCCTGCCTCTCCTCTGCCCCGGGTCTCCTCCGCAGGGAGAGTCATTGCTGCTGGTCCATAGAGGGGTCCCTGCCTTGTGTCTGTCACAGGAGGAACTCATGAGGGATCTGGCTGGGTCCAAAGGCACCAAGGTGAAAGATGGCAAAAGCCTGCCCCCAAGCACATACATGGGGCACTTCATGAAGCCGTATTTCAAGGACAAGGTCACGGGCGTGGTGAGTGGCCGAGGCCCTGCTCTTGTCGGCAAGGCTCTGCACCGTGGGAAGGGTTCTTGTCCCCAAGTCCTGCTGCAGGGAGTCGTGAATTCCTGTGAGTTCAAGATAACATTGGCCAACCTCCTTCAAACTGCCTCCTCCGTGGTGGGCAAGCTGCCCTCTGCTCTGCGCTGGGCTGCCAGGACTGCCCTGTGAAGCGATGAGCAAGCCCTCGTGGAGGTGCCAGTGTTGTCTGTGCGAGGCCTGACCTCATCAGGCTTCATGGAGTGGCCGGCAGGGTTGCACCCCCACAGCCTCACAGTACGGGAGAACAGGAGGCAGGGGGAGCCCGAGTCCTTTTGTGGGCTCTGGAGGGATGTGCTGGGCCTGCAGGGAGCACATGTGGCCTGTGCTTGTGGTGATGCCGTGCACCCTGACAGGGGCCACCTGCCAACGAGGACACACGAGAGAAGGCTGCCCAGGGGATCAAGGCTTTCGAGGAGCTCCTTGTGACCAAATGTAAGAGCCCTGGCCGGCCCTGCGGCACCCCTGAGCTTGGGACACCTCCCCATGGCCCTCCTTTCCCCAGTTTCTCCCCAAGTTCTCAGACCTCTCTCTGTTGTGACCTCATGGCTCCTTCAGGCCTTGACCACTGGGACTGGCCCCTTGACTCCTGCCTTTCCACACTGAGCAGGTCCTTTCCAGAACACCAGTCACGAGGGGCTAGCCAGGCCGCACCCCACCCTCTGGCTCAGTCTCCCCGCCCTTGTCTTGGGCCGCAAAGCCCTGTGGCTTTACGTGTGAGCTGGCGCCAGGCCTCGGGTGGAGCTCTGTCAGCTGGGTGGAGGGGCCACGTCAGTAGGTCTGGCGTGCTGCTTACTCGCTGTGGGGCCCCCCACCACTGCCTCGGGAAGTGCACACCAACCGTGGGGGCTGGGCCGTGGAGAGGATCCAGACCCCCAGTGATGATGCTGTGGCTTCTCCTCAGGGAAAAACTGGGAAAAGGCCTTGCTCCGAAAGTCAGTGGTGAGTGACCGCCTGCAGCGATTGCTTCAGCCCAAGTTACTGAAGTAAGTCTAAAACCATAAGTCAAAAACGGTCTTCAGGCTGGGCATAGGGCTCATGCCTGGAATCCCAGCACTTTGGGAGGCCAAGGCAGGAGGATCTCTTGAACCCAGTTCAAGCCCAGCCTGGGCAACATGGTGAGACCCCATCTCTTCAAAAAGTAAAAAAATTAGCTGGGTGTGGTGGTGCACACCTGTGGTCCCAGCTACTCGGGAGGCTGAGGTGGGAGGATCGATTGATCCCAGGAGGTCAAAGCTGCAGTGAGCCATGATTGTACCACTGCGTTCCAGCCTGGGTGACAGAGCGAGACCCTGTCTCAAAAACAAACACAACAGCCTTTCCTGGCCAACAGGAAAAGCCAAGGCTGGTTGGTTTGGGCTTGGCAGAGGTTCAGCTTAGCTGTATGCCCGTTCTCTGCAGCGGGTCTTGCCAGGCCATGGAGAGATGCTCATGCCTGGACTTTATGCCCCTTCCCCATGAAGGGGGCTTCCCCATGGCCGGGCGGGCGGCTAAGCGCAGGATCAGTCCACACAGCCACGATGAGGGGTGTGGCTCGGGGCGCGGGGTCGGTCCACACGGCCACGATGAGAGGTGTGGCTCGGGGCATGGGGTCGGTCCACACGGCCATGATGAGGGGTGTGGTTCAGGCAGCTTCTCTGGGCTTCCCTTTCCCATTCCTGAAACCTGCTGTTTGCTGATGGGGTGATAATCACGTGACCAAAGAAGGCACAGCACAGCCTTACTGTCCGCACTTGATAGAAGGCGCTGCTGTCCTGATGACTTTGGTCAAAGACAGAGCTGCTCCCAGAGCCCAGAGACCCAGCAGCACCTGGTTGGCCACTCAACAGCACAGCAGGTCCCCATCTGTCTTCTGTGGGGCCACCATGAGCTCTCAAGGCAGAGGGGGTGCCTTTAGAATACAAGCTGCCAGGGCATCTCTGGGCACTGAGAGGGCTTTGGCCATGCCAGGGGTCCCGGGTCCCGCCTGCCCCCCGTGGCCTGATGTGCATGGTCAGGGTTTGCAGTGATGACGGTGGGTCTCTCCTCAGGCTCGGGGAGAGCTGGGTTTTCCTCCCTGGCCTGCTCTGGGGAGTGGTTCTTTACTGTGGCCTCACAGCCTCTGGCCTCCTCACTGGGCACCAGTCAGGATATCTGCCTACGGCTGTGTCTCTGTGCCAGGCACAGGCTGGGAGCTGGGGCACTGAGGCTCCGGAGGGCTGTGGCGAGGCTCTGAGACACGGGGGCCAGCAGGCGGTAGCCTCTGTGTCAGCAGACACTGCAGCCCTTCCCACCCCGGTGGCAGCCTGGAGGTGGGTGCTACAGCTTCCCTCATGGGTGAGGAGGCCGAGGCAGGGAGGGTGAGGGAGGCTCGGAATCTCTGCTGAGCTCACACTCCTTGCCCTGTAATGTGCAGAGAACCTGCCCCGCCCCGCAGCCCTCGTGCCCCAGCCCTTCTGCCTCTGCTCTGCTTTGCAGGCTCGAGTACTTGCACCAGAAGCAGAGCAAAGTCTCCAGTGAGCTGGAGAGGCAAGCCCTGGAGAAGCAGGGCAGGGAAGCCGAGAAGGAGATCCAGGACATCAAGTGAGGGGGGCCTCCCGGGAGGGCCCAGGGGAGCCCACAAGCCAGGCGTGGTGCCAATACCCTCATCCCTTCCACCAGCCAGCTTCCAGAAGAGGCCTTGCTGGGAAACAGGCTGGACAGCCACGACTGGGAGAAGATTTCCAATATTAACGTAAGTCAGGGGCAGGTCTGAGCCCCAAGCAGCTTGGAGCACAGCTCCCTGTAGCCCGGGTGCAGTTGGAATTGGGTGGTAAGGCCACACCCTCCCTGGCAACAGGTTCTGCTGTGACCCCCCACCCACCCGGGTCAAGCACATGTCCCACAGTCGGGAATGGCGAGTGGACTCACGAGGGCCTTCAGGCTGGTGCACGGCCCTTTCTGAGATGGTCTGGAGGGCTCCCGGCCTTGCATCTGGAGCCAAGTCTACATGTTTGGCTATGCAAGGCCTAGTGAGTTGGACGAAGATTGCGCTTACTTGCAGCCGTGGAAGCCTCCAGCTGGCGGAGAGCAACAGCTCAGCCTGGAGCTGCGTCTAGGGTGCCCCTGGGGTCAGTGGCCTGCAAGGCTGAGTGTCTCTGTCGGTGCAGTTTGAAGGCAGCCGCAGTGCAGAGGAGATCCGGAAGTTCTGGCAGAACTCGGAGCACCCCAGCATCAACAAGCAGGAGTGGAGCAGGGAGGAGGAGGAGCGGCTGCAGGCGATCGCGGCTGCACACGGCCACCTGGAGTGGCAGAAGATTGCAGAGGAGCTGGGGGTAAGGGCCTGGCCTGGACCCCAGGGGCCAGGAGACCTGAGGGCGTGTGGGCCCTATAGCGGGAGGCTGCTGGACGGGTGCGGGGTCCCCAGTGCTCACTCACCGCCAGGTTTCTATGTGTTGCCACCTCCAGGCTGTGGCCCTAGGGAAGGAGCCTGCCCAGCCCTCTCTGCCACTAGGCCATTGCCGCAGCTCCTCTGGGCCTTCCCAGTCCTCCAGGTCTCCCCATGCAGCGGTGCATGCCCAGTTTACCGGAGTTTGTCTCCTTTCTTATTTCTAGTCTTCTTCTGTCTCCATCAGCCTCGGGAGTTTATTCTGTTGATGTTTCTAAAGCGCTTTTTCCTCGTGTGAGTTCTTGCCGCTTTTCTGGTTTCCTGAGTAAGGACTCAGTTCTTTACTGACTTGGGTCTCTTGTCTTGATAACGAGGCTTGTTAGGCCACCCTGAGAGTAGCTTGGCGTGAACTCTTCTTCTCATAGATTTCCAAAGTAGCTCTAGTTTCCATTTTTATTGCCTCTTTGGACCTAGGTGTATCTAGGAGTGTATGTTTCCGTTTTTAAATAGTTGGATTTCTGGGAGTTCTTGTGGTGGTTCTTTATCTGAATTTGATTGGAACATGAACTAGGGGCGAGATGTATAAAATCTCCATTTTTCAAATATATTTTACTTTTTTATGGCAGAGCACCTGATTATAGCAGACCCAGCTAAACTTGCCAAAACTGTTTTTAAGAAAAAGGTATGTTCTCTGTAAGTAGGGCCTACTCTATATCAGCTATTAAATTGAGTTTGCCTTTAAAGATGCTTAATTCTGCCGGGCACAGTGGCTCACCCCTGTAATCCCAGCACTTTGGGAGGCCGAGGCTGGCGGATCACCTGAGGTCGGGAGTTCAAGACCAGCCTGGCCAACATGGAGAAACCCCGTCTCTACTAAAAATACAAAATTAGCCGGGCGTGGTGGCGGGCATCTGTAGTCCCAGCTACTCGGGAGGCTGAGGCAGGAGAATGGCGTGAACCCGGGAGGCGGAGCTTGCGGTGAGCGGACGTCGCGCCACTGCACTCCAGCCTGGGCGACAGCAAGACTCCGTCTCAAAAAAAAAAAAAATAAATAAATAAATACAAATCGGTTTTTCTTCTATGTATATTTTACTGCTACATAGTTTGGTACACATAACTTTTTTTAATCGGGGTCTGCTTTCTTTTTTTCTTTTTTGTTTTTCATATTTTTTGAGTTCAGGGCTGTGTGTGCAGGATGTGCAGTTTGGTTCCGTAGGTGAGCGTGTGCCATGGTGGTTTGTTGCATAGATCAGCCCATCACCCAGGGATTCAGCCCAGCTTGCGTTAGCTCATTAGCTCTTTTTCTTTCCTTTTTTTTTTTTTTTTTTTTTTTTCAAACAGAGTCTCACTCTGTCGCCCAGGCTGGAGTGCAGTGGCACGATCTCAGCTCACCGCAAGCTCCGCCTCCCGGGTTCACGCCATTCTCCTGCCTCAGCCTCCCGAGTAGCTGGGACTACAGGCGCCCACCACCACGCCCGGCTAATTTTTTGTATTTTTAGTAGAGACGGGGTTTCACTGTGTTAGCCAGGATGGTCTCAGTCTCCTGACGTTGTGATCTGCCGGCCTCAGCCTCCCAAAGTGCTGGGATTACAGACGTGAGCCACCGCGCCCGGCCCATCCCTGTATTTTCAGCCTTTTAACAAATCGTCATTTCCAAGTGTTTTCATGAAAGCAGCGTGCAGCTGGGTTTTGCTTTCCCACCCGCCTGACCAGCCTCTGGCTTTGTGGGAGGGTGGGTGTTCCTGGTGTCCTCCTGGGTCTGGTGTGTCGAGTCCGTTTTACTTTGTGGCCTCTTTTCCTTCCACTCTGTCTTGCTGGTTTGATGAAACTGTAAGTCCGGTTTTTCTCCTTGTGATTTTTGGGAATTCAACTGTCTTCCATCCATTAATGGCTTTTTCTCCTTCGAACACATAGTCAGACATGCTTCTCTGTTAATATCAGAAAGCGTGACGCCAGCACTTTCCCCCGCCAGATTCTTTCTCCTTCCAGGGAAGTGTTTTTAGTCACTGTCAAGAAAAGCCAGGCTAAGGCCTCAGCAGCCTCCCTCCAGCTTCACTCCAGCCACCCTCCAGCCCCCTTTGAGAGCTGCTGCTCTCAGCTACCCGAGCAGGGCCCAGCTCTGAATCCCGCCCCACCCCCCAGTCCTTTGCCTTCCCAACTCCTTCGGCAGGCTTGGGATGGGTGTGAGAAGGGTCTCTCTTTCCACTGGTTGGGAAGCGCCAGCTTGAGTGTAGGAGGACGGGTGAGGCCTTGAGTGTGTTATGTTCCCAGAAGCACTCTCTTGGGGGCGTGCGGGCGAGGCTCACACACGTTGACTAGGATTGCCCTGCAGCTTGCACACCCCGGGGTGGTGGTTTTGTTTGTGGTGAACGAGTCTCAGATAGACCTGTGATGTAGCGAGCTGGGAAGGACTTGGTGGGGAAGAAAGCCTTGGAAGCAAAACTCACAGCTCAGCGGCACCACATCCAGCTCTGCGTGCCCTCTGCCACCCAGCAGCTCACTTTCAGAAAAAGCAAACCTCACAGCACGTCCAGCCCCACGCGCCCTCTGCCACCCAGCAGCTCACTTTCAGAAAAAGCAAACCTCAGAGCATATCTAGCCCTGTGTGCCCTGTGCCACCCAGCAGCTCACTTTCAGAGAACAGGGTTCAGGTAGCACTCATCAGCTCTTGGAAAACCCCTTGAGAAGATGAGTGAGGAAAAGATTTGGGCAGATGGTCCACTGTGTGGACTGAGGGTGGGTTTGCTGAGCCGAGCCACACAGGGAAGCTGGGAGAGTCATTTTGGGGCACTCTCTTCTGAGGGCGTCTCCTGAGACATGGACACCAAACCAAGGGCTGTCCCGTACCTCCTCCACCCCATACCCCTTAGCTGAGAGATACTCTAGAGCTCGAGAAGGGAGAGAAGGTGCTAGCAACTGCATTTAGAGAGCATGCCACATGCAGAGCAGTGCGTCTCCCAGCCCTTGCCAAGCTGGGAGTTTCTGTTGAGTGAGTTGCAGTGTGGTTTTGGAGTCATATCAGTTTACCTATTGTGAATTTTTCTTAATATTTTCTTAAGTGAAGGTTTGATTCCTCTCTCACCTGGTCCTTCCTGGTCCTATTTAGTGAGTGTATTGTCTTCCTACCGTGGGGTGCTCTCCATCAGCCCACAGGAGTCTGGGAGGAGGAGAGCTGGGGTCTGCAGAAGGGTCACCCCAGTGGCTCATGGGCCCACCTGTGCCCTGGGGCACTCAGAGCCAGATCTGGACATCCTGCCGCGCAGTAACACTCATTTGCTTTTGTTTGGGCCTGGGAAGACCAGCCGCAGCGCCTTCCAGTGCCTGCAGAAATTCCAGCAGCACAACAAAGCTCTGAAACGCAAGGAGTGGACAGAGGAGGAGGACCGCATGCTCACGCAGCTGGTGCAGGAGATGCGCGTCGGCAGCCACATCCCCTACCGCAGAAGTGAGGCCCCTCCACCCCGACGGCTCTCAGGCTGTCACAGGGCCCCATATCAGGACACTGGAGACTTGCAGGGAAAATTCACAGAGAAGCAACAAGACAGACGAGGGCTTAGACAGTCCTGGCTGTTCCACAGTTCGCTTCTTGGTGACTCAAGTGACTTTTTTTTTTTTTTTTTTGAGATGGAGTTTCACTCTTGTTGCCCAGGATGGAGTGCAACGCCATGATCTTGGCTCACTGCAACCTCTGCCTCCCGGGTTCAAGCGATTCTCGTGCCTCAGCCTCCCAAGTAGCTGGGATTACAGGCATGCGCCACCACGCCCAGCTAATTTTGTATTTTTAGTAGAGACGGGGTTTCACCATGTTGGTCAGGCTGGTCTCGAACTCCTGACCTTAGGTGATCCGCCAGCCTCTGCCTCCCAAAGTGCTGGGATGACAGGCATGATGCCACTGCACCTGGCCAAAGTGATTCTTTTCTATGTGACCCATCTGGAGGGTGGGTGTCTCGGCCCCACGGGACCCTGTTGTCCCTAGCTGTCTACTCTATGGAGGGTGTGTGTCTCGGCCCCACAGGACCTCCCTGTTCCTCTGTCCCTAGTTGTCTACTATATGGAAGGGAGAGACTCCATGCAGCTGATCTACCGATGGACCAAGAGCTTGGATCCTGGTCTGAAGAAGGGTTACTGGGCCCCGGAGGAAGATGCTGTAAGTGTGCGGGACCCTAGGAGAACTGGGCTCTGGGAAGGTAACGCGGCTGTGTTCAGCGGCTGCTGTGCCCCAGTGGTCCCTTCTCTGACTGGGTTCAGGGTGGGGAGGCTGCAGCCGTACCTGCAGAGGCTTCACTTGTCTGCCTGTCCCTTCCTGCAGAAGTTGCTTCAAGCTGTTGCCAAATACGGGGAGCAGGATTGGTTTAAAATCCGGGAAGAGGTGCCAGGTAGGAGCGATGCCCAGTGCCGAGATCGGTGAGTCGCACAGCGCTGAGCGAGGGAGGGGCCCGTGTGGGTCACTGACCAGGTGCACTCTGGTGTGGGCTGTGGGCGGGCTGGGGGACAGCGGCCAGCGCTGGGCGAGGGAGGGGCCCGTGTGGGTCGCTGACCAGGTGCACTCTGGTGTGGGCTGTGGGCGCTTGCTTGCCAGGGTTGGCCCGGCTGAGCTGTGTTTTCCAAGCCTGACTTCTGTATTGCTGTCTGCCGGAGCAACGCATGGGCTCCACTTGAGACAGCTCCCTGGGCGGCTTTTCCTGACCCTAGTTGTCTCAGTTCTCTCAGAATGCTGATAGGCAGGACCTCTGGGCACACAGCTGCAGCTCCCTCCTTTTCCTGCTTATTTTCCTTTCAAAAACAGCTTCGTTGAGATAATTCACACACCATGCGATGCGTTCATTTAAAGTGTATATTTCCGAAGCTGGGCGCAGTGGCTCACGCCTGTAATCCCAGTACTTTGGGAGGTCAAGGCAGGCGGATCACTTGAGGCCAGGTCAAAACCCCGTCTCTACGAAACCCCATCTCTACTAAAAGCACAAAAGTTACCCGGGCATGGTGGGGGTGGCGCCTGTAATCCCAGCTACTTGGGAGGCTGAGGCAGGAGAATCGCTTGAGCCTGGGAGGTGGATGTTGCAGTAAGCTGAGATCACGCCACAGCACTCCAGCCTGGGTGACAGAGCAAGACTGTCTCAAAAAAATATTAATTAATTAATTAAAATGAAGTGTAGAAGGCCAGGTTCAGTGGCTCACGCCTATAATCCCAACACTTTGGGAGGCCGAGGCCGGCGGATCACCTGAGGTTGGGAGTTTGAGACCAGCCTGACCAACATGGAGAAACCCCGTCTCTACTAAAAATACAAAATTAGCCGGGCGTGGTGGCACATGCCTGTAATCCCAGCTACTCGGGAGGCTGAGGCAGGAGAATCGCTTGAAACTGGGAGGCGGAGGATGCAGTGAGCCGAGATCACGCCAT
The DNA here is from genome assembly GCF_000001405.40 of Homo sapiens. Lineage (NCBI taxonomy): Eukaryota > Metazoa > Chordata > Mammalia > Primates > Hominidae > Homo > Homo sapiens. The sequence continues at coordinate 136,386,490 of NC_000009.12, read as the reverse complement.
TGCACTCTAGCCTGGGCGACGAGTGAAACTCCGTCTCAAAAAAAAAAAAAAAAAAATGAAGTGTAGAGGTAGAGGTCAGTGGTTTTTAGTATTTAGTATTCATTGAGCTGTGCAGCCATCACCACAATCAATTGTAAAACATTTCATCACCCGAAAAAGCCATTCAACGACAAAAACAACCCAATCTAATCGCGGGCAAAGAACTTGAGTGGCCGTCTCTCCAAAGAAGATGCACAGATGGCCAGTGAGCACATGAAGAGATGCCTGGCGCCATGAGTCATTAGGGAAGTGCAAGTCAAAACCACACACGCGTTGGGATGGCTGTTAATTAAAAAAAAAAAAAAGTCACCGTGTTGGCAAGGATGTCGAGAAATTGAAACCTTTGTGCGTTGTAAAATGGTCCAGCCTCTTTGGAAAGCATGGCAGTTCGTCAGCGAGTTAAACATAGAATTATACCCCCAAGATTGATAAGCATAAAACCCAAAAGAATCGAAAGTAGGAGCTCAGATACAACAATGTCCACAGCAGCATCATTCACAAGAGTGAAAGGCCGGAAGCAGCCCAAGCATTCATCAGCAGATGAGTGGAAAATAAAATTTTCATACAAGGGAATATTATTCGGCCTTAAAAAGGGGTTGGCAGGGCTCGGTGGCTCACGCCTGTAATCCTAGCACTTTGGGAGGCCAAGGCGGACAGATCATGAGGTCAGGAGTTCAAGACCAGCCTGGCCAATATGGTAAAACCCTGTCTCTACTAAAAATACAAAAACTAGCCACACATGGTGGTGGGCACCTGTAATCCCAGCTACTCGGGAGGCTGAGGCAGGAGAATCACTTGAACCTGGGAGTTGGTGGTTGCAGCGAGCTGAGATTGCGCCACTGCACTCCAGCCTGGGCGACAGTGAGCCTCCGTCTCAAAAAAAACAAAAGGGGGGGGAGTGGGATTCTCATATAAATACCGCGTTTCTGTAAATTCTGATACAACATGGATGAACCCTGAAAACATTCTGAACATTTGCTTGCACTTTTTTACATAGATATCTGTTTATTTCTCTCAGCTATATCCTGCGAGTGAAATTGCTCGGTCCGGGTAACGCTGTGTTTAACCTTTTGAGGAATGGCCAGACTGTTTCCCAAAGAGGTTGAACCATTTCGTATTCCCACTAGGAATGTATGAGGGCTCCGGTTTTCCACACTCTCACCAGCACTTGTGATCTGTCTGTGATTCTAGCCATCTTAGCGGGTGTGAAGTGGTGTCTTGTGGTTTTGACGTGCGCTTCCCTGTGGCTGATGTGGAGCCTCTTTTCATGTGGTTGGTGACTGTTCATAGAAATAGGTTTTTAGAGAAGTGTCTGTTGAAGTCCTTTGCCCATTTTTGACATTACTTGTCTAGTTATGACTGACTTGTAAGAGTTCTTCATATGTTTCAGATATAAGTCCTTTATCGGACACGTGACTTGCAAACGTTCTCTCCCAGCCTGTACACTTTCTACTTTTTTGATGGTGTCCTTTGGGACACAAAAGCTTTAGCTTTTGATGAAGTCTACTTTATCTGTAGTTTTCTTTTGTTGCTTGCGCCTTTAGTGTCATATCCAAGAAACCATTAAAGAAGCTTGGGGCAGCAGCGGGCGGCGTCTCGGCATCTAAAACGTTCTTTGCTTTTCATGTCACGTTCAGGTATCTCAGGAGATTACATTTCAGCTTGAAAAAGGGTCGGTGGAATTTAAAAGAAGAGGAACAGTTAATTGAATTAATAGAAAAATATGGTGTCGGTAAGTTGCTGACAGTTTGTTCTTCTAGTTTCTTTTTTTTGTTTTTTGTTTCTTAGAAAAGAGATCAAGATAAAGACAGAGCAAGCTCTGTCGTCCAGGCTGGGGTGCGGTGGTGCGACCATAGCCCACTGCAGCCTCAAACTTTTGGGCTCAAGCCATCCTCCCGCCCCAGCCTCCCAAGTAGCTGGGACTGCAGGTGTGTGCCACCACACCCGACGAGCTGAGTGTTCTGTAGCGAAGTCTTTGCTTATATTTGCAATGTCCCCTTAGAGTAAATCCTAGCTGTGGTATTGCCACGTTCAAGGACACACCAGATACTGTGGCTCTGCCCTGTGAGAGCAGCACCCGTGCTCCTCCTGCTGCCCCACACTGTGAAGAGCGGGAATCGTGGGAGGTGGCTGGTGCGGAAGCCTGGGGGGAGCAGATATGTGAGGGCCGTGGTGTGCGCTTAGGACGATTTTTCCTTCTCAGTTACATGTTTGGCAGAACTTTCCTAAGGGGCTGAGCATCCAATGAGAATCAGATGCTGCCAAATTGTAGGCACCCAACATGCTTGACCCCCCAGCGTGAGAGTGCACAGGAGGCTCCACTCTGATGGGGCCACGGCGAGTCTCCTGGGGAACAGCAAGCCTGTCCTGGGGAAGAATCTTTGGATGAAGGCATTTCCATGGGGTTTGGCTTTTGCAGGTCACTGGGCAAAAATAGCTTCTGAGCTGCCCCATCGGTCTGGCTCCCAGTGTCTGAGCAAGTGGAAGATCATGATGGGGGTGAGCCACTCGCTCCTTCTTTATCTGAAACCAGACAATGGCCTGGTCAACTGGGGGGTCCAGCAGGCAGGAGGAGGGGAGGGGAGGGGGGCGTTCGGTTTCTGGTCTTGGCATTTCTTCTTCTGGGTGGCCAAGGGCAAAGGGAGACCCTGCCTCGGCAGCGGCTGCTCTTGACCCCGGAGGCGCCCCCGCTTGGGCCTCTCCCCAAAGGGCTGGCCTGCTTGCTGCCATCATGGGTGAACCGGGCTTGCCAAGGCCTCTAAGTAGCTCTTTCCTCCCCTCAGAAGAAGCAGGGTCTCCGGAGGCGGCGGCGGAGGGCCCGTCACAGCGTCCGGTGGAGCTCTACCAGCAGCAGCGGCAGCAGCAGTGGCAGCAGTGGAGGGAGCAGCAGCAGCAGCAGCAGCAGCAGCGAGGAGGACGAGCCAGAGCAGGCGCAGGCCGGGGAGGGTGACAGAGCGCTGCTGTCCCCACAGTACATGGTCCCGGACATGGACCTGTGGGTTCCTGCCAGGCAGAGCACCAGCCAGCCATGGAGAGGAGGGGCAGGGGCCTGGCTGGGAGGCCCCGCTGCCTCCCTCAGCCCTCCCAAGGGGTCCAGTGCCAGCCAGGGCGGCAGCAAGGAAGCTTCCACCACAGCCGCGGCTCCTGGAGAGGAGACGAGTCCGGTGCAGGTCCCTGCCAGGGCCCACGGCCCTGTCCCGAGGTCTGCCCAGGCCTCCCACTCAGCAGACACTCGCCCGGCGGGCGCAGAGAAGCAGGCCCTGGAGGTAGGCCCCGGCCCTGGGTGTACCACGGGAAGTGCACTTTCGGCACTCGCTCGCCAGGGCTGACGCTTGGGGATAGTGCAGCAGCAGGGGCCCCAGGGTTCGTGTGCATCAGAACGTGCTACTTCTGGCTGAGCTCTGGACAGCTGTGCGTCGGGGGGACTGTTGGGGAAGCCTCCATTTTTCCTGGCTTGTTGACTGTTTCAGGGGTATGGCTGAATGGGCACTTGGACCTGGAGGCATTTCTGAAACATTTCACCCCCAAGCCAGGGTTGGGGAGGGCAGAGGCAGCAGTGGGAGGAGCCCCTCCTCCCTCCTCGTGAGCCTGTGCACCTGGAGGCCCTCCCTGGGAAGGGCCTGTCCACCTGCTTGGGACAAGCCTGGCTTGTGGTGTGTCTGCTCGTCTTGGCTGGTCTTCACCGTGTCAGGCCCATCTCTGGCCATGTCTGTGGGAGCAGTCAGAGTTGAACAGGCTGGTCTGTCCTGGGAGTCATTGGCAGGGACAGTGGACACTGAAGCTACTGGCAGAGCTAGGTGCATGGGGCTCGCTGCTGCACAGCCAGCATCTCCCTAGGCCGGGGCGTCACCTGGAAGGGCTGCTGCTGTCAGCCTGAGGAACTGGCTGGGGGGCATGGGACCCTGTTAATGTCCCAGGAGCCAGGCCTAGCTGGGAGGCCCTGCCTGGGGAACCCACGCTTCCCATGGTGGACGTTCCCATGAGGCAGAGCAGAGCTGTACACAGCCACGCTTTGGAGCCTGGGTGAAGAGGCAGTCGTGTGTGGGCAGCGAGGGGAGGGCCCCCATGTGTCCCGTACACCCCGCGTGCCTCGCCTCAGGCAGCTTTCTCATCAGGGTGGGAGGCGTCTGCTGACAGTGCCTGTGGAGACCGTGCTGAGGGTGCTCAGGGCCAACACGGCTGCTCGGAGCTGCACACAGGTGAGGCCTGCTGCAGACACCCACGCGCACGCCACCACGTGCCCCGCCCTGGTCTGAGTGATTCCTCTCCCCGTCGATCATGCCCTGATGGGGGTGGAGGGCAGCACTGGCCACTGGGCAGGGTCCACTCCGGGGGCCGAGCCTGGCCATGGGCCCCAGGTGCTGCCTTCTCCTTACAGAAAGAGCAGCTGAGGCAGCCACCCCTGCCCACCTCATCCCCAGGGGTCAGCTCTGGTGACAGCGTGGCCCGATCCCATGTGCAGTGGCTACGGCACAGAGCCACCCAGAGTGGGCAGCGGCGCTGGAGACACGCTCTGCACCGGAGGCTCCTGAACCGCAGGCTGCTGCTGGCTGTGACCCCTTGGGTAGGGGACGTTGTCGTGCCCTGCACACAGGCTTCCCAGAGACCCGCCGTAGTGCAGACTCAAGGTATGGCCTGGGGCTCCTCTGGGAGCATCCTGGGGGCGAGGGGTGAGGATGAAGAGTACATCCAGCCTAGCAGACGGTGGCTACTTGGGGAAGTGGCCTCAGCAGGGGAGTCTTTTTGGGGTGGGCGCCACCTCTGGTCAGCTTCCCGTCCCTGAAGGTTTCCAGGACACCCAGTCACAGCCAGCCCTCCCTCCCTACCCCACCACTCTTCCTGGGCCAAGCATGTGGCAGCTTGGTGGTGACAGGGCTCACAGGGCCCACCCTTGTCCAGGCGTGGCTGTGGGGTGCTGGTTCCAAGGCCTCCCCTCCCACCCTGGCCTGGCTCCCAGAGCCGCCTCGAAAGGCACGTGGGAGCTGGGGCTGCTTTCCACCCATCCCCCTGTGCCCATGGGAGCTGGGGCTGCTTTCCACTTATCCCCCTGTGCCCGCAGCGGATGGCCTCAGGGAGCAGCTGCAGCAGGCCCGCCTGGCCAGCACCCCTGTGTTTACCCTGTTTACCCAGGTAAGCTACTTGGGCAGAGCTTCGTTTTCCTTTGCCTTGTAAAAAGTTTTTGGTGAAGTTTTGAAATCTGCAGTAGATTCATTCCTTAAAGTCTAGCTATCTAAAGTTTTCTAGCCTTGAAAATGCACTTTTCATGCCTTACACTGTTAGCAAGTGAATGTGGAAGGGGTGCCGGCTACAGTGTGCACTGCCCCCATCGGGCTAAACAGTGTCCGGGGAAGGGGGTCCCCGGGGCCCCAGTATGAGTGGAAGATGCCGGGGGAGGAGAGCAGGCCTGGGTCTCATGGGAGGCCATCCTGGATGTCCACAGCCTCATGGCCTCCCCTGCATCTGCATCAGAAGGGCAGGAAGGCTGAGGTCTCAAGGTAGCCGCCCCAGCCTCAGGGCTGCCCCAGGTTCTGCCTAGGCCTCTGGAGCTTCGGAGCTGCTCCCGAAAGCAGCTATGGTTAGGTTGCCTCCTGTGTCCCGCAGCTGTTCCACATCGATACTGCCGGCTGCTTGGAGGTCGTCCGAGAGAGGAAGGCCCTGCCACCCAGGCTGCCCCAGGCTGGTGCTCGGGACCCACCAGTTCATCTTCTGCAGGTAGCAGGCACTTGGGGTGAGAAGTGAGGATGGCCACTGCCCGCCCCGGCGTTGGAGTGGGTTTCCACGGAGGCTGGCTGCCCGCCCCACCCGCTCCACCGCAGCCCCTCAGGGAGGCATCTGCACTTCCCACCTGAGGGGACGCAGCCTTGAGAGGCCCTGGGGAAGTCAGGCAGGTGCAGGTCGGGGCTGACACTGGGGCCCACGTGCCTGTTTTCCCCCATAGCCCCGCTGGGCGGTCATGGACATGGGCGCTGTCTGCCGGGGATGCCTGGTTCTTGCCTTTCTGCTCCAGAAACCAAACTCACAGAAGTTCAGCGAGGCCTCCTCACCCTTGAGCCCCGTCACCTGGGGGTGGGGTGACAAAGCAGTGTCACTCATTGGAGGAGCAGGAACAGCAGTGGGGTACCCCTGGGCCTCTGTGCTTCCAGCCCCCCCGCCTCTCCCTGCAGACCCCACCCTGCCCCCAACCCCCCAGAAGAGCTCTTGAGGGCACCCTTAGGAGGAGCTGCACTGGCAGGGGGAACAAGGCCAGGCCTTTGCCTGCTGTGCAGGGCACGACAACGTCCCCTACCCAAGGGGTCACAGCCAGCAGCAGCCTGCGGTTCAGGAGCCTCCGGTGCAGAGCGTGTCTCCAGCACCGCTGCCCACTCTGGGTGGCTCTGTGCCGTAGCCACTGGACATGGGATCGGGCCACATGCTTGGCTCCTTCTGTGGCCCCGGAGTTCCTACAGAGGCGTGTGGGAGGCCAGCACCAGCCCTTGGGGCCTCGTCCCATTTCAGGGAGTGGCAGGGGATAGTCCAGATGCTAGGAGAGGTGGTCCAAGCCAGCAGAGGACACCTGAGCTGCTGACTCTCCTCTCTTTCATTTCCAGGCATCCTCAAGTGCCCAGAGCACCCCAGGTAACTCTGCTTCTCTGCCCTGGTGGGGAAGAGACCTAACCTGGCCCTGGCGGGGAAGAGGCCTAACCTGGCCCTGGCTTTCACCCACAGCCCCCAAGCAGCACAGCCTGTGGCCCCTGGTGACAGAGCTCCCTCGAGTCCCACCACAGGGATGAGAGTCCGGCTGGGCCAGCTTGGAGCTCCCTGGGCTCCCCTTGCAGCCCTAAGGCTTCCCCAGCATGGGGCCCAGAGGCAGGGGTCGTCTGGAGCGAGCGTCCGCCCATGCCCAACACCGGCAAGCTGGGCTGCCGGCTGATCTCAGCCAGCATTAAATGGGCTGGGTTTCCCAGAGTGCCCACTGCCCTGGCTTTGGCCGGAGCATTGCCATCTGGGGTAGCCACTGTGACTTGGGAGACCCAGGATGTGCCGCTTGACCCTCTCTTGGCTCAAGACCCCAGGCTCCCCACATGGTCCCTCCTGATGAGGGGATGGCAGCGAGGGGCTGTCCCTGGGCCAGATGCCTGGGGCTTATCAAGTGTGGGTCTTTCCTCCCCACAGGCCACCTCTTCCCAAACGTGCCGGCTCAAGAAGCCTCAAAGAGTGCCAGCCACAAAGGGAGCCGAAGACTGGCGTCCAGCCGGGTGGAGCGCACCCTACCCCAGGCGTCCCTGCTGGCTTCAACCGGCCCCCGGCCCAAGCCCAAGACTGTGTCGGAGCTGCTTCAGGAGAAGCGGCTTCAGGAGGCCCGTGCCAGGGAGGCCACCCGGGGCCCGGTGGTGCTCCCGTCCCAGCTGCTGGTCTCCTCGTCTGTGATCCTCCAGCCCCCTCTACCACACACCCCACACGGCCGCCCAGCCCCGGGTCCCACCGTCTTAAATGTACCGCTCTCTGGGCCTGGGGCCCCCGCGGCAGCCAAACCTGGCACTTCTGGCTCCTGGCAGGAGGCTGGGACTTCAGCCAAGGACAAGAGACTCTCCACCATGCAAGCCCTGCCCCTCGCTCCTGTCTTCTCAGAGGCCGAGGGCACAGCCCCTGCTGCTTCCCAAGCCCCTGCCCTGGGCCCCGGCCAGATCTCTGTGAGCTGCCCCGAGAGTGGTCTCGGACAGTCTCAGGCCCCCGCTGCATCCCGGAAGCAGGGCCTGCCTGAGGCGCCACCCTTTCTCCCCGCAGCCCCCAGCCCCACCCCACTGCCCGTCCAGCCCCTCAGCCTGACGCACATAGGAGGGCCACATGTGGCGACCAGTGTCCCCCTGCCTGTCACCTGGGTGCTCACAGCCCAGGGGCTTCTCCCTGTTCCTGTACCAGCTGTGGTGAGCCTTCCCAGGCCAGCAGGGACCCCTGGCCCCGCAGGGCTGCTGGCCACTCTGCTGCCTCCCCTGACTGAGACTCGGGCGGCCCAGGGCCCCAGGGCCCCAGCGTTGAGCAGCTCTTGGCAGCCCCCAGCCAATATGAACAGGGAACCGGAGCCTTCCTGCAGGACAGACACCCCAGCTCCTCCCACACACGCCCTCTCCCAAAGTCCTGCAGAAGCGGATGGCAGTGTGGCCTTTGTCCCTGGAGAGGCCCAGGTGGCCAGGGAGATACCTGAGCCCAGGACGTCCTCCCACGCTGACCCTCCTGAAGCAGAACCCCCTTGGTCCGGGAGGCTGCCAGCCTTCGGTGGTGTCATCCCAGCAACTGAGCCAAGGGGGACGCCGGGGTCCCCCTCAGGGACACAGGAGCCCAGGGGGCCTCTGGGCCTGGAGAAGCTGCCCCTGCGCCAGCCTGGGCCTGAGAAGGGGGCCCTGGACCTGGAGAAGCCGCCCCTACCCCAGCCTGGGCCTGAGAAGGGGGCCCTGGACCTGGGCCTGCTGTCCCAGGAGGGCGAGGCGGCCACACAGCAGTGGCTGGGGGGCCAGCGGGGGGTGCGTGTGCCTCTTCTGGGCAGCAGACTGCCCTATCAGCCCCCAGCCCTGTGCAGCCTGCGAGCTCTGTCCGGTCTCCTACTCCACAAGAAGGCCCTGGAGCACAAGGCCACCTCCCTGGTGGTGGGGGGCGAGGCTGAGCGGCCGGCCGGAGCACTGCAAGCCTCACTGGGGCTGGTGCGGGGGCAGCTCCAGGACAACCCGGCCTACCTCCTGTTGCGGGCGCGGTTCCTGGCAGCCTTCACCCTCCCTGCGCTCCTGGCCACCCTGGCCCCCCAAGGCGTCCGCACCACCCTCTCAGTACCTTCGAGGGTGGGCTCTGAGAGTGAGGATGAAGACCTCCTGAGTGAGCTGGAACTTGCAGACAGGGACGGGCAGCCGGGCTGCACGACAGCCACATGCCCCATTCAGGTAGGGTGGGCGCCCAGCCCCACTTCCCCATGGCAGGCGGCGGTCCCTGGGGTGCCCTCGCCTGCCTGGAGCAGTGGGGTGGGGGCTGGTGGAAGTTGCGGGCAGGAAGGCTGGCTGCTGGGTGTCTTAGGAGGAGGAAGCTGGTTCCTGGCCTGCCCAGTTGCGTGTAGATTCTGCAGAAGTGGCCTCCCTTTGGGGCAGTGTGGAAAAGGGGAGAAGAGAGGCCTCATTCTCGTGCAGGAGCCTCCGGCCATCCTGATGCTGCCCAGCCAGGTGGCCTTGTCTGAGCGAGAAGCTCTGGGATGGACGCTGACCCGGCTCTGAGCCGCACACGCCACACACACGTGTGCTCCCAGGGTGGGCCATGGGCACAGTGGAGGGTGGTGGCTGTGTTTGTCTCTGGATTTCTGGGGTCCCAAAGGTCCCTCTCTGCTGTCACCTCTCTGAGTGTCCTTGGGGAGAGTTTTCCAATCTCTGTAGGTGAAACCATGTTTGGAACCCTGGAAAGCATGTGGAGCTGGGGCCCCCAGAGAGGCCTCCTCCCCTGGTGCCAGGGTGCCCACTTGCAGCAGCTGGGAGGCTGGCCTCCCTGAGAAACCACCAGAAGCAGGCAGCCTCAGCTGGACCTGTGGGCCTGTCATAGGGAGTGTGGCAGAGGGCCTTCCATCTCTCCCCAGGGTTGTGTCTCGCAAGTCCCTGGGCTGAAGTGTGGGAGGAAGCAATGTCCAAGAGTTGGGGAGGACCCCGGCCAGCCAGGGGAAGAGGCCCTCTGTGCCCCATCCATGTACAGCCTCCTGCCCTGCCTGGGTGTGATGGCTGTCCCATGGGGGAGTGGGAGGCCCACCAGAGGGATGGCTTGGATGGGGTCAGAGCCCCCGAGGGAGGGAGTGCACAGTCACGTGTGGCCCCAGGAGTGCCTGGAGCAGCTCCCGCCTGAGCTGAGGGTGCCCTGTCCCAAGTGGGACACTCACCCACAGGGCCCCTCCTCACTCCCGTCCCTTCCCCGTCCATCATGGCTCGGGGGTGTCACTCTTGTCCCCACTGCCTGGATTTTCTTTCAGGGAGCCCCAGACTCTGGTAAATGCTCTGCTTCCTCCTGCCTGGATACTTCTAATGACCCTGACGACCTGGACGTGCTCAGAACCCGGCATGCCAGGCACACCCGGAAGCGGAGGCGGCTGGTGTGAGCAGCAGGTGAGTCCTGAGTGGGGAGGCCACTGCCCTACAACCCAGGGGACAGAGTGGTGTCCAGATGGCAGGGGGCCTTGGCCTCTGCTCGGCTCTTTGGCGCTCACAGCAGGTGTGCTGGGTTAGGTGGGCAGGTCCAGGGTCATGGAGGCCCTCCAGGGGGAGAAGCATTTAACCCACATCCTTCCTGCTGGCCACCCATGCCTCGGGCCTTGGCACCACTGTGCCCCTGACCATAGGCTCATTCCCTGCCTTTGGGGTCTGGGCTCCTCCCTGGCCGCTGTGCTCTGGTGGTGCCCTGTTCCCGTGCATTGCTGCGTCGTCTCCCAGCTTGTAAAACGATCACCATCCCCAACCGCAGCCACCAGGCTGGCTCTTCACTGCTGGAGCCCTGGTGCCCTGGCCTGGCCCTTGGCGCATGTGGGTCAGGTTTACCAAGCAGACTGGGCGTGGCCGGCGCTGGGGTGGTCTTGGTTCCTGTTTGTCTGTCCCAGCCCTGCTTGGGGTCTGGCTGGGGTCAAGGGCACCCCCCACCTGGTGTTCCTGTGTTCCAGGACAAGCACTTTCTCAGAAGCCCGTGGCCCTGCTGACGAGAGACAGCCCACCCCCAGCCTGCAAGAGAGGCAGCCAGAGGCCAGGTATCTGCTGGCCGCTGACTGACCAGGTCCGCAGTGAACAGAGGCGGGCCTGCCGACTGACTGTGTGGCATGGAGCATGGCTGTTCCCCAAGTGCACACCTGAACACTTGGAGGAATAAAGTTCTGTTTTTAATTGTGGAGCTGGACACAGGCTGTTGTGGTTTTGTTGTCCTGAGGTACCGGGCAGTGTACAGGGACCCCCCACCTGGCTGGGGTCAGGCTGCTGCCTAGTGGCTGAGCCACCCTAGTGCAGGCAGTTCGGGAACAAGCAGGGTGCTGGGGGCCCAGAGCTGGGGTCCTGGAAGGCCTCCCGTACCCCGGCTGCCCTCCTGTCAGAGAAGCAGGCTTTCTTTCGCCCATTTCCTGGAAAGCATCTGTGGCTTTGTCCTTCAGGCTAGCCGGCACCCTCCCCAGATGGCTGCCAGCCCTCGCGCTGCCCTGGCTGACCCAGGGGGTTCCCTGGAACAGATGACCTGGCTACCCCGACACGGCGGCAGCCCCCACCCTCCACTGTTCCTTTTGCATGGGCCTTTATTGGCATAAGACTAGCCCCCATCTTCTCCGTCTGTCCCCTAGCTCCCTTTCCTTTGTCTCTGTGGCAGCAGCGCCCCCAGGCCCTTGGCTATCTGGGCTTCGATCCTTCACTGGAGCCACTGTGGGGCCTCAGCCCTGGGCACCTGGCAGACGGGACGGTCCCATGGCCGACCTCACTCCTGAGTATGTGTTGCTGTGCCTGGTTCTCTAGTCTGGTGCCTAGTCTGGGGGCCACTCTGATCTGTGGGTTATTTAGCGGTATATTATTTAATTTCCAAATATTTAGAGATTTTGCCGATATCTGTTACCGATTTTTAGCTTCCGATATGGTTAGAGAACATGGTATGTGTGTTCACTCCTAAGGACACACACCACAGGGAAGTCACTAAGGTCCGCGTTTTAAACGCTGGGGAAACACTGGGTCATGAGGGCCTGGTGCCAGCTCCGGTTCGCTCCCTGGCAGGGCCCAGGATGGCCCCGGCCTGCACACTCGCTCATGTTGATGGTGAGGGGTCCAGCAGGGGCACGGCCCCCTGGAATGTGGCATTCCCGAGAGCCCAGGAGGACCCCTAACTGTCCGCTCCTTAATGTGTGATGTCAGACGTTGTCCGCACAGAGGCCTGAGGGCTGGAGGCTGAGAACGGTTAGGCAAGCTCCACACCAGCTTCCTTGCCTTCCAGCCTGGCGGCCCCTTCTCGAACCTGTTGGGTGGCAACTCAGTTCAACCAGCTTTACCGGGTGAGGCGGGGCCTGGGGGTTCCCAAGCCTGCAGGGATGAGGCTCTGGCAGCCCACACGCTGAAGTGCACAGTTCAGGGCAGACTCTGCTGTCCGTTGTCCCTGGATGGGGGCCGAGCTGTGCCCTGCTGTCACCGGCTCTTCTGAAGCTGGTTTGGGGGACCCCGAGAGTGGCCTCAGTCCTCACATGCATCCTGGTGGAGAGCAGGGATGCCTCATGATGGGGATAACGAGGATAACGACACTTCTGGAAGGGACGTTTCTCCCCCGTGTGCAGCTGGGTGGTGGCCGATGCCATGGCCCCTGGCAGGCTGCTGTGGCCTCCTGGGCTCCATAAGGTGGGCTGCAGCCCTTCTGTGACCAAGGCGTGTGCTGGCCATGCCGTGTGGCTGTGTGCCCCCCTGCACATGCCCTGCCCCGCTGTCCTGAGATGCTGGCGAGGGCGAGGGTGTTCGCACAGAGCAAAGCATGCCTTACTGAAGAAGTCTCCAGAAGCCTGTGACCAGGTCAAAGTGGCTGGGTGCGGGCTGGCCTTGTCCAGCCCCCTGGGGGTCTCTGCTGTCTCTTCTACTTGCCAGGTGCCAGGGCTGGGCCTCTGGGGCATCCCCAGGACCCCCAGCCCCCGGCCAGGCTGGGAGGGCTGGGAGCAGCTTTCCTCTGGAGGGCAGCGGACTTCCACTTCCGTCTGCCTCTTGGGGCCTCCTGGGCTGGGCGAATCAGAAAGCAGGTCACCAGGGACTGTCCCCCTGTGGGAGGACTGGCGGGACTGTGGAGTTAAGCAGAACCCATCAGGAAGTGCACAGGCGTCCGGCGTGCTCCTCCCTCCCTGCAGCCCCGGGCAGCATCTCCCAGAGGCTCCGCGGCCCAGGCTCCTGGTGTGTCTGCAGTGCAGGTGGCTCCTGGAAGACCCTCAGGTGGGTGGGTCTGGTGCTTTCTGAAAGGTGGCCAGGAAGGTTGGCGTTGGCCTAGTTCAGGATCCTGGCACTGATCCCCCAGAGCAGCCTGAGGCTTCCCACAGGCAGCCAGGCAGCCTCCGCCATGCGGCCCCGTCCCTTTCACGGCCCCTGGGCGGAGATGTGTTCATTTCAGTGGAATTACGGTGGCAGATGGGACCCTGCATTTCAAGCTGGGGAAGCAGGAAAGGGGCCCAGTGTTCCCAGGACTGTCTACCGTGTGGCCAGTGTTTTTATTCAGTCCCTTGTCTGTCAAAACTGTCCTGAATGGGGTGACAAAGTGCAGCGGGAAGTTGAGAAATGCCTCAAAAGACCAAGCCTGGGGCAACTATGTCTCCAGGAGCAGTGACCCAGCTCCTCTGGGCTGGAAACCAGCGTTTCCCAGCGGGGCTGGAGGCTGTCTGAGGACCACGTGGCTGCTCCCAGCCTTGCCGCAGTCCCAGTCTCAGAGGGAGTGGCTTTCAGCGGCTGAGGCCCCCACCATGCTGGCAGAAAGGGACAGCAGTGGCTGGTCCCAACATGGGTAGTTCTGTTGCAGCCACTGGGATGGGGGCCGGGCCTCATCTGGGGCAGGAGAAGAGTCCAGGGATTCACTGGTGCCCGGCACCTCAACCTGGAGAAAACACCGCAGCAGCACTCCTGGCCAGCCAAGGGCAACACTGACAGCCCCTCCCAGGGTTGCGGGGCCGGCAGGGGGTGACAGAGACACGCTCCTGTGGGCAGCTCTTCCCGGCCAGTGCAGCGACCCCGCAGCTGCAGCAGGGCTGGGTGGCCACTCTTGCATCATCAGCAGCCGGCCGTGGAGGAGGGAGGGCACAGCCAGGGATGTGAGCAGGCGTCGGTCAGGGGAATGAGGAAGTCCCACAAGAACCGGCTCCCCCAGCTGCTGTGCTGGTGGGAGGGCCACTGGCCAACCTGCTCTCACCCAGCTTGGGCTGGCCATAGTGCCAGGCAGTTGCCCTCAGCTCCTCTGCCCATTCCAGCCATGGAGGTGGCTAACCTTGCAGGCTCCAGGGCGTGATGGGAGTGTCCAGGAGGCAGAGGCCAGAGGGGGTCATGCTGTAGGGGGAGTTCCTCTCTCAGACCCCATCTGTGCCTCCCCCGCTGCGTATCTGGGTGACATGGATGCCAACGGGCAGGAGCAAGGGCTGGGAAAGGCTGCGGAGGGGCCCTCGGCTGGTCTGGTGGGGAGCGGGGTCACTGTGTCTCTGCTGCCTCCCTGGGGGATCCAGCGTGGGGATGGGACATGGAGCTGGGCACCTCTCCTGGATGCCCCTGGGCTGATCCCCCTCGATGCCCTGACGAGAGCCCTGGCCCAGCGTCTGAGAAGGAGTGGGAGCTGGGCCCGGGTGGGGGCAGGAGCCGGCATCGCTCTCAGCACTGCCCCACACTCCCCAGCCTGCCTGCTGAGGCCATGTCGGACTACGAGAACGATGACGAGTGCTGGAGCGTCCTGGAGGGCTTCCGGGTGACGCTCACCTCGGTCATCGACCCCTCACGCATCACACCTTACCTGCGGCAGTGCAAGGTCCTGAACCCCGATGATGAGGAGCAGGTGCTCAGCGACCCCAACCTGGTCATCCGCAAACGGAAAGTGGGTCAGTGTTGCCCCGCGGGCCCCAGGCCCCAAACCCAACCACAGAGTCAGCTCGGAGGTGGCTGCACGCTCTGCCACCCTGACCCTCAACCCCAGGAGAGCCCCGCCTGGCTTTGCCCCTGGCCTCTGACTGAGGCCCAACCTCAACCCTGGCACGTGGCCCGTCCCCCAGCCTCTCCTGCCGGCTTGGTGCTGCCAAGAGGGGCAGCGGGGCTCCCACCGCAGCGGGGGCTCCTGAGACAGCCAAGGGGCGGGTGGGCAGCACTTGGTCCCCAGCCTAGTACCAAGACCCGCAGGGTACCTCATCCAAGACCCAGACCACGGCACACCTCATCTGCATGCCAGCCTCCACCTGTCCCTGCCCCCAGGCCCACCCACCCCAGCCCTCTGCCTCGCCTGTGCCCCGCCCCCAGTTAGGCCTCTCTGGCCCGCAGGTGTGCTCCTGGACATCCTGCAGCGGACCGGCCACAAGGGCTACGTGGCCTTCCTCGAGAGCCTGGAGCTCTACTACCCGCAGCTGTACAAGAAGGTCACAGGCAAGGAGCCGGCCCGCGTCTTCTCCATGATCATCGGTGAGTGACGGGGGAGGCGGGGCCGACAGGGGAGGCGCTGGCGGGGAGCGGGCAGTGGTGTTGGGTCCTCTGCCTGGCCCCCATCCCTAGGAGCCCTGAGCTCCTGCCACAGCGCAGGGCGTGATGGAGCTGGGCCACCGGGGAACACGGCACCATCTGACACTGGCCTGGCCCACAGACGCGTCCGGGGAGTCAGGCCTGACTCAGCTGCTGATGACTGAGGTCATGAAGCTGCAGAAGAAGGTGCAGGACCTGACCGCGCTGCTGAGCTCCAAAGATGACTTCATCAAGGAGCTGCGGGTGAAGGACAGCCTGCTGCGCAAGCACCAGGAGCGTGTGCAGAGGCTCAAGGAGGAGTGCGAGGCCGGCAGCCGCGAGCTCAAGCGCTGCAAGGAGGAGAACTACGACCTGGCCATGCGCCTGGCGCACCAGAGTGAGGAGAAGGGCGCCGCGCTCATGCGGAACCGTGACCTGCAGCTGGAGGTGCGCCCGCTGCCCCCGGGAAACCAGGCCACCCTCGCCTGGCCTGGCGGGGTCTGCAGGCCGGGGCGGTCGGGGGTGGCCCCACGGGTCTGCGGTCACCGCCTGGAGGGGACAGCCAGGCTCACTGGACCTTCTGCAGATTGACCAGCTCAAGCACAGCCTCATGAAGGCCGAGGACGACTGCAAGGTGGAGCGCAAGCACACGCTGAAGCTCAGGCACGCCATGGAGCAGCGGCCCAGCCAGGAGCTGCTGTGGGAGCTGCAGCAGGAGAAGGCCC
This sequence comes from Homo sapiens, assembly GCF_000001405.40. Lineage (NCBI taxonomy): Eukaryota > Metazoa > Chordata > Mammalia > Primates > Hominidae > Homo > Homo sapiens. Next base: position 136,370,562 of record NC_000009.12, on the reverse strand, counting down.
TGCTCCAGGCCCGGGTGCAGGAGCTGGAGGCCTCCGTCCAGGTGGGGCCGTAGGCAGGGCAGGTGCAGCCCAGGCAGGGCAGTGGGGGCCTTCCCAGCCAGGCCATTGCCTTTTGCCCCCTTCAGGAGGGGAAGCTGGACAGGAGCAGCCCCTACATCCAGGTACTGGAGGAGGACTGGCGGCAGGCGCTGCGGGACCACCAGGAGCAGGCCAACACCATCTTCTCCCTGCGCAAGGACCTCCGCCAGGGCGAGGCCCGACGCCTCCGGGTAGGAGGGCAGGCGGGGAGACATGGCCCCTGGGGTCCAAGCCAGGCTGGACGGGCTGAGCTCCGCCCACTCCGTGCCTGGAAGGTGGGGTGTGGAGACCCCAGTGCAGCGCCTCCACTCACCCACTCCTGGAGGCACAGTGGACGGTGCCCTCTCCTTGCCCGCCTGCCCCCCATGGCAAAGGCCAACCTCTGGGCTCATGGTGCCTGAGGCACAGCAGTGTCTGAGGCCTGCCGGAGGGCCCTGTCCTGCCGCGGTCTGGAAGTGCAGGGCTGGTAGGGGCCTGGGGACTCCTATGGCCTCCCCCGACATCCCAACTGGCCTGACCACATGCTTCTGAGCCCCTGCCCGGAGTATACCCCAAGGGCCAGAATGGGGGGCCTCAGGCCTGTGGGGGCTGAGCTGCCGCCCCCTGCAGTGCATGGAGGAGAAGGAGATGTTCGAGCTGCAGTGCCTGGCACTACGTAAGGACTCCAAGATGTACAAGGACCGCATCGAGGCCATCCTGCTGCAGATGGAGGAGGTCGCCATTGAGCGGGACCAGGTGGGCACTCGCAGGGGCAGGACAAAGCACCCCACTCGCGGGTGGGTGCACCAGGGCCACGGCCCTTGAGGGCAGTTGTCAGAGGATTTTTAATCTTTGTTATTTGTTTTTGAGATGGGGTCTTGCTATGTCACCCAGGGTGGCCTCAAACTACTGGCCTCAAGCAATCCTCCGGCCTCAGCCTCCCAAAGTGCTGGGATTGCAAGCTGAGCTGCCACACCTGGTCTGTTTTTTAAATGACAGAAGCAATACTTAACACTAAAAAAAAGTAAACGATGATGAAGTCAATACTTCCCCACCCCAGCCTACTGTCAGGGAAAACCGTGTTCAACCTTCCCGCTCCACCTTACAGACTTACCTGTCATCTATCCATGTATCCATCTGTCTATCATCTATCACCTATCTATCTATTTATATATTTGGTTTTGTTTTACAAAAATGGAAACATTCTGTCTTGTTTTACCAGTAGCTTTTTTTAATCTTAAAAAAAGCTTGGCTGGACGTGGTGTCTCTCGCCTGTCATCCCAGCACTTTGGGAGGCTGAGGCGGGCGGATCACTTGAGCCCAGGAGTTCCAGAGCAGCCTGGGCAACACGGTGAGATCCCTGCTCTACAAAAAAATGCAAAAATTGGCCTGGCGCGGTGGCTCACGCCTATAATCCCAGCACTCTAGGAGGGCGAGGCAGGCGGCTCACTTGAGGTCAGGAGTTCGAGACCAGCCTGGCCAGTATGGGGAAACCCCGTCTCTACTAAAAACACAAAAATTAGCCTGGTGTGGTTCCGGGCGCCTGTAATCCCAGCTACTCAGGAGGCTGAGGCAGGAGAATTGCTTGAACCCAGGAGGCAGAGGTTGCAGTGAGCTGAGATCACGCTACTGTACTCCAGCCTGGGTGACAGAGCGAGACTCCGTCTCAAAAAAAAAAAAAATTAACTGGTCGTGGTGGCGCATGCCTGTGGTCCCAGCTATTTAGGAGGCTGAGGCTGCAGCAAGTCACCATTGCGCTATTGCACTCCAGCCTGGGCCACGGGAGTGAGGCCTGCAAGGCCTCCAGTGCTACGTGCTGTGAGCCGGATGGAGCGTCGCGGGGCAGGGCTGTGTCTGCTTCCCATGCCCCGTCCCAAGTCCCATCCTGGAGGTTGTTTCCAATGGACACCATTGCTGCTTCGGCTAAATGCTGGATGGCACTTTGTCCACATCAGGAGCCTTAAAACGAGACCCCTGGGGCTACAAAGGAAGCCCCGGCCCCCATGAGAGCAGCCCAGGCTCAGAGCTCCTGTCTCAGCCCCACCTCAGCCTCACTCGCGCCTGGCCCACGCCAAGGCAGGGGAAAAGGGCAGATCCAGCTGTGCCCCCATGGGGGTTGGTGTGGCTCCCAGGGCGGGGGCTCCCACGGGACTTCCCGGGAGCGCGTTGGCCAGGGATTAGGGAAGCTGCCAGCCGTTGCTCCAGTCTGGGCAGAAGGGGTTAGGTGAGGGCCTCCCAGCCTCGGCTGCAGGGGTGGTCAAGCCGTCGTGTTTGCACATTCGCTCCTGCGTCTCAGTGTCCGCAGTGAGGACAGGGGTGGTAAAGAGTGCTGCGGTCACGAAGGACGCTTAGCTATGGACAGTCAGGGTCTCCATATCAAGCCGCGTCCAAAATTTATCAAATGTGCACGTGTGGGGGTACATAGCACACGCTGTGTCCACCGGGGGTGCAGGCTTGGGAGGAGACAGAAGGGCAGCAGGGACAACTGTCACATTTACAATCCCCCACGTGCTGACTTCGTGTCCGCAGAGCACACAAATGGAGGGGCTGTGACCAGCCTCCGCGCCCAGCGGCTTGACGTCCTCCGGAGCCTCTGCTTGGAGTTGGGCGGCCGGGCCGAGGGCCCAGGGCAAGCTTGGGGCCCTCACTGAGGGTCGGCCTTGTGCTGTCCCGTCAGGCCATAGCCACGCGGGAGGAGCTGCACGCACAGCACGCCCGGGGCCTGCAGGAGAAGGACGCGCTGCGCAAGCAGGTGCGGGAGCTGGGCGAGAAGGCGGATGAGCTGCAGCTGCAGGTGTTCCAGTGTGAGGCGCAGCTACTGGCCGTGGAGGGCAGGCTCAGGCGGCAGCAGCTGGAGACGCTCGTCCTGGTGGGCCTGGGGCCTGCGGCAGGGAGGGGAGCCGGCGCGTGGGATGCAGGGCCAGGGGAGCACGGAGCCTCAGCCCCGGCCTTCCCGACCCAACCCTTCTCTGTGACGGGCCCCAACCTAACCAAACCCCTCCTGGCAGTGGGGTGAGGGCACACGAGCAGTTCAGGGTCCCAGCAGGAAGTGGGGCTGCAGGGCCGGGGTGGGTCCTGGGCCTGGCCATCAGGCAGCCTAGCAGGTTGTTCTGGGCATGGAGGGGGCCTGGTGTGGCTGAGGGCATGCCCAGGGCTCCCTGGAGGATCCCGCTCTGTGCCCTGCCCACCCTGTGCCTGGGGAGCCCTCTGCCCTCACAGCCCACCCACCCCATTTTCTATGACCACAGAGCTCCGACCTGGAAGATGGCTCACCCAGGAGGTCCCAGGAGGTGAGTGAGACCCCAGCCAGCACGAGGCTGGCCTTCCTTCACCTGGGGTCCTGGCTGAGCTGCCACCAGGCATAGCCCCACACTGCCCGTCACATGGCCCTGCTCGGTGGGCTGGGCTGGGTGGAGGAAGAGCAGGTGGCCAAATGCTAAGGCCTCTGATGGCTCAAGGGGTAAGGTAAGGCACGGACAGTGCCCACCTCCTGGCCGCCCAATGTCCGTCTGCTGGGCACCTGAGTCTCTGAGAAGCTCTGTGCAGGGGGTGACGGCAATGGCTGCACCCAGCTGAGGGCCAAGGGCTGGGGTGGGCAGTGTGGCCGGGTCCAGTCCTTGGCGAAGTGGCCTAATGGGACATCTTGACTCTCTTTGGAAGCTCTCACTCCCCCAGGACCTGGAGGACACCCAGCTCTCAGACAAAGGTGAGGTGGGGACAGCAGTACACCCAGAGGCCTCCCAGCTTCCCCAAGTGAGGCCCATCTTCAGCACAGGCAGCCCGTGCCGCAATGCCTGTGTCAACCCCCACAACCCCCACTCCACAGACAGGGAAACTGGGGCTGGGGATAAGTAAAATGGTCAAGGTCACCTAGAGAACAAACTACAGAGCCCAGCTGGAACCCAGGGCCCCAGCTAGTGGGACAAGTGTCCCCTGGGGTGGAGAGTGTGGGGGTCTGGGCAGCCCCCATGGGCTGCAGAGGTGAGCAGGCCCACCGTCCTGAGAGTGTGGGGCCCCTCTGGGCAGCCCCCACGGGGTGCAGAGGTGAGCAGGCCCAGTCCTGGCTGCTCCAAGCTTCCTCCTGGACAGAGGGAGGTGGTAACGAGCGAACGACCAGGTGCATGAAGCTAGAAGATGGGGCGAGATGGGGCCCCACGTGGCTTGAGGGAAAGGGCTGAATGCAGGGGTGGCCAAGGGCCTGCTGTGTCCCGGTGCAGTGGGGGTAAGGCAGTGGCAGGGGCTTCTAGCGGGCAGGGCAGGCCCCCTCTGCCTGTCTGGGGGAAGGACTGGGTGGCTAGCTGGGAGCAGCTCCCGAGTGTCCAGGAGTGGGCAGTGGTGATGAGGTAGGTGTTTGCACTGAAGGTGCTGTCAGGTAGGGGTTGGGGAGGGCCCAGCAGAGGGGTCCTGGGAGGCTGCACCGGAGTTGGACAAGCTTCCTGAGTACCAGGCCGTGGCCTCCAAGCAGAGGCGGAAGGGGAAGGAGGAGCCGCAGACGGGGAAGTGAAGACCAGCGCCTTTGGCTGCAGCTCAGAACACTTGAACATGGGGATGCCAAGCCCCCATGTAGGCACAGAGGCGAGCAGGACCCAGGAGTCCGGCTCAGGCACTGCCCCCATCCCCCTGGGTGGCTGTGGCAGGAGCAGGGGCAGGTGTGAAGGTTGGAGGGTGAGCAGGGGAGGGGCTGGCTCTAAGGGGCTGCCAATGGCCAGGACAGCCCTGGCCTGGCCCTCACCGCAGTGGGGCTGAGACTGGACGTGCGTGGTTTCTGCCCAAGGGTCCTGATCCCTGGTCTGCCCAGGTCCTGGCGGTTTCTGAGGGGGTCCAGCCGCCTGAAGGTTCTCTCCCAATTGCTGCAGTACCCCTGCCCCCACTTCAGGAGGACCCAGACAGCCACTGTAGCTGTCCCCAACTCTCTCCCCAGGGCCGCCATGCCCACAGATGCTTTGGAGTGATGGGGGACGGTGCTGCTCAGGCCCAGGGTTTAAGTTCCCCCGAGGTCTGGGAGGCGTTCCTCCCTGGCAGGCAGCCAGCTCGGGGGAGGGATGGTCACTGGCGGGAGCGTTGGGCCTGGGCTGGCATCTGGCGGCCTCCTGGAGCAATGAACAGGCAAGCGAGGCCATAAGGCCTCAGTCTCATCTACAGAAAGCAGAGTCTACACTGGACCCATGTGGGGATCCCACCAGGCCTTGGAAGACAGCCCCACTGCAATGCCGGGGAGGGGTGGGGCAGCCGTGCTATACGTGGCCCAGCAGATGGGCAGGTCCCACAGGCACGACTCTCCTTTCCAGGCTGCCTTGCCGGCGGGGGGAGCCCGAAACAGCCCTTTGCAGCTCTGCACCAGGAGCAGGTTTTGCGGAACCCCCATGTAAGGCTTCCCCGGGGTGGGGTCCTCCCAGCCGTGGGCCTCAGGGTGACCGATCACAGGGAGAGTGGCTCCCTGCCCTGGGCACCCCCTGCGGTGGCCCCGACGACAGCTGAGGAGTGACCACAAGGTCTCTGCCCACAGTGCTCGGGGTGCGGTGTCTGGGCTGCGAAGTGGATCCCCCTTTCTTGGGCACTGCAGCAGCTTGGGGGGCTTTTTGGACGTGGATGTGCCTGGTCCTGGTTTTCCGAGGGCCTTTACAGTGGATGAGGAGGTGAACACAGGAGTCCTGAGAGCAAGCACCACCTCGGGCTTTGTTGTAGAAACAATGGCCCGGACCCCAGGCTGGAGCCGTGGCTTGGCCTCCTGGGTGTGTCTTGGCATCTGAAATGCAGGCTACCCACACCGGCTCACCTCCAGGGGTACAGGCAGGTCCCACAGGGAGAGCTTGGCGCTGAGCTGAGGCTGTCTGGGCTCCTCGCCTCCCAACCAGTCTGCAGTTACAGGGGCCAGTGGGGGGCGGGTGAGAAGGACGGGTTCCCTCAGGGGAGCCGGCCGGAGCCCGAGCCTTCCCCCTTCTCCAGGACGCAGGCCTGAGCAGCGGGGAGCCGCCCGAGAAGGAGCGGCGGCGCCTCAAAGAGAGTTTTGAGAACTACCGCAGGTAGGCGGGCGGCCCCCAGGCTTCTCCAAAACGGGCTGGGGAGCGGCAGCCGGGTCGCGCCTGAGACACCTGTCTTCACAGGAAGCGCGCCCTCAGGAAGATGCAGAAAGGATGGCGGCAGGGGGAGGAGGACCGGGAGAACACCACGGGCAGCGACAACACCGACACTGAGGGCTCCTAGCCGCAGCAGCGCAGGCCCCGACCAGGGCACACCCACCGGCCCGGCCTCCTGCCACCCGGGGGTGCCGACGCCCTGGGGCGCAGACTTCCCCGAGCCGTCGCTGACTTGGCCTGGAACGAGGAATCTGGTGCCCTGAAAGGCCCAGCCGGACTGCCGGGCATTGGGGCCGTTTGTTAAGCGGCACTCATTTTGCGGAGGCCATGCGGGTGCTCACCACCCCCATGCACACGCCATCTGTGTAACTTCAGGATCTGTTCTGTTTCACCATGTAACACACAATACATGCATGCATTGTATTAGTGTTAGAAAACACAGCTGCGTAAATAAACAGCACGGGTGACCCGCATTCCCGCTCGGACACTCGCGCGCAGCCCCGCGGCCGTCCCTCCTCGCTGCGGCCCGCGGTGTCCTCGGGGTGCGAGCTGCACGTGGACGCAGGGCCCCCTCAGGCCGCCAGGGGGCGGCATAGCGCAGCGCGCCCCCGACCCGGAAGACGGAAGCCCAAGAACGCCGCTTCCGCCCGGCGCCCACTTCCAAGATGGCGGCGGGGCGGGGCCGGGGCAGGGCGGACGGAGCCGGCGAGCGGGATGCTGCGGACTGCGCTGCGCGGCGCGCCGAGGTTGCTGAGTCGCGTGCAGCCCCGGGCGCCCTGCCTGAGGCGGCTGTGGGGCCGCGGGGCCCGTCCAGAGGTCGCGGGGAGGCGGCGGGCCTGGGCCTGGGGCTGGCGGCGCTCAAGCTCCGAGCAGGGGCCGGGGCCCGCGGCGGCTCTGGGGCGCGTGGAGGCGGCGCACTACCAGCTCGTCTACACCTGCAAGGTAGGCGCGCGGCGGGACGGAACCGGGGACAGACCCGTATCTGACGCTACACGGCCTGCGGGGAGAAGCGGCCCGCCGGGGATCCGGGAGGCGGCGTGGTCAAGTCACAGGAAGGAGTGGAGCCACCCCTTGGGGCTTCTGGGAGGGAGCGGAGGCGGACCATGAGGAGGGGTGGAGCCGTCCCTGGGGCGGGGCCTTCCCGGGAGAGGGCGAGGTTGGGGGTGGGTGGAGCTATCCCTCGGGGGCGGGGCCTTCTCTGGAGAGGGTGAGGTGGCTGGAGCTACCCCTAGAGGGGCGGGTCTTCCCGGGAGGGGCGTGGCGGCCCTCACAGCCTCACCAGCTACCCTGTCCCAGCCAGGTCTGCGGGACTAGGTCCTCCAAGCGCATCTCCAAGCTGGCCTATCACCAAGGCGTGGTCATTGTGACCTGCCCCGGCTGCCAGAACCACCATATCATCGCTGACAACCTGGGCTGGTTCTCGGACCTGAATGGGAAGAGGTGAGGCCTGTACCCCAGGGCTGGGCCAGAAGGCCACCCAGAAGTACCCTGGCCTCCCTGGGGGAACCTTGCCCTAGTGTTGAGGTTTATAGATCTCACCTGGGAAATCCAGCCACCTTATCAATACAAGACACACAGTTAAATGAGAATTTCCTATAAAGCCCAGATAGCTTTTGAGTTTAAGTATGCCCCAAGTAGGGGGTGCGTTTTTATTTGTTAAATTTTGCCAGCCCTGTGGCCCTGCCTCCCTGCCTCTGCCTGCCCTCTGCCATCACTGGCAGCCTTGTCCCTCTCTAGCGTGGAACTTTTTTGCCCTCTGCCATCTTGGGGTGGCTGGCCCACAGCAAGGCTTGGGGTGTGGACCAGGAGGTGTGGCCTGGGCCCTGGCTGCTGGGAGAGCAGTGGAGGTGGTGCCGGGAGCCTGGTCCGGGCCTTGCCTGGCCGGGAGGTCCTGGGCAGGACAGTAACAGCGACAGCAGGTCTGAGACCAGCATGCCAGGTGCTTGGTGGTACCTGGCCCTTGGAGCTGGGACTGTCCTCCCATCAGACCCGGGGCTGCAGATTCTTCCCTCTGGCACATAGGGGGCAGGAGCAGGAGACTGGGTTCCTGAGGCGGCGCATACCGGCAGAGACACAGGGCTGGTGAGGGCACACAGGCCAGCGTCTGAAGTGCCCGTGTGGCCTGATGCCACAGGAGTGCTGGGCCTGGTGCTTGCAGCTCTGGCCTGGCCATGGGGCGCCCTGAGGGGACTGAAGTGCAGGGCGGCTGGGGGGCCCTGAAGAGCCATGTTGCCTCCCTGCCCCCCAGAAATATCGAAGAGATCCTGACGGCCAGAGGCGAGCAGGTGCACCGTGTGGCGGGCGAGGGGGCCCTGGAACTGGTTCTGGAGGCTGCAGGGGCCCCCACATCCACTGCAGCTCCGGAAGCGGGTGAGGATGAGGGTCCCCCCAGCCCTGGCAAGACGGAGCCGAGCTGACTCCTGCGCTCCCCGGCACTGTGGGACTTCGGCCTTCCAGAAGGAGGTTTTGGCCCTGGGCCTCTCTGGACGTGGCCTGTTTTCTATCAATAAACAGACATTACTTCCAGATGCTGGGGCCTGTGGCCCTCGTGGCCTTTCTTTTTCTGGAGTTAGAACGATTGCTCTGAATCCCTGGTGCTGCTGGGTGGGACATAGGAGCCGCAGGACCTCTCGCCTCACCACAGTTCCTTCTACACAGAGTCACCCAGCTCTTGCCCACAGAGGCCACAGTCGCGTGGAAAGGGGGCTGGATGTGGCGTCAGAGCCCTTCCTGGCTGTCGCTGCGTGACTTTGAGCAGGTCACCACCCCTGTGAGCCTCAGCCTTCCTCTGCAAGGCCCTTGCCGCCCCCCTGGCCAGCTCTGGCGGCCTCCCTTCCGTGAGCCAGTGCAGACCTGAGCCCTGGTCCTCGGCCGCCGGCCGTCGGCGAAACAGTGAGCAAACCAGGCTGCCTGCTGGCCCAGGCAGGACGAGCAGCTATGGCGTGGCCGTGTGTTAGGAGCTCCAGACCCCTCCCGGGGGAGCCACCTGGGCCTCCTTCCCTCGGTGGACAGCGCTCTGGACGTCCCCAGGGCCCTCCGAGGTGTGTGGGGTTTGTCTCCCAGCCTTGTCTGTGCGCAGGATGTTCCCGTGTTTATGAAAGCGAGCAAACACAGCAGCCTGTTTATTTGCAGAAGCGTTCTGGGCAGCGTAACCTTCAGCATTCATCACCCGCCACACTCCGGCAGGGAAGAGAATGGGGCGAGGTGGGAGGTGGAGGCAGGACTGAGCACGACAGGGACCCAGTGCGGCCCCTCCCAGCGGGACACGGCCAGGACTGCCAGCTCACATCCGGCCCGTGGGAGGCCGGGGCGCGGCGGCATCGTTCCCAGTGTGCTTGTGGCGTGGGCTTTGCCTCGATTACCCCCTGTCCTTCTTTCAGCCAACAACCCTCTATTATTCCCACCCAGAGCCTTCTGTGCCATTTGTGGAAACTGTCCTCTTCTCGGCTGAGCCACCGGCACCCAGGCCTGCTCCTCCATGGAGGCACTGGCTGGGGGTCTCTTGGGGGCTTGGAAGTGCAGTGGGGCTGGGCTTGGCTTGGCTGCCTCACTGCCTCCAGAGGGCCTGGACCAGCATGTGGGGAGGTCCAGGGAGCCGTCTGGACCTGGAAGTGCAGAATTAGAGCAAGGAGAGCCGCTTGGGCCAACCCCTCCTCTTACGGATGGGGAGATGGCGGCTGGTAGTTGGGATGTGGACGTTACCATGTCTTTTCTGTCTGATGCCAGCACCTCTGGGCCCAGGCTGGCCCTGGAGGGAAATCCTTCCCAAGGCTGGCACGTTCCTAGAGAAGACCTATGGCTACCCCCCGCGTGCCAGAAGCATCCCGCCAGCTCCTGCCTGAGGCCCCCTGGACCCTGTCTCCCTCCGCCCTTCCCTCCCCGCAGCCCCAATCCCACAGCCAGGTTTCTGCAAGGGGCTTTGCCATCCTAATCTCCTGCCACTCTACACCCCCCCGCCCCAGGACATCCCTGCCTCCCGGGCACGGTTGCTGGCCTGGGCATCCCTCGTCACAGCGTCTCTCCAAGCAGGTTCCTCGGCCGCACCTTCAGAGGCTGTCCCAGCCAGTAGCGTGGGCGGCACTGCTGCGCTTCCCTGGCTGTGCGCGGTCCTGGGCCCTGCACGGTTACTTGGACCCTGTGTGCGTGTACCACCACACGCAAGCTGGCTGGGACCCTGGACCTGGAGTACACGTTGATTCTGGTTCCCAAGGCCCCTTCTGGGGTGGAGGAGGCAACGGAGTCAACCAGCACAGAGGCTGTGGCTGCCAACATGGCCAGGTGGGCTGTGGCGAGGGGCAGCAGGACTGCCCGGCGCACCTGTGTGTCCCCTGACGGGGGCCCCGTGGGGGTGCCACCCACCACAAGCAGCGCCCAGACAAGCCCCAAGACTGCAGATCTGCCGTCGGCTCCTCCACTGTGGCTCAGTGTCCAGACCCTGAGCCCAGCCGGATCAGACTCCAGGAAAGGACCTCCCTCCCCCGGGTGCTGGGTGGGCGGCAGCAGGCTGGGTCCTCAGGGGGTCGTGGGGCTGACCTGGGGGCTGCTGCTTCTGGGGGCTGGTCCCGGCCACGTGAGTGTCAGCTCAGAGCATGCTCTGTTTCCCTAGGGGCTGGGAGCGTGAGGAGGTAGGGGTGCAGGAATCAGTGGTGACAGCAGGCAGCCACTTCACCCCTCTGTGCCCCAGCTCCCCCGTGGTTAAATGCAGTGGGAACTCCATCTCTCTGAGGTCTCAGAGGGCCCAGACAGTGGGTATCTGTGGACACTTTGCACAGTGCAGCCTCTTACCGGGTTAGGCCCCCACCCGGGACTAAGCCCATACGGACCACACTCACTTGGCCGACTTTATTTTTCAGGAAAAACAGAAAAACAAATGTACCTCTTGGGTTGGAAAGGACCCATTGACAACATGGCACAGACGTGAGCAATAAATACGCACATACATTCAAGTATGCGGGGGGGCGCTACGTCCTGGAGACCCTGTGTTCGGGCACCTGTCCCTGCTCTCGGGTGCGGCCCTGCCCCTCCAGAAGCAGGTCACCTCACCAGGCCCAGATCTGCCTCTCCATCCTAGCCTGAGAGTGGGGCCTAGAGGCACCCTCCTAGATGGAACTGCCAGCCCTGGGGGCTGTGGGGCCATGGTAGGGCCCTTGGCAGTCTTGGGAGGTGCCAAGGCTGGGTCTGGACAGGAGGAGGCAACCTCAGGCCCCTGGGGCCCATCTCAGGCTCCAGCAGGTCCTGCCAGTCCTAGGATCCCGAACTTGGTGCCCTGTGAGCCCCCTCCCCATGGAGAGAGCAGTGATGTCATCTCCCCCAGCTGGTGGGAGGAGGGGGGTTCTCATATGGGGGGTCTGCAGGGTTGAGCTGAGTGAAGCCTCCCCAGCTTCCACTGACCACCCCCCCACTTGGGTGAGGGTCACAGAGCCTGGTGCTACCTCCCACCCTGACTGGGCACTGCTCTTGCTGCCAGTAAGCATCCCTAGGACCAGGCCCTGCCCTTTTTCCTGGCTTGGGGTTTTGGAATGTCGAAGTTCATGCCCAGCCATTCCCTCTGCTTTAGAGATAGGCCCGGCTCCTGTCGAGGCCCCTGCAGGGCCCTGGGACTCGGCGGGGGGCACCTCAGGGCTGCCACTGCAGCCTGGTCTGCCATGCGTGGTCTGGGGGGCCTTCTGTGGTTGCTGACCTCTGGCCGGGGAGTGGGGAGACAGGCTTGGAGGGAGCCCTGCCCCAGGACGAAGCTGGAGGGGTGGAGCATGCCTGTCACACGGCCATCCCAAGACCAGCTCTGGGGGGACAGAACATGGCCCTGTCCTTGGTGGCCCCAAGAGGCGGCTCAGAGACACCTTTGGGGAGGGTGGGGGAGACAGCAGGGTTTCACATTTGGCAGGGCAGGGCAGAACGGGAAGGGCTTGGGGGAGAGGATGCGGGAGTCTGACAGCACCAGGTCGGGGCCGACATGCCGAAGGCCCCGTCCGGCCTGCGGCAGGGGCAGAAGGGAGGAAGCTGAGGGCCATGGGGGCCAGCCCGGGATGGAAGCACGCCCTCCCACCACGGGCAGCTTGGCCTGAGCCTGTCGCCCTGGGTCGGGGAGGCCGTGGGGCTGCATGCCCAGTGCCTGTCCTCGGCAATGGCCTCGGGAGGACGTGGCTGTGACTGTGAGACCGGCGTCCAGGAGTGGGGGCAGGGTGGGCCTGGCGGTGGGCACAGGGCCTTAGCTCGCACCAGGCTGGCACTGCTGCTGGGGCTCGGGCGGGCCGCCTGCCCCCTGCTCCGGGCCCCCGGCGAGGTCCACCCGCTGCTCGTCCATGCGCTTAGCCTGCACCCTCTGAATGAGGCTGAAGAAGTCCTCGTCCGGCATGGTAGGGCCCCGGGGCAGTACGTCAGGTGGCGGGCAGCGCTGGTCATCGATCCTGGAGGACTGGGTGGACACAGTGCAGTTGGCGGCCTCACCCCCCCAGCCCCAGTGGTCCGGGGCTGGTCAGCAGCGGTGGTTCCAGAGGCCAGCGTGCACTGTTCACGGGCTTCCCCCTGTCCACCCAGGAAATTGGTTCTGGGGCCTGCCTCGCTCTGGGGTCTTGTGCTGGGAGCCCGGGCCCTGAGCGCAGTCTTCTGGTGGCCCCGCCACCAACCCGCAGGAGCCCAGGGCAGGCCCGCCCAGGAAAAGCAGGTCCAGCGATTCCCACTGGGCATGGGTGTGCCAGGCCCAGGAGACAGTGGCTAGGGCGGCGTTGGATGCCTGCTCCCCACATCTGCTGATCCCCAGGGACGGGCATGCGTGGCCGTCCCTCTGCCCAGCCCTGGAAACCAGCACAGCCTGGGACTGACCCTGGCAGGCCTGAGGTCTCAGCTTCCAGAGCCCGAAGTGTGGCGCCCCCCAGGGCTTCCCCTTGTGTCAGGTGGCTGACCCCGTGGGCCTCGCCTGCTCCAGTGTGCAGGCCAGGGGGCCAAGGGGTTGTCTGGGCTTCTCTGAAGCGCCTGGAGCAGGAGGGACGGGAGCTGGCGCAGGCATGCGTGTGGATGGGGGACTCTGGGCCTCTTGGGTGGGGCTGGTTTGGAGGTGGCTGGTCGGACGCCTGGCCCCGGGCCGAGGTTTCCTCTCTGCTGTGGGGAGGACGGCAGACCTGGAAACGTGCTGGCTTGGTTCGTGGTGGGCCAAGCGGCCTCCACCCCCAGCCTGTTCCCAAGTCTACGGACCCTGAACCCCTTCCCAGCAATGGCTGCACCCCACAGGGATGGCGAGACCCCCAGAGTTTGAGGTCCTAGTTGGGATAGCAGTTGGCTCAGCAGTCTCCACTCCGGCCACCCTACCTGGCTCACCCCCACACAGATGAGGAGGTCATTCCTGGCGTGGCTGCCAGGCTGGAGCCCCGGCCCTGGCTCTGCCCTCTGGGGCTGGACCCTCCGCCCATGCCGTCCACTGTGTGGTCCCTGGATGGTCCCTGTTTTTGTCCCACCAGCCAGCTGGCAGCCCTGGATCCCCCTGCCCTCCCCACTCTGGGGGTGCTATCTGGCCCGTGTTTTCCCTGCCGGGTGTGGAGGGCTGGTGGGGAATCCCTGAGGCCATGAGCTCCAGGACCTGTGACCCCCCAGCCCCCACCCCGAGTTCCTGCATGGCAGGGGGGTGGCACAGCCTGGGAGTGTCCTGGGGTTGCCAGGGGGGGTCTCTGGTGTCTCCAGCAGCCCGGGGTTCCCAGGAGTAGGGCTTCAGGCTCAGACACCCCTGGTCATGTGGTGACACTGGCTGAGTCCCCCAGGAGTCCCTCAAACATGACCGGAGATGGCAGAACCAGCGCCCACCTCACCCCTCAGGACACAAGTTGCCTCCACACACGTGGATGGCAAAGGGGCCGCGAGCCACGCCCGCCCAGGGCCGCAGCCCACCTGGTACTTGATGAGCATGTTGAAGAAGTCGTCCCCCGGCTCCTGGGGCTCGCCGTGGCCTCGGAGGTGCCCTGCATTGCTGTGGGTGATTCGCAGCCCCGGCAGGCTGCCCACGCTGGCCCGCTGGTCGTCCAGCCGGCGGCTCTGGGAGCTGGCGATGAGGTCGAAGAATTCCTCGGTCTGGGGCGAGGCCGTCATCGAGGGCTGGGCTGCGGGGGGCCAGAGGGTGAGACCTGGGACCCAGTGCGGGGTCAAGCCCGAGGCTCGGGCTGCGGCCACAGTGAGCTCTGACCTCTGAGCCCAGCCCAGCCCACTGTGCTGCTGGGGCCATGGCTCCTGGGGGAGTCTCCGCTGACCGGCCTAGGCAGCTCTCAGCTGCTCCCCCTGCTGTGGCTCCCACGCCCACCTCAGGGGCTTCCAGGGGGTGACAGGAGGAGACAGGAGGAGAACGCCAGTCCCCCACGCCCTGCCCCCTCCCTGAGACTGCCCCTGCAGCCTGAGTGTGTCCCGGAGGGCGGGCTGATGACACGCTTCCCGGGATGCTGCTCTGTGGGGGCTGCGGAGGGCGCCCTCAGTGACAGGGTGCTCTGCAGCTGGCCTGCTGGTCTGCCCCCGAAAACTCCTCACTGGAAGCAGGACGGGAGCCCTGGTCCTGGCCCCTGCAGACAAGCCCAAGGGAGGGCCCGGCTGAGGGGGGCACTCACCGATCCTGTCCTCCAGGGTGGGGGCGGCCGTGGCCTCGGCAGCCCCGGCCTGGCCATCGTCCAGGGGACAACGCTGGTCGTCCATGCGGCTGCTCTGGAACTTGGTCAACAGGTCAAAGAAGCACTCCTCGTCCGAAGACGGGGCCCTCGGGATGCTCTGGGGAGGGAGTGGGGTCACCGCAGCCAAAGCTAGCCCCGCAGACCCCCAGACGAGACCGGGGGCTGCTTGCCCAGGCCACACACACTTCTGAGACCCTGGCCAAGATCGGGACTCTAACCTGCCCCCTGTCGGCTACCCCTCCCCCAGAACGTGTCACCCACCCTCGGCACCCGGCTACCCCTCCCCCAGGACGTGTCACCCACCCTCGGCACCCGGCTACCCCTCCCCCAGGACGTGTCACCCACCCTCGGCACCCGGCTACCCCTCCCCCAGGACGTGTCACCCACCCTCGGCACCCGGCTACCCCTCCCCCAGGACGTGTCACCCACCCTCGGCACCCGGCTACCCCTCCCCCAGGACGTGTCACCCACCCTCGGCACCCGGCTACCCCTCCCCCAGGACGTGTCACCCACCCTCGGCACCCGGCTACCCCTCCCCCAGGACGTGTCACCCACCCTCGGCACCCGGCTACCCCTCCCCCAGGACGTGTCACCCACCCTCGGCACCCGGCTACCCCTCCCCCAGGACGTGTCACCCACCCTCAGCACCCGGCTACCCCTACCCCAGGACGTGTCACCACCCTCGGCACCCGGCTACCCCTCTCCCAGGATGTGTCATCCACCCTCGGCACCCGGCTACCCCTCCCCCAGGACGTGTCACTCACCCTCGGCACCCGCCGACTGCCCCGGACTTCTCCCCTCTCATGGGTGCTACCCCAGTCCAGGCCTCTGTCCGTCACCTGCCCTGGGCCAGCCTCCCCAGCCTTGGCCTGGAACACTTCCCAGACATCCCGGGAAGCCTCCCGTGCCTCCTGTCCCTGTGCCCACCACACCCTGTGTCAGCCCTGCCATGAGCTCCCTGTGTCCATGCCCTACACAGCCCTCACCGGTGTCTGCTGTGTGAATGAACTCGAAGGAATGAACCCCGCCCTGGGCCTCAGTCCACACACCCAAACAAGGGAGGCTGGAGGGCGTGGTCTCCTGTGGCCCCCCAAGGGGCCCAGCTGAAGCAGGTCCACCCCGTGACCCAGCCTCACAGGGCCTGGTCCGGGCCCCAGGGCTGAAGGGTGTTTGTGATGGTTCCAAGCCCCGTCCACCTCCCGACCGGCGCTGGCAGCCCCTGCCCGGCCCCAGCCTGTCCATCTCACGGCTGGTGGCCTCTTCCAGGTCTGCAAATGCTGGGCTCACAGCTGAACGAGTTAACAAGAGACGCAATGTTGGTGGAGATGGCACCTCCCGGGTCCCCGATGCTGCCTGGAATTCCCAATACCTGACCCCCACAGCCCAGGAGACGGACAGCTGTCTGACAGACAACTGGAATTCCCGACACCTGACCCCCACAGCCCAGGACTAGGGCTCCCGTCCTGCTTCCAGTTTTCTGCTGGACTCGGCCCAGGGCACAGGAGAGTGGGGCCTAGAGACATGTGTGACCTACCCAAGGTCATGCTGGAGCAAAAAAGAGCTGGGATTCAGACCCTTGAGCTGAGCCGAGGGCCCTGTGGACAGCCCTGTTTTAGGAGAGACCCCACCTGGCTCTGGCCCCTGGAGTCAGTCCCCAGCTGTCACGGAAGCCTGAGGTACCTCCTGTCCCTGAGGCAGACCTGAGGAGGGAGAGTTCTAGCACCCCCTTCTCCCCGCAGGGCTCTCCTCCTGCAGCCTGGCTCAGGCCTAAGGCAACACCCCCACTCCCCCGGATTCCCCAGCCAGGAGGGAGGGGAGAATTGGCCCAGTCTGTGGGGAGGGCCACATCCACTTGGGCCAGGGCTCTGGGAGCTGCAGGTCCAGGCAGAGGGTGGCACTGGGGTTGCCAGCCTGAGTGCCAGTTGGGGCCACACAGGTACCTCCCCAGGAGGATGTGGCCTCCTGGTCTAAAAGGAACTGGCTCCTGGGCTATGATGACCTAGGGCACAGCCGCGGGGGGCCTCTGCCTCTGGCCCAATCTGGACTCCCCCAGGTGACCCGGGGCCCAGGTGGACTGAGCAAGGTCCCTCCTGGGAAAGGCAGGACCCGTCAGGGGCCATGTCCCAGGCCCCATGGCAGAGCCCCTCTCAGGGTCCTATGTCGGGCAGCCCTCCCCTTCCCTGAGGCTGGGGCCAGCTGTTGAGGGGCTGATGCCTCCCTCACATGGGGGCAGGGGCCCACGACTGCAGGTGCAAAACCGTGGCTCAGTGCCTGGTACGGGGAAAGGCTCTGGATAGTTTGGGGCTCCTGGAGCCCCTCAGAAGCAGGACCCTGGGCCCCAAGGCCACCTTCCCCTGCATTTATGTCCCAGTAGAACATATCCAGTGGGACTCGGGGTTCCGCCTCCCTGCTCTAACCTCTCCCTTGCCCCAAGCCCTGGCTCCCTCCTTCCCGGAGGCCTCAGAGTCCCTCCTGCAGTCTGACTCTAGTCTCTCTTGCTTTGGCACAAGCCCAGTTTCTCCTGCGGAGGAGGGGAATGCACCCGGCCCAAGACCACCCCACCCGGCTTCACAGAGGCCCGTGTGCTCCCTCAGCCTCCACCTGTTAGGACCCCAGGGACCCCAGACTCACGCGGATCACAGGCTGTCTCCACAGCAGCAGGGAGCCACGCTGGGTGCTTGGCCACACAGAGCGCAGGCAGGACACAAGGTGCCCAGGGCCACCACCGCCCTGCCCAAAGTGCCAAGTGCTGCCTCAATGCTGGGATGCCTGAGGCTTAAATAGGACCCTGGGCAAGGGCTCGGCCCTCCTAGCGCCCGCCCCTGCTCACTTGAGTGCGTGCACACACACAGGCTCACACACACGCACGTGGGCTCGCACTCACACACAGGCGCACTCCGTAAACACTCCCCCAGCAAGTGCAGCAGTGAACCTCCCCCTCCCCGTGCCTGTGGGCGGGCACACTGGAGGGCTGTGTGGGCAGACAGCCTGCCGAAGAGCCCTTTTCCCGCTGACACCTGGGCCCCTGGGCCTCCCTCCAGAGCTGGGCCAGGTGGGGAAAGCCACCTCTTTATTCAGCCTGACTACGGAGGCAGGCGCAGAGGACCTGGGCGGGTTGCTGTCCTCATCTGGACTCCTCTGTCCGGGACGGCCCTTCCTGTCCCACAGCCCTCGGTGGCTCCCCAGTGCCCTGGCTCAAGGGCCTCCCGGCCAGCTCAACTCAAGCCTCTGGTTGCTGCCTCTCTGTCTCATTCCTGGTTGGACCTACACTGTCTCCAGCCTCTGAGGCCAACCCTGCCCTGTCCCCTACCCTCCACCCCAGAATGAGTTCTCTGGACCCCCAGACCACACCCAGCCACACCGCCTCAGATCCCAAAGCCCCGAATGTGCTGGCTGCAAGGCCCCTGCACTGTCTGGGCACAGGGTGGGGAGGGGCAGGGGCTGGTTGGTCACCAACAGCAACGGCGCAGCATCGGTGTCACCAACAGCAACGGCGCAGCATCGGTGTCACCAACAGCAACGGCGCAGCATCGGTGTCACCAACAGCAACGGCGCAGCATCGGTGTCACCAACAGCAACGGCGCAGCATCGGTGTCACCAACAGCAACGGCGCAGCATTGGTGTCACCAACAGCAACGGCGCAGCATTGGTGTCACCAACAGCAACGGCGCAGCATTGGTGTCACCAACAGCAACGGCGCAGTATTGGTGTCACCAACAGCAACGGCGCAGTATTGGTATCAGCTGCACTTTGCAGATGAGGACCCCAACTGAGAGCTGAAAGCCCTTCCCTGAGGACCCCAGCAGAGGGGGAAGGGGGCCCACCCGGCCACTGACGCCCCAGGGATGTATCCCCCACCCACCCTCGCTGCAGTCCCCATACAGGCTGCCACCAGGGTGCAGACGGTCCTTACTCGGAGGTACCCAAGGTTCTGACCTCGGTAAGGCCAGTGGGGTTCAGGTCAGCAGAAAGCCAAGAGGCCCTGCCACGTCCTCACAGACCCTGGGAACCCCGTTTGTCTGGGGCCAGGATCTTGGCTGTCCCAGGCGTCCTGCCCCGCGGTGGTTGCAGGGGCCAGGGGAGCAGGGCCCGCAGCAGGTGGGGGCTCCCTGGGGCCCTGGCCAAGGCCTCCAGAGTGCTGGGCCAGGCAGCTGGACACTTGGAACTGTGTCCCCTTGCCCTGCTGGCCCAGACCCAGGGCAGTTTGTTGGGGTGACGTGAAGCCTGGAAGCCCTCAGAGGCTGTGCTTTCTAGAAAGCCATCAGCCCCTGAGGCCGGCTGACTGGTCTGTCCCACACATGCTGCCAGCCTCCCACTCCTTCCTTGGCGGCCCAGATGTGATGGGCAGAGCCAGCTGTGGACAGGGCAGACCCAGCTGTGGACAGGGCAGGGCCAGCTGTGGACAGGGCAGGTGTCTGGGTCCCAGTCCTGCTCCTCCCTCCAGGCCCAGGGAGGCTGGGGGATCACCGGGACCCCCGGGAAGGCCTGACCAGGTGCTCCCTGGGTGCCCTTCCCTCCACACCTCTCCCATCAGTGGACGGATGGACCTAGCCCAGATGGTTGGGCAGTGCTGGGGCTGAATGAGGGGAAGGTAGGCTGTGCCCTGCTGGTGGGAAGGATGGGCTTGGGCAGCCTCGGGGGGCTGCGAATCCCAGCCCAGCACCCACACCCCTCTGCAGGTTGGTGCCCACGGAAGAACAATTTCAGACTATTTCTAGTGGTTTGGACCCAGCCGTCCTGCTCGGGGGAGCTCCAGGCTGACCTCCGAACCCGGACTCGGCCCATCGGTGCCCCTGAACACCAACCAGCTCTCCCGTGGCTGGGGTGGCCCTGGCACAGCTGACACCTGCCAGGCACAGGCCCGGCCTGTCACCTGTCCCCCCACCAACCCCGAGTCTGACCACCAGTCTGTCTGTCCCCCGTCCGTCCACCCATACACTTGGCAGTCACTGCAACTGCCCCACCCCTCCCGCCACCTCTGTGTGCCACAGCAACGCGGGGGGCTCCTGGCTAGCCCTGAGGACCCGGGTGGCGCCCAGGCTGCGCTGCTGCTGCTTGCTGGGCTGTGACCCTCTGCTCCACTCGTGACCTTGAGCCCAGGTGGGGTAGGGCAGGGTGGGGCCTCCCAGCCCCTGACCAGGAGGAACCCTGAGTGGACCTAGCCCCTTGCTGTCCCCTCACCAGGGGCTCTGCAGCCATGCACAGGCCACCCAGCTGCATCCCCTCCATGACCCCACTCACCATCGGTCCTGCCCCGGCCCCTGCACCCACAAGGAGAGGCCCCAGTACCTTGGCCCAGCTGGAGCTGCAGGTGCTTCCACACCAGGGCCTGACCATGGGTGTGGCTTAGGGGCTTCCCACCCACCCCTTGGGTGCCCCTCAGGCCCCTCTGCTCAGGGACCCCCGCCAGGTGTCAGAGATCCCAGGATTCCCCCAGGGACTGTGTTGGCCTCGTCCACCCCTCCAGGGCCCTGGTAGGATACACAGGCTTGACCTCACTGGCCAGAGCCTCCAAGAGCCACCTCAGGAAGGGGCACCCCATCAGGGGATCTGTGCAGCCCGGCTCTCACAGTGAAGGCAGCCAGTTCCTTTCAGGGACACGCTCCTGTGACTAGCGGATGGGTCTGGAGGGTCCCAACAAAGGAGGGTGGGGGCTGGAGTCAGAGAGAGAGGCCACCTGAAGGCTGGGAAGAGCCAGCCCCCAACTGGTGAACAAGATGGAAACTGAGGCCCAAAGAGAGGCGGGGCGTTCCATGCAGAAGAGCCCAGCCTAGAGTCCCCAGGAGGCTCCTCGGTGGCCGGGGCCTCTGAGGCCAGGTGCGACCACAATGCTAAACACTGAGCCCTGCCCAGAGCCCCCACCGGGGTCCCAGGACAGCACTGCACCAGGTGCACCGGGGAGGGACCCCTGCCTCCCCGGAGTGCCCGGGCCTGACCTGGCCCCGTTGGCTGGCAGTGGAGTTGGGGCGCAGTTGCCAAGCTCTCCTCCCTCTCGGCCTGGATCTGCCGTCAAAGACGCCTACCGTGCGTGGCACGTGCACCCGGACGTCGGCGCTGTCCAGCGGGGAGTGGCTGCCCTCCCGGGGCCTCCTCTCAGCGTCCGGGCCTTCCTGGTACTTCCTGCTCCTCACGGGGAGGGGTAGCGAGTCCCTGCTGGGCCCCCGCCAGTCCCCTGAATGGTGGCTGTCTCCATTCTGCTCCTGGGGAGGGGTAAGGCTGTGCGTGGCCTGGGCAATTGTGAACCAATGTCCCCATCCCAGGACCCTGAAGGGAAGGCCAGGCCGCCTCCATTTCATGGATGCACGCCGTAGGTGCCCAGTACCCAGAGAGGAGGAGAGGACTGGGGCTGTGGGCCCTTGGCTGGGGCCGGGAGAGGCAGGGTGGGGTGTTTGAGGGCCAGTGGCCCCCGCAAATGTCAGCCGGCTTATACCAGCAATGACAGTGACTGTGGGCGTCCTTGGGTCTCGTCCCCACAGCAGAACCCTGACGGCC
Source organism: Homo sapiens (assembly GCF_000001405.40). Taxonomy (NCBI): domain Eukaryota; kingdom Metazoa; phylum Chordata; class Mammalia; order Primates; family Hominidae; genus Homo; species Homo sapiens. The sequence continues at coordinate 136,349,294 of NC_000009.12, read as the reverse complement.
ATCCACAACTGAACACAGGCCACACCAGAGGAACCAGAGGCTCAGAGAGATCAGGCTGCTGGCCCAGGCCACACAGCACCCACTGCCGACAGGCACAGGGCCAGCCCAGGGCCCTACGCCAGGCAGCCCCCGAATCTGTCTGTGTGGGTCTGCTGAACCCCAGCCAGTGTCTGCACCTGCAGCAGCTGTGCCCACTTTGGGTCAGAGTCCGAGAGGGCAGGGAGCAGGCAGGAGTGGGTGCCCCTGTCTGTGGGCTCCCGAGGGTGTGGTGGCATAGCAGCTGGGTGGAGTATGGGGGCCTGAAATGTGTGAGGACCATGCCTCGCCTGGGGCACAGCTGGCCAGACGCTGAGGGACATGGGTGAGCAGGTGGCAGATGGGCCATGCAGGGCATCAGGCCGAGGAGGGCACATTTATCTCCCAGCAGACAGGGGCTGAGGTGGGTGGCGGTGGCTCTGCCTCATTAACCCCGCTGCCCATGCTCTGGCAGCGGCTGTGCTGACATCGGTCCCGTGTCCCTGGCTCACCCGCTCCAGGGGGAGTCTCAGCAGGTCCCAGGTCTCCGCGCTCAGCCTCTGCGTCCTCTTGGGTCTGGCCCCTGAAGACAGAGGGACCCGGTCAGCCCAGCACCACCCTGGCACCTCGCATTGGGTGGGCCAGGCCAGAGTCTCTGGGGGGCCAAGGACCAGCCCGGCCATGGCTTTCTGACAGCCAGCCCCCCTTGTGGAGGCGAGCGCCATGTCTGAGTGTCCTCTGCGTCTCCCCGACTGTACTGTCAGAGTCAAAGGGGACAGGTGTCGAGACAGAGCGCGTCCTGGCTGGGGCCAGGTGGGGTCTGGCTTTGGCTCCCTGTGCTGGAAGGGCCCGGCTCTGGACAGGCCTCTCCCCTGCCGCACACAGGGCCTCCCCCGTCAGTCCTGCTGTTCCCTCTGCCTGGATCACCCTTCCTGTGGCCCCTGGTCACCTCTGTGAGGCCACCCAATCCCCCCTCCTGAGGGTGCATCATGCTGTGCCCCGGAGGCAGGTGGGGCGGGCCTGTGGGTCCACTCCCAGCTCACTGCGGGCAGCCCAGGCCAGGGTCGGGGACGCAAAGGCCTCAGATGAATCCCCCAGACCAGCTCTGCCGTGGGACCTTCCCCGGGCTCCTGTCCATCCCTCCTGGCCCGGGGCTCACCCTACTGGCCGTGTCTCCACCCAAGGGACCCCCATCCCCTCTAGCCGCAGTGGGGTGGTGGGGCACAGCTGCCTGACCCAACACTGGCCAGCTGCAGACTCAGCGGAGCCACCAGTGCCTGTCCCGGGCCCCTGGGAAGCCCCACAGCCAGGCCCACCTTCAAGCCTCAGTCCCAACACGGCCCTGGCAGAGACGGGTGTCACTCAGCCCTGTCCCAACACAGCCCTGGCAGAGACGGGTGTCGCTCAGCCCTGCGGGGCCCGAAAGGATTTGGGAGTTTGGGAGAGTGGGCCCTACCTCAGCCCAGCCGCTCCCTGAGCACTCTCAGGAGCCTGTATCCAGGGCACGACAGACCTGGCAGATCAGAAATCAGTTGGCGAACGGAAAAAATGGGATGGAATCCGGGAAGTGGGGAATGTCCTCAACCAGGCAGGAAGCCCTGTGGGAAGGGCCCGATGCTGTGGCTGAGAGCCAGGGTCTGCGGGCGCTTCCCTGAGGAGGCGGCGGGACGGACAGGGGCACAGCCACTGTGGAAAGGGCAGCAGAACGTTCTAGGCAGAGGGGACGACGGCGGAACGAGGCTGACACTGAGGACCCTGTCTCTGCTGTCCCTACGCCTGGCACATCTCCAGGGAGACTCTCGCAGCTGGGAGGACCCTCATCCTCCTCCCTGCTCACCCACAGCTCCCACCCCCCTATGCCCACCCTTACCCAGTCTTCCTGGGAACCAAGCGTCCCTCCACCCGTGGACACACTGGACACGGGCTGTGCCCAGGAGCCCTGCGCACACCCAGTGTGAGTCCGAGGGCGGGGCCAGAACCAGCCCTGGCATCAGTGGGCACTCTGAGAATCCAGTCCTGGCACCTCCAGACCATCAGACTTGGCCCCATTACTACGCCTCGGAGCTCAGCGCCCTCCTCATCAGACTGCGCCGGCATGGATGGGCCGGGCCGGGCAGTTCCCCTCCGCACTCATCCCCCCGAGAGGCTCAGCTCCTAAAGTGAAGCTGCTTGGTGGCTGCCTGCATCAGGCAGATGTCGGGGGGCAGGCCCAGACACCCCCTTACCCTGTCCAGGCCCCACTGCATCAGGGAGCACAGCCACCAGGGTTGGGGCACTCGTCAAAGTTAGCAGCATGAATGGCCAGGCAGGGTGCCGGGGCCTCAGGTGCACCCGGACCCCACCGTTAGCCCTGGGTTCTGGGCCCTGCCGGGGAACACAACATCCACAGAGGGAGAGAGCCGGCTCAGGCGGGCAGTCACTCGGTCATTTCAGGCACTGGGCCCCACACACAGCCCCTCCCAGCCTCACCTGCACAGCTGTCACTCAGCCAACATCCCCCTGACCCCAGCCTCAGCAGGGCCCTGATTTAAATATGAGCCTGGCCCCGACCATGAGGGAGGGAGGAAATGGGCCCGAGTGTCAGGGTCTCTCAGGGTCTCCCTTACAGGCCCATGCTGCGGATGAGAACAGGCCTGGGTCTTGCTGGGGGGCTGCTGTCTGAGCATTGTGCCACCAAATGGAGTCCAAGCCTCCACCCCCAACTGGGAAGGGGGTCCTGCTGCCACCTAGTGAATGGCAGTGATGAGGATGCACTGGGGGCTTCAGACGGCTAAGAAGGCACCTGGTGGACAGCAAGGTGCTACCTATGGGGCAGAGGGGAGCCCCTGGATCGGCCTGGCTGCTAGCAGCCCCTTCCTGAGTCTGTCCATGTGACCCGTTTAAATGGTGAGCTCCTAAACGCAGCTGGGGGGAAGGGGACAGGAGCAGAGGGAGCTGAGGACTTGGGGGCCCAGGCTGGTCTTCCGCCTCCAGCCCGCTGGCCCCAGACCAGCCCACGGCGAATGCCTACAGCTTCATGAGAGCTGGGCAGGGACCGGGAACTGGCTGAGTGTGGGCTGTGCGCTTCCCTGGCCTGGCCTCTGGGCTCCGAGGACACACCCTAAGCTCCTGCTCTCCAGGGGCCTGGGATGGAAACCTGTGCGGCCAGAGGCACACGTGGGGCCCATCAGGGGCCTGAGCAGGACACTGGGACCTGGGGCCGTCCACTGCTCCTCCCACTCCCAACACAAACGCCCGGGGCAGGGCTCCCATCGCCACCCTGTGGCCACAGTGGTCAGCGGGATCAGGGTTAGCTCCGGCACATTCAGGATCCGGCCAGGCACTGAGGTGGAGCCGCCCCAGCCTCGGGTGGTGCAGCTTGAAGGGACAGAACGGGGCTGGGGTCGACGGCCTGTTCTCTGAAGGGCCACCAGCTGCCCACCCCCACCCAGATGAGCAAGGTAGCTCTGAGGACAGCTGCTGACCCCACACAGTTCGGGGCCTGCTCCCCACACCATGGAAATGACAGAGGAGCACGTCTGTGCTGGGGCGGGCCCTTCACTTACCACACCCAGCGAGAGCCCCGCTCCGTCTCCCGGTGTGCACTGCCTGAGGGCCTGGCTCTCCCTCTGCCGCCCCCAGTGCCATGGGGGCCTAAGTTGGTTTCCCCACCGCATCCTCCGGGTCCTGGGCCCGGCACAGCTGCTTCTGCCAGGCCTGGCCCTCCACCAGGACACCGCATGGATGGGCCCTGGCTGCAGCAGCGGCTGAAATGCTCTTCTGAGACACAGCCTGCGTCTGGCCCCAGGGCGGGCGCCCTCATGGCCAGGCACGGACGGTGGGCGGAAGGCCCGCTGCGCCTGGCTCAATGCACCCTCTGTCTGCAGAGTCGGCTGAGGCGTTGAGTGTGAGTCCAGCGCCCTTGGCTGAGCTGCCCAGACAGGCCCGGCCCACTGGCTTGGCTTCCTGTCTCTCCCGCCTGCGAGGGCAACGTTTGGAAACTTCTCCCAGCACCGCCCCATGGCCACCCGACGCTGACCGTCACACTGTCATCATCATTTCTGTCCTCACCCAGCTCCAGACGTTTATGTGCAATGGCCAACTCAAGCCCATCGAGCATCTTGGTGCCCCCTGTGCCTGCCGGACCCCTCAGGGCAGCACCCGCCCCGCCGGCTTGGCTCAGACCTCAGCAACCCCGATTTTCAGCTGCCCACGGTTCCTTCACGCCCACCTCTGGTCTGAAATCCAGTCTGTCCCCGCCTCACTGCAGATCCAGAGTCCCACCCCTCCTCACCTCCCTGGAGCCGGATCACCTGCCCCTCACCTGCCTGCTGCCCCAGCCTTGCCCCTAAGTCCCCTCTCCATGCAAGGACCATGGGGTTGGTAAGGGCTGGCCTAGGCCTTGCCCCTTCTCTGCTGGGTCCTGAGGGCCCCGCCCCATTGGGGAGGGGGTCTCACACAAGGGCCCACGAGGCCCTCCCTTCTTCGGCCAAGGCCCTCGCCTTGCTCCGTCAGCTCCAGACAGTCTCCCTGTCCCTTCACCTACCAGGCTGGCCCCTGCCTCAGGCCCTTTGCACAGGCTGTTATCTCTGCCCAGACTGCTGTTCCTCCGTCTAAGCTTGCGGCTCACTTCTCTCTGACTTCCAGTCTTTGCTGGAGCATCATGATCAAAGCCCTAACTCCCCATGGGATGGTGTTAGGAGGTCCTGAGGTTTACATGAGGTCATGAGAATGGAGCCCCATAATGACAAGTGGCCTTAAGAGAAGCCACCAGTGTTCTCAAGCTCCCCCTTCTTCCTCGCTGTCTCTGCTAGGTGAGGACACAACAAGAAAGCGCCGTCTGCCAGCCCGGAAGAGGCTCTCGCCAGCACCCGAGCACACAGCACCCAAACCCTGGCCTTCTGGCCTCCAGAGCCGTGAGGAGTAAACGTCTGCTGTTGCTGCCCCGGCCTGCGGTGCTTTGTGAGGGCAGTCGGAATGGACCATGATGGTCATCTCCCAAAGGTGCTGCAGCCTGCTTCCCCTGTTCCTGTCCGCGCCTCCCCTGCTCCTGTCTGCGCCCCACCCCGCTTCTGTCCGCGCCCCCACCCCGCTCCTGTCCGCGCCTCCCCCCGCTCCTGTCCGCGCCTCCCCCCGATCCTGTCCGCACCTCCCCCGTTCCTGTCCGCACCTCCCTGTTGGGCTTTTCTTTCTCCCAAAGCTCATCCCATGTGGCTCACTCCTGGGCTCCCCGTTCCTCACCTATCAGCTGCTGGACGCGGCTCAGCGGTCTTGGTGCCAGTGAGGGCCCCAGCAGTGCCTGGCACACGGCAGGAGCCTGGTGACCAAGCAGCAGGCATTTACTGTGTATCTGCTGCGTGCGGGACCCTGTGTGCCATTTCCCACACACTGTCCCCTCTGGGCCCTCTTAGGCGCACGGACAGAGGGTGCATCCTCCATCCCGGCGGCTGCCCAAGGGCCACTGGGCTGCTGGAACAGGCGGATGGTGCTGCAGCCACACCTGCCTCGTCCACCCAGGGCCCGAACGCAACAGGCTTACGGGCCCTCAGGCTCGCTGGCCTCTCACCCCTGCCAAGCTCTGTTCCCAGCACTACTGATGGGCCCGTTCCCCAGATGGGGACACTGAGGCACAAGTGGGTCAAGTCACTTGATCAGCTGGCCAGGGCTGGAGCCCACAGCCTAAACTGCAGGGGAGGTTATGCCATGCACATCCCTGACCCCAAGGCCACTCGTTGGGACGTTCAGGGGACTTCTCCCAGGAAGGCTGGTGGCATGCTCCCCCAGTAACTCTTGTGTACCGTGCTCACAACGCCCTGAGCAGGGCCCAGACGGTGGAGGGCTGAGAAGTACGGTCAGCAGGGCCGAGGGCAGTCGCACATCCTGTGGGACAGGCAGGGCCATCGGGGACAGGCCAAGGGCAGGGGGCGGTCCTGCAGGGCTCAGGGCCGGCTCCCTCCTCCCAACATGCCAATCATGCTGCCCGCACCAAGAGTGGCAGCAGAGCCTCCGTCCTGCCTGGCACCCTTGCTGGGGTGGGGGGTGGGCAGCCCAGGAGCAAGTGTGGGAGGCCCGGGCCTGTGCCCTCTGGCCAGGGAGGTGGGGGCTGGTTGCTGTCAGGGTCTCATAGAGGCCACACACCCAGAGGAGCTGGACAAGGGCAGTGGCTGGCAGGGTGGTGACCCCCAGACACACTTCTGGGGCTTCTCTGCTGGCTGGGGAGGGGCCAGCAGAGGGCGGTGAGATTAATACGCTGACTGAGCCGCGCCAAGGCTCTTTGTCCTCCAGCCGCACGTAAGTCTCCTTGTGTTTATCAACGGGACACCAAACCCACCAGCCTCTGCCACGCCCACCGCCCCCATGGACCACGCCCACAACAGCAAGGCCACGCCCCACCGCGTCCCCGCCGGGCTGAAGCCCCACCTCCAGACGACTTCCTCCTCCCTGCCCACACCCCGCTGGGCAGCGCCCTCCTGTGCCCCCAGCCCTGGCGCCCCCTCCGCACGGCCAGGCTCTAGCGCGGCTCTGCACCCCCCTCCCCTCCCGCAGCTCGCAGATCCACCCCGCCCTCCGCACCTGCCGAATGGGGAGGCTGCGTGGGTCCTTCCGTGGCGCCCCCAACCCGCAACGCCGGGTCCAGACTCCCGGCCTCAAGGCCCTGTCCCTGCCAGGCTCAGCTGAGCCGGGGTCTCACCCAGGGCCGCCCAGGCTCTAGGTGTGCAGCCTGCCTCCCACAGCGGCAGCCGGGCGGCGGCCCCAGCCAGGCTGCCGGGCTGCCCTGGGCGGGGAGGAGGACCCTTCCCCAGCCCTGGGGGAGGAGGCGTCCGGCCGGCTGGAAGGGGTCCCGCACTCGGGGCGGCACAGAGGAGCCAGAGAGGGACAGAAGCTGCATTGTTCCAGCGTCCTCCCACTCCGGCCCCCCTTTTCCTTGGCTCCAAGAAAGAAAACGTCGGGAGGACCCAGAGCCGCAGCCTCCGCGGAGCCTTTCCAGAGCTGCTCCCAGCCCTGCTGCCAGTTGCTGCTGGGGTCCCAGATGGTGGCAGTGCCGAGCCAGGGACACAGGAGGGTACTAGGGGTGCCGCAGGAGCTCTCGGCAGAGCTCCCCACCCTTAGGAAACCCCGGCCATGGGTAGAAATAGGCCTGGACATCCTGGGGGGCACATTCCAGCCCATCCCCTACCCACCCACTGCCATCGGTCACAGCACCTTGTCCCACGGACTCGCTGAGGGCCCCAGAGCCTCTGCTCCTTCCTCTGTCTTCAGCCTCTGCGGTGGCTGACATGCACCCCCAATTTCCCAGGAGAGGTCATCGTCAGAAACCCATGAGCACTGTGGCACAAAAACCCAGGGGATGGCTGGGCACGGTGGCTCACGCCTATAATCCCAGCACTTCTGGAAGCCGAGATGGGAGGATCGCTTGAGGCTGGGAGTTTGACACTGGCCTGGGCAACATAGTGAGGCCCTATCTCTATAAAAACATTTAATTATTAAAAATAAGATAAGAAAAAGAAACTCCGGCAGCCCAGCACCACATCCAAGCCTGGTGTTCCCAGCCTGGTCCTTAGCAGGCCTGGGGGGCACCAGGTACGTTCTGGGAGGCAGGCATCCCTTCTCGGGGGCTGGCAAACTCAAGACCTTTGGGAGTGGGGGACACATGGGTGGGGCAGCTGCTCCCCCCAAGCCTGCCCCTCACCCACCTGCCAGCCACCTCAGGAAGTCGGCCCAACCTGGCACCACCCCCCTGGCACCTATTAGTCTTTTCGCTTTGCAGGGGACGTTCTGTCCTGTGTCTGCAGCACTGCTGACCGGCATGGGACGACCAGCGGTCCATGAATGAGGTCACCACGGTGGCCTCGCATGGCCTTGGGCCTTGCCTGATTACTGCCCCAGGCACATAGGGCTCCCACAGCCCAGCCCAGCCCAGCCCAGCCCAGCCCTCTGGCTGATGCCCTCTCGCCTCCCAGCAGCCCTCTCCTACTTGGGTCTGAGGACAGAAGCCCTCCCTGCACCGAGGGCTCCAGGGGGAGGTGGGGGTGGAGGCCCTGGAGCAGCCAGTGGGGCAACAGGCGACCACCTCCTGTCCTTCATCCAGCAGCCCTGCAGCGCCACTCAGGATGCGGGTGGGAAGGGCTCAGGGTGAACCTCAGGCCTGTGCTGTCCCTGAGGCCAAGAAGAACTGGCTTGTAGGCGCCATTTTCTGGCGGCTGCCACCTCCGCCATGCTGGCCTGGCCTCGATCCCACCCCTCCGCAGCTCCTGATGCGGTCCGTGCCTGTGGGGAGCAAGACCCCCCCACAACCCTGGAACTCACCCTGGGCCTCATAGCCGGCCAGGTCAGGCTTCTCTGAGGCTGCCGGGCTGGTCAGGCGGCCGAGCACCAGCTGCAGCTGCGCCACGTTCATGCGGGCCGTGAGCTCCCCATGGCGGTCCCCGATCTGCGGCGAGTGGGGTGGCGGAGCGGGCAGGTGTGGCTGGGGGCCCTGCTGTGGGCTCCAAGGGGACCTTAATGGCCCCCAGTACACCCGTCCCTGACCTTCTGAGTGACCTGAACTGGTCACTGACCCCTGGGCCTCTGAGGGAACCAGGACTCACTGTGGACCCGGAGGTGGAGTCTGGGGGTCTGTCCCTGGGTGAGGTGGCCCCACAGGTCCTCAACAGCCCCTAGTTCACCCCAGAGATGCTTGGGGTCCCAGGCGGTTGGGCCTGTGCCCTCCGGTGCGCGAGGGGCCCGGCCCCGCCCGGCTGCACCTCTCTCAGCCCCTGCCTTGTGCGCCGAGGCTCTGTGGGGGACCCTCCCGGGAACATCCACATCACTCAGGAACTAACTGTTTGCTTAAGTCAAGCAGAAGAGAGGTGGCATGGGGTTGGGGGGAGGGCCACATGGAGCCCTGGAAGGCCCTGGAGGCTGTAGCCTGCACTCAGAGGGACACGGGGGCTGCCTGCTGGCTGCCAGTGAAGCTCTTCAGACGAGGGCTCTGCTGACCTTCCCATGCCCGCCCCTCTCCACCCTCACCTGGGCACCTGCAGGCCTCCCCACCCGGCCACCTCCTACATGGGTCTATGGTGGTCAGTAGGGGCTGGCACCGTCTTTAGCATGAACAGGCTCGGGGTGTGCAGAGGGAGGTGGCGTGGGAGTGGGTGATGTAAGGACAGGCCGGGAGCCGGGAGGCCCACAGTTCATCTGTGATGTTCCGCCCTGACCACAGTAGGAGGGCGCTGATGGGCGGAGCCCACAGAGACCCTGTGCAAACTCTCCAAGGAGGAGGAGACGCAGCTGCCCAGGAAGGCACCAGCTGGGGGCTGCAGGAAAAACCCCCGGGCATGGTAGACATGTCATCACCAGGCCTCGGAAGGACCAGGCAGCTGCAATGGCCCTGAAAGGATGAGGGGGGCCCAGGCACGCACACGCTCGCTCGGGGCAGAGGGGACCCGGCCCGTCTGGAGTGGGCTGGGCAGTGCCCGGGACTTCTGGGGGCAGGCCTGGCTCACCTCCTGGGAGATCTGCAGGTGCTTCTTGGCGAAGGTCAGGGCCTGCGCTGGGCGCCCCATGGACACGTAGGCATTTCCCAGGCTCCAGCACGCCCGGCCCTCGCCCACTCTGCCAGAGAGGGAGACCAGATTCATACCCGCCCTCTCCAGGCCAGCCCCCAGCCCCAGCCCCTCCCCTGGTGGTCACGGCCCCAGCATGACCCTGGCTTCGAGGGTCATCAGGGGCCCCCAGGCCCAAGGGGCATTGGCCGGATGACAGGATAATGCCCCCAGCTGGACCTCCCACAAATTCTGCCACCTTCAAGCATAAGCCCCAATCAGCTCTGCCTTTTTTCTTCCCATTAAAAGGATTAGCGCAGAGTCCAAGCAACCTGGCCTGTGGCCGGCTCTGCCTTTGCGGGCAGTTTCTGGGCCCTTGGCCTCGCTCGCCCCCTGGCGGCCGGCAAGCCTCCTCCCTTGCACTCCCTCCACCCTTACGGGCACCCTCCAAGTCACTGGGTGAGGGGGTTGTTTTTATATTGGAGGGAAATGCGTCTAACAGGAATTTGATCATTTTCACGTGGACGATCCACTGGCATTTTGTACATTCATGCTGTGCAACCGGCACCTCTGTCTATTCCAGAACATTCTCCTCACCACGCCACAAAGGAAAACCTTGGGCCACTTTTAAGCCTCCAGGCAGGGCAGCCTTTCAAAAGACCTCTCCTCTCTGCTGCCTGTGAAAGGCCACAGGCCTGTGGCTCTGAGCCCCTTGTTCCGGCCACCACCCACCCCAGACCTGCACACAAGACAGTACTTAGGGGCCTGTGGTTTGCCAGCCTGTCTCTCTCCAGAGAGTGATATTTACATACATACATGGGTGGTGGGGGCAACAGGGTGGCGAATTGAGGGATGGGAGGGGGACCCCACCCGCTTGTGCCAGGGGTCAGTGGCCGGCCCAATGTCCACACTGTCTGGCTCAGTCCCCACAGTGGCGTTGCCACTCCTGGGTCACAGCATGGTCAGTGGCAGAGCAGGGGATGGGACCCAGGCCACCTCGCCTGGGCCGCGGTAATTCAGCCTGTGGGCCGGGCCGGGTCTGCCCGCCGCGTCCGCGCCCACGCACCTGTCGGCCAGCTCCTGGGCAATGAGCAGGTGCCGCAGGTGGTACTCGGCCGCGCGCTCGTAGTCCTGCAGCAGCGTGTAGGTGTTGCCCAGACTGTAGCAGGCCTGCGCCTCCACTGCCTGGTCCCTGAGCTGCCGAGACAGTTGCAGCGTCTTCCTGTGCAGAGTGGCAGGGTCAGCCCCCAGGAGGAGGGCTCCAGGGTGAGGGGTGGAAGGTAAGAATGGGGACGCAGTCTGCCCGATGGTCCCCTGCCCCGGAATCCCACTGGGGCCTCTCTGGGGTCCAGCTTCATCCCCACCCTCACATGGCCACAGAGCGGGACTGTTGGCCCCAGGGGGACGGGGGGTCCTGCCAGGCTCTGGCAAGTTGCCTGACCACCCTGAGCCGCCACCACTCCTCCCCGGAGGACCTGAGACTGCTGTGCCCACTGCTCAGGCTGAGATGGGGTTAAGTTTAGGGCTGGGCACAGGACCCCGTGCTGACAGCCGGGCTCCACCCGGCAGGCGCTGCTCTGTGGCTCAGGCCAGGAGGCAGATGGCCCAGACCTCCCATAGGCCGGCTCCCCCACCGCCTGCCTCCCCATGAGCTTTGTCCGTCTGCCCTTCCCGGGGCAGCCTAGAACCCCACCTTGCCTTCTGGGGAGGGGAGGGGAGGCAGTCAGATTCCCAGCTTGGGGCGGGCACTTCCTTGGCCTGGCATCCAGCCCCCCCGGCCTGCTGTCTCCCTGGGAGATTGTGGGGACCACCTACTTGTAGTACTCGGCGGCCACGTCAAAGCGCCCCAGGAAGACGTGGGCGTTCCCCAGGTTGCTGTAGGCCCTCCTCTCGGCTGCCTTGTCTCCAAACTCCTTAGCAATGGCCAGGCGCTGCGGAGACACACCGGAGGCCAGGTGGTCATGGCGCAGCCCCGGGGCCTGACGTGGGCGGACAGGGGCTGCCTCCCTGCCCAGGTGGCCGGCCAGAGATCTGTGTGTCCGGGTGAGCAGCTAGCAGCTGCAGGACCAAGTGCAGATGAGGCCAGGACTCGGTGGGGCGGGCCTGCTGCCTGGCCATACCACCCTGCCCTTTCAGGGACCGCCAAGAGGGTGGCTCAGCCCTGCCCCTGCAGCAGCCCGGCCCCTCCACCCTGTCACCCTGCCCGGCTCACCTCCTTGTGGAAGGTCGTGGCCTCTGTGAAGTTCCCCAACAAATAGTGGGTGTTGCCCAGGTTGCCGTAGGCCCTGCCCTGCGCCGCACGGTCGCCCAGCTCCTTCACCAGGGACAGGTTCCTCCTGGGGGCCGAGTGCCTCTGAGCCGTGTCCCTCCCAGCCCATGTCCTCACCCACCCCAGGCTAGAAGAGCTGAGTAGCGGCCTCCATGCGGCCTCAGGGCCATGCCCTGGAAAGAGGGTGGCTAGGGTAGGCTCCAGGGTCCTCGAGCTCTGAGACCTGGGGCTTGGTCATGTCCCCCAAGTCCCTGACAGGGGCAAGCTCAGGGGAGGGAGCCAGCAGCTGAGAAAGCGGGGGTGGGCGGACCTGGCCGTCACTGCCCTGGGAGCTGTCGGGAGGTATGGGGCTGGGGTCGGGGGTCTGGAAGTGTCTGTGGAGCTCAGAAACGCACAGGCCAGCCCCGGTCCCTGGGCTGGCCCTGCCCCACTCACTCGTAGAACTCGGAGGCCTTGCACAGGGTCTCTCGGACATCGGGCGGCAGGTGCCCGGGGTCCTGCGTGGCGTTTGCGGCGTTCCAGGACAGTTGCTTGCCTTTGGCGTGGTACACGTTCCCGATGTTGTAGAGGGCCCTCGCCTCCCCAACCTGTGGGCAGTACGGAGGGTTGGGGGCATGCCTCCACGGCCCCCCACACGATGTGCAGAGCCGGCACACCGGTGTCCTCACTGTCCCAGCCCTCGACAGCGAGGGCCTTGGGGGCTCCCACTGAGTCACAGACACTAAGGCAGGGGCGGAAGCCTGAGGACGGCACACCCGGGAAGCCAGCCTCCGCCCTCCCTCACCATCCCTCCCTCCTCTGCGGATTGGCGTGGCCAGGGTGCCAGGTCCTCAGCTCTGTCCTCTGATGACCGAGGCTGAAAGCTCCAGCTGGGACCAGATGCTGCGGCCTCAAGCCCCCTTGGTCACCTCCAGCTGTGTGACGGGGGGTAAGTCACGTCCCCCCAGCCTTGGTTTTCTCGCCTCACAGGGCCATGGAGGGAGGTCAGCAAAGCCTGTCTCGGGTCCAGCACAAGCGGAGACGGAGCCACTCTTCCTGCTGTCACCACCGCCATTGAAATCGGCCTCCCACTGCCGCAGCCCAGAGCCACCCCCTGCCTCCCGCTGGGCCCCCCAGGGAGTGAGTGACTGGGGGTGTGGAGGGATTCGGGGGGAGGTCACCGAGAGGGGCGGCAGAACTGAGGGTGGAAGGTGGGGGCCTGGGCTGCAGTGTCAGCATGGGCTGGGGGGGCCTGTTTTGGGGGCCCACACTCTCCTGAGTCACTCGGGATCTAGGGGACCGACCTCCCTGTCATCCCTCCCATGAGGAGCTGGATGAGTGGTGAGTCACCCGCCCGCCCCTATCCCGGATCTGGACGCAGGCCGGTGCAGGGGTGGGAGACACCCAGCCCCGGACCAAGCCCCCACCTTGTCTCCCTGCTCTTGGGCGATGCTCAGATGCCGCTGGCAGCAGACGGCAGCCTCGTCGAAGCGCCCCAGGACCTTGAGTGTGTTTCCCAGGTTTCCACTGGCCTTGGCCTCCCCCATGCGGTCACCGATGGTCCTGGATGGCAGGGAGGAGTGAGGGGTCAGGCTGAGGACTGGTCAGGCCTCTGGGCCCGGGGGGAGGCTGAGCATGGGGTGGGGTAGCTGGGCCTCAGGGACCAGCATGGAGTGGACAGGAGCCTGCAACCCCTGAGGTGATACTGGGCAGGGGCCCACAGGCCGGGCAAGTGAGGCCCGAGGGCAGCCCTGGGTATGGGCTCTGCTGGGCTGTGTCTGGGGCACAGGCTCCTGCCCATCACCACACAGGCTGCACACAGGTGCCAGGAGCTACACACAGGACCTCACGCCTGGGCCTGGGGCAGGGGGCTGGGGTCTGCAGCTCTTAGGATCCGGGGAGGACTTGGGGGGCCTGATGGTGGAGAACTAACTTCCTGCTAACTCATTCAGAGGACGTTTGGTGCATGCCCACCAGACACTGAGCTGGGTGCTGAGGAGCAGGTGTGAGCTCACTGGCCAGTGCGGGAGGGTTGCTCCAAGAAGCTCTGCCCTGCTGAGAGGTCAGGGCAGCTGCAGGGCTGAGGGGGAGGGCGCTGGGCAGGGCTGAGGCAAGGGAAGCGTGCTCCCGTGAGGCACGGCCTGGGGGCTGGACCCGACTGGAGACCCCAAGACCCCAAGGGGCGGCGGGGAGTAGGTTGGGGAGACTGGGGAGTGGATGACGCCAGGCAGGAAGGAGGCTGTGAGTGGGAGCTTGGGGTCCATGGGAAAGCAGGGACAGCCCCCAGGGCAGGACCACACCTCACTGAGCAGTGGCTGGGAGTGGGCCCGGGGCTCAGGGCCTGGGGCCTGGGGCCAGGGAAAGGGTGGGGCTCTGAGCCACACAGGATCACAGATGGGCCACACACAGTCACGAGTGCTCACGCACAGCACGCGGGTCACAGCCCAGGCTCTCACACGCAGACACACAGACCCACTCACGCCTGTCAGCTGAAACCCAGCTCCCTGCCGGGGTCCCAGAGCCCTGGCTGCCCTCCAGGTGAGGGCTTCCCCACTGCGTTCCCTTAGACCCTGCTTGCCCTGTCCCCCTCCTCAAACTGTAACTGCTGAGGACAGGAAGCGTCCACCTGCCAGCAGGGCCACCCCCACTCACCCGCCAGCAGGGCCGCCCCACTCACTGCTCCAGCAGGGCCGTCCCCACTCACCCGCCAGCAGGGCCATCCCCACTCACCCACCAGCAGGGCTGTCCCCACTCACCGCGCCAGCAGGGCCGCCCCACTCACCCACCAGCAGGGCCGTCCCCACTCACCGCGCCAGCAGGGCCGCCCCACTCACCCGCCAGCAGGACCGTCCCCACTCACCGCGCCAGCAGGAGGTCATGCTTGTGGTATTCCAGCGCCCGGCCGTGCTCCTTCAGGTAGAAGTAGGCGTTGCCCAGCTGGCTGTAGATGGCACTCAGTGTCTTCAGGTCCTCGGTGCCCACCTGCACAGCAGCCTCAAAGAAGGCCACGCCTGTCTTGAAGTCGCCCGCCTTGCACAGACGCTCGCCCTCCAGCGCCAGCTCTAGGCAGGACGCCTCCATCCTGTGCAGAGGAACTTGGCGTCATGGCCCAGCCCTGGCAAAGTCGCCCCGGGGCCGGAGCACCTCCGTGGCTTCACTACAGACGACGCCCCTGGGTGGGCTAGGGCACACACCACATCTGTGCTCACAGACCTAAGTGTCTCTTTGGGATACAGGCCTGGAAGCACGTGTGCGGCCCAAGGGCGCCCCAGCCAGCACACCTCTGCCAGCACCTCCTGTCCACCCCTTGTGCGGCCAAGGTCAGGAACGCCACTGGGGCAAAGGTGTGAGTTTGTGACCCCGGCAAGACCCTCAGGCCCAGGGGCCGGTGTTGCAGGGGGTGTGGCCCCCATACCCTGCCTTCACCCAAATCCCAGAGGTACGGGCTGCAGGGGCCAGGCACCCTAGCCATCCTCCTGAGCGACCACAGCTGCTGGGAGAGGCCCCCCTAATTCCCACCAAGAACAACTGAGGCTCCCAGACGGTAGTGGGGGCTTGTGAAGGCCACATGGGGGTCGGGTGGGGTGGGGATCTGATCTCGGCTCCTCCCCCACCCCCAAGCTCTCCCAGCCAGGGCCTGGGGATTCAGTCAGCCTCCAAGTCTCCAGGGGAGACCAGTGCTGCGGAGGTGTGGCTGCGGGTTAGCCAGTCCCAGCCCCTCTCCTCCTGGTCCCCCACCCACAGAGCTAAGCGCTCGCCGCTGCCAGCCAGGACAGGCCTGAGAACCCGCTGTTCCCAGGTGCTGCCCGCCACCCCCAGCGCTGCTGTGGGAAGATGTGGATGGCGCCCCATCCCAAGGTGAACTCCGCCGTGTGAGCGCCACCTAACCCCAAGGGCCAGGCCCTCTTCTGAACACCAACGCCCTGCTTGGCCGTGGTCCCCCACCTTCGGGCAGGGACTTTAGAGAAGAAACCCCTCACCCTGGGCCCTGCACAACCCCCAAGCACCCTGTGCGTCAGCTGCCACCCTAGCCCTGCTCACCGAGGGACCCCCACCCTGGGCCTTGGGGAGCTGCCCTTGGCACTCAGCTGCCGGGGAGGAGTGTGGGGTCACTCCGTGGCTGCCCGGCTCCGCACCTCCCTGCTGCCTGCTCTGGGGCCTGGTGTCCTCCTCCATCCTACTCTTACAGGTCACATGGGCCTCAGGCTGCTGCGCTGCCCTGGGTGGAGGGTCGCGGGGGGAGGACACACCCAGCAGATGCCATGGGGTGGCCAGTGTGAGCAGGCGGGCCCCCATCTGCAGGGTGCCCCCGGAGAGCCACAAAAGACTCAGCAAGGGCGCAGCTTGGGGGGCCCCAGGAGGTGGCAGGCACAGCTGGAGCCCAGGAGGGACCTGATTTCAGAGAAGTGGGGGAAGGGTTCAGCCTCGGCTGCTTGCAGGCCGGCCCCATCATTCCTGTTTGCTTTCTGTTGCTTTCATTTTTCATTTTTAAAACTTATGTTACCATTATTATTTTTATAGAGACACGGTCTTGCTCTGTTGCCCAGGCTGGAGTGCAGTGGTGCGATCTCGGCTCACTACAGCCTCCATCTCCCAGGATCAAGCCATCCTCCTACCTCAGCCTCCCAAGTATCTGGGACTTCAGGTTTGCACCATCATGCCCAGCTTTTTTTTTTTTTTTTTTTTTTTGGTAGAGATGGGGGTCTCACTATGTTGCCCAGGCTGGTCTCAAACTCCTGAGCTCAAGTGATCCTCTCACCTCAGGGCCAGGCCCTCCCACCCACTACCTGCCAGGCACCTCACAGCCACCTCACCCATCCCTCTGGGAATGGCCATCCGGATGCCACGTGGGTCACAGGAGCCCACCGTCGCCATGACAACCAGCCAAGCCCCATCCTGCAGCCAGCGCCACGCACGGGGCTTCCTGATTAAGGCCCACTTGCCCCACCCAGCCACTTTTCAAGTGGTCTCACTCGGTTTACTGCCCCCTCCTTCCAGGCAACATCGGAGGAGAGGGGCTTCAGGCCTGAGGCCTGGGTGTCTGTGGAGCCCAGACGCTGCTGCTCCGCAGATCTGATGATGGGAGCCACCTCCCGCCTCCCTTCCAGCCGGAGACGTGGCATCCGAGGCTCAAGGCGAAGGAGGCTTCTGGCCTGGGAAGGGCCTGGGCCTAAAAGTCGGGGATGGGTGCACGGATGGGCCTCTGTCATTCTGCACCTCCAATCTGGGATCCAGGCAATGCAGCCAGCCACCTGCAGCTGCACCAGGTGGGTGTCCCCTCCACTCATCCCAAGACAGCCTCCAACCACGCCCTGGCACCCACACCCACGTGACCACCCCACTCGCTGCCCGCCGCACCTCTTCCTCTGCAGGTTTCGCATCTTCTGCACGTAGAGCCACAGCTCCAGGCCCACGGGCAGCAGCAGCGGGCGGGGGCGGGGGGCGCCATACACCACCTTGCACACGGCCTTCTCCGCCAAGCTCAGGGCCAGAGGCGGGCCCTCCCCAGCAGGGGATGGCATCGCCAGGCCCCAGGCCCTCCTCCCCCAAGCCAGCCCTCGCCCCACCATGGCCACGGGTCCTGGGGGGTGGGCTGGCCTTAGGCTTCCCTGCCCTCTGACCTCCAGGATGGTGGGTTTAAAGCTCGGCGGGGGACTGCCAGTCCTCCAGCAGGTGCTCGGGGGCCTCCCCAATCCCTGACGTGGATCAAGGGATCAAGGACAGCTCAGAGGCTGGGTCAGCCTCGTCAGCAGCGGGGCGGGGAGCCCTGGGGTAATCCCGTCCAACGTGCTCCTCCAGGGACTGGGACCAGCGGCATTGCCCTCCCGTCAGTCACCCGCCAACTCCTCTGCAAACGTTTATCCAGTTCCCAGCGGGGGCTGCTCTGCCCCAGGACCGGGCTCACTCGGGAGCGCCAGGCACGTTTGTGAATGGAAAGAGGAATGGCGTCCAGAGTGTGTGAGTGCCCCCAGCCCAGCACCTCTTCCCCCAGGCCTGGCCCAGGGCTGGGCAAAGCTGGAATTCTGCGCAGTGGTGGCCCCTGGCCGCCTACCGGTTCTCCAGGCCCCTGTGCCTCCTCTGCTCCACCCGACCCCACCTGGCCCCCTCCCCAGCCTCCCTGGCACCAGCCCACGGTGCCAGCATGGGGCAGCGGGGGGGGGGGGCTCAGAGTCCTCACCATGCCAGCCCCACGTCTGCCGGGCCCTCTGTGCTCTCCCTCACCTGACTGGCCAAGGTGCGAACAGGGCCCCAGGTCTGACGGGGTCAGGGCCACGTGGGGCCTGGGGGATGCCGCTCCCCAGGTCGTGGGGCTTGGGAGGCATGGACCACGTTCCCCTAGCCTGGCTCCTTTCCTCAAACTTCCCAAGCCCCCGGCGTCCTTCTCAGCTGGGCTCCCAGCTTCTCCAGCCACCTGTGGCCCATGAGGAGGCTGGAACCTGACAGAGGCGGGGGACTGGGGGGGCAGGTCTTATCCCTGAGACGGCCACGGGGTCTGAGCAGAGGCAGGAATCCAAGGACAGGTGGGGGTCTTCAGGCCCTGGGCTCTCTCCTCCTTACCTTGAGGCCTTGTGGGCTCAGGGGTCCTACTCAGGCCAGACCATTTGTCCACCTTCAGGACAGCTTGGCCAAAGGCGGGGCAGGACCTAGAATGCCTCTCCCTTGCCCAGTCCTCGTCAACAGACTGAACCCTCAGACCCTCCGTGGTGGCTGGGGTGCCATCACCAAGGCCAGTTCCCAAGCCAGCACTGCAACTCCTACTACCTCCGGCCACCCGAAAGCCGTGTCCCTCAGTCCCAGCCCTGCTAACAGAATTGGCACCTGCCCCTCCCCAAGGCCGTCACCTACATGCTGGCCCCTGAGCAGATGCTGAAGAGACTCTGCTCACAGCTGGCTCTATCTGCCCCATCCCCCAGCCAGACACCCCCAGGGAAAACCACACCGACTCCCCTTCAGTGGCCAGGGGAGGGGAGAGAGTGAGGCGCAGGACCGGGCTGGGAGCACAGCGGGAGCTGGAATCACTGGAGAGGGGACTGAAGGTCACCCAGCTGTAGGAAGCACCTGGGGTCAGGCTTGCCAGGAATTCCTAGGGCCCGTCGCTGCCCAGCGACCCACCAGGGATGGTGCCCAGGACGGGGACAGGGGAGGGAGGAAGGATGGAGTGAAGGTAGGGGGTAGCATGGCCATGTGGCCAGAGAGGTTGCGGGGGGCCCAGTCCACACCTGAGGACGTCCTGTCTGGGAGCTGGTGACTGCTGCTTGGAGGGCATCTCTAACAGGGTCACCCCAAGGTGGGTGGCTCTGCTGCCCCTTCCCGGCCCCAGCCCCGGGGAGCACTCAGCTGGCCTTAAAGCAGGTGGGAGGCCAGGAGACGACCACCCAGGGTTTCCCCACTTTCCGGGGCCTTCTCAGCCACTGGCCTGTCCCCGCCAGGCCTCTTCACCCCAAAGCCCTGCTCTGGGCCAGGGAGCCCCTGGCAAGTGGGCCAGAATTCTGAGCATTAACTGTAGCACCCAGGGCCCTGTCCCCACCGACCCAGCACCCAGGGCCCATCCCCACTGACCCAGAACCCAAGGGCCCGTCCCCACCGACCCAGCACCCAGGGGCCCGTCCCCACCGACCCAGCACCCAGGGCCCCGTCCCCACCGACCCAGCACCCAGGGGCCCGTCCCCACCGACCCAGCACCCAGGGCCCCGTCCCCACCGACCCAGAACCCAGGGGCCCGTCCCCACCGACCCAGCACCCAGGGCCCCTCAGGGTACCCAGTGGGCTCATGGGCACATTCATGGGCCTCGCTGTCAGTGTGTTTTCCAGGCACAGTTCCCCATTTTAAAAGCTGAAACTCCTCTCTCCAGGAAGGAATGTCAGTGTGGGAAGGCAGTAGACGGGGCAGAGGAGACCTTGGGCCAACCTGGAGCCCCATCCACATTGAGGGACCCCAGTACAGCCACGTGAGGAGTGCCCACACGGATTCCGCCCACCTCCAGGGCATCCACATGCCCACCGCCCACGCCAGCAGGTGGGCCGCCCCCAGCACTCGGGTTTCAGGAGACAGGAGACTTTTCCGTGTCTTGCTCTCCAGCCCCAGCATGACAGCAAAGGGCCCTCCCGTCTGGCCCGCAGCTTCCACTGGCCCAGAACACGTCTAGGCATCCATGCTCTGAAGCCAGCTCCGACCAGGAACCGCCTGCCCAAACCGGGCTGTGGCTACACGGTGGGGTGCAGACTCCCGGGGGGACCTCGTCACAGGCCCTGCTGGAGGGCTTGGCGCGCTTCCCCCAAGTCTGGGCCTGACTCCACCCTGGAGCTCAACTGGACTCCCTGCTTAGGGGGATGCAAGGCTGGGTCTGGGGTCTCTCTGAGTGGTCCCCCTGAGCACTGCCCCTGCCAGGGGCTGGCTCCTGCCTGGCGTGTCCCCAGGGGACCCCAGGCTTCTAGCTGTAGCCTGGAGAATGCCCAACTCTATGGTCAGCTGTGCAGGCCTCACCCAAGGCTAAGGTCTTGGACACCCGTCTCTCACAGCTCCACACACACACTCTCTCACAGCTCCACACACTCACACTCAAACTCACTCCAGCCAGGGCTGCTATCCATCCCCCTCACAGCACGGCCGCCCTGGAGCACATGCGGCCCTGCACAGCCGATCAGATCAGCGGAGGAAACCCTTGAAAATCCTTTAGGGCAGGCCCCTGGCAGCAGCTGCCAGCAAAATCACCCTCACGCCCCTCCCCTGCGTGGGGCCCAGGAGCCAGGCTAGGGGCTCAGCGCTCCATCCAGGACGGCACAATGGGGCTGTGTCTGGGACCAAAGCAGAGAGCAGACCGGAGGCAGCAAGGCCTCTGTCCGCCGTGCCGCCACCAGTACCTCATTTCGGGTGCCCCAGGCAGAGGCTTGCTGCTTGGCTGGGGCCAGAGAATCCTTGGGGGCCAGGCTAGGCGCCCCCCGGGATCAGCTGCTGGGACCCCTATCAGGGAGGTCACCAGGTTTTAGGGATGTCCAGAGGACAATAGTGTCCCTCGCTCTGGGGAGCCAGGCCTGCCTCTGACGGCTGCCACCCATTCGCAAGCCCCTGCCTGGACCTCACGCTCGTGTGGCTCTGCCTGAGGCCTGGTACCACCCAGCCTTGCTTGGGGCTCCAGGCACCTGCCCGGCTGGGCCCAGGGCAGCCCCTGGGGGGACATTGGGAGTCACCAGGCAGGCATGCCACCTGGGGCAGGGCCACCCTGTCATCCCCAAAGGCGTGGGGCACAGAGCCCAGTCACTGGGATCACCCAGGAATGTGCCCGGAGAGTAGATGCCTTTTCAGGCAGGTACACACCCACCTGGCTGGCTCCCTTCCAACCCAGCTGGATCCCACTGGGCTCGTGGAGGGCTGGTGAGGGGCAGAGCCCCATCCAGAGCAGCCAGGTCTCTTTGGCCATGATGCCCCTGAGTGCCCCGGGCATGGCAGGGCCAGGCTTGGGAGGGAAGCACCCCACGGTGCCCCTGCCAGGTGCCAGGGGAGTGAGGCTGGAGAAGCTGCCCACCCCGCCTCCAGCCCCCCGGCCCCCCACCCCCTTCCCCTTGGCTTGGGGGAAAGAGGGCTTCAGGGGACGCCCACGCGGGCACACGCCGGGCTGGGCTCGGCCTGGAGGGAGGGGCGCGTCCTCAGCCACGCTGCGCGCCCGCGAGAGCTGCCTTTGTTCCCAACTGCAGCCTCCCCCGCGTCCCGACCCGGCCCGGTCCGGTCCCAGCCCCGGCCCCGGCCCCGGCCCCGGCCCGTCCTACCTGGAGTAGAGGCGCCTGGCGGCCGGGCCCGGGAGCTCGTCGGCCGCGGGCGGGGCCGGGCCCGCCATGGGTCGGGGACGCGGGAGCGGGAGCCGGGAGCGCCCCCCGCGCCGTGGCCGTCCGCCCCCTGCCCGCCCTGCTGTCCTCCCTGCTGTCCGCCCTGCTGTCCGCCTGTCCGTCCGCGCCTCGTTCGCCCGTCCTCCCCCGGGGAGGCGCCGAGGAAGTGATGTGCGCGGGGCGCCGCCGCCCCTCCCGCCGCCGTGGCCGTGATGTCACCGCCGCCCGCGCGGGGAGGGGGCGCGGACCGGGCGGCCACCGCCGCGTGCCTCCCTCTGCGGGGGGCGGGGCGGACGCGGGGGGAGGGGCGCCGTGAGGCGGGCAGTCCCCGGGGAGGGGGGAGGGGGGAGGGGGTGTGGGCCCCAGCCCACCCCACCCCAGGGAATGCAGGGGAGAGGGCCTGGGCCTGGCCTTGCTGCTGGTCCCCTGGGGACTTCTGAGGGCCCGCGGGGGTCCCTGGGTCACAGTGCAGCCACACTGGCCTCTGGGCTCCTTTCATCCACAGGCCGCCTGGTGAGCCCCGCAGCCTCACCCACGTGGGGAGGGGCTGCTGAGGCCTCCTTGCCTTTCTTGGTGGGCGCCCTACGCCTCGGGGGTCCTACCCTCCTCTTCTGTGCAGCCCCAACGTGGCTTTGCCCCCTTCTCCAAACTTCTGCCTTGGGCCATGGGGCGCAGGCCGTGGGGATGCTGTCTGCCTGCTTTAGAGAAACCTGGGGCACCGATGACAAATACAGGCTCTGCTTGGCCTGTGGGACGGTTGGTAAGCCCCCCACCTCTGAGACCCTGGGTGGCCACATTCCCCTCCCAAGCTCCCCCGGAATGGGGATGCAGCCTGCCCCTTCCTTCCTCCTGGGCACTGTGCAGGCTTAGGGAGGATGCAGGTGGCACAGTAGGCTGTGCCCACCCGGGGTCCCGGGACCCCAGCCCCTACCGCCTCCTCCTCCTCCTCTGAATTCTTGGAGCCCTGTGGGCCTATGTGGTGTGACGTGGCTTCCCCTCCACCCACCCTCAGCTCCCGATGGCTTGGGGGGTTCTCCGCAGCCAGCGAGGCCC
Source organism: Homo sapiens (assembly GCF_000001405.40). Taxonomy (NCBI): domain Eukaryota; kingdom Metazoa; phylum Chordata; class Mammalia; order Primates; family Hominidae; genus Homo; species Homo sapiens. The sequence goes on along the minus strand of NC_000009.12, from coordinate 136,326,653 downwards.
ACAGCCGGCCTCCCCGGGTTCTGTCCTGCCCCCGACAGCATCCTGGGCCTTCCGGTGGTGTCAGGAGACTCCAGGCCCTTGAAAGGCAGCTGCGACCCCGGGTATGACTCGGAGAAGTCCAGGAGCAGGAAATGGGCTGCATTCCTTCGGGGCCCCTCCGTGCACCCCAGCCCCTCCCTGGGAGAGCTGCCCTGAGGTCAGGAAAGTGCCGTCCTGGCAAGACCCTCAGCAGCTGCCGCCCACAGGACAGTCAGCGTTTTCAAGCATGGGAAGGAAAATAAACACGAGGTTAAAAAGGGGTCTGTTGGCCCCGGGCTGGTTTGTTTTTCCTGTGTAAGGGAGGCAACGGGAATGAGAACCATCTGTGCCCTGAGCGCAGCGCAAGCTGCCTGCTGGGCCCACGTGCCCTCCCCCAAAGACCACAGAAGCCAGGCAGAGCCTTGCTCCCTTCCAGCCGGGGCCGTGGCTGCTGGCCGGCAGGGACAGTGGTGTTGGCTGGGGCACCACCCTCCTTTGCCACAGCCCTGGGCCTGGCTGCGGGCAGAGAACAGGCCTTCGATTGAAGCTCCAACCTTCCGGGCCACCTCCTTTGGGCTTCGGGCACCTGAGCCAGCATCCCATTGTAAGGGCAGGGGCTGCTGGGGGCCCTGCCTGTGCCAGGCCTCAGCTCAGCCCTCTTTCCCCAGGCGCTGCTGCCATCAGGAGGCCCACAGAGGGTCCACACCAACACTGTGAGCCCCTTGTGGGTCCCCTGGGTTAGTGGTGGGAGGCTGGTGAAGAGAAGTGGGGACAAAAGACATTGCACAAATGGTGGAGGGAGGGAGAGATTTGCAGCCTCGTAGCTGTCATTGCTGGGGGAGCTTCTCCTGGTCTCCTTCCTTGATGCAGAGAGCTGGGAGCTTGTGTCCCTGGGCCGGGAGAGCCCCAACATTATATCAGAACTTGTGGGGAAACCTGCACCCCCGAGGGCTCTGGCTTTGTTAGGCCGAGCTGGGCTATGAGGCTGTGTGACCTGGCACAAGTTGCTTTCCCTCTCTGAGCCTCGGTTCTGTCACCTGAGGGCTGCCCGTCCCGCAAGGTGTGGAGGGTCACTGAGGCGTGGGGTTTCTGCGGTGCTTGTCCATGTGCCTGGCACACAGTGGGGTTTGTGCAGTGCTTGTCCATGTGCCTAGTGGCTCACAGTGGGGTTTGTGCGGTGCTTGTCCGTGTGCCTGGCACACGGTGGGGTTTGTGTGGTGCGTGTCCATGTGCCTGGCACACAGCGAGAGCTGCTGGGGTCATGTTGCTCTCACACTCGTGCCTGCCCCTGCTGGGCCCCTGCAGTGGGTCCTGGCTGGATTGGGGGTACATCCCCACCACACTGCACAGAGGGGCGTCTCCTCCTATCCAGGGACCTGATTCTCCTGTCGAGAAAACCTATGAAGGGGACCCAGAGATGGAGTGTGACAAGGCCAGGTGACAGGCCTGACATGTGGTGTCCACATCCAGAAGGGAGACCCTGGAGGGATGACCCTCCACTGCCACCCCCTCCCATCAGGCTCTGGACACCCTCGAGCCTCCCACCATCCACCTTACCAGATCCCCCCAAGAGTCCGGGAAGCTCACTCCCCCAGGGGACCAGGAGCACAGCCCCTTCCATTCCTAACGGGCCTGACTCCCAAAGGGGGGTGAGGAAAGAAAAAGCCATTTCACATCGACTTATTCTTCTGGCCCCAGGCAGCAGCACAGGGCGCAGGGTGGGCCTCTGCAGACACGATGGCTCCGTGGTCAGGGAGGGGCCACCTCCCATGTGCCTGGGGAGGGGCCCTCCCAAGCCCCTGCGTGGCAGCGCCAAGGGGTTGGAGTCAGCCCCAGCACACACAGGGCCCTGCTCACTGGTGGCCATTGTCAGCGCCACCTCCACCTTCAGGAGCCTGCCACGTGCCTGCCCTCGGTCACTTAGCCCTCCCTGGCACGCACCACTTTGTCCACACACCCTGTGTGTAAGTGGTGACAGCGGTGACAGCTCAGGCGTCACCTGATCGGGCCGACTCTAAGCCTTAGTCCTTCCTTGTCCTGTTGCGCCGGACAAGCCTCTGGGAGGCGACGGTGGGACAGCCACAGGGTTCTTGGCTCAGCCCCCAGGAGTGGGGAGCTGGGGCTCTGGACGGAGGTGGGCACTCGAGGCTGGTGTGGCCTCCTGGGTGAGGGCCAGGCTCGGGAGAGGCAGCCAGGCGGCCCCAAGCCACCCCAGGAACAAAGCACCAGCACACACCTCCACTGGTTTGCTAGGGCTGGGAGAAGTTGGAGTGTTTCTGTGGTGGCTGTGGCAGCCCACGGCCCCAAGACCCTGGCTTCCTTCTGCTCCCACCTTTTCAGGCCCCTTCCCCAACAAGCAGCTACTGTAGGACCCAGTGGGGGCTAGGGCACCAGCAGCTGCCATTACCCATGCTGGGTCCTGATGGTTCCTGACCAGCCTCAACCGTGGATTCCAAGCTGGGGAAGGAAGAAGCAGGCCGGGAGTGGGGAGGGAGACAGTGAAGGACACCCAAACACACACACACACACACACACACACACACACACACACACACACACAGAAGGAACAGTTTCAGCTTTGTTTCCCAGTAATCTCACTTAAAAAGAACACTTGGGTTTACCATGTTCACATAATCTCGTTGCTCTGAGAATGAACTTATTCTTCCTCCCAGCTTGGCCATGTGTTCCTCCCCATTGCCCAAGTCCCCTCATGACATCATCTCCCACTGCCATGTCCTTTCCTTGGGGACCTCCAAGTCCCTGGAGTTTGGGGACTGCAGGGTGGGTGGAGGGGCCCACAAGCTCTGCAGGGAGCCAGAAGGAAACGGTCTGTCCCACCCCAGGGCTGAGCACCTCGCTGGGAGATGATACCCACACCTGGAAATAGCTCAAGGGCCGCGTGAGGCCGCACGACACCCACGCCAGTATGAGACACCTGGCCATGCGGCATTCCTGGCCGACTGCTGGCAGCTGCAGACTTTGTCAGCCAGGTGATGTCCCCGGGATCTCTGGGCAGGCAGGGCACACAGGAGGCAGCTCACGCTCACTCATCATGGCGAGGCAGGTCGTGTGGAACTTCCTTGGTCTTCCTCATCTGCGCCCCACCCAGCCTGGCAGATGGTGATGCTGTGAGTGCCAGGGAAACACACACACGCACACACACACACATGCACACATGTACAGACAGGTGCACATGCCTGGGAGAGTCTGTGCTGCTCAGCTTCCGAGGGCAGCTCCCCAGGTCTCCCCCCGGGTCTGCGGTGGGAGGCGAGTCTTTTAACATCAGCTCAAACCAAACAGGATGAGGAGGGCAAATCGGCCGTCCCCAGTAAATCCTAGGGAGTCCCTCCAAGGCAAACAGAAAATGCACCCCAGCTTTCGCTTTTAGGGGTTTGAGTTGCGAGTTTCCAGTCTGCGGAGTGCGATGGCCGGGTGTAAGTCTGAAACCCTCTGGGGGAGAGAAGCCGCACAGTGCAGGGGTACACATCCCAGATCCACTCCCCAGCTGTGAGGCCCAGGCGCATTCCGCGTTCCCCGCCCATCTCCACCTCCGAGGGTTGCGGGAGGCTGAGCAGTTAGAACCGTGGCTGGCATACGGAGGGCACTCGGTAAACGTGGCTGTGCTGAGCTGTGGGCCTCGAAGGAGTCTCGCGGGGCTGCTGTACCAATGACCTTGCACTGGGTGGCCTAAAACAACATGTGTTTCCTCACAGCTCGGGGGACCAGAGCTCAGAATCTGGGGGTCACAGAGGAGGGTCCATGCTCATCCAGGTCAGCTCTAGGGGCTGCAGGCCACCCCTAATCTAGGATGGTCTTATGTTGAGGTCCTTAATTACATCCACAAAGACCCTTTCCCCAAATAAGTCCCCACGCACAGTTCCCAGGGACAGCCTCTGGGGCAGCATCACCACCCACTCAGTCCTCCATGCACCCCCTTGCGCTATCACGTAACTTGGATCAGGTCCACGCGTGTGGCTTTGCGGCTTTCCTTTGTCACAGCGTGTCACAACTGTTTTCCCGGGTGTCACTGCTGTGGTTTGAGTTTGTGTGTCCCCAGCCTTCATATGTTGGAACCTGAGACCCAAGAAGATCGTTATAAGACGTGGGGCCTTTGGAAGGTGATTAAGTCACCAGGGTCCCCATTGAAGCGCTTGGGAAGCCATCGAGGCCCCCTCCCCTTTGTCCTCTCACCTTCCGCCGGGAGAGGACACAGCAAGAGGCACCCACTGGGAGGCAGAGAGCAGCCCCCACTCCCACTGAGGCTGCTGGCACCGAGACCCTGGACTTCCAGCCTCCAGAAGCGTGAGAAATAAATGTCTATTGTGTGTCAATGACCCCGGCTCAGGTGTTTTGTTACGGCAGCAGGAATGGACTGAAATGCATCACTGAAAGGTCTTCACGGCCAGGCACAGAAGCTCACGCCTGTAATCCCAGCACTTTGGGAAGCACTCAGCGTTTGAGGCCAGTAGTTTGAGACCAGTGTGAGCAACACAAGGAGATCTTGTCTCTACAAAAAAAAAAAAAAAAAAAAAAACTTTAAAAATTTAGCCAGGCATGATGGCACATGCCCGTGATCCCAGCTACTGGAGAGGCTGAGGCAGAAGGATCGCTTGAGCCCAGGAGTTTGAGGCTGCAGTAAGCTGTGATCCTGCGGAGTCAGATCTTGTCTCAAAAAACAAATTAAAAACTCTCCTCAAGCATAACAGGGGCCGTATCCAATTCACGCTGTGGATGTACCACTGTCATTTAGCCAGGTCCTGGCAGGTGGACACCAGGCTGTCCCCTTTCTCCCATCCCCTTGTCGGGGAGAACACCTGTGTCTCTAGGCGCGCAGGGGCCAGCAGAACCACAGCTCCTAGCCCGGGGCCGACGCGGCTGACGCACAAACACCGTTGAACACTGAGAGAGCTTTTTTCCGGGAGGGCCCTGTCCGTCTAGAATGTCGGGGAAGTTCGTCTCTCTGGCCGTGAGGGACCCGGCTCCTGGGCTCAGCCACCGTGCCTTTGAGGGGACAGCACGTTTCAGTCATGGCCTGCAGACAGCCTTGGGACTTTCCTCCAGTGGAGACTCTGAGCAATGTCACCGAGAGGACAGCCTAGCAATCCTGAGGAATGGCAGGGCTTGGGGCATGCAGGGACACGCAGACATGGCAGGGAGGTCCTGGCCTGACCACCAGAGAAAGCATCCAGCCAGCACAAACAGACAGAAAGACATTCCATGCTCATGGATAGGAAGAATCAACACCATGAAAATGGCCATACTGCCCAAAGCAATGTATAGGTTCAATACTATTCTCATTAAACTACCATTGGCATTCTTCACAGATCAGAAAAAAAAACTATTTTAAAATTCATATGGAACCAAAAAAGAGCTCCTATAGCCAAGACAATCCTAAGCAAAAAGAACAAAGCCACACTACCTGACTTCAAACTATACTACAAGGCTACAGTAACCAAAACAGCATGGTACTGGCACAAAAACAGACACATTGACAAATGGAACAGCATAGAGAACTCAGAAATAAAACCACACATCTACAACATCTGATCTTCAACAAACCTGACAAAAACAAGCAATGGGGAAATTATTCCCTATTAAATAAATGGTGCTGAGAGAACTGACTAGTCATATGCAGAAAACTGAAACTGGATCCTTTCCTTACACCTTATACAAAAAGTAACTCAAGATGGGTTAAATAATAAAATGTAAAACTCAAAACTATACAAACCCTAGAAGAATCTAGGTAACACCATTCAAGACATAGGCATGGGCAAAGATTTTATGATGAAATCACCAAAAGCAATTGCAACAAAAGCAAAAATTGACAAATGGGATCTAATTAAACTAAAGAGCTTCTGCACAGCCAAAGAAACTAGCATCAGAGTGAACAGACAACCTACAGAATGGGAGAAAATTTTTGCAATCTATCCATCTGACAAGGCCTAATATCCACAATCTACAAGGAACTTAAGCAAATTTATAAGAAAAAAAGACCTCATTAAAAAGTAGGCAAAGGATATGAATAGACATTTCTCAAAAGAAGACATAATGTGCGGCCAACAAACACATGAAAAAAAGCTCAACATCACTGATCATTAGAGAAATGCAAATCAAAACCGCAACGAGATGCCATCTCATGCCAGTCAGAAGCGTGATTATTAAAAAGTCAAGAAACAACAGATGCTGGCAAGGTTGTGGAGAAATAGGAGCACTTTTACACTGTTGGTGGGAATGTAAATTAGTTCAACCATTGTGGAAGACAGTGTGGCGATTCCTCGAAGATTTAGAACCAGGAATACCGTCTGACCCATCAGTCCCATTACTGGGTATATACCCAAAGGAATAGAAATCATTCTATTATAAAGACACATGCATGCGTATGTTCACTGCAGCACTGTTCACAATAGCAAGGACATGAAATCAACCCCAATGTCCATCAGTGACAGACTGGATAAAGTAAATGTGGTATGTATACACCATGGAATACTATGCAGCCATAAAAAGGAACGAGATCATGTCCTTTGCAGGGATGTGAGGGAGCTGGAAGCCATTATCCTCAGCAAACTAATGCAGGAAGAGAGAACCAAATACTGCATGTTCTCACATATATGGGAGCTGAACAATGAGAACACATGGATACAGGGAGGGAAACAACACACACTGGGGCCAGTCAGGTGAGGGCGGTGGGGGAGAGCATTAGGAAAAATAGCTAATGCATGCAGGGCTTAATACCTAGGTGATGGGTTGATAGGTACAGCAAACCTATCAGGGCCCGGCCTCATGACCTCATGTAACCTTCGTCACTTCCTTACTCCAAGTTTGCCCACACGGTGGGTGAGGGCTCCAGCTTATGAATTGTGGGACACAAACGTGTATCCATGGCACACATTTACCTGTGTAACAAACCCGTCATCCTGCGTGTGTATCCTGGAGCTTAAAATTAAATTAAATTAAAAAAAGAAAGGGGGCCGGGTGCCTGTAATCCCAGCACTTTGGAAGGCTGAGGCGGGTGGATCACCAGAGGTCAGGAGTTCGAGACTACCCTGGCTAACATGGTAAAACCCCGTCTCTACTGAAAATACAAAATAAGCCGGGTGTGGTGGTACGCGCCTGTAATCCCAGCTATTCGGGAGGCTGAGGCAGGAGAATCGCTTGAACCAAGGAGGCGGAGGTTGCAATGAGCCGAGATTGCGCCATTGCACTCCAGCCTGAGTGACAGAGCACAACTCTGTCTCAAAAAAAAAAAAAAAAAAAGAAAGGGTCCAGCCAGGGTGTCGGCTCAGGCCCAGTTCAGCGGCTCACAAGCGGAGGCCTTGGTCCCAAGACAGGAGGAAGGCCCAGTTCCCAGCCCCCAGCCTTCCCCCACTTCATGTGTGGCTTCAGACCCTGCAACCCTGAGCCACTCACGGGGCAGCCAGATGGGCCAGAGGGGCACATGCCAGTCCCGCAGCGGGCACAGCAGTGCAGGGAGGACAATGCCAGGTGTTGGGACCACTTCACCATGAGGACAGGGCCAGGGAAGGGCAGAGCGGGGGCTGTGCTCAGGTTGGCCTGGGCCTTATGGGGAGCATGGGGTGGAGGCGACCAGGCACCCTGGGAGCTGAGTGGGTGCTACTCCAGGTGGTCTCAGGAAGCCCCGAGTCTGCCTTGCTGGGCCTCCGAGGCCCATGCTGGGCTCACTGTTGGCAGTGGACATGTCCTGCCAGATGGCCATGAGGTGCAAGGCGGGGCTCCTCCCAGGCCACAGTGCCAGCCTCAGTTGGGCCCCACCCTGCGCCCGCCCTGCGTCTGTCTGATGGACTGTCTGACCGTGATGACACTGAAGGAGCGCACCCCCGCCCGGCCCCACCCACCCTCGCAGAGTCTCTCCCCTGAGCCTCTGCTGAGCGGTTTCCACCCTGGGCCCAGTGACCCGCTGCTGGTTGCCATGAAAACCTGCAACCTCTGCAGCAGCCCCCTCCCTACTTCTGCAGGCTGCGGGGGCTCCTCTCCCCTGGGCCCAGGGCCTCCAGGGTCAGCCTAACAGGCGTCTGGGGAGGGCAGACTGAGTTTCCTGTGCAGGTGCGTCAGCTTTGAGCCCCTCGCACACCCCACTGCATCGACTCAGGGAGTTTGTTTGCATCTCAAACTGTGCATCACAGAGGTCAGGGGCCAGGGAGGAGACCCCGCTGTGGAATTGCACGGCTGGGGAGGAGTGCAGCATGGAGAGAGACAGGGAACAGAGCTGGACCGCTTGCTGGGTCCCTGAGAGTTTGCCTGTCTGCCATCATGGCCACTTTGTGGGTGAACTACTGGCCAGCGGGGGTGGCTGATGCCCGGCGGGCCGGACGGTGCCGTGTGCATGGCTTCTCAGTGTCTCGGCAGATGCTCTCTGGAGGGTACAGACTGTGATACAAAGACCGTGCACTGTTCTGCTCCCAGGAGTCCCCCACACCCCGCACACCTCTGCCCAGGCCTCCCAGGAGCCCACTCGCACCCCACAAGCCTCTGCCCAGGCCTCCTTTCCCTGACGGCTCCATCTTTTTCTTGAAGATTCCTAACCAGCCAGAGAGGCCATTTGCCTCGGCCCATGACTCCATTTTTATTCTCCCCTCAGGCTGCGTCCCTTCCCCCACGCGAGGGTGACCGGGGCAGTGTCAGAGTCCCCCTGAGGGTGACTGCACCACAGCCTTCCAGAGCCTCCCCAGAGGCACTGGCATGCAGCTGCGCCCATTTCGGTGCTCCCTGAGCCCATCCATCCGTAACCCAAGCCTGGCCAGCTACCCCTCCTCCAGCGGTCCTGGGAGAGCCCCCGAGGGTGGGTGGGCCCTGCGGGACTGGGCCTGGGCACCTGCCCACACTGTGGTGCCTTCTGCCTTCCCCACGTCTGTCCTCACGCGTCCACGTCCATTGCACAGCGAACTCTGCTGGGCATGCCACCTTAGGGTTGGGTGGGCCTGGCTGTGCCAGCTCACGTTGGGCAGCTCTTGCCACCTCATGCCCTGACATGCCTGGCCAGGTGTCTGTCTCCACTGGGGTCCAGTAGCCCAGCAGGACTTGGTTTTCAAAAGCTGTGTGTCTTGGTCTGCGTGGGCTGGTGTGGCAAGTCACCATAGGAAGGTGGCTTAAATGACTGCTCATTCCTCACAGCCCTGGGGCTGCCAGGGTGAGGTCAAGGTTCTCTGATTCAGTTTCTGGTGAGGGCTGGGTCCTGACAGAGAGAGAGCCATCCCCGTGCTGTGTCCTCATGCGGCCTCTCCTGGGGTGGTGAGAGTCAGCTCTCTAGTGTGTGTCCTTCTTAGGACACCAGCCCCATCTGATCAGAGTCTGGCCTTGGGACCTCCTGTCACCTTCGTCACTTCCTTACTCCGACTGCCCACGCAGAGGGTGAGGGCTCCAACCTATGAACTGTGGGACACACATTCACTCCATAGCAGTGCGTGGCTCCCTGCCCTGCTGTAGATGAAAGCCTCGCTCAGAACCCTGGGGCCTGGGCTGAGATTCTCATGCTGGGCCTTGCCATGAGCCCCTGGCCCCATTTCCCATCCCTGCTGTGGGCAACACCAGCAGGTCTGCCAGCCGCGATGGCCCCGGGAGGGCTCTCTGCTCCTCAGCCTGGGCCTGCCGCCGAGTCCTTCCCTGCTGTGTGTCCTCCTCCTGCCACCTGGGACAGGGTCAGAGCATATTCCTCAGTGTGGCTGTGCTGCCTCCCAGAACCCAACAGGCCTCCAGGGTCTGTGCTTCTTTCCTTGCAGCAGGTGGTGCAGAGACAACCATCTGGCTTTCACTTTGGAGGAGAGGCCCAGGAACATCCCAGCAACTGAACAACACCCTGGCCACCACGCAATACCCCAACCTCCGAGCAACACTCCAACCACCAAGCAACACTCAGACCACCAAGCAACACCCTGACCATGGAGCGACACCCCAGCCACCAAGCGACGCCCCAACCACCGGGTGATGCCCCAACTGCCAAAAAACACCGCGACCTCCTAGGAACACCCTGGCTACTGAGCAGCACCCCGACCTCTGAGCAACAACCTGACCACGGAGCAACACCCCGACCACCAAGAAACACCCTGACCACCAAGCAACACCCCAACCACCAAACAACACCCCAACCACCATGCAACACCCCAGCCACCACGCAACACCCTGACCACCAAACAACACCCCAACCAACACCCCGACCATGGAGAGACACCCCAACCACCGAGTGATGCCCTGACTGCCGAGCGACACCTCGACTGCTGAGCAACACCCTGACCTCCGAGGAACACCCCGGCCACCGAGCAACACCCCGACCACCGAGCAACACCCCAGCCACCGCACAACACCCTGACCACCAAACAACACCCCGACCACTGAGCAACTCCTCGACCTCTGAGCAACACCCCAGCCACTGCGTAACACCCCGACCACTGAGCAACTCCCCGACCACTGAGCAACTCCCCGACCTCCGAGCAACACCCCAATCACCACCCCTCTAAATACTTTATGGATGAGGTAGGCCTCGGAATCTTTCCAGGTTTTCAACCATCATGGCACTGTGGATGAGTGCTGGGCACACCGCTGCCGCCCGAGACCACTGCCCTGTTGGATGCATGTGTATCCCAGAGGCCTTTTCTCACCCAGCCCTTCCCCATGGAATCATAATTAGAGCTCTTATCCTGCAGATCAAGGGTCCAATGTGGGGGCCCCAGTGGCCCCCTCCACACATGTCAATCCCAGCCCTCATTTAGAGCCTGGGGTAAGGACCACTGCGAACTGCAGCTTGGGCAGAACTCCGCCAATGACTGCTCCAATGTGGGGGCATGATGACATTCTGGGTCTCTGGGTATCTGTGTCACCCTGACCCCACTGTCCTCAAATGTCCAGCAGTCCCCTATCCCAGCGCAGGTCCTATAGGTCCCTGTGGAGAAGGGCTGGCCAGAATATTGCATGTCCCTCCTGGTAACCTCTTCAATCAACATTTCCAGGTCTAAAGACTGGCTCAGGTCCAAACCCCAGCAAAGACTGTGACTTTTTATTGGGGCTACCGCCATCAGTCACTCATCCTTCATTTACTCTGCTAGTACAAGTTGACAACTGCCCATCTATCCTGCCCCAGGGACACCATGTTTATCATCTCCATAACTCTCCAGGGTGATGCCCCTCTGACCCTTCCATTAATTAGGATATTTGCAATCTCATAGCAGTTAAGCATCACCCTCCAGCCTCTGTTATTTTAGGATCTTCTCATCTCTATTGCTGTCTGTAACAGCCCCTGGCCTTCAGGGGAGTCCCCATTGACCTCATTGGAGGTGCTGGTGTCCTTCTGACCAGCGCCAGCCATGCGGCCTTGATGAGTTGTAAGTGGTCTATCCTGGAGCACAAGTCTTTGGTGGGTCTTTCTGGACACACAGTTCATGGTATTTCCAGGCTGGCATGCTTTGGACTTTTCAAGAGCAACTCCAGGAGCTAGAAGACAGTGTGGAAAGGCCTTTAGAGTTCTCCAGGAAAATGTCTCCCAATTTGGACTTCTATACCCAGCCAAACTAACCATCCAGTGCTCACACGGCAGGTGGTATAAAGACACCTTCAGGCATGTGCCCTTTCTCATGGAGCCACTTGAGGGACGTGGTGCCCCAAACAAAGGAGCCTAACTACAAAGAGAAGAGGGAACAGGGGGTTCCCCTCAGAGCAGAAGCACTGGGAGGCCCAGAATGACCCTGCTGGGGAGATCCTGGGATGCCACCCTTCCTCTGGCATCAGCCCAGTTTGGAGCAGGGGAGAAGATTCTGGAGGAATTTCTTCCAGAAGACTGAAGTGATAATACCTGCCTCAGATGTTTGTATGTACACAGGAAATTTAGACAATTGGAAGAAAATTTGAGGCTGAGTTATTCATAAGCACCGAAAATTACACAATCCAAGGGGAAAGCAAGAGGAAAAGTATTTGTAGACCCTATAGGGTCAGCTGTAAATAGTGTTTTCATGTAAATTCTGAATATTGAGTTTATGAGGAGGGTGGGAAGGACATATGTGGTCAGACAAGCCAAGAGGTGGGGGTGCACGGGGAACCCCTAAACCTGACAGGTCAGGGAGCGGCCATAGGAGTGTGCTTTTTAGTGGCACAGAGTAAACACCGAAGGAGTCTGCTAGAAATGGGAGTGCTTGCTTCTGGGAAAGGAGAAGGAAATTATTTTTCATAGGAAGCCCCATAGCATTATTTGGCTGTTTTGCAAAAACACTTGTAATACCAATTTATCTACTTTTTGCCCTGCCCCCGTGGTGGGGGGAAGCACATCACACCCCTCTATTGTGGGAAAAGACTCACTGCAGCCTCTCACAGCAGGAGGGCAGGGAGCAGGGAGGGCTCTCCTTTTGTTTGAGGTGGGATCTCACTCTGTTGCCCAGGCTGGAGTGTAATGGTGCAATGTCAGCTCTCTGTAGCCTTGACCTCCCAGGCTCAAGTGATCCTCCCACCTCGGCCTCCCGAGTATCTGGGACCACAGGCACATGCCACCACACCTGGCTGATTTTTAAATTTTTTTGTAGAGCTAGGGTCTTGCCATGTCTCCCAGGACAGTTTCAAACTCCTGGCATCAAACTATCCTCCCGCCTCAGCCTCTGAAAGTACAGGAATACAGGTGTGAGCCACCATGCCCAGCCAGGGGCTCTCTTCTGAGCAACATGGAGCCATACACAGCTCCTGCCAGAGCTCTCCCCTGAGCCGGCTGCTGGGGCCACCCCCTGTAGACATGGAGGAAGGCTGCTTTGGGGCTGGCACAACTGCTGAAGTGCATGGGGACCCTCGGCCTGCACCTGGAACCCTGACCCCAGGGCTCTGTGGGAGTGGGGCCTGCTGAGGGCTGGGTGGTATTTGAGCTCTGTGATCACGCAGGCTCTTGTTGGTAACACTGTGAACCCTCATGAAGCCAACACCCCAGACAGGCCTCAGGGGCTGCTCCCTCTCGTCAGAGAACAGGTGAGCGTAGGGAGGAACTGGTGTGTCCCCATGGCAGCACTGCTGTCTCGTTTTGTCCACTTGGGGGCCACAACCCAGCATGAAGGGACGCGGGTAGGGGATGGTTGGGACACTCAGTAGGAATTTGCCTCCTCTTGCAGGTCTCAGGCTCTGTGCACAGCCCTGGGCCAGGTGAACATCCCCCTGCTTCTCTGACATTGATGGACAAAGTCAGGCTGTCTCCAAAAGCCCACCCAGGACGGCACAAACCTGAGCCCATCCGCGGTGGGAATAAACCCACGAGGGCCTCATCTGGGATACCTGGACACCTCCTGGCCGTGTTGAGGCCAACGGTCCAAGAAGCTCCTGCGGGGGCTGCCTGGCCCCGGCCGCCTGCCCAAGGATAGGGGCCACCTGCAGCATGGCCTTGCCTGGGACAGGGTTGAGCAACCTCTGGGGAGCAAGGGACTGTTGCCCCCAGCTGCTTGCAGAGGGGCAGGACACCCTGAGTGCTGGAGAGACCAGGCCACCTCCCAGCCTTTGCCCCCAGCTCCAATCTGAACACCAAAAGGAGTTTCTCGGCAACAGATTTGTTTTCGTAGGGCGATTTTCTGGGTTGGAAGGACACATTTTCTTTTTCTTTTTTTTTGTTTTTTGAGACGGAGTCTCGCTCTGTCCCCCAGGCTGGAGTGCAGTGACACAATCTCGGCTCACTGCAAGCTCCGCCTCCCGGGTTCACGCCATTCTCCTGCCTCAGCCTCCCGAGTAGCTGGGACTACAGGCACCCGCCATCACGCGCAGCTAATTTTTTGTATTTTTATTGGAGACGGGGGTTTCACCGTGTTAGCCAGGATGGTCTCGATCTCCTGACCTCGTGATCCACCCGCCTTGTACTCCCAAAGTGCTGGGATTACAGGCGTTAGCCGCCGCATCCAGCTAAGGGACACATTTTCTGGGGGGCAGGTGATGAGTGTCAGGGACCTCACCCTCTCCACAGGCAGCACAGCCCTGCGGGCAACCCCACCAGGATGGGGAGAGGGTGCCACCTGCTGGCACCCCCATGGCCATGTAGGTCCCCTGGGAGAACCCTGGATTTTCAGGGGTCAGACAGGCTGCCTGTCCCTAAGGGGACCCCTGGGCCCCAAGGCGCCCGCTTTGGGAGTGGGGCAGGGAGTGGGGGCAGCACGTCCTGTCCTGCAAACTAATTAGCACCCTTAGTTGAAAAACTGGCCTAATGGCCTACGGGGAAGCTCGGCATACAAGGACCCAGCGACCCAACACCCTGAGTAGGGGCCGTGGGGCCCAGCAGGAGAGGGAGGCCGGCAGCCGGGCCCCCCACAGCCCTCCCGTTACTACTCCTCCCCCGACTGACCACCCCAGCCTGGCTAAGTTTTAACTTGTTTTGGTAGTAGATAGGTTCTACTCCAGCAGCCGAGTGGCCTTCAGGGTTGAGTTTGGTGCCACTGGACTCGGCTGTGCCTCTGTCAGTCCCCTGGCCAGGCCCAAAGTGCCCCATGGGCCCCCCTTCAACAGAACTGCTTCGAGGTTCGGAAGCAGCTCCGGACTGGAAGCCTGCAGCTGCTGGGCCCTGCTGGCTGGGTGGGGGGTCCCCGGAGAGGATGTAGAAATGAGGGGTGCAGCAAGCTGGGAGGGCTTGCTGGGGACTCTGATGGCCCCGCCCTCCCCTGCTGTTCTTCGGGAGCACAGCAGGGGCATGGGCGGGGTGCCCCGAGTGCGTGCCTACCCCCTGCCAGCCAGGGTGGGGTCCTTGGTGGTGCCTGGAGACCCTTCCCCTGCTCTGTCCCCCACAGCCCCTCAGGGCCTAGCAGGGTGGAGCGCCCCAGGTGTGTGCCCCACCCCATCCTGCCCACAGCAGGGCTGGGGGGCCGGGGGGCGGGCATCGTACAGGTGAGGCCCCTGGTGAGTGCTGGGGCTGCGCAGGGCTCTGAAGCTTCCGGGGAGGAGCCCGCACAGACGCCTCAGGGTTTCTCTGGCAACAACGTCCCTCCCCTCCCTGGAGGCGCCAGCTCCCAGGGTTCTTGTGTGCTCAGGGCAGTGGCCTTTGAGTCACAGGTGCCTCCCATGACGGACAGGGAGGCCTGGGCCTTCCAGCGGGTGAGTAGGGGGCTTCTACCTGAGCCCCACCCAGTCCTTCCCAAGCACCAGCAGAGGGGCCTGGGGCTGGAGAGCCAGCAGGGTTGATGGGTGGGGCTGAAAGGGCACAGACCGGTGAGGAGGGGCTTAGACTTGCCTTTTCCAGGAACTTAGCCGGGAGAGACCAGCCCACACTCCTCCATCCAGCTCCCCTGGGTAGGGGAGGGGGTCTTCCCACCTAGGGGCTCCCTCTGAGGGCTTGGGGCCTCCTCAGAGGCATAGCCAGGCTATCTCCAGGAGAGGAATTTCTCCTTCCCCACCCACTGGGCTGCCCCGCCTCTGGGCTCAGGTCCCACGTGGGGCCCTGGGATGAAGTCGTCATGTAATGAACTCAGTTTCCCCATCTGTGAAATGGGGATAAACACTGCCCAGCCCCAGATGGCTGATGCCTGGTCCTGCATTTGGTCCTGCTGGGCAGCGTGTGGTAGAGGTGGAGGCAGCCGGCTGACAGAGGCTCACCACTGTACCCCCACAAAGGGGGCCCAGCAGACCGTTCTGCACCCCGAGGCGGGGATGTCGTGGCTCCTCTCCTGGTGGCATCCCATGCCGGCCGCTGCCGGGTCCCAGGCTCCACAGCTGCATGGTTGCCTGGGAAACATGCTGGGCACAGGGCTGGGTGCCCGGGCCACGCAGGCTTGGGAGACGTTGCTATCCACAGTGGCCCTGGGGGGTGCCGGGTGGCCTGCTGCGGGGACTGCCGCCCTCACGCTTTGCTGCCGTGGCTGTGGCCTCTCCTTGGCGGGGGTGGACGGTGTCTCCCAGCAGCTCTGAGCCACCCGTGTGTGCCGTAGGCCAGGGCCTTTTATTAGGGGCTGCGTCACCACACTTGGCGGCTGGCCGAGGGCGTTGCAGGGGCTGGGGCCCAGAGGGTGGGGGGTGCCAGCAGCTGTGACCCCGGGTCCTACCTGTCACTCCTCTGAGGGCCACTCTCCCTGTGATTTCTCTCCACCTCATCTCACCCCTTTCAGAGTTTCCGTCTGCCTTCTCCCGTGGCACCCTCCCCTAGGGTCTTCACAAATCACTGGCTGTTGTGCCACTTCCTTCCCACCCTTGCATCTGCCACCTCCATGTGGCCCAGTCCCCCCGTGCCCCAGGGGAGTGGTTGGTGTCTAGAGCCGTCTACAGCATCATGGGGTAGCCAAAGCTGGAGGGGCAGGTGCCTGGACTCAGTCACCCTAGCAGCCTGGGCTGGCCTTGCCTGCCCTGCAGACCCGGGCAGGCGTGTGTGTGTGTTGTATGTGAATGTGTGTACAGTGTGTGTTGTCTGGGTATTCGCGTTGTGTGATGTGTGCATGTGGAATATATGTGATGTGTGGTCTGTGTATTGTGTGCCTGTGTGTGTTGTGTATCTCATGTGTGTGCATGGTGTGTGTGTGATGTGTGTATCTGTTGTGTGTGCACACTGTGTGTCTGTGTATCTGTGTGTGTTGTGTTTGTGCGTCTCTGTGTGTATGTGTTTGTGTGTGGTGTGTGTGCACTGTGTGTATCTGTGTGTATTATGTGCGTTGTGTGTCTGTGTGTTGTTTGTGTGTGGTGTGTGTTCTGCATGTGTATGTATCTGTGTGTTGTGTTTGTGTGTCTGTGTGTGTTTTTGTGTGGTGTGTGTGTACTGTGTGTATCTGTGTGTGTTGTGTGCATTGTGTGTGTTGTGTTTGTGTGTGGTGTGTGTGCACTGTGTGTATCTGTGTATTGTGTTTGTGTGTGTATGTGTTTGTGTGTGGTGTGCGTGCACCGCGTGTGTATGTATCTGTGTGTGTTGTGTGTCTGTGTGTGTTGTGTTTGTGTGGGTGTGTGTGCTGTGTGTTGAATATCACAGGGGGCATGTGCTTTTGGGTGTATGGGTCCCCAGGTGCCCAGGCGTCCTCGTCCCCTGCGGGTCATTTCCCCGCACCTGGGTCAGCCCCTGGAGAGCTGGCGCTGCTGGAAGGGCTTCTCTTGGGACACTGGAAACCTGCCCCTTTCCTCGATGCCTGGTGGCCTCAGGGCATGGCTGAGGGTGGCTGGAGCCCCTGGCCAGGGTGCAGGGCCAGCCTGGTGTGTCTGCTGCTGGGGGCCACTGCTTGGCACCCAGGGCTGGGGCTGGGGACGTGGAGGCTGGGTGCCATGCTGGGTGCCATGCTCACGTCCAGGCCTGTGCTCGGCTGCTGTGGCTGCGGAGGGCTCTGTGGTCTCCAGCCCTGGGCCCCATGAGGCAGGGGCGTGGCGGGCACCTCTCCTTCACGGCCCGCTGGTTCCATCCCCCAGGCCTGCTTGGGCCTGCCCAGGGTTTGCTTTTCTAGGTTGAGGCGGTGCCAAGTAAACAGCGTCACTAATTAGAGCAGAGCTGCCACCAGCTTCCAGGAGGAAGCCCCCCACCCTGCCACCCACCCAGCCCCGCCAGCCAAGACCGCAGCAGTAGTGCGGCATATGCCACAGGCTGGAGAGCCAACAGGCTTCCACGGCGGCAGCCGGCTGCGCTTGCCGTGGGAGGTGCCACCTGCAGGCTACACCTGTACGGAGCTGGGCAGAGGTGTGTGGTGTGTGTTGTGTGTGTTGTGTGTGTTGTGTGCATGTTGTCTCTGTGTGTTGTGTACATTGCCTGCATGTGTGGTGTGTGTGTGTTATGTGTTTTTTCCATGTATTGTGTGTCTGGTGTGTGTTTGTGTGTGTAATGTGTGTATAATGGATGTTGTCAGTGTGTGAGATGTGTGTTGTCTGTGCTGTGTGTTCTGTGTGTAATGTGTGTTGTGTGTGTGTGATGTGTGTATAATATGGATGTGATGTGTTGTTTGTGTGTGTGCATGATGTCTGTGTGCAATGTGTGTTGTGTCTGTGAGTTTGTGTGTCTGCATGTGGTGTGTGTGTCTGTGTGATTGTGTTGTGTGTATGTGTGATATGTGTTTGTGTTGTGTGGTGTGTGTGTTATCTGTGTGTTATGTGTGTAATGTGTGTCTGTGTTGTGCGTTTGTGTGTGGTGTGTGTGTTGTCTGTGTGTTATGTGTGATGTGTATTGTCTGTGTATTGTGTTTGTATGAAGTGTGTGTATTGTGTGATGTATGTGGTTTCTGTGTGTTGTGTGTGTTGTCTGTGTATTGTGTGTGTGATGTGTATTGTCTGTGTGTTGTGTTTGTGAGTTGTCTGTGTGTTGTGTGTGGTGTGTTTCTGTGTGTTGTGTGTGATGTGTATTGTCTGTGTGTTGTGTGTCTGTGTTGTGTGATGTATGTGGTGTGTTTCTGTGTATTGTGTGTAATGTGTGTTGTCTGTGTGAAGTGTGTGTGTTGTGTGTCTGTGTGTTATGTGAGTTGTCTGTGTGAAGTGTGTGTGTTGTGTGTCTGTGTGTTATGTGATGAGTGTGGTGTGTGTTTCTGTGTGTTGTCTGTGTATCGTGTATGTGTGACATGTATTGTCTGTGTGTTGTGTGTCTGTGTTGTGTGATGTGTGTGGTGTGCGTTTCTGTGTATTGTGTGTGAGATATGTGTTGTCTGTGTTGTGTGTATGAGTGTGTATTGTGTGTCTGTTGTGTGATGTGTGTGGTGTGCGTTTCTATGTATTGTGTGTGTGATATGTGTTGTCTGTGTTGTGTGTATGAAGTGTGTGTTGTGTGTCTGTTGTGTGATGTGTGTGGTGTGCGTTTCTGTGTATTGTGTGTGTGATATGTGTTGTCTGTGTTGTGTGTATGAAGTGTGTGTTGTGTGTCTGTTGTGTGATGTGTGTGGTGTGTGTTTCTGTGTATTGTGTGTGATATGTGTTGTCTGTGTTGTGTGTGAAGTGTATATTGTGTGTGCATTGTGTGATGTGTGTGGTGTGTGTTTCTGTGTGTTGTGTGTGGTGTGTGTCTATGTGAAGTGTGTTGTCTGTGTATCGTGTGTGTGATGTGGATTGTCCTTGTGTTGTGTGTCTGTGTGTGTTGTGTGATGTGTATGGTGTGTGTTTCTGTGTGTTGGTCTGTGTGTGTTGTGTGATCTGTGTGGTGTGTCTGTGTGTTGTGTGTGGTGTATGTCTGTGTAGTGTGTGTGAGATGTGTGTGTTATGCATTGTGTATGGCATATGGTGTGTGTGTTGCGTGTCTGTGTGTGATGTGTGTTTGTGTGTGTTGTGTGGTGTGGTGTGTGTTGTATGTCTGTATTGTGTGTGCTGTGTGTATGGTGTGTGTTGTGTGTGGTGCATGCAGTGTGTGTGTGCTTTGTGTGTGGTGTGAGTGTTGTGTGTGTGCTTTATTGTGTGTGGTGTGTGTGTGCATGTGTATTGTGTGTGGTGCATGTAGTATGTGTGGTGTGTGTGTACTTTTATGTGTTGTGTGTGTGTGTGCTGTGTGTTGTGTATCACGGGGAGGCATGTGCTTTTGGGTGTGCGGAGCCCACAGTGCCCGGGCATCCTCGTCCCCTGCGCGTCATTTCCCTCCACCTGGGTCACCCCTGGGAGCTGGTGCTGCTGGGAGGGCTTCTCCTGGGCCCTGGAAACCTGCCCTTTTCCTTTCCTGGGCGCGGAGCTGCCCTTTGAGGACAGAGGTGCCGTCTTGGTCCCTCCCTGGCCTCCTTTCTCCCCCCGCCCCAGCCCCAGGGTGAGCACTGTGTACTCCATGTGTCTTCTGACTCCCAGGAGCCCCAGCAGCCAGGGCTGACTCTCCGCCCACTTTACAGAGGGGAAGACCCGTGTCCAGCGGGTTGAACGACTGGCCCGCCATCACCGGCCTCAGAGACAGCCGCATGTCTGGGCCAGTCACGGCTCTTGGCCTCTGGGCCCCACCGTTGCTGGGAAGGGGAGGTGTGTGGCTGTTCTGTGGGGTTTTCATCCCAGCCCCTCCCAGCCGAGGAGCCATCCCCATGCAGTGGCTCTGCGTGGTGCTGGGACCCCAGGTGGCTGCTGCTCTCTCCTGGCCTTGGGGACATGGAAGGTGTAGGACAGCTTGGCACGCCCGGCCTTCTGACCCTGCTGGGACCCTGGACACATGACTTAGGCTGAGCCTCATCCGCTGGTTAAGTGGAAGTAGCACCTGTTTTTCTCTGGTGGGATTGCCCTGAGACGACGTAAGATAAGTCATCAAGCATTTGCCACGGCGCGTGGTGCACTGGGGGCCCTGGAACGCTCTTCCAGCGATAAGCATCTGCACGCCAGTGTGTGCCATGGGCAAGGCTACTTCCTGCCCCCAGGGGACCGTCCCCCCAGGGAGGGAGGCTCAGGAGGGGTGACAGAGGTCCCAGGAGGGGAACTGCATGTGCCTCACTGAGCTGGACTGGAGCATGGTGGGTGGAGTGGAGAGAGCAGTGTGGCTGCGGAGAGGCCAGGAGCTGAGGTGCAGGGTCTGAATGGGTACGGACCCAGCTAGGCCCGGAGTAGGGTGGGGATGTGGCTGGCTGGGCCTGGCTGCAGGGCTCCCGTGCTGCTGGGGACAGGGGGGCCTGGCCTGCCCAGGGGATACCCCTTGACTCAGGCTGCAGCCTCTGCCCAGTGGCCTTCTTGGAGCCTTGCTGCTCCTGTCCACCCCATGCAGAGTAGCCCCGAGCCTCGTACCCCAGCAGGCGTGAGTCTCCTGGGGGCAGGGCAGGGGCGCCAGCCGGTGCAGGCTGTGAGCGGTCCCCGTGGCACGGACAACATCGGCAGAGGGTCCTGGACAGGTGGACCCGCCTTCGGGAGCTGACGTGTGTCTCCTGATTCAGAGCTGCGTCTGGAAGCCTCAGCTGGTGACCAGGCCAGGGAGGCAGACGCTCCGCTGTCCCCCAGGGCAGGTGGGGAGGAGAAGGAAGGAAGCCGGTGGTGGGGGCAACTCGCAGGACCTCGCGATGCTCTGCTCGCTGGGTTTGCTTTTCCGTTCCCAGGCATTTGCTGTCATGATTTTGTTCCCAGTCACAGCGACGCATTTCCACGCATTTATGATGCACCTTCTTCCAGAGCCTCCAGGCAGCTGCTGAGTGGCTGGGTGGTTTTCCTGCTCATGGGAGAAAGGGAGCCACCAGACTTGGCCTCTTCTGCTCAGGAGGACCCTGCCCCTGTCCCTTCATGGGAGCAGGGCTGAGAGCCCAGGACCACAGCTGATTTGGGAGCCTGAAGGCCTGGCAGGGAGGTGGCAACCCGTCAGCAGGGGGGCCAGGCCTGTGCACCACTCGGATGGCCCTGGGAAGCAGAGGCTGCAGAGGGGTCCCTGGGCAGGGCGAGGCTCTGTAGGAATGGAAGGGGGCTGGAAGTGGAGCTGCCTTCTGGGTGCCTGAGAGCCGTTCAGGCTCCGAGGGTGGGGGGACCCTGTGGTCACACCGCTGGTTCCCTGAAGCTCCCTGTAACATCCCAGACATGTTCCCCAGGGTGTAACAGCCCGAGGCTCATCCTTGTCCCTGCCTCATCACAGGAAAGGGCTCATGCCCTGGCGCTAGGAGGGTGCAGACAGGCCAGGTGGGGCTGGAGGTGGCCGCACCTCACATTATACGCAGGGCCTGCCTGTCTTTGGATGGCTCCTCTCTCCCTCCCCTCCGAGGCTGCTGGTGGCTCAGCCTCTGTGCCCTGGATGCCCGTGGCTGTGCCTGCCGGCAGCCAGGGCCCCGTTTGGCTTGGAATCTCCCCTGGGCCCCGTGCCTATGTGGGGCTGGGCTTGGGCGGTGTCTCCAGGCGTTTGCCTGGCGGTTCCAGAGGACAGGTTCTATAGCGTGAGCCTGGAGGAGGGCCCTCCATCCTTCGTGCCTTCCTAGACTTAAGAGGTCTTTCGCGCAGACCTCCCTTCTCTGGGGCCACTTGGGAAGGGTCAACTTAAGGGCCATTCCTGGAACAAATCCGTGCTCATGATCATCGCAGCTCCGTGCCACTGCCACCTCCCGCGGGGATGGACTCACCAGGGGCTCACAATGGTGAGCATTGGGGGAGGGGGTGGTCCCCAGGCTCCAAGGTGGCACTGCCAGTGGGGGTGGGGAAGGAGCTGGGAGGGAACTGGGATCTGAGTCTGAGTTCCCCTCAGGGACTGCAGAGCCATGTCCTCCCCACCACACTGCCGTGTCACGGACCCACTGGGATGTGCAGGGTCCGAGGAGGCCAGCGGGGGCTCCTGACCTGGGGCAGCACCTGGCATCTCTGCCACTGTCACTGTGGGCAAAGGGTGTCTTCTGGCCTGCACCAGGGTGAGCCCAGAAGCCAGCGCCCCTTCCCCTGCCCAGCCCCATGGAACTGAGAGATGGTGGCTGATGTGTTTCTGTTGGGATGTCTGGGCTGGGCCCCACAGCTGCTGGGACCTCTGTGCCTCAGACTGAATTGAACCTAACCCTGACCTGGGGTTAGGCCCCGCCCCCACCAACCAGAAACTTGCCCAACACTGACCCCACAAGCCCAGCCCGGCCCCATTCCCTCCCTGCATGTCATTCTGGGCCTGGGCGGACTGGGTGGGGCACCGCTGAGAGCCCCATCAGGAGCTGAAGGCCAGAGGCTCTGTCGCTGAGTGACAAGGTTATTATGCTGTCACGGGGCCAGCCGGAACTCTCCCCCACCCCACCAAGAGACAGCTCATTAGGAAGGCCCCCAGCTGTGGCCAGCCCAGGGCCGGGCTGCCCACCGTGCCAGCCCAGTTTCAATGACCCACCTGAGGGTTTCCATCGTGGGCCAGGGGACCGGCGCAGGCGGGCATCCGGAGCCAGGCAGTGGCCAGCCCATCCCGGGCAGGGTCATAGGTGGGGCTGCAGGCCTCGAAGCCGCCATGTGAAGGCAGCAGCGACCCCAGGCAGGGCGGGCCAGGTTGACCTTGCACCTGCTCTCCCCTCAGCCCCGCGGCCATGCCGACCCTGGTCGTGGGCACGCCGCCCACCTGCCTGGGGGACACACCTCAGCCCTGCCACAAGAACAGCCAGAGGCAGGGCCCCTTCTCCCATGGGGCCCCAGGGAGAGCAGCCGACTGGAAGGCTGTTGCCAAGCCCAGGTAGCATCTGCGTGGACTTAGGCGGGGGGCTGCACTGCTGGCAGGTGCCATGCCTGCCGCTGGAGGCAGCGGCTCTGTGGGAGGTACAAGGGCGTGGGGTCAGAGTGACGTGCCTGCCTCTGCACGTGCCTTTGGGCAGGCAGCCCGGCCTCTCTGAGACTCAGTTTCTCCATCTGTAAATCGGGCCGATCACATTACCTACCTCAGAGGGGTGTGGTCAGGGCTTGAGAGAGAATGCCGGGGCTGTCCTCCAGGTGGGGTGTATTCCAGGCCCTCCTTTCCACCTCCAGTCTGTGGAGCAGGAATGCCCGGGGAGGTGGGGCCAGTCTGAGCGGCTCTGCTCGGCACCTCTGCGCCTGCATGTCTGACCGGCATGTCTGCCGTTCCCTCCCAGGCTCTGCGCACCTGCAGCTGAGGATGACGTGGCAGCCCTGAGGTGGCCCGGGCCCTCCCAGCAGCCAGACCCACCCTGGGCAGCTCCCCACGTGGTCGGGTCTGACGACCTCAAGGAACCAGGACCCTGGGGGAAGGCGTGCAGCCTGCCCATGTGGTCCACAGGCCCGGAGGCTAGGGATGGGGACAGCTCGGTGTCATCGGGCCGCCTCTCGTGCTCTTCGGGGGGCCACGACGTGTGTGTGTCTTGGAAGGAGAGGCCACCCCAGGTGTTGGGGCCCCAGCAGAGGCCCAGAAAGAGTGACGCGCGGCTGGAGCAGCTGAGAGACAAGATCCGGGCCCAGGCGTGGCAGCAGGGGAGCTGTGCGTCCCTGGGCACCTCAGCCCCCTCCAGCGCCTCCAGACTCCACAAAGCCTCCACGCTGATGCTTAGGAGGAAAGGCCAAGAGGCAAAAAATCCCCCTCCAGCCCCTGAATGCTCAGGTCAGTGGCCACTTTGCCAGAGAGGGGCAGGAGGGCTGCGAGGCTGTCGGGAGGGTGGAAAGCGGGCAGGATCGGGCTGTGCTGGACACGTGGTGGGGGCCAGCCGGGTGTATGCAGCGTGCCCCCAGGGTGGGGATTAGGAGTCATGAAGGGGTGCTTCTGAGCTGGGTCCATGATGAGGATCCCTCCCTGGAGACGACAGAGGAGCGGTGGAGATGCCAGCGCCCAGGAGGGAGGGGCACACAGGGCCTGTGGCACTGGAAGAGGGGGCCTGGTCCCTGGACCTAGAGTCTGTGCCTTTGTCCCTGTAGCCTTGGGGGGCTGCATGGTCAGATTTGTGGGGGCTTAGGTCAGGAGCGCCCTAAAAAGTCAGCCTGGGATTTGGAAAGTCTGGCAGCTTCCCTCCTGCAGGGACAGGGGGTGGGAGTGTGGTGGGGGGGTCTTGTCCTTGGAAGGGTGAGGGGTGGGAGGGGTAACTAAAGAAGTTTGGAAACGGCTTCCCTCTTGGAGTGATGTTGAGAGCCAGTCCTGTGGATTCTCTGTGTCCAGGTATTTAACTCTTTTCCTAAGAAAACAGGGAAGATGTTTTCCTCCTTTAATTTTACATTTATTTTTTATTTTTTTGAGATGGAGTCTCGCTCTGTCACCCAGGCTGGAGTATGGTGCAATCTCATTGCGGGTTCAAGCGATTCTCCTGCCTCAGCCTCCCGAGTAGCTGGGATTACAGGCACCCGTCACTATGCCTGGCTAATTTTCGTATTTTTAGTAGAGACGGGGTTTCACCATGTTGGCCAGGCTGGCCTCGAAATCCTGACCTCATGATCCGCCCACCTCGGCCTCCCAAAGTGCTGGGATTATAGGTGTGAGCCACGGTGCCCAGCCTCCTCTATTTTTAAGATAACTTCTGATTAAAAAAAATATGTAGTCCGGGAGCGGTGGCTGATGCCTGTAATCCCAGCACTTTGAGAAGCTGAGGCGGGCAGATCACGAGGTCTGGAGATCGAGACTATCCTGGCTAACATGGTAAAACCCCATCTCTACCAAAAATACAAAAAAAACTAGCTGGGCATGGTGGCGGGCGCCTGTAGTCCCAGCTACTCAGGAGGCTGAGGCAGGAGAATGGCGTGAATCCAGGAGGCGGAGCTTGCAGTGAGTCGAGATTGCGCCACTGCACTCCAGCCTGGGCGACAGAGCGAGACTTCGTCTCAAAAAAAAAAAAAAAAAAGTAACGTATGCATAACATAAAATGTACCATCTTAACCATTTTAAAGTGCATGATTCCATGTCACTGAGCACATTCACGGTCCTGCAGCCACCACCCTCCGTCTCCAGGACTGTTCATCTTCCCAAACTGAAGCTCTGTCCCCATGAAACACTCACCCCCGTCCCCTCCCAGCCCCGGGACCCTTCATCCTACTTCCTGTCTCTGTAGCTCTGACAACTCTGGGGACCTCCTATCAGTGGAATCACAGAATTTGTCCTTTTGTGACTTTGTTTTTTTAAGGCAGTGCATGTTTTCGTAGCGGTGGGAGGTATAATAAGCACAAATAATGAATAAAATGGAATAAAAATCATTCCAATTCCCCATGTACCTTCCTCCCCCAACCTGCCTGAGCGAATACTTTGGGGTGCACCCCTCTAAGTCATTACTTCCCTTTGCAAGAACAGGAGTTGAATCCCATACTGTGGTACCTCCTTCCTGGTGCTACGTGGTCCAAATCCCACCCAGGGCACAGCATGAAGGCGCGCAGGGCCTGGCTCACTGCTGGTGGCTCCGCGGAGCCACTGCCAGAGGCGTTTCTGTGTGAGATGCCTGCGTCGTGCCAAGCGCTGGTGCAGCTCCTGATGGCCCCACTGGATGCATTCTCAGGCCTGGAACATTGGTCAGATGTGCTATTCAAAAGTTTTTGAGGCTGGGCGCGGTGGCTCACGCCTGTAATCCCAGCACTTTGGGAGGCTGAGGTGGGCAGATCACGTGAGGTCAGGAGTTCGAGACTAGCCTGGCCAACATGGGTGAAACCCCGTCTCTACTAAAAATACAAAAAAATTAGCCAGGTGTTGTGGCAGGCGTCTGTAATCCCAGTTACTCGGGAGGCTGAGGTAGGAGAATCGCTTGAATCTGGGAGGTGGAGGTTGCAGTGAGCTGAGATCACACCATGGCACTCCAGCCTGGGCGACAGAGCTAGTCTCCGCCTCAGAAAAAAAAAAAAAAGTCTTTTGAAATACAAAAATTAGCCAAGCGTGGTGGCCAGCACCTGTTGGCCCAACTACTCGGGAGGCTGAGGCAGGAGACTCGCTTGAACCCAAGAGGCGGAGGTTGTAGTGAGCTGAGATTGCGCCATTGCACTCCAGCTTGGGTGACAGAGTGAGACCCTGTCTCAAGTAAATAAATAAATAAATGCTCTTGAGCTGCTGCCAAACTGGAACCTTTTCTTGGAAGTTCTTTGCGGATCTCTCTTCTCACGCTGCCTTCTTCTTTTCACCCTGTTCCAGGTTTCAGCATCTTGAGTGCAGCTGAGCGCAGAGTTGAAGCCAAGGCATCCCACGGCCAGGGGCGCGAGCTCTCCAGGGTCTCCCAGCACCAGGTTCCTGGTGAGCGGCTCTGCGGCGGCTGCCCTGGTGCTCCGGGTTGGATGCTCAGGCCATGATGGGGGCAGCACATGCTGGGCCACCCTCACAGACAAAGACACTGAGGGTCAGGGAGGACCCCAACTGGAAAGAGGCCAAGGGGGGATTTGGAGCCAGACTGCCATTCTCTGGAGCCTGTGTTCTAACCCTCTGCCTCTCCAGTGGGGCAGGACCCAGGCAGGCCCTGCAGGGCAGGGGAGCTGAGCAGGGGCATTTTTTGTTGTTGTTGTTTGTTTGTTTTTGCTGAGAGATCTCCTGCACAGAACAGGCAAGGAGTTTTCTGTGTGGCTGCATGCCAGCCACAGGGAGTGGGTCTGGGGCCCTCCAGGTCCCTGCCAGCTCCTGGGCTCACTTTTCCGTCTTGTAGATGGGAGGCACTGCCCCCCCAGCCCACAGATGGGGAAACGCTGAACCGTTGGCGGGCTCCCAGGCCCGTGAGGAAGGGGCTGGGGCCAAGGGCCCCACCAGGTTTTTGCTTACTCATTTGCTCAACAAATGGAAGGGGTAGGATGGAGGGGGCAGGAGCTGCTTCTGGGGGCTGGAGGATGTGGCCTTCATCCCGGGCAATGGGAGCCATTAAGGTCTAGGCAGGGAATGGCCGTGAGCTGGGCTTGGGCAGGCTCACTCTGCTGCTGGGGCAAAATGGATGCAGGAGGCTCTCTCGAGTCCAGAGACAGGCAGACGCCGGCAAGATTCCTGAGGCCCAGAATGAAGGATGGGGAGCTTGGGAGCGGAGGCGTTTCGGGCTCAGCACAGGGAATCATGTGCGTTTTTGTGGGGACAGTTGCTGTCCATCCCAGCGGTGCAGTGCCGGCCGGGTGGGTCCAGGTCGGTGGTTTCTCCGTGAGGTCTGGTTGGGCAGCAGCCACAGGCAGGCATTTGGGTGTGTCCCTCCCATGTGGAGTGTGAGCCAGTGCAGATGTGGGCGGGGTCCAGGGCTGGCCCCTCGGAGAGCAGGGGACAGAGCCATCTCCCTGACCCCACAGTTGCCGGGGAACTCCTGTCCATCCAGATCCGGTTCCGCCTGAGCCCTGTGGTCAGCGCCACTTTGTTCCTCCCTCCTCCGCCTTCCAGGGGGACCCCAATGGCATCAGCTTGGTGACCACTTTCTCTGCCCCTGCCCCAGGTCAAGTTCAGGGTCCAGCAATGGGTCACTCAGGGACCTCAACCACCCCATCCTATCAGTCACCGGCTCCTGGCAGCCTCGTTTTCACGCTCCGAGTTTGAGAACTCTCCAGAAGCAGGCATGGAGGAGGCCCTTTTTTAAAGTGCCCAGTTCAGTGGCGCTGAGCACATTCATAGCACTGTGCAGCCATTGCCAGCCTCTGTTTCTAGAACTTTCCATCTTCCCAAACTGAAACTCTGTCCCCACTTACTCTCCATCCCTCTCCCCCAGCCCCTGGCACCTACCTTCCTACTTCCTGTCTCTATGGGCCTAGTGACTCTGGGGACCGCATAGAGTGGGATCACAGTCTGTGTCCCTTGCAGAGGACCTGGCTCTTGAGGCTCCTCCTGCCAGCAGAGTTGGGGCCTGGAAAACCAAGAGACAGGCCCAGCCTGGACCAAGTGGCGTTTGGAGGCCCAGACGCCTTTGGGCCAGGGTCCTCTTCTGTGGTTCCCCACCCATGGGGACAAGGCAGGTTCTCGCATGGCGGCTTCCCAGATACTCCCCCACCCCAGCTGTGCAGAGACTAAAGGAAGTCGGAAGCAGGGAAAGATGACCAGCCAGCCTCTGGAGCCGGGCCCTCTCGGTGGCCGCTGCACTCGCTGCGGGACTTTGAACAAACTCCGCCCCCTCGGGCTCTCCATCTCCTCCCCATCGGCAGAGGGGTCCACTCCATGGTGCCAAGGCCCCCCCAGGTCTGGCCCTCACTCCTCCTGGCCCTGGTCCCAGAGATGTTCAGTCCGGCCGCTGCCACTCTGTGCATTCACTTGGGGCCTGGCCCGTCCAGTCATTCATTCAGTCAGCAAACAGTCCTGAGTGCCCATGGCCCGGGCCCCCAGCTGGGTGCTGGATTCAGAGATGAGAAACTGGTTCCTGTCCTCAGGACCTCTGGGCCTGGAGGGGAGGCCACCAGACACTCGGGAGGGAATTTGAATAGGTATGCCTGCCTCTCTAAGGAGGAGTCCCCAGCGGCAGTCCCCAGGCAGAGCACTGCAGGGGACGTGACAGTCAGACTGTGGCCTGTCCCCAGCGTTAGCTGCCCACCCTGGCTCTCGCCAAGCAGGGAGCAGGACTGGCAATGTGTATGGCTCTAGGGACTGTGTTTGCACAGGACCCCGGGGTAGCCACGTGGGGGGCCCGTGTGTCACTTTACTGCTCACCCTCCCTCCCTCCCTTCCTTTCTCTTCCTCACTGAAGTTCTGAGGGAAAAACCCAAAAGGGTCAAAAGCAGTTCTTGCAAAAGAGAGAAGACCCCCAAGTTGCCCTCCCCTAGAAGAGCGGCCAAAGACAAACACAAAGACGAAGGTAAGGTTTGCTATTTTGGGGCCCTGGCACGCTAGGTGCATATGATCCTGGCACTCTAGGTAGGCAGATGGCTTTCATTTCTGGGGCTGGGGCTGGGGCTGGCCAGTCGGACTGCCATGTACACAGGGTTCTGCAGGGCACCTGGGATCGGCAGGCCCGGCTGGAGCGTCAGGGCTGGTGTCCCAGGCAACTGGTGACCTTGGCCACCACTGGAGCAGCAGGTGGTTCCTGTCCGGGCAGGGGCGTGTCCCTTGAGACAAAGTGAAAGTCCACCAAACACCAGGCACTATTGTCCTCTCAACACCCAGAGACTGGGCGAGTCTAAGAAAACAGAGCTGTTCAACCACACTGTAGCATGCACTGGCAGCTCACGGTACCCGCAGCTCACACCACCTGCAGCTCACACCACCCGCAGCTCACACCACCCGCAGCTCACGGCACCCGTAGCTCAGGGCACCTACACCCCATGGCACCCGCAGCTCAGGACACCCACAGCCCATGGCACCCGCAACTCACGGCACCCACAGCCTACGCCACCCACAGCTCACGCCACCTGCAGCTCACGCCACCTGCAGCTCACGGCTCTTCAGAGCAGTAACAGATACTGGCATGTGTGCACATGCAGTGGGCAGCTCAGGGCACGCTTGGCCGAGGGAGCCGTGCTTGCTTTCTTTGTCACACGTTCACATTTAGTGAGCAAGCCCAGGGCATCTCCTTCCACCTGCACACTTGGGGGTGGGAGAGGGTCTTCCGCAGACCCCACTCCCTCCAGTAGCTTGGGGACTTTGTGCAGGCACAGGGGGTGTGTGAGTCAGCCATGTGCTTGCATTACGATTAATTTCATGCGTGTTTCCCGGAGAGTCCAGTCAGGTAATCCTGTGGGTGGATCCCAGTGGTCACAGAGGAATTTCTGATCCAGGCATCTCCCTGCTGAGGACTGGGCAGAGGTGTCAGTGCCCTGCAGAGACCCAGCGGCCCAGCCTGGGCATGGGTTTCAGAGCTTGCAGGGCGAACCTGACAGCGGCCCCTGCCCTTGAGCGGGTGGGTGGCAGGCAGAGTCCCTCTGGGGCTTCCTTCTGGGGCGTCTTCGAGGTCAGGGGAGTGGCCAGTGCCCGCACTCTGTGAGCTCACTGCAGCCTCCTGGTTCCCCGCCAAGGTTGGCAGTCTTGCTCCCATTTTGTAGATGAGGCAACCGAGGTTCACAGAGTTTCCACAGCCTGCCCGGGGCTGCACAGAGGCAGAGCCTCCCACCCGTCCAGCCCAAGGCCGGTGCTCCTAACCTGGAAGCCCAGCCGTGTGCACCTGGGGCCACGCCTGGGCAGCTTGTCGAGGCCACCCTCCAGGCGTGGATTCTGGGGCCACCGAACCACAGCGTTTTGGAGACACCAGCAAGAGCCCCCAGGTGGAGTGAACGCCTGAGATTGGCTTTGTGGGACCCTCACTCCAAGTGTGAGCAGTGCCAGCTCGCTGGCCACTCCTGTAATGCTCCATGCCTCAGTTTCTCCACACTGCGTGCAATCACAGCCCTGGGGCCGTGGGGAGGGGCACTGCGTGGCGTGCGTTCTGTCCGTGCCCAGGTGCCTAAGCATCTGTCCCGTGTCATCAGTTGCCGGCCCCTCTGCTCCTAGGCAGAGCAGCAGCTTCCAGCCGAGAGTAAACGCCTCTGTGCCCATACCCAGAGAGGACACGCGGGTGAGGTGGGAGCTCAGCGGGGCTGCGGGGCCACCGTGTGCATTCAGCGGGGCCAGAGGCCGAGCAGAAGGGGACTGCGATGTAGGGACCCGGGCACCCAGAAGGTTCCGGAAGGCCGTGGAAACATGCGTACAATATAACAATTTTCTGCATGATCACCCCCTCCCTCCCCCAGGTCTTTGGTTTGTTTTATTTTAATGGCTCTGTTGAAAAATGACCTGCTTTCTGCCTGACACTGGGTCAGAGGGCATGCCACCGGCCGCATTCATCATCGTAAACACCGTGTCACCCTGACAGTGTTGACCATTAGTTTCTGTCAGTGACGAAGTCACAGCTGGGCTAAGGAGAGATGAGTTTCGGTTCAGAGGTCAGAGCCACAGGACTTGGGAATTGGATGAATTAGAAATTTGCTGTAGTTAACAAAAAATTAAATCACAATAGTTATAAAATATTCATCCATCCGGGCCAAAGGAAAATGAAGCCTGATATTTAATTTCAGATTATATCACCTCACTTTGCATTTTTTATCATAGATTAGGTCGGCCCCAGAACTTTGACAGGGCACTTGGGGACTTCATCCATTTCCACAGATTAAAAATCCTCTCGTAAAAAAATTAATTGCCATTAAACTGCTCAGCGGAAGAAAAAATGTGCCCATCAGGACCCATTTATCGAGCGGGACCCTCTGGCGGGCTAATGGGGAAGTGAGTGGCCAGCAATGGAGGGGCCGGGCGGGCAGGCGGGCAGCCCCTCCCCAGGCGGGTCCCTGGCCCAGCAACCCAGCGAGGGAGAGCAGCTGTAGGGACTAGGATGGAGAAACCCCACCGGGGCTCCCCTCCACGCTGGGTCCCCCCCGAAACCCAGCTGTGACCAGTTGGGTCACGCTGGCCTCAACTCCGGCCTTTGACACCACCCTGAGCCAGTGGAATCCTGACCCTCTTCCAGGCCTAACTCCTGCAATGATCGTGACTGCCCTTTCATTCTTGTGGCCCTATGGGAGGTGCTGTGAGATAGGCACCCCATTTTACAGATGGGGAAACTGAGGCATGGATAAGTGAAACACTTGCCTGAGGCCCATGGCTGGTGAGTGGCAGAGCCAGACTTAAACCCAGGTCTGAGAATCCTGAGACCACGCCCTAAACCTTCCTCTACCTTGGGGTCCTGTCCTAGACAGTGTATGGCCTTAAGGGGTCCTGCCCTAAAGTGGGTGTGGGGCATGGCCTGGGGTCCTGTCCTGGAGAGGCCGTGGCCATGGGAAGCCTGTCCTTGGGGACGTGGCTTTGGGAGGGCATGGCCTGGTGGGTGCAACCATGTAGCCCATTCACCTTCCTGGAGAGGTAGCTTCAGGCCTGTGGCTGATGGCCAGGGGTCAGGGCAGTGTGAGGAGGGTGCCGTGTCTGGGGGGTGCTAGGGAAGTCCCTGACTCAGTCCGGGAGCCTGCCCCTGGGTGCTCAGCTCTCTGGATGGTCCCTGCCCAAGGCACTCTCATTTGGCAGAAAGTCCCCCTTCATGGGGGCCAGGGCCAGCCCTGGCTGAGACTCCACAGTGGTCTTGACCCCAGGCCACGGGGTGGAGCTGCCCTGGGCTGGGCCTAAGGAAGGGGCATAGGGGCCAGGGACCCTTGGCATGTGTGGTGTTGGCCCTGCAGAGCCAGGTGGAATAAGCAGTGTGTGTGAGTGAATGTGTGTGTGAGAGCACGTGAGGGCATGTGTATATGAGCGTGTGAGAGTGAGAGCACATGTGAGGGCGTGTGTATATGAGCGCGTGAGAGTGTGAGACCACGTGAGGGCGTGTGTATATGAGCGTGTGAGTGTGTGTGAGAGCACATGTGAGGGCGTGTGTATATGAGCGTGTGAGTGAATGTGTGTGTGAGAGCATGTGAGGGCGTGTGTATGAGTGTGAGAGTGTGTGAGTGTGAGCACTTGAGGGCGTGTGTATATGAGCGTGTGAGTGTGTGAGAGCACATGTGAGGGCGTGTGTATATGAGTGTGTGTGTGAGAGCATGTGAGGGCGTGTGTATATGAGTGTGAGTGTGTGTGTGAGAGCATGTGAGGGCATGTGTATATGAGCATGTGTGTGTGGGAGAGCACGAGGGAGTGTGTATATGAGTGTATGAGTGTGTGTGGTTGTGTGTGAGCGTGTGAGTCAGAGAGCATATGAGACTGAATGTGTGTGAGAACGAGTGTGTGGTAGTGTGAGTGTGAGAGCATGTGTGTCTGTGTGAAAGTGTGTGAGGATGAGACCGTGTGTGAGCATGTCAGTGTGTACAAGTGTGTGTGCATGTGTGAATGCATGAGTGAGCATGTGAAAGCATGTGACTGAGCATGTGTGACAGCACGTGCGAGGGCATGCGTGTGACAGAGTGTGAGCATGAGTGTGAGCATGCGAGTGCCTGTCAGCATTGGCGTGCATATGTGTGAGCCTGGGAGCACGTGAGGGAGTTGTGGGCACGTGTGTGACAGTGTGTGAGCATGTCAGTGTGAGTGTGTAAGCGTGTATGTGAGCATGTGTGTTTGTGAGTGTGTGAGCATGTGTTTGTGAGTGTGTGAGCATGTGAGTGTGAGTGTGAGCATGTGTGAGTGTGTGAGCATGTGAGAGTATGTGAGCATGTGAGTGTTTGTGAGTGTGTGAGCATGTGAGTGTGAGTGTGTGAGCATGTGAATGTGTGTGAGCATGTGAGTGTGAGTGTGTAAGCATGTGAGTGTGAGTGTGTGAACATGTGTTTGTGAGTGTGTGAGCATGTTAGTGTGAAAGCATGAGTGAGTGTGTAAGCATGTGAGTGTGAGCGTGTGAGTGTGAGTGTGTGAGCATGTGTTTGTGAGTGTGTGAGCATGTGAGTGTGTGTGAGCATGTGAGTGTGTGAGCATGTGTTTGTGAGTGTGTGAGCATGTGAGTGTTTGTGAGTGTGTGAGCAATGTGAGTGTTTGTGAGTGTGTGAGCATGTGAGCCCAGGGCTGGCCCTACCTCCGGCCTTTGCCAGGGCCCTCGCAGCTGGGCCCACGGGGCTGGTGGGGCTGGTGTTGGCATCGGTGGCCGTGAGCTGGGCTGTGAAGTGCCACCTGGATGAGCGCCACTCACTGCATGATGCCATTTGCGTGCGAAGGCTCGTTTGTACTCGGGACGTGGGGCCGTTTGCTGCAGCGATGCCCGGGACTCCCTGCCCTGCCAGCCGGGGAGCCTTCACCGCTGCCCACCCGTGTGACTGCTGGCTCTGCTGGCTTAAAAGCAGGTTAATCTCCTGTGGCTCGGCACACGTGGCCAGCGGTGACAGGACCTCCCGTGCTGCGCGGAGCCCGATGTGCAGCACGGAGCGGAGGGTGGGGCTGCTGGCTCGCGGTTGTCACTCCAGCTGCTGCTGCTGCTCGGCGTTTCTTTCACATGTGCTGCGTGCCCGGCCTGTGCTGAGAGCTTCACCGGCAGAGCTGTGGGGCAGGTCCTGTTGTCCACGATTTCCTGAAGAGGACTCTGAGGGTCAGGGAGGAGGAGGACTCTGAGGGTCAGGGAAGCCACCTGCCCATGGCCGCCCTGAGACTCAGCCTTGCCCTGTGCAGGCTGAGGGTCCCGCTCTGCCCAACAGGGGCCTGGACATGAGGGATATCCTCCCGGTGCCTTCTGGGAGTGTTGAAGTGGCCTCCTGGCGCTTGCAGAGCCACCAACCTCCCCGTCCGGGCCAGTGCCCAGAGGGCCATGGGGCGCCCGGCTGTGTGTATGTTTTCTCTGTTTAAGATTCGGAGCTGGTTGGTGTTTACGCCTGGAGAAAGGGACAAGCTCTGGTGAGGTCGCTGCTTGGGCCCCCTCCCGTCCTCCGCAGGCACCATAGCAAGGATCCCTCGAGAGACCCGGCTCTCACCGTGGACTTAGGTACCTGTGCCTCTGCCATGGGCTCTGTCCTGCTCTGCTGTGGCATCTGGGGGCGGGCACAGAGAAGGAGACACCCAGGCTCCAGGCCGCCTGGAAGGAAGAGGTGTTGGCGCCTCTCACAGCAGCCTGCAAACACCCTCCAAACCTGCCACCCATTCAACTGGGGACTTTGGGCAATAAGTGTTTTCAAAGCCTGAGAAAAGGGTTTCTGGCCCTGGGAGGCTCCATCGCCAGTTCCCGGGGCAGGCATGCTGCCGAGGCTCTCTCCTGGCAGGAAGGCAGGATGGGAGCCGGCAGGGGCTCCCCAGACACAGGCACACCTGTGCTTGGCTACTGTGTGCAGAGCGGTGGCTCATCACACAGGCGTGGTGCCCACCCTCAGAGGGCTTCTGCCCAGCAGGGGCCCGAGGGCCTCCTCACCGCCCCCACACTCCTTGCCTCCAGCCCGGATGGAGGAGCTGGCTTTGCTCTCCCCTCCGCTCCCCTCCTCACCCCTGACACTCCTGTCTTTGCAGGAGACAGCGAGAAAGTCATAGCTGCCAAGTGCTCACCGGTTTGTGCCCAGTTGCCCGATGCCACCTCCGCCTACAGTGACCAGCAGGTGTCTGGGAACACACCCAGCCTGGCTTCCTTCGACCAGCCAGCGACCATACAGACGGCCATGGCCATCCTACAAGACCTGCGCCAGCAAATCCAGGCTGGGCTGGAGCTGGCCCAGGCCCGCAAGGGAGGGCAAGAGCTCGGGCCATCAAAGCGGAGGCTGCAGGACGTGGCAGGGAGGGGCTGCTGCAGGGACCCCAATGCCCAGAGCTCCTTCTCTAAGAGTCCCTGGGCCATGACAGAGAGGAAGCATTCCTCTTTAGAGAGGGCTAGGAGTGTCCACACCTGGGAGCCCTGGAGCTCCTCCACTGCACGGGAGTCCTGTCCGCAGAGGGCCTGGGGGGCCCAAGGACAGGACCGCTCCTTCCAGAGGCCGGAGAGTCCCCATGAGAGGTTGGGCCACTTCTCCCAGAGGCCCTGGAGTGCACTGGCTGGGCAGGCCTGCAGTCCGCAGAGGGCCTGGGGGGCCCAAAGACAGGGCCCCTCCTCCCAGAGGCCTGGGAGCCCCCCTGAAAAGCGGAGCCCCTTCCCCCAGCAGCCCTGGAGTGCTGTAGCCACACAGCCCTGTCCACGGAGGGCCTGGACTGCCTGTGAAACCTGGGAGGACCCTGGCCCCAGACTGCGGAACCCTCTGGAAAGGCCCAGTCCTCCAGCCCAGCGGCCCTGGAGCAGCTCCGGCGTGCAGAGGGCCGGCCCCCAGGGCAAGGGCAGAGGCATCGGCTCCCCCGTCTCGGCTGCCAAGCATGCCCTGCCAAGGCCCACCGGGAGCTTCCCTCAGAACCCACTTGGGAAGGAGAAGGACACGCTGCGGCCCTGCCCCAGGTCCCGGGGGCTCCTGGGACCCTCGCACAGCTCTGAGTCCTTGCGGGAGTTCATGCGCCAGAAGGCGCAGGCCCGGCGGCGGCAGGCCCTGGAGGAGAAGGCCTCGGCCCTGCGCACACGGGAGCTGAGGAGCCGGAGGCTGCAGGAGGTCTACCGGCAGCAGAGGGAGGCCGTCCTCGGCAGGGCGGTCCCCGTGGTCTCCCGGACCACCCCTGGCATCGTGACCTTTGTCCCCAGTTCTGCACAGTCCGGGGTACATGCTGGGGTTGGGTTGGGGGGACTCGGCTCAGCCATGGGCCAGAGGCTTAGGCGCTCAGGTGCTGCCTCCAGCCCCCTGGTGTCCTCCAGGGAGTGGCCGGGCGAGGGCTGCAGCTGGGGGCTGGGGACTTCGTGGCGTCGCTGCCACTGCCTGTAGAAAGCCAGAGCTTCTGTGGATGCCTCCCTGGGGGAGGCCCTGGTGAGGTGCAGGGTCAGACCTGGGCGCCTTTGCCCCTGGGTGCAACGGGGCTCCGGAGGGACCCCCTTGCCTCTCACAGCCCCTGAAGTGGGACCCCGATTCCTGCAAGACTCTGGGGAAGCAGCCTGAGACCCCCAAGGGAGGTCAAGGCCTAGCTCTGAGGCTGAGAGAACGGGGCGTGTGGTCTTCCCGAGCGGGGGGCTCTGATGGCATTGCCCTCTACTTTAGGGCCTGGAAGCCTCCGGGAGCCTGGAGTCCCCAGTGCTGGAATGGAGCAAAGTGACCTCTGGCATGGTGCTGGGGGGCCAGGAAGCCCCAGGCAGGTGGGTGTGAAAGTGTGGGTGCTGCACATGCCGGGCGGGGCCTTGGGGGGGGCCAAGAACAGTTCTGGGTGCGTTCTGGGGCCCTCGTGACATTGCCTCATGACCGAGAGGCTCCTCAGGTGGGGCAGGCTCTGCCCTGCCCGCCCACAGTGCCACCTGCCTGCTTGGAGGAGGCGGTCACCACTGTGCTTGTTCTCATGGAGGCAAGAGTCGCATCAAACTTAAATCCACCACGTTAAAGTGCACGTTCCGTGGCATTGAGCACCTTCCCCGTGTGCTGTGCAACCACCACTTCTACTGAGTTCCGGAACATTCCATCTCCCCATGAGCCCCCACCCTCAGGAGGCAGCCCCTCCTGCAGCCCTTGTGGGGGAGCCATGGGGGTCTCCTTTCTGCCTCGACGGATTTGCCTATTCTTTTTTTTTTTTTTTTTTTTTTTTGAGATGGAGTTTTGCTCTGTTGCCCAGGCTGGAGCGCAATGGCACGATCTTGGCTCACCGCAACCTCCACCTCCCAGGTTCAAGTGATTCTCCTGCCTCAGCCTCCTGAGTAGCTGGGATTATAGGCACCTGCCACAACGCCCGGCTAATTTTTTGTATTTTTAGTAGAGACGGGGCTTCACCACATTGGCCAGGCTAGTCTCGAACTCCCAACCTCAGGTGATCCACCTGCTTTGGCCTCCCAAAGTGCTGGGATTATAGGAGTGAGTCACCGCGCCCCGCCCGGATTTGCCTATTCTTGACATTTTATCTAAATGGGATCACCAAGTACGGGTCTGGCTTCTCTCACCGAGGATAACGTTTTCCAGGCTCATTCAAGATAACGTTTTCCAGGCTCATTCATGTTGCAGCTTGAGTCAGAACTTCATTGAGTCTGTGGCTGAATAATGCCCGGCTGTGGGCAGGTGACCTTTTCTTCACAACCTCGTGGCCAACGGATGCCCGGGCTCCACCTGCCGCTGCCGTGAATGGGTGCTTGCACCTGCTTTGGCCCTTGAGCTGTTTCTCTTGGGTGCACACCTGAGAGTGAATTGCATGGGCACGTGCACCTCTGTGTGCAGCTTTCTCGGGAACTTGCACCCTGTTCTCCACAGCAGCCGCCCTGGTTCCCATCCCCCGGCCGGCGTGAGGGTCCCCATCTCCCCACTTCCTCACAGCGCTTACTTTTAGGTTCTTTTCTGTGTTTCTGTTTTGCTTTGACTACTGTGTATTTTAATTTCTGGAGGCCCCTCCCCCTGGGGCATCGTGAATCACACACATGGGGTCTGAAGACCTCCCCCAACTTTGCTTGGGGGAGTTGCGCCTGGGTCTCACTACAGTTTCCAGCCTGGCTCTCGCCCAGGAAGGGCTGTGGAAGGCCCCAGCTTCAGGCCAGTGGCAAACACTCTCTGGCCTGGCCTCACGCTAGGCACCTGTGAGGAGCTCACGGCCAGGCCTCCTGCATGCCCTGGGTTCCAGCGGGCAGGGGGAGCTGGCTCAGAGGCCAGGGAGGGGCTCCCACCCACCAGAGCGTCCCACCCTGGACTCCCTCAGGGCTGCCCCTGGCGTATCTTTGGCAGCTGGTATTGGGGGCTTCAGGCTGGCCCCTGGGAGCTCAGCTCCCACCCCTCTCTGCAGGACCCGACCCCTCCCTCTGGCTCCTTTTGGCTCCATTTTGTCTTGAAGGCACTCGTTTTGGGATTCTTTCCCGGGAGTCTGGGTCACAGGGCAGCCCAGGGGCTGCATCTGTCAATGTCCAGTAAGACAAGGACGCAGGTCCTGAGTATGCCGCTGGGTGAGCATCCCATGCTGGCCCCGCCATGCCACCCCCTTCCCAAGGGCAGCCCCTCCCCCACTGGCCACCGTCGGGCTCCGTTTGCTTGACAGCCTCCCGAGTAGCTGGGACTCGTCGTCTCGGGCAGCTGCAGGGCCTCATCTCACTTCATCATGTCCTTGTCCTTTTTTTTCCCCACCTAAAAAATTATAGCTGGGCATGGTGGCTCCCACCTGTAATCCCAGCACT
Source organism: Homo sapiens (assembly GCF_000001405.40). NCBI lineage: Eukaryota > Metazoa > Chordata > Mammalia > Primates > Hominidae > Homo > Homo sapiens. The sequence goes on along the minus strand of NC_000009.12, from coordinate 136,287,957 downwards.
TTGGGAGGCTGAGGTGGGAGGATTGCTTGAGGCCAGGAGTTTGAGACCGGCCTGGACAACATAGTGAGACCCTATCTCTATTTTCTCCAGAACTCTTCATCTTCCCAAACTGACACTCTGTCCCCATGAAACACTAACTCTCCATCTCCTCCCCAGCCCTTGGCAGCCACCATTCTACTTCCTGTCTCTATGGATTTGCCTGTCCCAGGACCCTCACGTGAGCAGGAACACGCCATGCTTGTCCTTTTTGTTACTGAAACACCAGGGGTTTGGTCTCAGTCTTGCTGCTTGCCACACAGAAGGCCAATCGCGGAGACAATGAGTATTGCCAGGGAAGAGGCTTTAATTGGGTGCCGCAGCCGAGGAGGTGGGGGCTCAGTCTCAAATCCAACTCCCTGACTGACTAAAGTTGGGGTCTTGCGTATCAGGGAAGGAATGCAGCTCCGTGCAGGAAACGGGAACTAGGGAAGGGTAAGGAAGCAAGCGTGATGAACGAGGACTCTGGCGTCTCATTGTCCAGTTGCGGTGATCTGGTGCGTTTCAGCTCCTTGATTCTATGTGGGAGGCCTGATGGTAGGTTTCCTGAGAAAGGAACTCAGGTAAGACAAATGAAACTTTCTCACATGTTAAGACCGGCCAGGCTCATTTCTATGTTTATTCAAAAGAAACCATGAACGTGAGTTCCAGGGGACCATCGGGCCAGTTTCATTTTGTGGCTGGCTGACTTATTCTACCAAGGGTGATGTTGTAGCCTGCGTCGGAATGTCCTTCCATTTCAGGGCTGAATACTATTCCGCCGTGTCGGTGGACCTCATTTTGCTTCTCCGTTCGTCCCTCGATGGACACTGGGTGGTTTCCACCTTTTGGCTGTTGTGAATAAGGCTGCTGTGAACATGGGTGATGTCTTTGAGACTCTGACTTCAGCTCTTCTGGGTGCGTGGCCAGAGGCAGACTTGCCAGACCCGTGGTTGTTCTATGTTTGACCAAACTGCCTCTGGCCACAGCAGGACGGTTTTACACCCCACCGGCAGTGCCCGGGATCCAGTTCCTCTGCCCCCTCGCTCACGCCTGGCCCTGTTCTTTGCGGCAGCTGTGTGGTCTGTTGTGTGGATACCGTCACCGCTTCCCTGGTCCCTGCGGACAGACACTGGGTCCGTCACAGACGCTGCTGTGACGCTCACACCTGCAAAACACGCGTGCTTTCCGTGCCCTGCTGGGGCGACCGAGCCTGAGCTGATCTGTCCACGTCTCTCTTCCTGCAGCTTCTGCCTGTGTTTGAACAGAGCCTGGAACCATGCTGAGACCCTAGATCCCCCAGGGATGGGGGGCCCCCAAGATGGCCGGGATGCCCCCGTGCTGCTGTCAGCTTCACCCTCTCTGGGATCCCTGGAGCTCCAGGACCTGACCACCCGCTACCTACCCCGGGGGATGTGCATCTACCTGGACCCAAAGGAGGCTGAGCACCTGGGCACTTCCAGCTCCCTGCACCTCCGGCATAAGCAGGCGCAGCTGCAGGCGCTAGAGACCACAGCCAAAGTCCTCAAGCAGCGGGTCGATAGCCTCACCGCCAAGCTGCAGGGTGCCGAAGCGCTGGACACCGTCAGGGACCCAGCTGTGGGCCTGCTGCGCTCGTGCCCCCACAGCCTACCTGCCGCCCCCACGCTCGCCACCCCCACGCTTGCCACCCCAGCCTGCCCTGGAGCCTTGGGGCCCAACTGGGGCAGAGGGGCACCTGGGGAGTGGGTGAGCATGCAGCCCCAGCCCCTTCTGCCCCCGACCTACTTCCTGGACGGCGAGACACTGTCGTGGGGCCCCAGCTGGGAGCAACAGCAGAGTGTGAGCCCGAGGGCCCACTGCGAGAGCAAGCCCCGAGGTAGGCCGGCACCCGGGACACGGTGACCGCTGGGTGGCCAGGGGGTCCTGTGGGCTGGGAGGAATGGGGACCCCATTTTCTCTCTGAGCCTTGGTTTCCTTTCTGGAAAGGGGGCTAGGAGGACAACAGTCCAGGGGGTCTGAGCAGCATAGTGTACGTGGGCTTTCCCACGTGGCATGTGGTGTGTGTGGGCTCATCCTTGTGGGATGTGTGAGCTCTCCTGTGTGGCACATGGCACCCGCAGCAGCTATTGCTCCTGTCTTGTTCTCTGGCCAGAAGGGTGAGGCCGCTCCAGTGGCTCCTTCCCTGCTGCCTCCCTGCCCTTCCTCCAGCAGAGAGGCCTGAGGGCCAGGGAGGCTGCCACACCCCCACCCCTGTCAGGTGTGTCTCAGGCTCCTCTCCTGCTGTGATGGCTTGGGTCCCCCGTCCCGTGCTCCCGGCTGACCAGGGAGTGAAGCCAGGTGCCCTCTTCTCCAAGGTTTTCCAGAGGAGGGACACGTGGACGTGAAACCAGACAAAAGGCTGCAGAGAGGCGTGGCCCCCTTCCAGGCCCTCAGCCCCTCTGCGGGGAGGTAAGACCACCTGCCCACCTGCCCACCTGCCCACCTGCCCACCTGCCCGCCTGCCCACCTGCCCACCTGCCCACCTGCCCACCTGCCCGCCCACGCTCACGGGCTGCCTCTCACTTCACCCCCATGTGTCCCCGTCATGCTGGTCCAGAGGCTGCGGCCAGGGACCCGGAGCAGGTGGTGCTGGCTCGGACGCTGGCCGGGGCAGGGAAGCCCCGCGTCAGACACTCCCCCCACGAATGCCCCCTGAACTGGCTGCGGGCCTCGGGGACGCCACTGGTGCAGCTCCCTCTTGCCTGCTGCTCCAGACTGAGTGCAGGGACAGTGACTCGGGTGGTCCTTGCCATCCGGGCCCGGCGACCCCACCTGAGCTCTCAGGGCTGCCTGTCCATGGAGCCTCACACACCTGGCTCCCATCCCCAGCACGGGCTGCAGCCTCCTCTGGGGCCATGTCACACAGGTACATCTGAAGCCCCTTCCCGGGGACACTGTGCCTGTCCCGCGCCCCCAGGCCCCTCTCAGCCCAACTCCCTCCCCCTGGGGGAGCATCTGCCCTACCCCAGCGCCTGCAGCCCCAGTGAGCCCCAGGCTGAAGCGGAGCCCAGCAGGCTTGGTCCATGGGGGCTTTGCAGGTGGAAACTGAGTTAGATGCTCGTGACAGAGGTTGCAGTGCACGAGGCGGCCGCTCCCTCCCGAGCACCTAAGCCTCAGCAGCAGCTGTGGCCTTGAGTCCCTCCTGGGGATTTGTGAACACGTTTGGATCTCCTCTCCTGAAAAAACCCCCTCCACACCTGCCCCCCACCAAAAATCTTCCTCCGAGCCCACCACCTGCCCAGCCGGCCTCTCGCTCTTGCTGGTGTGGGCCGGGATCCCTGTCCAGGGCCTCCTGGCCAGCAGTGCCCTCCTGGTCCCCGCGGCTCCCTGCACACCGCATACTGCCAGGCGTTCTTGGGCCACTCCCGGCCACTCTCACCCCTCTGTCCTTGACGGAAGCACCCTGGATGAGGGACCCCGGCCTGACCTGAGCAGCTGCTTCCCAGGCAGCCCCGGAACCCGGGCTCGAAAACTCAGCACCACGGGCGGGGCAAGCAGGAGGCCAGGCCGGCGGCGGTCTCTCGGGAAAGCTCTGTGCACCCTCAATGCGTGGCCAGGTCCACCAGGGACACCTAGACGTGGGCTCCCCAGACATCAGGGCCTGGGTCATGCCACCCACCTCCACCAAGCTGTCTTCTGCTGGGTGGCCGAGGGCATGAGGGCAGACACCACGTGTAGCCCTAGGGTGGCAGTGGGCACTGCAGCAGAGGGGCTGTTGCCCAGAGTCCACATGTGGGGGAAGGAGGCGCCCTCTCCCGAAGCCCAGCCTTCCCTCCTTTCCCTGCCCCTCCCCTCCCCTCTCCTCCTGCTGGGACATTTCCTGGCCCGAGGTCTCCCCTGCCCATCCTTCCTAGGAAACCCCACCAGCTTCCTCTCCTGAAGCCCCCTTTGCCCTCAGGGGATGGCGGGCTTGGTGCCTGCGCCAGGGCCTTTGGGTTGTGCCCCATCTCACTCCCAACCCCACCTGCTGCCCAGGCCCAGTCCGGCCCATGGAACTGAGCCATTGTGACCAGAAGAGGGCAGCATCGGGCCAGACCTCGCCTCTGTCGCCTGCAATGCCCAGGACGACTTCTGCCCAGCCCTTGAGAAGGGGTGGGAGGCAGAGGCGGAGGCAGTGAGAATTTTTGAAAAGGTTAATTTCAGTGCCCCGGGCTCCCGGGGGACCAGCTAGATCTGTCCCCAGGGCCAGACCCAGGCTGAGGTCTCAGCGTTCCTGGCACAGCCTGGGTGCAGCCAGAGGGGCAGAGGTGCGGCCAGGGCTCCCTGTGGCAATGGCACCCAGACATTCCCATCAGGGCTGGGCACTGGACTGTGCCCTCCACCCCCACAGCCCTGCCGAGGCGGCAGAGAGACAGCAGGAGGCGGAATCATATTCATGAACCGTGGCCCGGAGGGACCCGGGCTGGTGGAGAGCAGGGATTAGGGAGAGGCTCAGAGGCTCGCTGGGCCCTGCCAAGGCTTCCGCCGCTGCTCGGGCAGCCAGGAAAGGGGCCTGGCCTGTCCGTTGCCACTCACCACTTGAGGGGCTGGAGCTTCAGGGCTGGCGCACACAGCCTCTGCTGGTTCCACCTGCTGCCATCTGGTGCGTTTCCCACGCTGAGCCTCTCGGGTGCCCCAGATCCCGGCCGCCTCTCAGACTGGTTTCTTTTTTGTTTTGTTTTGTTTTTATTTTTGAGATGGAGTCTTGCTCTGTCGCCGAGGCTGGAGTGCAATGGCTTGATCTCAGCTTGCTGCAACCTCCGCCTCCCAAGTTCAAGCGATTCTCCCGCCTCAGCCTCCCCAGCAGCTGGGATTACAGGCACCCGCCACCACGCCCAGCTAATTTTTGTATTTTTAGTAGAGACGGGGTTTCACCATATTGGCCAGGCTGGTCTCGAACTCCTGACCTTGTGATCTGCCCACCTCAGCCTCCCAAAGTGCTGGGATTACAGGCGTGAGCCACTGTGCCCGGCCTCAGACTGATTTCTGAGTTGGGGTGAGTCTGTCCCCTCTGTCCCATGGGAGCCCAGCACTCAGTGGTGGAGGCACTGGGGCTTCTAGCCACCCAGCCCGGGTTCCAGAACACTTCTCCAGGCCTGTGCTCCCAGGTGCCATGCAGCCCCTCACGGCCTGGGCACACGTCCAGCTCCCCTGCAGCACCAGGAATGCGGGCGGGGGTTGGGAGGTGGGTCACCACCATGACCAGACCCTGCACAGCTCCTGCCCACAGCAGGTGTGAGACAAACACCTGTGGGCCCTGCGGGCTGCTGAGGGAGGGCGTGTCTACCCCCTGCCTAACAACCCCTGGGCCACAGGTGTGGGCAGCATCTTCAGCCACTCCAGTGGGTTCTGGGTCACTGTGTACCAGGAAGCACAGATGGGGGCCCTGATAAGAAATGCGAAGTGAGGTGAGCCGTGCTCACAGATGCAGGCTCAGCACATGCCCCGCCCACATGCCCCGGATGCAGGCTCAGCACATGCTCCGCCCACAAACCCGTCTCTCTGTGCACCCCAAAGACCCCTCATCCCAGTAGCACTGCCTCCCCGTGCCTGGTAGCTCTCCCTCACCACTTGGCCACCTCTGGGAGAAAGGTCAGTGGCCACACCTGGCTCCTGGCTCTGTCAGCCTTGCGTGCTGGCCAGCTTGAGTGGGGGCAGGTGTGTGGGTCCAGTTGTACCTGCCTCCATGGTCACAGCCCGGGTGCTCCCCAGATAGGTTGCCCTGCAGTCTCCAGTGCCAGCCTTGAGCAGTGGGGTGAGGGTCACAGCTGATGCGTGACCCCGTTCCGCTCTGGGCCTGGTGGGCAGTGCCCTTAGTAGATGGTAGAGATGGTCCCGATGACCACGCTGGCTGGGAAGACTCTGATCTTGGCCCTGGGGACCAACGGTGGCCACGGAAGCTGACCGTGCACACCCCTGTTCCCCCTGGGGTCCGAGTGCAGAGCTCCGAGCAGCCAGGCTTGGCGCCAACGCTTCCCAGATGTGGGCTGGTGGCTTCACCTCAGCCCACGCCACCACGCTGGGACGCATGCTCAGGCCCCACCCACTCACCCCTGCCTCCCGCTCACCCCTGCCTCCTGGCTCCCAGGCCTCAGGCCCTTCCCCCGCCAGGCTTTTGGCCCTTGGGTCCCACCCTGGGCACACTGTTGGGGGTCTGAGAGCTGCTCCAGGCCACGGGAGCCCAGGTTCCTGCTCAATGAGGGGCTGTCCCCCGGATCTCCCTGCCTCCTGTCTCCTCCACGGGCCTGGCCCTGCCACACGTGTGCCTGTGTCTTCCAGCTCATATGCGGGCCCAGCCACGCTGCACCCTATCTGGGGCTCCCTGGGACTGGAGGAGACGCCGTCGGTCGGAGGGGCAGATTCTGTGGCGCCCTGCACCCCCCGGAGCTGCGGTAAGGGCGACCCTGCGGACAGGCCCTGGGCTGGCTGGTCGGGTGGCCGGGGCATCCACCGAGAACACCTTCCACTGCCTAGCACTCGAGCTTGGCCCTACGGGGTAGAGAAATCCTTTTCCACGTGGAGAGCATCCACGCCTCGTTATTAAAGGTTTTAGAGGCTTTCGGGACCCTCTGCGTGCTCTGTGCTCACCACACCTGCAGTGATGGGCCCTCGGTGGATGAGACCCACGTGCTTATTTCATGACAGCCATGCCCCGTGCCGCTGTGCCCAGCCCACCTCCTAGGGCGCTTCCTTACAGTCCCATCAGCTCGGATTCGACTTTTTCTTCTGCTACTGAGTGTTTTCATCCGGGGTTTCCAACGAGCAGTGCCCACTGCCTGGTGCCCAAGGGACCCAGCAGCTGCTGAAGCCCTGGGCTTGAGGGCCTCGTGCTGGCGTGGGCTGCGCTGTAGGACCCTCCTGGCTGGGGGGCTTGGCAGGGCAGCTGGAGGGGCTGGTGCAGCCATGGGAACTGAGTGTGGACTCAGAAGTGGGGGACCCCCGTTTGCCGCTTCATCATTGTCTGTTGATTTTCTTCAAAAGAACAGGTTTTGAGCATTGGAGTAAAACACATTCATGTCTGGCTGGGGGAGAGATGGTGGGAGGGTGCATTCTGAGTGAATGGGGGCCCCCATCCAACCCCTAACCCTGGACCACCACCCCAGAGCAGCCCCAGATACAACCTGCACCCTCCTTGGCTGGCAGCGGGGAGGCCTGAGGAAGGCCTGGGGGAGTGGGCGGAGCCCCAGGTGTTCCTGCTGCAGGGCCAGTGCCAGGGGGAGGAGAAGGGTTCCAGTCCTGGTCTGGGTTCAAAGCCTTGGGCTGGAGCCCTCCTGGAGTCTGCTTCCCGGCTGTGGGGCTTGGGAGTGCTCATCGGGTCCTCCCCAACTGATAGCATCCACCCAGGGCCCTGGAGCCACACCTGGCAGCTTCAGGGAAGCTGTTCTCTGTGGACCAGCAGAGAGGGTCCTGTGTGTGTGTGCACGTGCATGTGTGTGTGCATGCTTGCTTGTGTGTATGGAGGGGAGGGCTTGTCGGGCTCACACCTGAAGCCCTCTGAGGGAGGAAGGGTCTGCGTCTTCCCCACCCCGGCCCCTCCCCTGGGAGACTCTCCCAGTCTCCAGGGTGTGGGAGCCTCTGCAGCCCTGGTATGCACCTGCCCCTTCCTTCCACACACACCCTCTGAGCATCACTGCCTGCCTGGCACTGAGAGAGCAGGCCCCGGCCCTTACAGTGCCTGTGTTTCAGGGCAAGTGGGCAGTAAGAAGATGAGCAAGTGAGGATACACAGTGTGTGGGATCTGAGGCATGAGTGCCAAGGGGAGAATTCAACAGGAAGAGGCAGAAAGCGCATGTGCCGGTGGGGTGGGGCGGCAGTTCAGAGCCAGGAAGGCCCCCGTGGGCCTCTGGCCTTGGTTGTTTATGCTGTCGTAACAGAATCCCAGAGACCGGATGATTTATAATGACCAGAAATGTATTGGCTCACAGTTCTGGAGTCTGGGAAGTCCAAGAACAAGATGCCGGTGTCTGGCAAGGGCCTTCTTGCTGCATCAACACAGAGAGGAAGGCAGGAGGGCGAGAAGGAGAGAGGACGACGGGGTGGGACTCTTCCTTTTATAGTGAACCTGCACCCACAATGATGGCACTCATCCATTCACAAGGGTGGAACCCTCATGGCTGAATCGCCTTGTGGCTGAATTGCCGCCTCATGGCTGAATTGCCTTGTATTTCAACATGAGGAGGGACAAATGTTCAAACCATAGCAGCACCTTTTCTCTTCCCAGAAAGTGCAGCCCAGGGAGGTGCAGCAAGCTTCCCAGAGTGCCCGGGTATGGGCTGGGATGGGGCTCCGTTCTCCCACTGCTGGATTTGCTGACCGCCCTTCCTGAAGGCTGGATGGGCAGGGGCTGGCTGCTGTGAGTCACAGACAGTTCCAATGGCTGCAGGACAGCCACGTCTTGGCCAGGATCTCCCAAGGGGGTGAGGTCAGAGTCAGGCTCTGCCTCCTCCTTGGAAGGGGCAGCCTGAAGGGGCAGTTTTTACCCCTATACCTCATTCACCATCCTATGGGCGGAATGTGCAGTAGCCCCAGGGGGACAGGCAACAGGAGTCTGTTGGGTCTAGTTTTTATGACTGGAGGCAGCACTGTCCGAGAGAATCTTCTAGACATAAACACTTCCACCAGAGCTGTCCAATGGAACCTTCTAGACTTAAACACCCAGAGCAGAGCTGTCCAGTGAAACCCAGACTTAAACACCCAGACCAGAGCTGTCCAATGGAACCTTCTAGACTTAAACACCCAGACCAGAGCTGTCCAATGGAACCTTCTAGATTTAAACACCTAGACCAGAGCTGTCCAATGGAAGCTTCTAGATTTAAACATGTAGACTAGCTCTGTCAATGGAACCTTCTAGACTTAAACACCCAGACCAGAGTTGTCCATGGAACCTTCTAGATTTAAACACCTAGACCAGAACTGTCCAATGGAAGCTTCTAGACTTAAACATGTAGACTAGCTCTGTCCAGTGGAACTTTCTAGACTTAAACAGGTACACCACACTGTCCACCAGAACCTTCTGCAATGAGGGAAATGTTCCGGATTCTGAGTTGTACAATATGGTAGCCACCAGCCACATGTGGCTGTCAAGCCATGAAATGTGGCCAGTGTGACTGAAGAGTGGCATTTTATGTTTTATTTTCTGTTAAGTTTAAATGTAAACGGTGGGTGTGGCTGCCAGCCGCCATGTTGGACAGCAGGGCCCTGGCTCTCAAACTCCACAGCCCCCACTGAGGGTAAGGGTCCTGTCAGCCTCATTCTGGTTTGAGGCTGTGACTCCCCAGGACCCAAGCCACATGACTGAGAACGTAGCTAGTTAACATCATCACTACCAGCAGTGACCGCAGCTGCCATGTGCCAAGATCTGTCAAACTGTCCCATTGCATCCTCACAGCTACCAGGGACTTTGGGGTGGCACGTGGGGCTAGACTTTTGGGGCTCCTCACCCATTGCTAGAGGAGTCAGGGCACTCACTGGGGTGACTCCTGCAGTCTCTGTCCAGCCAGGGCCGTGCCCAGCTCGGGGACGGCTCGCTTTCTCCGGGGTCACAGCTCAGAGCTCAGGAACAAACAGCTCATGTCCCCCCATGTCCTCTGATCTGTTGGGTGCTGACATGGCCGGTGATGACCAGGACTCCCCCTCCTCAGGCCACAGCTGGGAGATCTGTGGGGGCCGCAGGACTGTGGGGCTCCCAGGAGCCAGAGGGGCATTTGGTGGGGCTGGGGACCCTTCTCTGGCTTCAGCCTCTCTCAGGGCCATGAAACAAAAGCAAAAGATGGTTTCTTCCCTTTGCAAAAAAGGAATTTCAGCTCAGAACAGACACCTGAACCCAAACAAAGAAGTGTAAGAGTGTCTTCACTTCCCATCATCACCAGTTAGATGGGGGCCACGGGGGTGACCCCGAATGCTCAGTGCACGCCAGGTGGCCAGGCGCCCCTGCTGCTCACCCTGTCTCGGTGCTTTGGGGTGTCCTCTGCTGCTGTGGAAACGCCCAGGAACCGGCTTAGCTGTGGTTCATGGCTGAGCTGCTCCGTTCCGGGAAGGCGAGCAGTCCACTGGAGGAGCTGCCGGTTCTGGGACAGTCGGAGTGGGGATCCTGGTCTTGGCTCCATCCATACACCAGCCAACAGTGACCAAGGCGCTCATCCACAAGCCATCACGAGGGCCCCACCATCTGCAGACCCCATTGCATGCAGCACCTCCTGGTGGCAGCCTCTGTGGGGCCAGGAGCTCCAACAGCATTCAGAGTCAGAGCTGGGACTTGGGGCCACCAAGGAGAAAGGGAAGCCCCCTCCGCTGCTGCTGGGGACTTCACTATCCAAGGAAGAGGCTGAGGTTTTCATACCCAAGCTCTGGACCAATCCCAGAAATTCCAAGGAGAGCCCTGGACTTGTGCCAGGTGCTTACATCAGCACCCACCCACCCTATGAGCACCCACCCACCCCCTCAGCACCTGCCCACCCCCTCAGCACCCACCCACCCTGTCAGCACCCGCCCACCCCATCTGCACCCACTCACCCCCTCAGCACCCACCCACCCTGTGAGCACCCACCTGCCCTGTCTGTATCCACTTACCCCCTCAGCACCCACCCACTCTGTCAGCACCCACCCACCCCATCAGCACCCACCCACCCCGTTCACACCCACCCCGTCATCACCCACCCACCCTGTCCACACCATCAGCAGCAGCTTCTACCTGCTGAGTGCACAGCCAGCCTGTACCAAACTATCTCCTTGGACCCTCACACAAGGGAAGGAGGAACCTCTGTGTCCCCACTGGGCTCTGACTGACAAGTGATTTGTTCAAGGTCACATGGCAAATGCATGACAGACCCGGTCTGTCTGGGGGCAAAGCCCATGTCCTGGGCCTCCGCCCTCCCCACAGACTCCTGCCATCCATCCTGGAGTTGGTCCTGGCCGGGGTCAGGCAGAGCCAGCCTTAGCAGGGACGAGGAGATGCAGTGGGTCTCCGTGTCCTTCCGTGGGGCTGCAGCCCTCCCAGCCCTTCCTCGACATGCAGGGCAGGGGCTCTTGTTGATGGAGTTGATGCCAGCTGGGCTCAGGACTCAGGCCACCTGCACTCCTGGCCTCTGTGCCTCAGTTTCCCTGCAGGTGGAGAGGCTGTATTAACCTGTCATGCCATGGTGCACTAAGGCAGCGGCGAGGGGAGGCCGGGAGAGCGGCCTGGGCCACTCAGCTATCCCCCTCCATGGTTCCACAGGTCAGCAGGAGGACCCATGTGTGAGATGCCTTCCCAACACCCAACAGAAGACCTCCAGCTTTCTGGATTCTCTGAAGGTTTGCCCAAGGCCGATGACAGCTGGGTCCCCTTTCTGCTAGGTGGTGAGCCGGGAGCAGCCTCTGTCTCCCAGAGGCCAAGCAGAAGTGGCACTAATGTGCAGACTATAGAATTTAGAAACAGAGTGGCCGGGTGAGAGGGAGGGGAGCATGCAGGTGGGAGGAACAGACAGAGGGCGCCTGGCCTTCCCGGGCTGATGGGGAAGCCCCTGGCAGGGAGAGAAAGTCGGGGGGCTGGAGGGAGGGGCCCTGCCCAGACATAGGATCCCTTGGGGTGACCCCCGAGGAAGGGGCCCACCCTCCCTGGCTGGGGGCAGCAGGAACCGTGAGCTGTGGGCTCTCCCTGCAGCTGGACCAGCAGAAGCAGGCGTTGGCCCTCCTGCGGCAGCGGGCAGAGCTGGAGGCCCGGGAGACACAGCAGACCCTGGATGGGCTGCTCTTCAGGAGGCGGCTGGAGGTAGCAGCCGCTTGCCACAGGGGGAGCCCCTGTCTCTGCAGGAGGTTGGGTGGGAAGGTCAGTCACACTGGGAAGGAATGCGGAGACTTCCATAGGAACAGTGGGTGCCCCTCGTCAAGAGGAGGCAAGCCAGAGGCTAGAGCTCCCTTTAAAGCAAAGTCTCTATGCAGAAACAGGAGGTTTCAGCCACATGTGTCCTGGGGGCGCTGGCACTGGGGGGTGCCCCAGCGGGAACCAGAGCTGGGTCACAGATGGCCATTGGAGCCTCCCACCTGTCCGTGTCCCAGGCTTGGTAGGCCCCTGAGCCCTGGGCTCTCCATGGGAGCATGCAACCCAAAATGCATGTGGTGCTTACACCCCCGGCAGGTCTCTTGCCAGACAGGAAGGAGCTTAGTGTCTCCTGAGCCACCTCTGCCGGGCCGTCCTGCACCAATAGTGTCCCCTCCGAAAGGCAGCTCCCACTGCCCGGGGTGGCTCAGCACCTGCCCCATGAGGGGACAATGTCACCCAGTCCGAGGAGCGGTGACCCTGGCAGGGGATTGATCGGGTGGCTGACGGCTGTGACCTGGCTGGAGGGGATAAACCTTCTGGGAGGTGGACCTTTCTTCTGTGTTTGGTTCAGGGGTCGATGGTGGGAAGTACATCCACGGTACATGTTGGGGGGCATCTCCAGGAGAGTGATGGAAGTATGTGCGTGCACACGTGTGGGTGTGTGCACGCGTGTGGGTGTGTGTGCACGTGTGTGTGTGTGGGAGTACACATACAGGCAGCCTCAGACCGACAGCAACAGAGACACCCTGCCCTGTGTCCCTGCCTGTTCCCTCCCTGCTCCCCGCATCACAGGATTTGCTCCCCTCCTGTGCCTGCCCTCCCAGCACCCCCAGCCGGGACCGGAGCTGGGGTTTCCTTCCCACCCGTCTCCATGCAGCTGGTCCCCCAGCTCCCACACCCTCCAGCCCTGGCGGGGCACTGGCCACCCCTGCTTCCTTGCAGTGGCCTCTCTGGGAGGCAGAAGGGGGCTGTCGGCCCCACTTGCAGGATGGACAGAGAGGCCCCTGAGGTTGGAGACTTGCCCAGCTTCAGGCTCCTCCTTGGGACTGGGCTTGGCCTGACCGCCCCGACCCAATGCCCACAATTGTGGAGCCGCCTCCTGCATTCTCCGCAACACACCTCCCACTCCTCACAGCAGCTGATGGAGAGACACTCGACCCAGGCCAGGCCAGAGGAGGCGTTGAAGCTGGAGCAGCCTCCGATGTGCAAGGACCGAGAGCCGACCACAGCCTCTCAGAGCACAGGGATGGCCACACCCAGGTGAGGTCGGGGGCTGGGGCTGGCCACCCCCTCCCAATGTGGAAATGCAGGTTGCAGAGTCTCTGGGCACAGGCAGTGGGGTGGGCACTGCGGGCGCTGGTGCCAAGTCTCCCGGGCATGTCCTCACCTGTAGGTCACACCCGCCTCTGGACACAGATGCTGCCACGTCCTCCCAGGGTCCCGAGGACAGGCCAGAGAATGTGGTGGCCAAGCCAGCCTCTGCAGGTGACGGTGTCTTCAAAACCCCACCCAGGCCTGGAGGCAGGCAGAGCCCTCGGCCAGTGTGAACCCGAGAGGGGGGACCCGAGGCAGGTGCACAACAGGGAGGCCCAGAGGGCTACAGTGGCTGCCTAAGGCCATGCAGAGCGGAGCTGGGATCTGCAGCCAGGTCTGTCTGACTCCAGCACTCGCGTGACTGACCCTCGGGCAGCCCTAGCCCCTGGCATCGCTTGAGCCCGGGGAACTGGGTTAGACAGCTGGCAGACACCATCTCCACCCACCCAGCCTTGGGGAGCTGAGTCAGGATCTCAGCAGGAAAGCTTCCCTAGAGCTGGGGGACCAGCCTGACACGAAGGGAGGTCCGCAGCCCAGGGAGGGTGAATGCGGCAGCTCGGCCAGGTGAGCACAGGCTGCTGTCGGCCTTGCTCCGGGACAGAGGGTCTCAGCTCCTCTGAGCTGGCATGACCTCCAGGCTGGCCTCCAGGTGGCTGCCATCTCCTGGAAGCCTGGGTACAACCTGTCTTGGCATCTTCGGGAACAGGAACCCCTCCCTGGTTCCAGGCCCGTTGATACGCCCACCTCCACTCCTTTGAGCGGCTTTCCCTGGTGGGAAAGCTCTCTGCACAGCCTCCCCAGCGTGGGCTGCACAGAAACCTGGTCCAGACTCCCCTCTCGTGTGATGTGTGTCAGCAAACAAGGAAGGGTCTGCGTGCAGGTTGTAGGGATGGAGCGGCAAGACCACCACAAGGTGATTTCAGCCCTCAGTGTGATCATGGCAGATGCGGTGACTTCCCAGCCGGCCACAGTCGCCCCATCTCCAGGCTTGGCACCTGCTGTGCATTCCTAGTTTAACTTCATTGTGTTCACAAAACACATCTGTGTGAACCTCGTAATGTCCAGACTTAGGTTTTGGCCTGGAAGACAGTCTACGTCAGTGGGTGCTCCTTGAAAACAATGTCTATTCTGTTGTTGCTGGGGGGAGTGTCCTGTGGTAACACTTAGATCAAGTTGGTGGATCACGCTCTTCAAATCTACTGCATCTTGGATTTTCTGCCTAACATTCCTATCGATGAATAAGAGACTGGAATTGAAATATCACGTTGCAATTTGCCGAGTTCTCCTTGCAGTTCTACCAGGTTTCGCTTCGTGTATTCTGAAGCTCTGACACCAGGCCCATAAACACTCGGGATCATTATGTGCTCTTGATGAACTCACCCCTCTATCATGATGCAATAATCCTCTTAGCCGCAGCAGTATCCTTCGCTTCAGAGGCTATTTTGTCTGATATTAATACAGCCCCTCCGGCTCTCCTTCAACGGGTGTTTCATGATATCTCCACTGCCATCCTTTTACTTTCCATTTATTTGCATCTTTGTATTTGAAGTGTGTTTCTTACAGGCAGCATAGAGTTGGATCTTGCTTAAAAAAATCAATCTGGCAATCTCTGCCTTTTAATTGAGGTGCTTACACTATTCACATTGAACGTGATGACGGATGTGGTTAGGTTTGAGTCTCACCTGGTTATTTTTCTTTTGTTCTGTCTGTCCTTTATTTTCTTCTTCCACTTAGTTTCTGCCTCCCTTTGGATTAAGCAATGTTTTTAATGATTCCATTTTATCTCCATTGTTGGCTCAGGAGCTATAACTCTTATTATTTTAGTGGCTGCTTTAGGATTTATAATAGTATATACAGTTGACCACTTCACTTATAGTACAAGGCCAATTCTTCTTTCCTGGCCTTTAAGTTATTGTTGTCATGAATTTTATTTTAAATGTTTTGTTTGTTTTTTGAGATGGGGGTCTCACTGTGTCACCCATGCTGGAGTGCAGTGGTGAGATCTCGGCTCACTGCAACCTCTGCCTTCTGGGCTCAAGCAATCCTCCTTCCTCAGCCTCCCAAGTCGCTGGGACCACAGGCATGCACCACCACCCCAAGCTAGTTTTTGTTTTTTTTTTTTTCTTGAGACAGAGTTTGCTCTTGTTGCCCAGGCTGGAGTGCAAAGGTGCAATCTTGGCTCACTGCAACCTCCACCTTGCAGGTTCAAGCGATTCTCCTGCCTCAGCCTCCTGAGTAGCTGGGATTACAAGTGTGCACCACCACGCCCAGCTAATTTTTGTATTTTTAGTAGAGACGGGGTTTCACCATGTTGGCCAGGCTGGTCTCGAAGTCCTGACCTCAGGTGATCCACCTGCCTCGATCTCCCAAAGTGCTGGGATTACAGGCGTGAGCCACCACGCCCGGCCATTTTTGTATTTTTTGTAGAGATGGGGTTTTGCCATGTTGCCCAGGCTTATTTTAAATGTTTTATAAACTCTGCGATACATTGTTATCATTTTGTTTAAACAGCCAATTATCTTGTTAAAAGTTTTAAATAATATATGTGTTTATATTTACATCTGCACATAGTCGTCATTTTACCATTTCTGGTGCTCTCCATTGCTTCCGGTAGATGTAGATTTCTAACCCGCATCCTTTTCCTTCTGCTGGAAGGATTTCCCTTAGCATTTCTGGTGGTGCGTGTCTGCTGGTGTCTTTAGCTTTTGGATGTCTAAGGACACCTTCATCTCATCTCTGTTTTTGACGTACTCTTTCCTGGACATAGAATTCTAGGTGCAGTTTTTCCCTTTCAGTACTTTGAAGACATTGCTCCATTGTCTTCTTGCTTGCATTATTTGTGACAAGAAATTGATTGCCATTCTTCTTGGTTCGTCAGTACATCACCGTGTCTTTGTTTCTCTGGCTGCTTTTGACTTTCTCAGCCAGGCGTGGTGGCTCACACCTGGAATCCCAGCACTGTGGGAGGCCCAGGCAGGTGGATCACGAGGTCAGGAGATCAAGACCATCCTGGCTAACATGGTGAAACCCCATCTCTACTAAAAATACAAAAAATTAGCCAGATGCGGTGGCGGGTGCCTGTAGTCCCAGCTACTCGGGAGGCTGAGGCAGGAGAATGGCGTGAACCCAGGAGGCGGAGCTTGCAGTGAGCCGAGATCGCGCCACCGCACTCCAGCCTGGCTGACAGAGTGAGACTCCGTCTCAAAAAAAAAAAAAAAAAAAGACTTTCTCTTTGTTACTGGTTTTGAGCAATTTTATTATGATGTCCTTTGTTATTGTTATTCTTCATTTTTTAATTTTTATTTTTTGAGACAGAGTCTCGCTCTGTTGCCCAAGCTGGAGTGCAATGGCACAATCTCGGCTCACTGCAACCTCTGCGTCTCAGGTTCAAGCGATTCTCCTGCCTCAGCCTCCCAAGTAGCTGGGATTACAGGCACCCACCACCACACCCGGCTAATTTTTGTATTTTTGTAGAGACAGGATTTCACCATGTTGGCCAGGCTGGTCTTGAACTCCTGACCTGAGGTGATTTGCCCACTTCAGCCTCCCAAAGTGCTGGGATTATAGGCAGGAGCCACCACGCCCAGACCATATTTCTTGTCCTCTGGGTTTGTTGAGATTCTTCGACCTGTGGATTTTTCATTTTCTTCAAATTTGGAAATAGTTCAGCCACTATTTGTTCAAATATCTTTTTGCTCCTCTTTCTCTCACCTCTCCTTCAGGGACTCCAATTATGTGGGCAGAAGATTACCCAGGTGCCGAGGCAAGAGACTGAAGGCACAAACTGTTTCAGTATAATAAAGAAAATAGTTAGAACAAGAATAGTTATATTACAAATTAGATATAGAGATGATCATGGACAATTATCAATCATTAGGATAAACATTATTAATCATTTAGCTTTTAATATTACTCTTTGTTGCATTACAAATATAACCTAGGGATAACCGGTGGGTATAGCATCAGGTCTGAAGGGACATTGTGAGAAGTGACCTGGAAGGTAAGAGGTGAGGCCTCTGTCACACCCGCATAAGGGCCGCTTGAGGGCTCCTTGGTCAAGCGGTAATGCCAGTGTCTGGGAAGGCACCCGTTACTTAGCTGACCATGAAAGGGAGTCTCCTTTCCTTGGAGGAGTCAGGGAACGCTCTGCTCCACCAGCTTCTTGTGGGAGGTTAGATATTATCCAGGCTTGCCCCCAGTCATCCGGAGGCCTAAACCCCTCCCTGTGGTGCTTCAGTGGTCACCCTCCTTGTCTACTTTCATGTTCCTCCCATACTCCTGGTTCCTCTTTAAAGTTCGTAGTAGATAGCAGAAGAAGAAATAGTGGAAGTCTTAAAGTCTCTGATCTTTCTTATAGTACACAGAAGAAAACGCTGATGTATGCTGCCTTCCCTCTCTGCTTCGGCTACCTAAAAGGGAAGGGCCCCCTGTCCTATGATCACGTGACTTGCTTGACCTTTTTAATCACTTGGACGACTCAGTGATTAAGACTCCTTACCCTGCCCCGTTGTCTTGTATACAATAAATATGAGCGTGCCCAGCCATTGGGGGCCACTACCTGTCTCCGCTTCTTGATGGTAGTGGTCCCCCGGGCCCAGCTGTTTTCTCTTTCTCTCTTTGCCTTGTGTCTTTATTTCTTACGATCTCTCATCTCCGCACATGGGGAGAACACCTGCTAAGCCCCGTAGGGCTGGAGCTTACACAATTACGCATACATTAGGCCACTTGAAGTTGTGAGCTTACTGAAGCTCTTTGTATTCTTTTATTCTTTTTTCTTCTCTGTTTCCTTTTGGATAGTTTCTATTGCTATATCTTCCAGTTCGTTCATCTCTCCTTCTGCAGTGTCTAGTCTGCCCTTCATCCCATCCAGTGTGTTTTTCATCTCAAGTGATTTAATTTTCATCAGTTTACACATTCCATTTGGATCTTTTCGTTTTATATCCTCTGTGGCTCTACTTAACATCTTAACATATGCGATAGAGTTACGAAACTTCTAATGTCCTTCTCTGCCAATTCTCACACCCACGTCAAGCCTGGGATACTGTTAATAAATTATCCTGCTCATTACTGGTTGTGTTTTTCTGGTTTCTTTGCATATCTTCTGGGCCCTGTGAATTTTACCTTGCTGAGTGCTAGATATTTTTGTATTCTTGTAAACATTCCTTTTTTTTAATTTTTCCTTTTGAGACAGTCTCACTCTGTTGCCAGGCTGGAGTGCAGTGGCGCAATCTCAGCTCACTGCAACCTCTACCACCCAGGTTCAAGCAATTCCCCTGCCTCAGCCTCCCGAGTACCTGGGACTACAGGCGCCCACCACCACGCCCAGCTAATTTTTTGTATTTTAGTAGAGACGGGGTTTCACCATGTTAGCCAGGATGGTCTCCATCTCCTGACCTCGTGATCCACCCACCTTGGCCTCCCAAAGTGCTGGGATTACAGGCGTGAGCCACCGCACTGGCCCCTATAAACATTCTTAAGCTTTCTTCGGGACTGCAGTTATTTAGAAGTAATTTGGTCCTTTCAGACTTTTCATTAATAGTGTGTTAGGTCGATCTGGATCAGTGCTCAGCCTGGGGCTAATCATTTCCGACAGTCAAGGCAAGAACGTTCTGTGTACACTGCCTGCCCAGTGACCTGGGAGTCCTAAGGTCCTCCAGCCTGACTACTGGAAACAGGCGTCATTACCAGGCTTCCAGTCCCCCGGAACGCTTCTGTCCCAGCATCTGGTAGCTTCTTGACACGCATTCATCCATCAGTTCTCTACTGAATACTCCAGAGGGACACTTGATACATCTCAGAGGTCCTCTCTCTGTGCGACTCTCTCCTCTCTGACACTCTGCCCCCACAAACTCCAGCTGCCTTGGTCCTCCCAGACTCTCTGCTGTCTCCTCTACCCAGGGAGTCCTCCAGCTCAGCCAGCTTCCCCTCCCTCACCATAGCCTGGCAACTCTCTGAGGCAGTAAGCCGTGAGCATCGCAAGTCTCCTCCCCTCCTTTGTTTTCTGTCTCTCAGGGATCACTGTGCTATGTTGCCTCAAGTCCAGTGCCTGGAAAACTGTTATTTCATATGTGTGTGTGAAAAAATATATATATATGTATACACACACATATCTCTATATAAACACACATGTGTGTGTGTATTTACGTGATTTTTTCAGTTGTTGCAGATGGGATGGCAAAGCCAAAATCCAGTCCCTTTTGCTCTGTCTTTGGTGGGAGGGAACGTCCTTAAGGATCGCTTGAAGTACAGGCTCCTTTTTCCATCACTCAGAACAGAAGCATGGCCAGCAGAGGTCGGCAGCAGGTCAGCTACTTCAGCTGGGGATCTGGGATCTGCTGTCACCTGCCAGCTCCTTGGTGCTAGACCCCGACAGCCCTTCTCCCTCTCTGGGCCTCACTCTCCCCTCCTTTAGAAGCCTGTAGACGCAGAGCAGCTGGGCTGTCTCCCTGAGCTTCCTCTACTTTTGGTCTGGTCTTTCCCATGATCAGTAGGGTCACAAACCACAACTTCACATCAAGAGACTGCCTGTCCCTTCCCGCGTGGTCTTGTGGATTCTGCGTGAAGCCCTGTGTGTCCGGGATGGGATGGGGACACTAAACTGCCCTAGACCTCCTACTTTTATGAGGCCCTCCGGTAGAAATGGCCCCTGACACGGGGCACTCAGACCCCCTACATGACCCAACCATGGCGCTTCCTTCCTCAGAGGTGGAGGGCCCTGACGGAGCCCTCTCCCAGCTTCCCCTGGCCAAGTTCTTCCCTCCGGACAACCCCACCCACCAGGTACGTGGAGAGGTCCCCTGGGGGAGAGGCACAATTTCAGGACCCAGCACGGCCCTGGTAGTGGGCCCCGGACCCAACTGTCCTTCCACTAAGAAGGGCCAAGGCAGGTCCTGGGTTGGGAGGTTCTTCCGGCGATCGCGTCACCCGCTCTTCCAGCTGACAGCTACCCAAGCCCGTTCCTCCCGCCCTGGGTGACAGAGGGGGGCAGGCATTTCAACATGGTGCTTTGGGCAGGGTTAGCCCCCGCCCAGGTTGTATATTTTAGGGCAGGTGGCCTGGGCTTCCTGGATCAGGGCTGGTGGTGAGGCCGAGATGCTAAAGATCCTGCCTGCCCCGCCAGCTCACAGTCGGGGAAGCGAGGGCGGCATAGGGGGATGGGAGGGGCGGGCAGTCCGAGAGGGCTTCTCGGAGGCGGTGGCCTGTGCTGGGAGCGGTCTAGAAGCTAGGCGGTGACGCGGCCCACCCTACTGGAGCCCCGCGAGGCCCGGAAGCACCGAACCCAGAGCTTTAGGGGCCTTGGGCCGCTTCAAGCTGCAGATGCTGGAGCGGAGCCTGCGGGAGGAGGAGCTGCGAGCACAGCACCAGGCCGCGCTGCTGCGCCTGCGAGAGATGGCGCTCCAGGAGAAAACGCTCGCGGAGCTGGCCTGGCTGGAGCATCGACGAGGGTGAGCGCATGCGCCTGGCGCCGGCCCCGCCCCGCCGTAGCCCCGCCCTGCTGTAGCCCCGCCCTGCTGTAGCCCCGCCCCCTCCCTGCCCCGTCCGGGTCCCGCCCGTGGCCCCGACAGCGTTTTGAGAAACAAGAGGTACTGGTCCAAACAGTAATAGGTGTTTGCTGAAACTTACATAAGGCAGTAAAGTACTCAATACACAAATAAAAAAATACCCCCATCGTTCCAAAGGTGACCTCTGAGATCATCTTTGTGCATACTTTGTTTTTTTGTTTTGTTTTGTTTTGTTTTGAGACAGAGTTTCGCTCTTGTTGCTCAGGCTGGAGTGTAGAGGCGCGTGGCGCGATCTAGGCTCACTGCAACCTCCGCCTCCCAGGTTCAAGGGATTCTCCTGCCTCAGTCTCCCGAGTAGCTGGGACTACAGGTGTGCGCCACCACGCCCAGCTAATTTTGTATTTTTAGTAGAGATGGGGTTTCTCCATGTTGGTCAGGCTGGTCTCGAACTCCCTACCTCAGTTGATCCGCCAGCCACGGCCTCTCAAAGTGCTGGGATTACAGGCGAGAGCCACCACGCCCAGTGCGGATACTCTGTTTTGGGGAGAAACACACATGGCTATTTCAACTTGCAAATGGGCAGTACGTGCTGTTTTGTAACTTGCGTTTTCAATTTATATGTCAGGAAAACCTTTCTGTGTAGCTACATAACCGCTATAACACACAGGGCGCACCGGCGTAGAGACAGGGCTGTAACTCCCTTCGCTTGTCCCGGATCTCCGGGCCTCTAGGTTGTCTCCAACGTTTTGCCATTATTAATGAAGATAGAGAGATCATTTCCTTAAGGTAAAACCTTAGAAATGGAATGACCGGGTCAGTGAGAATGCATCTGGAAGCCGCTTGATACTGCCACATTGGTCTCCAGAAAGGTGATTCCAGTTAACATCCTCACCCGGTGTCTGAGCGGGCCAGACTGAGGGTGTTTATTCCATGATGGGTGGGGGGTGGATGTGGGTGACCCCCACCTCCCTCCCCAGAGGACCCACTGGCCTGGGCTGGGCCTTCAGGGTGGCAGGGGCGGCTCTCGGCTAGCCTTT
This sequence comes from Homo sapiens, assembly GCF_000001405.40. Lineage (NCBI taxonomy): Eukaryota > Metazoa > Chordata > Mammalia > Primates > Hominidae > Homo > Homo sapiens. Next base: position 136,266,289 of record NC_000009.12, on the reverse strand, counting down.
GTCTCTTTAGACCCAAAAGTCCAAAAGTGGCTGTGAGGGGTGGAAGAGTGACAGCCCGGGTTGGGCCATCTGGCCACCCCAAGGCTTCCAAGCCTGTCCACGCATGGCTGCGTCCTCCCTGGTGCCTGCACCTTGGGAGGGCATTCCAGGTTGATGTGGCCGACCAGGGCTGGCTGTGTCTGTGACTTTCTATATCCACTTGCACGGGCTGTCAACATTGGCAGTGATGTTGCCACCTCCCCCCAGGTGCCTGGACAGCAAGAGGGACAGAGCTGTGCTGGCCGCGCTGGTTGAGAAGCAGCAGCAAGCCCTCAGCAGATTGGAGAAGGAGCAGGTGGGGCCAGCACAGGCCTGGTGGGTCAGGGTGGGCGGCTCACAGAGGCAGTCGTGTCATCTTCTTGCCTGGAATCTGAACATTCCCCAGCAACAGAGCTAAAGAATTCCCAAGCCCTTGCCACCCTCCAGGGCCATACAGGACCCCGAAGTATAGAAGGAGTGTCCACGGCCCAAGAGGGCATCACGGCCAGGGTGGAGCGTGGTCCTGTACACAAGGAGTGTCTGCGGCCTTCTGGGGGCCTCGTGGCCAGAGTGGAGGGTGGCCCTGTGGCCCTGGCTCCAGACCAGGCTCAGCCTTTTGCTGGATGTCACCTTGAGCAAGTGGCTTTGTCTCTTGGAGCCTCAGTTTCCTCCTTGGAACCAGAGAATAATTGTGGTCTCTGTAAAGCAGGGGGTTGGGAGAGTTTAGTGCAGCCAGCACTTACCCGGGTGGACGTGTGCCATGTACGCCCTCAGAGGACTTTCCCAGCTGCTCCGAGCCCAGTTCCCTCATCTGAAAAATGGGGAGAAGCCTGATGTGCACATGCATGGGGGCTGGGAGGGTGGTGCAGGTGAATCCCTAGCCGCGCCTGGCAGGGAGGGGTCTCCATCCGTGGCTGCACCTGCCTTCCTGCCATCGTTGTCACCAGGGACTGGAGGAAGCAGACCCCCAGGGAAAGTCGGTGCTGGGGGCACATGTGGAGGGGGGAAAAGCTGCCAGAGTCAGGGCTTTGCCTGCGGCAGAGAGCAAGGCTGAGGGGCAAGCCTGAGAGCCAGGACGAGGACCCTTGCCGGCCCCTGCCCAGGTCACAGGCTCAAGGGCTCCTCACAGGTCGCGGCCGCTGTGCCTGCATCCTCACTTCAGTGCCCCCATGCTGTGGGGCAGAGGCTGGCGCTAACACCCTTGGTACAGATAAAAGAACCTGGCTGGGTGAGGCAGTTCATCCGTAATTCCAGCACTTTGGGAGGCCAAGGTGGGAGGATCGCTTGAGCCCAGGAATGTGAGACAGGCCTGGGCAACATAGCAAGACCCCGTCTCTACAAAAAATAAATCTGCCACTATAGGTGGCCAATGCCTATAGTCCCAGCTATTTGGTGGACTGAGATGGGAGGATTGCTTGAGCTTGGGAGGTCAAGGCTGCAGTGAGCTGAGCTTGCACCACTGCACTCCAGCCTGGGCAACAGAGTGAGACCTTGTTTCAAAAAAAAAAAAGGTGAGCTGGGGTGGGGGACTACTTTGCCCACGACCCTCTGCTGGGAAATGGGGTCAGTGCAGGACCTTATGTTGACTGGAAAGCCCCGGGATCCCCATCCCTGCCCTGGATGCCCTGTACATACTACGACCTGGGGTGTCAGGCATGGGGCATTACAGGCAAGGGAGCTGGGGGCGGAGACCCAGGCCACAGACCCATGCACAGGTCCTCTCAGATACGGAGAAACAGGAAAAGGCAGGCACCACAGAGAACAACGTGAGCCGGGGAAACAAAAGGGGCTTAGAAGGGGTCTGCATGTCACATGGCAACGACGGGGCCTGGCAGAACAGGCGCTGCCCAGGGATCCCAGGCGGGAGGAGCTGGAGCTGGCCGGGGCCAGGGACTCCCAGCCACAGCCAGGCTGCGTGTCGCAGATAGAGATGCCGTGGTGGAGGTGGGGTCTGGGACTCCCCAGTGGGGCCATGGACCAGACACCCGCTTGGCAGAGCCTCGCTTTCCCGTCTCACCAGTGAAGCTGCTGTCTCCCAGGGCGAGTGTGCAACGGCCCGGCCCGGCCCTGGGCTCTGTGCAAGGTTGTTCCGAGGGTGCGTCCACCAGGGACGCTGTGGGGAACAGAAAGAACAGTTGTAAAGGAGTGACGGGGTGGGGGCAGTGCCTGGAGCCTGCAGAGAGGGAGGGCGAGGCCCAGCCAGCCTGTGCCAGCCCTGCGTGGGCCCTGGGGAAAGAGTACCTGCCTCCCTCCTGCCGCCCGCAGCTGCCTCCTCCACCAAGCCCAGGGAAGCCCAAGGCCATGGGGGTATCCTAGGCCCGGCAGGAGGGGCGGGCAAAGGCCAATTGGAGGGAAAGGGAGGCCTCCCAGTGTGAGGGCCAGGGCATCCCCCCAGACACCCCTTCCCTTTTGTTGGCCTTTTCCCCTGCTGGCTCCGGGGTTATGCTGACATCTGCTTATTTTGCCTGCTCAGAGGGAAATCCAATACCTGAGACACACGCAGCTGTTCAGGCACCGGGACAGGAAGCTGCTTCTGCAGCATCAGAGGGACGTCGTCTCCATGCCGGGGCCTGTGGACATCCTCCCCATCCCGGGGCCCACGGACGTCGTCCCAGCGCACGAGCTGCAGGCCCAGGCCAAGCTGCAGCAGGTGGGTGCTCTCGCCTGGGCTGGGACTCAGCTGCAGAAATGCTGTCCCCTTCCCATGATCGTGCAAGTCCCTTGTAAAAATGCCTGTGGGCCGGGCGCGGTGTCTCACGCCTGTAATCCCAGCACTTTGGGAGGCCGAGGCGGGTGGATCACGAGGTCAGGAGATGGAGACCATCCTGGCTAACACAGTGAAACCCCGTCTCTACTAAAAATACAAAAAATTATCCAGGCAAGGTGGTGGGTGCCTGTGGTCCCAGCTACTCGGGAGGCTGAGGCAGGAGAATGGCATGAACCCCGGGGGGCGGAGTCTGCAGTGAGCCGAGATATGCCACTGCACTCCACCCTGGGCGACAGGGAGACTTCGTCTCAAAAAAAAAAAAAAAAAAAGCCTGTGGCCCCAGGCAGACTTGCTGGGGGGTGGGGTGGGGCAGATGGAGGGAGGGAGGGGACACTGCTGGGGGGCTGAGGAGGCTTCCTGGATGGGGTGGTCCTGGCCAGGCCCTAGAGCAGAGCCAGACTTCAGGTGGGGGCAGCGGTGGATTGGGTGGGGAGGATAAGCAGGACTGGGGATCTCATGGGACCCAGGCAGGAAGGAGAGTGTGGCTGGGAGCTCCTCAGGGAGGCCAGCCCCTCAGGGACCCCAAGCAGCAGCTGCATCCTTGGAGGGAGGCTCCTGTCCCCCATGTCCACCGGCAGACGGAGTGAGGACGCTGTGTGGACAAGGGGTGGGGGACTGTCCCCAGGCAAGCTATGTGCCTTCCCCACCTGCGCGTCTCCTCTGTAAGGCAGGGAGGGCAGCAGGCTCACCTGGAGGGTGGGGATGAGGATTGAATGATCTGAGCTCTCTGAAGCACCTGCTCCAGGCTGGGCTGCAGGAGAGGGGACACCAGCAACCTGATTCCAGAGCTGGGCATGGGGGTCTCTGGCCAGCCTTGGGAAAAACTCCTCATTCTGGGCCTCCCATCCATACCTCTCAGTGGGGGTGCAGGACCCCTGCTCAAATGAGAGGTCCTGTCTCAGCCTGGCACCCAGTGGGGAGCAAGCAGCCCCGGCACTGCCCTAGCCCTGCCACAGCCACAGCCACGTGAAGCCACCAGCTTTTCTGAGGAGGAAATGGGCAGAGGTGGCCTTGCCAGGCTCTCCTGCACCATTTCTTACAGGGTTCCAGCCCCAAAGTCAAGGCCGCCTGGGAGGGAGGCTCAGAGACAAGCCAGCAGCCAGAGGCCTCCCTGTGTCCCCTGACCCCATGCAGGCCCAGCAGCTCCACCAGCCATCGCCCCCAGAGCAGCCCCGCAAGCTCAAAGGCCACGCGGTGAGTTGGTTGGTCTTAGGGGGTCGGGGGTCGGGGTCTGGACCCTGATGTTCCCCTGAGAAGCCTTTTCTGCCCCGGGTGGCCGGTGGACGAGCCTGGCTCAGGGGCCGGGGTGGCACGTGTAGCCCTGGGCATCCCCTCCCAGGGTGGCTGGGGGCTGTTCTGCCGGCCGGTGGCAGCTCAACCTTCTCTGAGGCTTGGCCGTATGGCCGTTGGCTTTGGTTTGCAACAAAAGCGCCTCATTAAAGGGCACCAGGGCTCTGCCTGGACTGTCCCCATGGAGCAGGGGAGGGGGAGTGATGACCAGGGTCACCTGCCCGAGAGCCTGGCCGCTGCCCGAGAGCCTGGCCATGGGAGGAGGAGCTGTTTTTCCCATCAAGAGCCTCCCGGCTTCCTGATGCTGGGAACAGCTCTTCTTTCCGGGCTCGAAATGGCCCTGGAGGGCCGAGGAGGCCTTCTCTCCTTTGAGCTCAGGCCCCCAGGGCCAGCAGCCCTCAAGACTCTATCACAGAACCCCTCGAAGCAGAAAGCGGGGGGCAGCGCAGACCCGGGGGAGCAGCCTTTGGAGGCCCCTGTCTGCCTGGGGGAGCGTCCTGAGGCTCTTTCCCAGCCCAGAGGGGCCTCTGCAGTGAGGGGAGTTGCTGGCCACTCAGGCTCGGCCATTGGCTCCGTGCCTCCTCCTGAAGCTTTCAAATAAACCTGGGCACAGACTGATCTGTCATTCACATTGCAACCAGTTGCCAGTCCCAGGAATCTCTGAAGAGGCTTCCAGGCCAAATACCGCCCCTTGGTCCCCCAGGGTTTGCTTATAGGGCTGGAGGGGAGGGGCCGGTACATGTATGGTTGCAGACCTGGACCCCAGCATGGGTGTCAGCCCACCCTCCTGGCGGAGGGGTACACCCTATGCTCGGCTTGTCACACCAGCGATGTGTAGCACTGTCCACAGCTAGAAAATAGAGAAAAGTGAGGTATTCACAGAGAAAACTTCGGCTCCCTGGGAGCCTACCCACGAGAAGCTCGCCTGCGGTGTTTTGCTGGGGGTCCTGCCACACGGGAGCAGGTGCGCTTCCCTCCTTCATTGGGCCGTTCGAGAGAAGCTCAGCTGTGAGCTGGGCGCCTTGGGGTCGGGGTGTGTCTATGAGCACTCCCACGGGAGTGAGGAAGAAGCTGGACAGAGCAGATGGAGCTGCTGTGGGGTCCTGGCCTGAGACGCCGCGTGCCGAGGAGGGTGTAGGGGAGGGGAATGAATCCTTTAGGACATGGGGGTTCCTGTTCCCATTTTTATTCAGCCTGTTCTGTTTCTGGGGCGGCTCTAAGAGCACAGTGCCTTGGTCTGCTTTGTGGGCTGAGTGCCGGGCCCTGGAGGCACTGCCCTGTCTCCCTCCAGAGCCTGTGTGGGGCACACACTGGCGTCAAGATGCCCTCCCATTGCTGCCCCAGTGAGAGTGCGGGCTGCAGCCCCTCAGCTGCATCTACCTTGGGATACAGGGTTTCCAGGCCCTTAGGGCCACCCTCCTCTGAACCTCCTGCTCACCCTGGACCATCTGTGAATCCGGGGGGAAATGCTCAGGGGCACCCTTGGGTGGAGGCAACAAGCTGTGCCCAGATGTGGCAGGTGCCCGGGGGAGAAAGGGAGGCAGACGACGTGTCGCCGGGCAGGCACCTGAGACAGCAGGAGTTTTCTTGCCACCCCAGCAGTGTGACCCAGGCAGAGTCAGATGGGGGGGTGCCTGGAGGTCAGTGCAGGCCTGGGGTGGCACCGTGATTCTCGGGGGCCCAGCATGTGCACCTGGGAGGGACAGTCCATCTCCAGGCAGAAGTCTCAAGGGGCCACATGCTGGGGAGACACAGGCCTCTCCCACCCACCTTGCCTGGGTGAGGGGGTCACAGTCCCGTCTTCTGCTTGGCCACTGACCACAGCCATCCCTGGATGTGACATGAGGTTGTTCCCAGGGAGAGGGTGCTGGTGGAGGTTGTGGCCAGGGCTGGACACCTGGGAAGGGGCAGCCGGGCGGGCGGTCACCTCCACTCTGCATGGCCGTGCAGCCCTCCCACTGAGCAGCAGGATGTGACGCCACCCCAGACAACCTCCGATGCAGATGGTCACCAGCAGCCTCCGAGGCCAGCATGGGGCGAGGACACACACGACCCCCAGGGCCCGCTGGTGGAGAGTGGCAGCCATGT